>NC_000004.12:139546381-140171381 GCF_000001405.40 Homo sapiens
AAGCTGAGAAACCGATGAAGCAGAAGAACCAACAAGGTGGCAGAATCTTGCTTCGGGGTACTAAGATGCCAGATTGTGACATCTGGGAGAGTGTGCTGAACGCAATAGAGTGTGTGTGACCCTTGGAAAAAAGTGTGAATCTGACTTTACTGGAACTGTGCAAACTGGCCACTGACAAAAACGATCCCCACTTGTGTGACTTCAGGGAGATGCGCTACCGGAATGATCAAGTGAAATCCATCAAAGAATTGGGTGACCATGTAACCAACTTATGCAAGATGGGGGCCCCCAAATCTGGTATCTTTTGGCCAAGCACACTCTGGGAGACAGTGATGACAAGAGCTAAGCCTTAGGCTGGCTGTCCCATAACCACAGGGTGACTTCCCCAGTCACCAAAGCAGTGCCTACAGGTAGGGGTTAATTTTACCCATTGAATAAATTGTAGAAAAACTTCCACTTGAATTCTTTCGTTTGTATTAGTCCTTAACATAAAATAATTCGGTACCCCCAAAGAACAAAATAAAACTGTGAGTGCTACCTGCCATCAAAGAAGAAGAACTTCCCCCGTCCGTTCTTTTCTCCGTGAACAAAGTTCCCCTCAAATCTGTCTGTGGAGGAGTAGGTGACTGTGCAGAACCCGTGCGGTAATCCGTCATCGTCCAGGTGCCCTGGAGAAAGGGAACCACAAGGCAAACCTTAACATCTTCAGTGCTCCTCCCATCTGACGTCTAAGCATTCAGATGCTGCCAGACAAGTCCCCCACCCAACTCCCCTCCAGCTGCCAAAGGGTCCCCTCCCTGGAAAGAAAGGGTAGTCAGCGTGCAAAAGTTTCTCACCTCATCGGCACCAGCAGTACCAAATTGATTGTTATGTACACTTTGTGAACTGATAGGTCCAGAACAGACTTAGACACATTCCAGAATATGAACTTTAAATAAGCTTGCTTTTTACCTGGAACTGAGAGTCATTATCAGTAATATTATCTGCAGGGCATGTCACAATTTACCAAGTACTCTCCCGAGAGTCCTCATATTTGGAATTGATGCCTCCAATCTCTCATGCTTAACTGAAGTGTGGTTGAGATTCCACTGTTTTATAGTCAATTGCCACATACACAGTCTTTGGAATAAATTATCTAATTCTAGAACATTAAGTATGCAATATGATTTTATACATCATTCTATAATATGATGTGGAGGACTGCTAGCCAGTCTGAAAATCTCACTGTTATTGTTATATTCACACAAGGAACAGTGTCATATCTTTAAAACTGCCCTAAGATTTATATAGCTCATTGTACAAACACAGAAACCCAGAGTCCTTCTCACCTTAAACTTAAGCTTAACCTTAAACCTACTGGTTTACTTTACAAAATCTTTCAGCTTTGAATGTTTAGTAATAACCTTATCCTATACCGTCCACCACTGTGTCTCAGAGGGCTTGTGTTTTAAATGGAGCCAGAGTATGCACATGGTCATTTAAGCAATGATTGTGAACATCAGCAGAAGTTATTACATGGACTTTTAAGTCACTGGTTATTCCTAGGTCAAAGATTGGTATAGTTTAATACTGACATTTACAGTCAATGTTTATGCTTTTTATTACTATCTACATGTTTTACAAAACCCAGGAATCACCTTATTGGTGTCTTCCCAATCATTCTGGTGAGCTGATTTTGCAGAGGTGGGTGAAAATGAAGGCAGTAGTTATTCTACTGGCTTTTTCTTGGGGTAATAACCTGGGTCATGGAGAGAAAAGGTATGAAAACATTAAACACTGTGTCTAATGCAGGGACATTAAACATTGAAATGTAGCTTCCAGATGGCTCACAGACATAAAAGGCAACACAAACCATACTACCACAGTGAAAGCTTTAGTCTCCTCAAATAATTTATTCTAACATGATAAAAGAATATTAGCCCTTGGAAAAGATGGTAAGTACACACTCTTATAAAGAATAAATATGCGGCCGGGCATGGTGGCTCACGCCTATAATCCCAGCACTTTGGGAGGCTGAGGTGGGTGGATCACCCTAGGTCCAGAGTTTGAGACCAGCCTGGCCAACACAGTGAAACCCCGTCTTTACTAAAAATACAAAAAATTAGCCAGGCATGGTGGCGGACGTCTGTAATCCCAGCTACTCAGGAGGCTGAGGCAGGAGAATCGCTTGAACCCAGGAAGCAGAGGTTGCAGTGAGCCAAAATTGTGCCACTGCACTCCAGCGTGGGCAACAAGAATGAAACTCCATCTCAACAACAACAATAAAAAGAATAAATATGCTCTTTATTTGTATCATTAATTACATAAACATAAAATAGCTGCAAACAACTACAGTGTTTTATTGCTACATCTGACTCTGTATACAATGGGTTACCTAGAACATCTTACAATAAGACACATCTACTTAAATAAATCATAATCAATATGGATCCCTTCCTCTTAACACAAAAGAGGAAAGGCCCAGGAAATTAATGGTCAGAAGGGAACTAGGCCATAATTGCTTTCTTCTCGCTCAAAAACTAATTGTACATGACATAAATTCAATGACATTTGAGTCATATGAAATCACTTGGACAATTATTTTCTAAATATCTGATGCCATTTCTCTCATTGAAATAAATTAAATTTGCTTTTTTCTTTTCATTAAAAAAAGCCACTCAGTGTATTGCTAAGAGCTTTTTTTAGTGAAATGTTGTTGCGATCAAGTTAAATTTAGGCATATAAATTCAGTGTCCTACTTTTGATTTAGGTATTAATATCCAAATAATCAGTTTAGCCTCATACTAGAGCATTTATTAACTTGTTGAAAATGCTTTCACCATAGAAAACAGTTCACATATTTCAGAGTTTTAAAAGCTTATGTTTGATAAAATGTGTTATTCCACTTTAGATTGAGAGAATTACAATAAATCTGAACACTAAGAAAAAAATGTCCAATATAAATTAATTTCCACCTTCCTTCAGCCCTGTGCTATTTCTGAATAAAACACTGAAGGTGCACCCTCAGCAATGGAATTTAGATATTAGGGAAAGTTGAAAGTGTCATATAACATACTGTAAGCCCTTGGAGGATAGTACTGATCCCAGTTGAGATGACAACAAAAATGTCAACTCCACTCCATGAAGAATTATTCCTTCCTTCCTTCCTCCCTTTTTGCCTCCCTCCCTCCTTCTCTCCTTTTCTTCCTTTCTTACCTCACTCCCTCCTTCCCTCTTTCTCTTCCTCCTTCCTTTATTTTTTAGAGACAGGGTCTCACCCTGTTACTCAGGCTGGAGTGCAGTGATGAGACCATAGTTCACTGTAACCTCAACTTGTAGGCTCAAGTGATCCTTCTGCCTCAGCCTCCAATGTAGCTGGGACTATAGGTAGACATCACCACAACTGGCTAATTTAAAAAAAAAAATTTTTTTTTGAGACAGAGTTTTACTCTTTTTGTCCAGACTGGAGTGCAATGGTGCGATCTTGGCTCACTGCAACCTCCGCCTCCCGGGTGCAAGCAATTGTCCTGCCTCAGCCTCCCTAGTAGCTGGGATTACAGGCACCTGCCACCAAGCCCAGCTTATTTTTTTGTATTTTTAGTAGAGATGAGGTTTCACTATATTGGCCAGGCTGGTCTCGAACTTCTGACCTCAGGCAATCTACCCACCTCAGCCTCCAAAACGGCTAATTAAAAATTTTTTTTTATAGAGATAGGGTCTCACTGTGTTGCCCAGGCTGGTCTCAAACTCCTGAGCTCAAGTGGTCCACCCACTTTGGGTGCTGGGATTACAGGCAAGAACCACCACACCTGGCCTCAGTGCCTTTCAACAGGCAAATGAAGAGGAGCCCTATCATCATCTTAATCTCTTGGGAGAGACAAGGTCAGGGGAGAGCTACCAAATGATGGCCATTACTCTGGTGACCTTGCACATTAAGGAGGTGCTTGGACATGTGACCACTCCCTATCATTCTGAAGGCTTTTAGATTGCTGGTTGTGAGAGAATTCTGAAATCTATTCGACGACAGCAGGAGCCTCTTCCTGGCTTGTTTTGTTTTCTTTACATCCCTAGGGTGTGATCAATTAAAGGAACTAGAGATTAAGGGTTGTGATCATTCGAGACTTCCACTCTGAATATTTAATATCCCGGATTAGTTTTCCTAGCAGTAGAACTTTATGTCTAAAACAGCAGCCACAACCAAAACAATAACAGAGACTTTCCATGAGAAAGAGAAGAGACTAGGTTGCAGTGCTCTTACATCTTCTTTCAACATTAGTGCTAGAACAGAATCTGACATAACTTTTTCAAATGCCAATAAGATCATTAATATTTGGACAATAAGATCATGTAATATTTTGTCATGTCAGTAAGTCAATTTAATGCACAGGGGTACTGATAAACAGAGGAGAAAAAAAGTGTATGAATCTACTATGATCGGCATTGGGTTATATGCTTTCCTGTTATCAAATGTAAGCCTCAAAACAGTCTCCCATATTCTCATCTTACAGATGAAGACACCAATGCTTTATGAGACTTGCCCAAGAGACATTGCCACACTGAGTGTGCTGATGAATACTGAAAGCCCCTTCTCCAAATCCTTTAATTCCCATTCTAGACACTGGCAAACTAGTTGAACACACTCTTCCTTGGTGATGGTAAGAAGGTACCTCTAAAAAGGTAGGAACCCCCAGGTCCCTGGCAGGGAAGTGGAAGAAGGCTTTGTGGTTAAGATCATTCACACAGAACCACCAGGTTTCCAACAGCATGTCCCGGTTGCAAAGTCCTATCTCTTCCAAGTGTTATCTAACTTGAAGGGAAACACTAGTCCTCCTTGCTCTGCATGAGGTCAATTTGTAAAATGCGCCAAGTCAGCCAACAGCCTTCCAGGCGAGTTCCCACTGAACAGAGGGTGAATACCAGGCCCAAGCAACAGGGAAAATTAACTTGAATGACTGCTCTGTGTTTTTAAGGTTGCCGGAGCTAATGTTCTGTGTATCTGTCTGTAGCATGATTTTAAATATTTACAGAAGTTAGAGAAAGGAAAAAAGTATCAGTTCACAAGTCTACTTTTTCACTTTATTCTATGGTCATTATCTATTGAACAGATAGAAAGTTACAATTTTCCCCTCTAGTTACTTCTGAGGGAGCTTCTTCCTGAATCTGATAAGAGCCAGGCCTATATTCTAAGCAGCAATGTACATCTCAATCTCAGCAAAGTAAATTCCCTCTGGATCAGACACCCAGCTGCTTAATGTCTCAGGCTTACTCACAAGAGATCTGAGAGTGGCGTGTGAGTATTTCCCTTAGAACCAGAGACCCTACGCACACACTGTTGGTTTTGTACACTAGAACATTGCTTTAAAAAACAACAATTAATAGGCCGGGCGCGGTGGCTCATGCCTGTAATCCCAGCACTTTGGGAAGCCAAGGTGGATCTCTTGAGCCCAGGAGACCAGTCTGGGCAATACAGTGAGACCCCATCTCATTAAATAAATAAATAAATTGAAAAACAAAAAACAACAATAATAAAAGGCAAGCTTATTCTGTTTAATGCAAAGAACATGCCCTCCTGGTGATGCATTCAATCACCAACTCTTAAAAACATAACTTGATGTTTTGATCTTTTTAAAATTTTTTAATTTTTTAGGTTTTTAAAAAATTATTTCAACTTTTATTTTAGATCCGGGGGTACATATGAAAGTTTGTTACCTGGATAATTTTTTTTAAGGGTAATTGTTGGCAAGGGTTCATCTATTAATTGTGAGGGTCATGATTTTAATGTGTGGCCCACACAGAAAGGGTGCTACAAATACACTTCATATGCATTTTCCCTAGATACAGGGCATGAGCACTCTTAGCAGAGACAAGTAGAATCTGATATTAGGGGGAGTGTTAATAAAAAATATTCTTAATATTTTGAAGGGGTTGTGGCAGTGGAACACTGAGCTGCTTATTTTCATTCTGGCCCCTTGTTCTGATATTTCCCCTTTTTGATCATTCTTCCTCCATGTCTCCTACACATTTCCAGGCCCTTCTGTTTTTCCTGCCATCATAACTGTGCATCTGGACCACTGCAAAGAGACTTCAAGGTACCTCATCTGCTGTGTCAGCCCCTCTGACTGTCCTGCTGGCCACTGCCTGTTCCTCTTCCCGGAGTGGAGCCTTGATCCTGTCATTCCCTTTTCTAAAGAGCCCCCACGGCTTCCATGGCTTCCAGCACACAGTCCATGCTCTCAGCCTGCTACCCAGCCTCCTTTCCCTGTCTTCCCCTCCACTTTTCTCCTTGTAAGCTCCATGTTGCAGCAAAATCAAATGACTGTTCTCTGGGTGCACCCGCAGAATTCCATGCCTCCGTGTCTTCACTCACAAAGTTCCCCTCTCAACCTGACTCAGCTCTATGGCACCTCTTCTGGAAAATCTTTCCCCTTTGACTTCCCTAAGCTGGAACTAATTTTTACTTCCTCTCAACCATCACAATTCATCTGTATAGATATATTTATTTGAAATCATATTAGAGACCACATCATATTCATCTTTGTATCTATGGGTAGACAAAGAAATAGATGCTGTGATAAATTTCTGTTTCCAGATGCCCAGGGGAATAACACTGGAAAACTAAACATCACTCTTCACTGAACCAGTGTGTCTCAAAGTGTTTTCCAAAAGCCACACCAGAGCTCAGGTGGAGCTCTGAGGTCCTCTGAGGCCCAGGGCTTGCTGCCTTCTTCCCACAAGAGCACAGCCAACACAGTACACAGAACACTCTCTCGACACAGCCTCCGCCACTCCCCTCACCTCAGGGAATTGTCCACTCTGAGTTCAGAACTTTCCCAGAGTTACAATCATACCCTGACAGAGAACCAAATGCACATGATATATAAGACATTTAAACTCAATCCTGAAGAGACTAATTTCTTCCCCAGAGTAAATCTCTAATGAAGAAGAAAAAAGATAGCTATTGCAGAGGACACAGGTTCTTTCTCCCCAAATACATTTTTCTGAAAGTCACTGAACTCTGTCAGAACCAACCTCTACAGAGTTACACTGATAAAAAATGGCACTGACATAATATTTAACTGTTGCTTCCAAACTCAGTTATCAAGTGTTTCATAAATTTGACTAACTCATTAAAAATAAAAAATGTAGGAAGACAGTTTGGTCTGGTGGAGGGCTGTTTTGGAAGTCCAAGCCAGTCTCTCCACCTCACTGAGTGTTCTTGGATTAGTCCTTAACTTCTGTATGCCTCAGTTCCCGCCTCTGTAAAATTAGGATAATATTAGTACCCACCTCATAAGACTGAATAAGACTGAATGGATAATGTCTGTGAAACACTTAGCACAGAGCCTGCACTTAATAAGAACTAAACAATTATAGCAATGATAATAATAGCTATGACAATGAAACTACTGAGAACAGAGGCTCTGTTTATGGAAAGAGGTAGATTAGTTGGTACTTAAACACTAAGATATTCAGACTAGCTTCTCTTTGGGAAAGAACAGAAGCAGTTTATACCAGTCCCCTATGTAAGTGTTAGATGTTATGTAAAGACTATTGCAAACAGCACTAAAAAGGCCAAGAATGGCTGGACAAGAGTGCACGCACAGGTACGGTTTACTGCATGTGCACACACACACTCCTGGCACTGTGCAAGTTAGAGCCTGAGATGCTTCTAGGGGCTTTTAAAGATTCTGTGCTGCTCTAATTGTTTAGTTAGCTACAACTGAGTGACCATGTGTCCCAGATTGCCCCAGACATTCAAGGCTTAAGCTACCTGCCCCAGCATCATTATTAATAGTGTGCCCTCTCATTCTCAAGGGGGTTCTGATTTTGGACAATAATGTACATAATTACCCTATAAAACAAAACCATCCCTGTTTATATGAACTTCCCTGTTTTCGAATCCAGTGGATGTTCTCAAAAAACAATACTGCCATTTCTAAAGCTCTTGGTCACAGTCTGCAAAGGAGCCTGAGGACTATGGACAACTGGACATATGTTTGTAAACAGCTTCAAAGGGGAATGGATGTGGTTTAACATGGAGAACAGTACCAGCAATTAAGGGTTTGTATTTAATTTTTACAAGTAAAAGTAAACGTTGAAGAAAGAGAGCAAGCCCTAACAATCTGAGATCATTTTTCCTTTATCTTTCACAACATGGAGGCACAAGAAGTCAACAACTTTTAACTTCTCAGAAGGCTCCCTGTGGATCAACTCAATCAATGTATCTGGGCCTCACTCCAGTAAGCCCCAACATTGGCTTTATTTATTAGAGAGATAAATAGCTCTGTGAGTTCACAACATGGTGAAAATTTTCTTAACAAAAACCACAGTCTTTAATTGGCTTCGAAGTTAGATGAAGAAATAAGTTTTAATATTGGCATTACATTGGATACTTTTCAAGAGTTCAGAAATATTAGTCTGCTTAATCTCCCCTTAAGATCTCAGAAGCACTGCAAAGGGAGTTATGTTTATGAAAACATTAAAACTGATTTTTCCCTAGTGTAACAATAACCATGTATCCTTATGCATTTGTAGTGTCGCCACTTTTTTTCTTTATCCTTCGTCAGAACTTGTGTTTATACAAATCAGACAGAAACCAGATTCAACCAACAGCTAAAAATTATTTACTCACATGCTTAGTTTAAAACATTCTGGTATCATACCACACCACACTGAAAAACATCACGACGTACTGTATGGAGTGGAACCAAATAAATACGCTAAAGAGTATTTTCCAGTATTCGCTGTTACAAAATCATAACATCCTATGATACAAACAACGAGATTGTATAACGTCCCCACATCGTTTTTTCAGAACTAACAAAAAAAAAAAAAAAAAGGTGGAGAAACTCAGCAAAACAAAGTGGCGAGAAAAGTCGGGGGAGGGGCGGTAGAAGAGAAGGGGCGGAGAAACACGACACTGAGGCGGTGATATCACCCACAGCCAACGGCATGGAATTCAGAAAGTTAAGTGTCACCCAGCAATCTCGGTGCGGACTCGCGGCGCGCCTGCACAGCGTGGCGGCTGCATCCCAGCCAAGCAGGAAGGGGGAGGGGGAGGCCTGACTGAGTTCGCTCGGGGGCAGCTGAGGGGAGGGCTGCCCGCCTCCCGGACGGCGCACGTTCGAGTCCCGGGTCGGGAGACTTGTCCGTCGCCCGACAATGATTTCATCTTTTCGGAAGAGCTGCCGCCTGGGCCGCGGCTGCCACGTGCCTGGTCTGGCCCCGTGCGCTGCGCCGGGGGACCTACCCGGACGGGGCCGCGGCCGCCGCGGGGCGCAGAGGCAGCAGAAGGGAAGGGCTGGCGGCCGGGAGGGGATCGGGGTGGCCAAAACTGGGCTAGGGGATTGCTCCGCGGAGTCCGCCGGCCTCAAGGGGCTGCCCTGCGGAGTGCACCCACCCTCCGCGCCCAAAGGCGGAAAGGCCAGAGCGCGGGGCAGGTTTCGCAACTCCGAGGGTGGATGCAGGCTGTGGCCGGGCGGGATGGAGCGGCCGTGCGTTTCCAGCGCCCCCGGCCTGGCGGAGCCCCATTCTCGGCCTGCGCCCCGCCGCGCAGTGCGCGCTCCCGGCGGCGTGACCGTGGCTGTCGGGCCCCCGCCCGAGCCGGGCAACCGGCCACCCGTGTAGGGGACAGTGGCGGCCGCGGGGCCCGGCGCCGCGCTGTTCGCAGCCCGCCACTCCTTCCGCGCTCCAGGCCCTCTGCGCCTCCTCCCCCGGCCCCGGAGAAATGCTTGTACCTTCCACCGCCTCCTCCACCATCTCGTCGTCGCTATCCATGGCGGCTGGGGACACTGCCCAGCTCGGGGCTGCGCGGCTGCCTCCCGTCCCTCTGGGTGCTCCCGGCGGCTGAGCGAGCTCTGGGGCTCGCGAGTTTGGAGGAGGAGGAGGAAGAGGAGGAGCAGTCGGGGCTGGCTCGCACTGCCTCCCCCTACAGCCCTTTCAATTCCTTGGCCTTCAGCTGCTGCGGCAGCAGCCGTCGTCCCCCCTCCCTTCGCCCACTTGCCCCTCGCCTCGGAGGCTCCGGTGTGCCGCCTTGGCCGCTGCCGCTGCTGCAACTTTCTCCTGTAATACCCTCTCTTTGTTATCGAGCAGCTGATCCGCTGACATCACCCAGCGCCGGTGCGCTCCCTCCCTCGCTGATTGACAGTTCCCTGTCCCTTTCCAGAAGTAAGGCTCCTTAAAACGAAAGGCGCTCCGGGGCCGCGCGTATTCCGCGTCCCAGCCAACCCGCCTCCGGCCCGTCAGCGTTTCTCTTTTGCTTAGGTGCGGCTTGGCGCGCCCCGAGCGCTCAACGCGGTCCTGGGCGCTGCGGGCTTCTCGCGGACACTTGGACCGCCCGTAGGGGCTCCGAGCTCCCGACCTCCCGTTGTGCCGGGAGCAACTTGAAAGTCCGTCGTGCACTGTCCGTGTTCCCTCGAGACAACCTCCAAAGTGCCAGGGAAGCTAAGGAAGCGTTTCTGACGCTCTGGCGCCTGGACTTCCTCTCACCCTCGCCCCCACATCACCCCGTCGCCACCGGGAGCTGCACGAGTGCGACACGCAAGGGAGCGCAGGTGTCCTCGCGGTCCCGCATCACATCCGCAAGCCGATTTCCCCAGCTCGGGGGCTGTTATCTGGCCCGGATTCCGCAGGATGGCGGGTCCACCCCAGCGCCCCCACTCCCCGCCCTCCTTCGGGTCGCCAGGCCCTCGGGTGATTCAGAAATTCATCAAATCCAAATGGCAGCGGGCTCTCTGTCAGGCAGGAAACAAGCCGCACCGAAGGCTCGGCAGGTTCCTCCTTGCTGCTGTGGTAATGGAAAAGGAGCCGCCGAGTGGAGCTAACGAGGAAGGAAGGACCCTCCGTCTGGCGCGCCTCTTTCCCGCGCCTCCCGCCCTGTACGTGTGATGTCCCCAGCTGTCTCTCTGTTTCTCCAAGTGCCAACCACTTCACAGATTCAGGCGTCCTCAAGTGGAGAAAACCATTGGGCACCCGGCTTCCGGCCCGGCCACTTAGTGTCGTTATGGCGCTGCCTCTTACAGGTGGCGGTAAAGGGCGACTGTAAATAGCCGATTAAACAGATGTAAATGTACACAATGTACCGTGGAATTACCGGGTGCCGCTCTGGGCACCCGCCAAGAACAGCTACTGCATGGAGGGGAGGAGGGAGCAAAAAAAAAGTAATTCCATTTTGTTTTCTGATCAATGAATGAGACTTTGGGGATTTCAAAATACTTCCAGCGCCCAGGAGACTACTCCTTGCTTTTGGCTCTGTGCTTAAATGGTAGATATTTTTGTCAAGTATTGCCGGCTTGTTTCTTAAAGTCAGCTTTTCCTCTATGAAAAAGAGAACAATGCTAGGGACATTAGCCCCACACACTTCCAGGAATTTCAGCCCCTTTGACTGTTTTAGAAAGGGGAGGGTCCTGGACCAGAAGTTAGGAGACTTGAGTCCTGGTGCTGCTCACCTGCAGAGGTGTCTTGGGAGCCCAGCCAGCCAGCCTGAATTCCTCCAGATTAGAGGCTTAGTCTACATTGACATAAGGTCCTTGGGGCTTAGGCTAGAGCACTCTGAGGTTCTTTGGCTCAAGCAAGACACCCTCTAGCTTAGTCTATACCTCTCTGAAGTCTCTTGGCTTAGGTTTGACCTCCTTAAAGTCCTCCAGTGCAGATACTGGGAGTCCAAGGCTAAACAGAGAAGGTGTACGTGCAGTGGAAGATGAAAGAGCCACTTTAGGTTACATCATTTTCAAACATGAACCACAGAAACAGGATTTTATATCTGATTTTTAAAAAGCCATCATTTACTGAGCTCGGTCACTCACTGGTTTTGAATTATATGATATTTTTTCTCATTTAACCTTTTTACATATCACCCCCTCCCTTGCATATTATACTGGTGCACTAAAACATACCAGATACTCGTCTTCCCCAGTTTCCAGTTGATTTTCAGGGTGAAAAACAATGCTGAAAGCTGAAGGAAGCAGCAAAAAGACTTTATTCTCTTACTCAAAGGCAGTGAGGCAGGGCTGGGAGGCTGGAAGAAATCTCTCAAGACGTACAGAAGACACAGTTTCATGGTGGGTGGGTACGTGTGGGAGTGAAGGAGAGGGGAGGAATCATGTTGCAAGTGTCCAACTGTCCCCTTGGTGCTGTGAGGTTTTCCCAGCCTGTACTAAGCACCCAAACTGTCAAGCGCTCCCTTTCTACCTACTACCTTGAGAACACCTGAAACCCTGCCTACGGCACCCCCCAACCCCGGCCCCCGCCGTCGGTGAAGCAGGGGTCCTCTGGACCTACAAGAGGCAGGGACAGGAAGGGAGCAGGGTCTTTCTAGCAAAGTCAGTAGTGATGCGGGGTCAAACTACAGAGAACCTTCACCAGATCTGCACATGAGGCAGGCAGCAGCAGGGACACAGTCCCATCCCTCTTCCCCCACCATTCATTCCTGCTGGCTCTGGGCCCAAAGCTGGGGCAAAATGTTTTTATGACTCTCTTAAGATCCACTTGTATCTTTACAAATCATGTTGTGTATGTTTCGAGTCTCCTTCTCTAGACGGACTGATTCTTATTTATGGTCCTAGAACACAACACAGTGCCTGGTACAGAATGTGGGTTAAGCATTGTCAGCAATGATTTTGCAGATAGGAATATTCTGTTTTATATAAACAGTGCTGAGGCTTTCTCACAGACTGGATTCTCCTCCTATGTTTTGGCAAAGTGCTTTGTTTCAGTTCAAATCTGAAGAGCATTTTTGAGTTGTTCTACTTTCCCACATCGACTGGCCCCAAATCTGCTTCCATCGCATTCTTTCCCACAGTTTTCTTCATTGAGAGCTGATTTCATAAACTCTCTTTCTACTTGGCTTTCCACCAGTTTCCCCTGTCGTACTCTGTCCCCACCAATGTGGTCATGGGCTAGAAAATCAATAAAACTCTTAATCACAAACAATGTGCAGCAGCAACAGCAGCAGCAGAAGTAGTGTGGCTCAGCTCCTAACTTGGCAGATCCCAGTGAGACAGAACAAGCTCTACCAGGGAGGAACGGGACCGCACAGGACATCCAACATCTAGGCTGGGTGAGACTTGCTTTCATGTTCACACTGAGAGTGACTTTTTTTTCCCTGTCTTTGGTCTTGAATCAGGAGGAGGGGTGACTTTTCTAAGCTGCTCTGGCTTAGTTTCCATTGCCTCCAAGGCTATATTCCTTCTCTTCATACCCAGCTTGGGAAACATAATTCCCTCTTCCATTGCAGCAAGCAGTCAAAATACTGAGTTAATTTTATTCATTCTACCACCCCTGTCTTTCCCTGGAGAAGGCTGGTGCTTACATACAAGACTGATATAACTTTTGCAATAAATATATTTTTACAAGCTTCTTGTATTTTATGCACCTTCCTACATTTAGGGGAAACAATTCTGTCAATTCGCTGCTATGCATGCTAAGCGAATTGTGAAACAAGTAGTGAATGTGGAACTTATGTGGGATTCACTACTGTTGGCTGTTACTGACTCCTCATCCTGCCCGCTGGCAGGGAGTGGAGGGGCCCAAGCAGTCTTCTGGGTCTCCATGTATTTGGGAGGGAGGAGCCTCTGAGACCTCAGCGGTAGGAAGTCGCATCAGAGCCTCTCCAGAAGCCCTGGTGGCTTTATGGTTGCTGGCCTGGCTCTGGTTTCCATCACTTGCTTACACCGCCAGCAGGATGACAAGGATAAAATTAGTGAAAGACCTTTTAAATAATCATCAAGTCTCGTTTTGGCACTGCTCACTCCTTCACAAGATTTTTTCCCACCAAATTAGCCAGTTTGATTGAGTTTTTGCTTTGTCTGTTTTGGTTCCACCAAGAACTAGCCAAGCAACTGGGCAATTCAGTTCTGCGGGGGCCGGGGGGGGGGCCTTCGTTTTCCCATCTGTAAATGAAGAGTTGGGCTACATAAATTCGAAGCTCAAACCTTCTCTGTCCACCTTTTCTGGAGAAAAGGTAAATAGAGCCTGAGAAGCCCCAGGAAAAGGCACATAAAAAGGAAATGGGAAGAAGCCAGGGCAACTCCAACAAACTGAATACTCAAGTCCTCTCACGTTAATGGCTCTATCTGGGCAGGCAGGTGAGGGGAGAACCTTTATCTTGACTCTAGGGAGGGAAGCATGGAAGTTTTAGGAGAACCAAGGTTCCTGGGTTCTGAATCACTGAGTCACTAATCAAGTGGCTAACTGTGTTAGTGACAACTGCAGAAGCTGGAGGGAGGGGCTGGGAGAGGAGCAGCGAGGAGGAGACGGGTGGGGGAGGAGATGGGGATGAAAGGGAAGCGTTTGCAGCTTGTGGAGCACTGGGAAGAGCAGGGACATCAAGGGCACCAAATAAAGGTCCAGGGAGCAAAGAAAGAAATGGAGAAAATTCATTCTGCTGGAAATAGACATGAGTGCAGTCAGGAAGAAGACTTACAGATTCAGGGTGACCTGATTTGATTACAGCAACAGGAAGTGCAAGAGAGAGAGGGCAGAATAACCTGACCTAAGGAAGTGAATTAAATAATAGAGAAGACACCACAGTTGCCATGGTATTAAAATACCTCATGCCACATTAAGCTTCCTCTTTCTCTTTTGCTTGATTCTTGTTTTTGCAACATGTTAATGTTGCAATGACATGTTAATGTCATTGCAGGGTATCCAGTAAACTAAATTTAGACTTTCTGGGGCGGGGAGGGGAGGGAAGATGCAGCCCAGATCTCCCTGTTTGGGTCGACTCTGGGCCAATATTGTTCCTTCACAGAGTTCTTGGGGTTTTTTGCATTATGGGATATGAAAACTCTTATGTCAGGCTTGGGCCTAGTGAAGCTGCTGAGTGAAATGATTGAAAAAAAAAAAATGAGGCCAGGCACGGTGGGTCACGCCTGTAATTCCAGCGCTTTGGGAGACAGAGGCAGGTGGATCACCTGAGGTCAGGAGTTCATGACCAGCCTGGCCAACATGGTGAAACCCTGTCTCTACTAAAAATACAAAAATTACAAAAATACAAAAACTGGTGGTGCATGCCTGTAGTCCCAGCTACTTGGGAGGCTGAGGAAGGAGAATCACTTGAACCTGGGAGGCGGAGGCTGCAATGAGCCGAGATGGCATCACTGCACTGCACTCCAGCCTGGGCCACGGAGTGAGACTCCATCTCAAAAAAACAAACAACAACAAAAAAAACCCTCACACACACACACACACACACAAAGAAAAATTGGAAATAGTTTTCAAAGGGGCATCTGTTTTAGAAATTACTTTAGAAAAACAATAGGATTGCAGAAACTTGAAAAATAAAGACAAACCGCCACCAAAACCAAATGTGTTTTCATAGATATTATTTTCTCTAATTGTTTTTGAAAAATTACTTTACTAGGCTAAAATTAAGATTATTGAGTCCTGCAATTGGTCCTCTGCAAAAGTAGACATTGCAGAGGGCAGGTACATGGTATACTCTTTTGACACTACAATATCCAGGATGGGCAGAGGAGTATTTCCAGCTGACCTATTTACCACAAATGTCATAACATTCATCAAGGGTCAGCTCTTGACCTTCCTCAAGTGGACTCACATTAACTAGACCCCGAGAGACTGAGATGTATGCCTGAATTATGATGGACAGATCAGAATACTCACACTGTCAGGGCAAAAGATCTCTCTATATAAATAAATGCACTTGAGAAGACAAATTCCATCCAAAAGTTTGCTTAGTTATCTGGAGTAGAATGAAGGACATTAGTTGTGTGGTCCACAAGACAAATACTCTGATACAGTGTTCTGAAAGAATGAGGCTGCCCACCCATCCCACTCACCTCTGCTTAGATGGGCCCTATGGCTTCTGAGGCTTCAAGCTTCTTTCTCCGTGCTCTAGTTTCTCCAAACCTGATTCTCCACACAGCGTCCTATACAGCCCATTAGGCAGATTTACACTTTCTAAGTCATAATGACATTCTCTATCTTCCTGGCATTACAGCCAAGTCACTTTAATGGGAATTTGAGGTAATCCTCAAACTTCTCAGTCACAAATTGAGTCACTCTCTTGGTTTATGCCCACTGAATTCTAGTCAAAACCATTGAGTGTGCAGATTTTGGTAGTCAAACTTTCTGAGAGCAACCTGGTTCTCAAGTTCTTGGGAAAGCACCTCATTTCTGCTTCACAAGCCATCAACAGTGGGCCAACCTTCTTAGGCTACCATGATTTCTGAGAAAGAGACCAGAGACATATTAAGACCCACGTGGCCTGTCCTGTGATACAGTCATCCAAGTTTTCCTGGGCACTCAGCTCAAAGATATTTCTATTCTGTGCAGGAGTGGAGAGGTTGGCTCTTTGCTATGATAGCTTAGGCAACGGAACGCCACCTTGAGGATGCAGATTCCATCTACTATAACATAGATGGAGGGCAAAGTGTCCTCTTCATTTTCCAAATGGGACTGTCTGGCTTTGAATCCAATATCCAGAAATGAAAATACCCATGTGGTCCTCTTCACTCAGTCACAAACAAAGACAGGTTGATTAGAGTGTTTCTGGGACCTGGCACTGAAATGACAACCCTCGATCTACAGGCAGCCCTCACCCGGAGGTGCTTGATGCTAAGCCAGCCCTTCCTGTATGTATTTGCTGGAGACCTGTCTTGCAGCCTCTTTGGATCTGGCGTGTCCTTTCAGGTCATTTAAGGTCTTATTGATCCTCCTTGCTGAGTCCATAGATCAATTCTTGGGAAAAGATGCTGTGGCCAACTTTTGGAATGTCTTTCAGACAAATTTAAAGAGCCCTGCTCAAATGCTCCTGTGCTCAAGATAGAGGACCAAAAAGAAAGCAGCCCTGTGGTAGGCCTTGTACTGTCTCCTTGGAGAAAAATGCCAGTTGAGAGTAGGTCTTCTGAAGTTATAAGCATCACTTCCCAACCTGGCATCTGGGGAATGTCTTAAGTCTGAGATAGTGTGAGTTCTTCAGCAGAGCAGGGAGCCTGGTTATTACTCAGCTGTAAAGTCTTGGCACCTCGACCTCACCTGTGTCCCCTGTTCTGTGCTCTCCCCCAAGATGGTGTGGCAAAGGTTGTGATTTGAACCAGGTCAGGTTCATTCTCAGTTGTAGACAAGATAAGAGAGAGGGGCAAGTCAGTGATCTCTCCCTTCTCGCCAATCCTATAGAATTTGGAGTATCTGCAACTAACTTTCCTTAATATTTCAAAATAATCCTTCTGAAAATGTGCATTGAGAATTGTGGAATTGGTTATATCCAAGCAGAGTCATCTTGTTTATAGGCTCATTTTCATCTAAGGGGCTATTTTTATTGCTGACATATACCTTTCAAGTATTTGGAAAGGTTTATCGTGAATGGAATGTATCCTGAATGGAATGTAATTTGGCATCTCTGAGCTCATTTGCACCACACAATAATTCATCCCCAAGACCAGAGATGTTTAAGGACTCTCCCAGGATCCCACAACTGAAATGTGGCCAAATGAGGCTCAAATCAAGGCCCATTGGGTCTTCAGCCATACTTCACACTTCATGCAGAGTGACAAGACTCCTCAGAGGGTGGGCATCGGAGGGCAGGGGTGAAGCAACAAGAGATGGCATTTAGAGACAGTCTGCTGTTTCCCAGGAGACTGAGTCACATCATTTCATTTCATCCTGAAAATGACCTTACAGAATATGATCTCCATTTATAGATGAGGAAACCCGAGACTGTGAGTTCAAATAACTTGTCTGGAGTCACATAAGTAGTGAGAGTGGGATTGGAACCACAGCTGTGCAAACCATGAAAAGGCACAGATAGAGGAAATGGAAGTAACAGGACAGTTTTGGAGAAATAATTCTAGATTATTGAGTAAAGGAAAAGTTCTTAAAGAAGCTCTACATCAGTTTTATGGTGCCATACAAGATGGACTTATGGAGTGTGTTAATCTGTTCTCACATTGCTGTAAAGAAATACCTGAGACCAGGTAATTTAGAAAGAAAAGAGATTTAATTGGATCATGGCTCTGCAGGCTACACAGTAAGAATGATGGCATCTGCTCAGCTTCTGGGGAGGCCTCAGCAAACTTACAATCATGGCAGAAGGTGAAGGGGGAGCAGGCAGTCACATGGACAGAGCAGGAGCAAGAGAGAGAGGCAGAAGGTGCTACACACTTAAACGACCACATCTCTTGAAAACTCACTCACTATCATGAGGACAGCACCAGAATGATGGTGCTAAACCATTCATGAGAAATCCACCCCCATGATCCAACCACCTCCCACCAGGCCCCACCTCCAATATGGGGGATTACATTTCAACATGAGATTTGGGAGGGGACAACATCCAAACTGCATCACAGGGGAAATGACAAAATCACAAAAGCGTATACATGGCTGGCCTCTAGTGGCAGAGGAGAGCTTTGGTCTTGTCTCTGGGGGTATGCTTTTGTGAAGGTGTCCCAAGTGACCCCCATCCCTTATTTGAGATGATATACTTCTTGGGTTCAAGTTGTTCAGTTTGTTTTTCTGGTTCTGGTGGCTGAGTGGAGGGCAGAGATTCTCTCTGCAGCAGATGTGCCATCCTTTACAGTGCCTAGCATGCTGCTGGACGTACAGGTGTCCAGGAGGTTTGGCAAGCATATTGCCAGGAAAAACTTCTACCATTGAGGGCCCAGTGCAAACAAGCTCACTATGAGCAGGCTGGCTGGCCATGGATAAGGAGGACCATCTTAGGAGCAAGTTACAGCTGACAGATGACTTTTGAGCTGTGGAAATGGAAGACAGAAAAATGCTTTTTGAAGAACTTCATTAATTTTTATTTACTTATTTATTTTTGAGATGGAGTTTGCTTGTTGCCCGGGCTGGAGTGCAATGGCACGGTCTCAGCTCAGTGCAACGTCCACCTCCTGGGTTCAAGCGATTCTCCTGCCTCAGCCTCCCAAGTAGCTGGGATTACAGGTGCCCAATACCATGCCTGGCTATTTTTTTTTGTATTTTTAGTAGAAATGGGGTTTCACGTGTTGGCCAGGCTGGTCTCGAACTCCTGAACTTAGGTGACCCACCCGCTCGGCCTCCCAAAGTGCTGGAATTACAGGCGTGAGCCACCGAGCCCAGCCGAACTTCATTAATTTTTTAAAAATCCAGTCTTAATCTATAATTTTAAATCACCATTTACTTTATTAATTTTAGAAGAAAAACATTCATTGGAGAGATATTAAATAGAATATCAAAAAGAAAATGTAAAAATCACTCAAAATCCTAACAACCAACAGTAACTACGATAAACAATCTGGTATATGCCCTTTCAGACACTTTATAAAAATGTATAAGCATAGCCAGGTGTGGTGGCTCACGCCTGTAATCCCAGCACTTTGGGAGGCTGAGGCAGGCTGATCACAAGGTCAGGAGTTCGAGACCAGCCTGGGCAACATGGTGAAACGCTGTCTCTACTAAAAATACAAAAATTAGCTGGGCATGGTGGTGTGCACCTGTAGTCCCAGCTACTTGGGAGGCTGAGGCAGAAGAATCGCTTGAACCCAGGAGGCAGAGATTGCAGTGAGCTGAGATTGTGCCACTGCACTCCAGCCTGGGTGACACAGCGAGACTCTGTCTCAAAAAAATATCTATACATATATATACGTATATACATACATATATATGCATAGATTAAATGTGTCCTCTTAGTAGCTGGGACTACAGGCGTGCACCACTACACCTGGCTAATTTTTTAATTTTTTTATATAGATGGGGTTTCACCATGTTGCCCAGGCTGGCCTTGAAATTCTGAGCCCAAGCCATCCACCCACCTCAGCCTCCCAAAGTGCTAGGATTACAGGCATGAGCCACTGCACCCAGCCACAGTTTTTTTGTTGTTTGTTTGTTTGTTTTTTAGACAGAGTCTCGTTCTATAGCCCAGGCTGGAGTGCAGTGGCGTGATCTCAGCTCACTGCAACCTCTGCCTCCCGGGTTCAAGCAATTCTCTGCCTCAGCCTCCCAAGTAGCTGGGATTATAGGTGCCCACCACCACGCCCGGCTAATTTTTGTATATTTTTAGTAGAGACGGGGTTTCACCATCTTGGCCAGGCTGGTCTTGAACTCCTGACCTCGTGATTCACCCACTTTGGCCTCCCAAAGTGTTGGGATTACAGGTGTAAGCCACCGTTTTTTTATAGTGTCATTCAAGATGAACTTGTAGGCCAGGAGTGGTAGCTCACGCCTATAATACTAGCACTTTGGGAGGACGAGATGGGTGGATAACTTGAACCCAGGAGTTTGAGGCCAGCCTGGGCAACATGGCGAAATCCTGTCTCTACTTAAAAGAAAAAAAAAATGAACTCGTAGGCAGTGTTCTTAAAATTAATAATAAAATTGTAAACATTCGTAATCTAGAAATTATTTAATGTGTAGAAGCAAGCATCATATGCTTTTGAGAACAGTAGATAATGTACTTGCATGGAACAACATCTAGTAAAAATAAGCCAAAATGTTAATAGTAATTATCACAGGATGATGTGATCTCAAGTGATTTAATTTTTTCTTTTTGCTCATTAAAAAATGTTTCTTATGATGACTATTATTGACTTATATAGTTATAAAAAGAGGTTGTTAAAAAAAAAAAAACCTTACCAGCTGGAGGCACATTACTTTTCTAGACTTTATTTTCTGTATATGTAATATGGAAATTCTAGAAATTACTCTATAGAGAGGTTGTGTGGATTAATGGATAATGCAGATAAAGGGCTTTAAGGAGCTCCAGGCACACGGTTGAGTGTACACTACATAGTGGCCACCAGCATCCCTGCTGTCATCTAATTCATTTGTGCTTCTGCCTCTACTCTTGCCTGTTCTTCATGGGTAGGAGAGTGGCCTTTCAAGTCAGATCACATAAGGCTTTGCCCTGCTTAAAGCCTTCCAGTGTAGCCAGGAGTGGTGGCTCATGCCTGTAATCCTAGCACTTTGGGAGGCCGAGACTGCTTTGTTCTATCCTACCTCAGGGCCTTTGCATTTTGTTCTGTCCTACCTCGGGACCTTTGCATTCACAGTTCCTCCTTACCTGGGATTCCCCTCCCCTTATCTTCTCTTAGCTGGTTTTTGGTCTCAGCATAAAAGTCACTTCCTCAAAGATGTCTTCCCTGGCCACCCAACCAAGGGTAGCTACCCAGCCACACTTCTATTGAATACTTCTCTGGTTTAATACTTCCCTTTGTTAATTTTCATCATAGCATTTGTCACCACCTTACACATTCTTGTTTATTCTGTTACCTAGTCTGCGTTTCTCCACAGGCCTTGTTTGTCATGTCAGAGCTGTCACGGCATATGCAGAAGGGTGTCTAGCACATTGCAAATGCTCCAGACATGGGTGTTAAATCCTTTCATTAATTAATTAGATTATCTTTGTCAAGTGACTGAACGGTTTAATCACCTCCTTCTCAGAGGTCTGGTGTTTTCCTAAGGAGGCAGAGGGCAATTATGTCACTTTATTTCTACATCCCCCACCCTCCACCACTACCCCCAATTAGAAAGAGGATGATTTAAAAAAACAAAAAACGATGGGTGCGGTGGCTCATGCCTGTAATCCCAGCACTTTGGGAGGCTGAGGCAGGTGGATTACCTGAAGTCAGGAGTTCGAGACCACCCTGGCCAACGTGGTGAACCCTTGTCTCTACTAAAAATACAAAAATTAGCTGGGCGTGATGGCAGGCACCTGTAATCCCAGCTACTCAGGACACTGAGGCAGGAGAATCGCTTGAACCCGGGAGGAGGAGGTTGCAGTGAACCGAGATGGTGCCACTACACTCCAACCTGGGCAACAGAGCGAGACTCCGTCTCAAAACAAAACAAAACAAAACAAAACAAACAAACAAAAAAACACATCTGTTTCTCATGTTCTTTAAGATGTGGCTAGATTCCTACCTTTCCATCCCAGATTGTTTTTTTGTTTTGTTTTGTTTTGTGTGTTTTTTTTTTAAAGCTGCCGAGATTTGAAAAGAGAACCTTTGCAGACTTTAATTCTGATACATGAGGCAGGACAGGCAGTCCCCACTCTACAAAGAGGTTGTGTTCCGAAAGTTTCATTGTGTATGTTGTTTGTTTCCAACACAGAATGCATTTTTCATTGGAAACAATGTTCCCAGACTAGCCCACAAAAGCCTATTTAACCCACTATGCTAAGTAGAAAACAAAATGCGTTTAAATTCTAGGAAACACAACAGGGAAAATGAATAAGAAATACAATTTAAATGTTTATGTTGAATATTAGTGCTTGGGGAAAAGCAGCTTCCAACAAAGAAGAAAGAAGCAGCAAGGGTCAGGGGTGTGGAAGATTCAGAGAGCGGAGTGGAAGCCCAGCTGTCATGGCCAGGCCACAGTCCTGCATCTGACAGGGCTGTGGACGAAAGCCGAGTCTGTCCTGGAGCAGCTGGGCCTGGGCAGGTCTGAGCCCGTGTGAGGAACATTCCTGCAGATGCACAGCATGCAGAGGGCAGGCGGGGCTGACGCACACACTTCTCCCCAGTGAATTCTGGAGGCTGGAGTCAACCTATAGAAAGTCTTCCATGAGGCCGAAATTGGAGTGTGTGATGGGGGTGGCTCCTGGGTCTCATGGAGTTCCTCAGAGAGCTTCTGCCTGAGTTATGTGAGTATAAGCATGATACTACATCTTAAAAAAATAATGGGCTCAGTTTTAGTTTCGTTGGTGTTTACCACATGGTAATTTCAGGCATTTCCCCCCTATATCTGATATTTGTGCTGCTACTTTGAGGCAAAAGCTTTTTATCTCCTAAAAGGCCCCCAAAGCAGGGGCCATCTCCTTATAGAGGAGGTCTTCTAAAATTTCTCACGTTTTTCCAGAATTTGAAATTTCTCCTATTTTGAATAAGGAAGTGTTCTATTTGGGAAAGACCCATTATCCTGAAATCAAGCCTAATTTTGGAAGCTTGTAGAAAGAGTACCCCAGAAGAACTGGTAAAGAAGGAAGCAAAGAAATTGAAGACACAGTTAGGAATTATTCCTGCAAGGAGTACTTCATAATTATTAAGTGTTTTATGTCAAGTAAATGAACTCCTAAATATCACTTAAAAGCAATAGCAGTAAATAGTTATATTTTAGATGATGAATCTAAATTTAGAGGACAAATTACAAAATGGGGTAACATTTCCAACAAGAGTGTTTTATATGGAATGTTAAGTGCTTAGGCAGGAAAAAGAGTATGATCTTGAAAATTATATGGGATGATTCTGAAAGGGGGTCTAGTGATGAAGACATTAGTGTCAAAGATGTATGTGAAGAGTTTGAATAAAATTGTTTCAGGAAATGTGGGATTGAAGATAGCTATATTTCTATGCATGTAGCAAAATTACATTTGTACCTGATAAGTTAATACAAATGTTTAAAAGCCTGTATTTCTTTTCTTTCTTTTTTTTTTTTTTTGATACGGTGCTTCACTGTCACCTAGGCTGGAGTGCAGTGGCACCAGCTCAGCTCACTGCAACCTCCACCTCCTGGGTTCAAGTGATTCTCCTGCCTCA
Organism: Homo sapiens; assembly: GCF_000001405.40. NCBI lineage: Eukaryota > Metazoa > Chordata > Mammalia > Primates > Hominidae > Homo > Homo sapiens. The sequence goes on from NC_000004.12 coordinate 139,569,835, forward strand.
GCCTCCCGAGTAGCTGATATTACAGGCACATGTCACCACTTCCGGCTAATTTTTGTATTTTTAGTAGAGATGGGGTTTTGCCATGTTGGCCAGGCTGGTCTGGAACTACTGACCTCGGGTGATCCACCCGCCTCGGTCTCCCAAAGTGCTGGGATTACAGGCATGAGCCACCACGCCCGGCCTAAAAAGCTATATTTCTTAAGGTATTGTTTTATGTAATGTGTGATTTAAACATATGTGCAACCACAGAAGGATAAAGATCACGTGCTCTCACTCTTATGTGGGAGCTAAAAACGTTGAGCTCACAGAAGCAGAGAGTAGAATAGTGGTAACTAGAGGTTGGGAAGGGTAGAGGGAGAGGGAAAATAGGGAGAGGTTGATTAACATACAAAATTACAACTAGAGGCTGGGTGCGGTGGCTCACACCTGTAATCCCAGCACTTTGGAAGGCCAAGGTGGGTGGATCACTTAAGGTCAGGAGTTCAAGACTAGCCTGGCCAACATGGCGAAACCCCATCTCTACTAAAAATACAAAAATTAGCCAAGTGTGGTGGCACACACTTGTAATACCAGCTACTTGGGAGGCTAAGGCAGGAGGATCACCCCAACCCGGGAGGCAGAGGTTGCTGTGAGCTGAGATCACGCCACTGCACTCCAGCCTGAGTCACAGAGTGAGACCCTGTCTCAAAAAAAAAAAAAAAAATTACAGCTAGAGAGGAGGAATAAGTTCCAGTTTTTTATAGCACTGTAGGATTATAGTTAACAGTAATTTACTATGTATTTTCACATAACTATCAGAGAGATTTTGAATGTCACCAACACAAATAAATGATAAATGTTTGAGGTTATGGTATGCTAATTACCCTGAGTTGATTATTACACATGGTGTATGTGTATCAAAATATCATTCTGTCCCCCATAAATATATACAATTATGTGTCAATTAAAAAGTAATATATATGTGCAACCAAATTAATCTCTGAAATATCATAGACATTTGAATCTTGTCTACATCCTAATAGTTTATATATCCAATTAGGCTAATTTGGAGGAAGGGGAATCTCATTGGAAAAATAAGAATTGTATTACATATGTCCTCTCTTTGCATTAAGGCATATGTGGAATACATCAGTACAAGTTTGCTTTTAAAAGAGGCAGAGCATACTGGACTAAGACTATGATAAAGCCCGGCGCAGTGGCTTACACCTGTAATCCCAGCACTTTGGGAGGCTGAGGTGGGTGTATCACTTGAGGTCAGGAGTTCAAGACTGGCCTGGCCAACATGGTGAAACCCCGACTCTACTAAAAATACAGAAATTAGCTGGGCAACGTGGCATGCGCCTGTAATCTCAGCTACTCAGGAGGCTGAGGCAGGAGACTCGCTTGAACCCAGGAGGCAGAGGTTGCAGTAAGCCGAGACTGTGCCACTGCATTCCAGGCTAGGTGACAGAGGGAGACTCCATCTCAAAAAAAAAAAAAAAAAAGTATGATAAAAAGATCTAGGCTCTAGTTCTGGATTTATTACTGCAGCCACGTCTTCTGGACAGGTCAGTTGTCTCTCCACGTTTCAGTTTTATCAAATGGAAAAAATGAAAACTGTCACACTTCTTACATAACTTCTTTTATTATCTGTATTGTAAATACAGAGTCTCAATTATTGACTAATTTATACTAATAGTGGGAAGCAGTGTCTAGATAATCCCAGATGATTACTAATTTAAAACTACTTTACATTTTATTTAGTAATGTGTTTGGAACAGTTACATTTTGTAGCTACTTACAATTTTACTTTAACTGAAATAATAAGACAAGGCCATAAATATTGGCCTCCCTGGCTGGGGAGTTGTGTGGGTTTCCTTTCCAGGCAGTTGAGGTTTTCCATGGAGCCTACTCTACAGTGTCAGCAGGAGTATAACATAGAAGGCTTCCAGGTCAGGTGGCCCAGAGTCAAATCAAAGCCCCATCCCTTTTTAGCAAATTTCTCAGCCTTACTTAGCTGTGCCGGCCTGCCTCTTTCTAAAATGAGGAAAATAATAATACCCACTTCACTGGTTTATTGAGAGGATTAAATGAGGACGTGTTATTTCACACCATTATTGCTTCTGTTGTTATTATTTTAAAATCTAGGTTGGTGATTGCATCAGTTTCTTAGGGCTGCTCTAAAGAAAGTACCACAAGCTGAGTGACTTACATAGCGGAAAAGTGTTTTCTTACAGGTTAAGAGGCTGGAAGTCTGAAATCAAGGTGTCAGCAGGGCCATGCTCCCACTGAAACCCATAGCGGGGAATCCTTTCTTGCTTCTAAGTTTCTAGTGTTTCCTTGGCTTGTAGATGTGTCACTTCAGTCACACGGCCATCTTCCATCTTCTTCTTCTTCTTCTTCTTTTTTTTTTTGAGATGGAGTCGCTGCTGTCGCTCAGGCTGGAGTGCAATGGCGTGATCTTGGCTCAGTGCAAACTCCGCCTCCTGGGTTCAAGCGATTCTCGTGCCTCAGCCTCCCGAGTAGCTGGGACTGCAAGTGTATGCCACCACGCCCAGCTAATTTTTGTATTTTTAATAGAAATGGGGTTTCACCATGTTGGCCAGGCTGGCCTCCAACTCCTGACCTCAAGTGATCAGCCCACCTTGGCCTCCCAAAGTGCTGGGATTACAGGCGTGAGCCACTGGCGGCACATGACCACATTCTTCCTGTGTCTTTACATTGCCTTCCTGTGTGCACATCGGTCTTTGTGTCTAACTTTCCGCAATATGACACTAGTCATATTGGATTAAGGCCCGCCCTAATCATGATTTCAACTTGATTACATCTCCCAAGCTCGCTCTTTCTTTCTTTCCTTCTTTCTTTCCTTCCTTTCTTTCTTTCCTTCCTTCTTTCTTTCTCTCTCTCTGTCTCCCTCCCTGCCTTCCTTCCTTCCTCTCTCTCTACCCTCCCTCCCTTCCTCCCTCCCTCCCTCCCTCCCTCCCTCCCTCCCTTCCTTCCTTCCTTCCTTCCTTCCTTCCTTCCTTCCTTCCTTCCTTCCTTCTGCAGTGGCACAATATTGGCTCACTGCAGCCTCAAACTCCTAGGCTCAAACAATCCTCCCACCTCAGCCTCCAAGTAGCTGGGACTAGATGCATGTGCCACAATGCCTGGCTAATTTTTATTTCTTATTTTTTCTTGCCCAGGCCGGTCTCAAACTCCTGGCCTCAAGCAGTCCTCCCACCTGGGATTGCAGGCATGAGCCACTCTGCTTGGCCAAAGCCTGTATTTCTAAATGAGAGCACATTTTGAGGTTCTGGGGGTTAGGGTTTGGACACAATTGAACCCATAACAGTAACAGTTCTTTCTCTCAAAAATTCTCCAAAGTAAGAAAAGTGTTTTACATTTTGCTGTCTAAAGTCTCTTCCCTGCAAGATGTTATCACCAAAGAGTTTGTTACTTATCAAGAATGTTTGGATACAAAAACTTAAGTTGGTTCTGTTTGTGAGTAAACTTGAAAACGAATTATTTGTTTTGTTTAAAGAGAGAAGCATTCTTTCAGGCAGGACTCTGTCAAGAACATGTTACAAACTGTCTCATTTCCAGTGAACTGTTCTCTGCCTTCCACCCAGACAAGCACAAGACAACACTCCTGTCCGCTCTAGCTGGCAGCAGAGCCTCTCACTGGGTCTTGATTTCAAATGGTCATCAGAATTTATCCTCATGGTCCCTGGTCTTCACTAGAGAGCAAAGTCCCTGTTTTACTCATTGAAGCCAAGCAGACCTGGGTTCAGATTCAAGCTCTATCACCAACAGCCAGTTAGTACACTAACGTCTCTGAGCCTCAGTTTTCTCATCTGTAACATGAGGGTGATAACACCTCATAGGCTGGTGGTGAGATTTGGAGTGCCTAATGCCTGGTAGACAGTCTGCAAATCATGGTGCTATTATCATGGAAGAATAACGTTTGGGGAACTTTGGGGGACCTTTTCTATCACTTATTTGGGCCTTCTGCACATACCCTTCCAAGGGCACAACAGTGGGCCTGTAACTTACATCAGCAGAGGAAAAGGTATAATTTGAATCTGGCCTTTGGGACTTGAATAGACAAAAATGTCACTTTGCTATCAAAGGAGGAGGTATTGTCTCTGTCCATCTACCCGCCTTTCTGATCTACCATAGGCAGATCTGAAATAGCAACACTTTACTGTGCACAAATGAGATCAATGCAGAAGAGAAGCAACTTTCATTTGGGAGAGAAGGTTAAGTTTAGAGCCTGGGGTGCAAAGGCAGAGGTGGATCTGGAGAGGACCATGGAGTCAGGCCAGGGGGACACTGAGGTGTTAGGTAGGCATGAGGTTGAGGAGACACAGCCTCTGTGAAGGATGCAGGGCAAGTATAAGCAGAGAAGGGGGAGATGCTAAAGACAGGACAGCCTCCTGCCTCTTAGAATTCTGCCCAGGCTCACCCTGCTGGGTAGACTTCATTTTAAACTTTATTATTTTTAGTTTTTAAGACAGAGACAGAGTCTCACTCTGTCGCCCAGGCTGGAGTACAGTGGTGCAGTCTTGGCTTACTGCAACCTCTGCCTTCCAGGTTCAAGTGATTCTCCTGCCTCAGCCTCCTGAGTAGCTGGGATTACAGGCACCAGCCATCATGCCCGGCTAATTTTTGTATTTTTAGTAGAGACGGAGTTTCACCATGTTGGCCAGGCAGGTCTCAAACTTTTGACCTCAGGTAATCTGCCCTCCTCCGCCTCCCAAAATGCTGGGATTACAGGCGTGAGCCACTGTGCACGGGCTGCACCTTCATTTTGAATTTTGAATTCTTTCCCTAATTATGATTCCTCTACTCGGGCAGAAAGCCCCTCTCCAAATGCCAGCTTCTTCAACACAAAGATGCTTAAAACCCAAGGCCTCCCTCATAAACTGATTGGCACAGTAAGCAATAGATCAAGAGCAACTATAAAAGTCTTGGCTGTGTTCCTTGAGGGACATATTAAGAAACCCTTGAGGGCACATTCCCTCTTGCCTGGAGCTTTGGGAGGTCTATAATCCTGGAAAGGACTCAGGCAGGTCTGTGGGAGCCAAATTGCATCAGCCCTAGTTTCAAAAGTGTTATCTTTTGCTCTTTGTGATTGTAGCTGAATTAGTTGATTGTAGTAACAAAGGGGTAAGTGCCGAATTGCGTGCAAGTATGCTCCTCATCCCTCAAAGACAATATCCAGATGTCCTTTATATCCCAAATCCGTTATTAGCTTCTGAAGATTTCCAAGTTTTTTTTATAGCAATTGTCACTCAATAACTTAATGCATTAACAATGAATTTTCTAGACCAAGTATAGATCCAGGTCATTTCTTCTCTCTGAGCCTTGGTTTATCTGTGAAAGAAGGTTGTAGGAGCAACAACTAAGGCTTCTGATTGTGATCAAATCCTACATCTTGAGAAGCAATGGCCCCAGGCGCCTGTGGTGGGGATTAACACAGAGCAGTATGCAGCCATCTGTAACAAGCAGGTGAAAGTGGGCTAAAATGTGCATCAAGTACTCCCTCAAAGGGGAAGAATCCATCCAGACACTCTTATCTTTCATTCGACAAACACATATTGAGCACCTGGAACGCATGAAGGAACAGCAAAGAAAAGGCTCGGGTTCTGAAAGTGCTCCCAAGGCGAGGCAGGTGGAGGCAGATCACAAGAACCCTTGGAAGGGCAAGTGCTGGGAGATTTTTCCAGGAGGTGAGAGGATTGCAATCTATGTCCTTTGATTTTAAAAATCCTGCCTAGTTTCCCCATAGGTCGCCTCAATTTGTTAGGCTATGTGTCCCTATTTTGGGCTCAAAAATTTTGATCAGGGTGAACATAGGGTAAGATAATCATGAAAATGCACCCTATACCTCCCTCATACCGCTGAAGTCAGAGAGACAAGCCAAGGGCTGCAGTGCCCAATTTGTCTTGATGGTGACTTTGGTGCTGGGTTAACGGCTCATGTCATGCATGTGTGTGTATGAGTGAGAGAGTCTTTACATTACTAGCCCTTCCCAATCTTTCCCTGAGTTTGGGAGAAGGTGGGTAGAGACTAGACCAAGGGCCAGCTCTGCCTGTGGCTCTTTTTAAAACCTGTTTTTCTAGATCATGTAATGAATCTAAATACTGGTCCGTGAAAAAGGAAAAAGGGGTCATTATCTCTCATATTTCACATCCAGGAATATTAAACAATTAAAAGCTTACCTAATGTTCCCAAGGTCATATGGTGAATTAGGAACAGAGACAGAGAAAGGATTCTAGTTTCTGGTCCTTCTAGTTTTGTTGCCTCAGCTTTGGATCTTGCTGCCTCTTTAAATCCCACATTTAGCTAGAATTGGGAGCTGTAGCTGTGAATTGGCTCCATCACTTAAAAAAAGGGGGTGCGGAATACTTGCTTTCCTATAAGGCAAAACTATCTTATAACTCTACTGAGCAAGGCCTAAGAGATTGTCAAATTTTCAGCACATGTGAATATCCTTGTTCTTTCAGCTATTGGTATTCTGCAGCAGCTGCCTCACAGAGCCTGGAGAGCTCCAGCAAGGATGGGCCGGAACTCCAGCTGCTGGTGAGCAAGTGTTCACTATTTATAGCGGGAGGGGGGCTGCAAAGGAATGGAATTTTTTCCTTCTGAGTAGGGTTGATGCAACCAACAGGAAGTGGGCTCTGGTGGATACTAAAGGAGATCACATGAATATAGCTTATTACAGTACTTATCATACTCGAGCGTGCTTCAGAATCACCTGGGGGTGCTTGTTGAAAGACAGATTGCGGGGCTCCACCCCCAGAGTTCCTGATTCACCCTGTATCTTAGCCAGTCGGGCTGCTATAAAAAAGTACCATAGACGGGGTGGCTTAAACAACAAACATTTATTTCGCACAGTTCTGGAGGTTGGGATGTCTAGGGTCAAGGTGCTGGCAGATTTGGTGCCTGGTGAAGGCCTGTTTTCTGGTTTATAGACAATGACTTCTCACTATGTTCTCACATGGCAGAAGGGGTATGGGAGCTCCCTAGGGCCTCTTTTATAAGGGCACTGATCCTATTCATGAGAATTCTTCCCTCATAACCCAATCACCTCCCAAAGGCCCCACCTCCTAGTACCATCATCACCTTGAGGATTACGATTTTGTCATATGAATTTTGTGGGAGACACAGACATTCAGTCCATTACAGTAGCGAATGGCCCAAAAATGTGCTGATGCTGCTTGTTCAGAGACCACACTTTGAGAACCACTGCTCTATTTTTTATTTTTATTTTTATTTTTTGAAACATGATCTCGCTCTGTCACCCAGGCTGGAGTGCAGTGGGGCGATCTTGGCTCACCGCAACCTCCGCCTCCTGAGTTTAAGCGATTCTCCTATCTCAGCCTCCCAAGTAGCTGGGATTACAGGCACGTGCCACCATGCCTGGCTAATGTTTTTGTATTTTTAGTAGAGGTGGGGTTTCACCATGTTGGACAAGCTGGTCTCAAACTCCTGACCTCAAATGATCCACCTGCCTCAGCCTCCCAAAGTGCTGGAATTACAGATGTGAGCCACCACGCCCAGCCCTCTGCTCTGTTCTAACAAGTGGATTGTACAGGGAAGAGTCTTTGTATATAGCAGCAGATTAAACCAAAAGAATGCACTGACATGCACAAAAAGACTCTTTCTGGTGATCTTACTGTCAAATCAAAATCAGTTGCTTCTGAGCCAGCATTTCCAGGGCAAAGGTATTATTTTATAAATAAAGAAAACTTCACCAAATGTAAAGGTTAGGACTCATAAGGACTATATATCAACATAATTTAATAAAAATTGTTTTTTATTTCTCTTTCTTCTTGCTCTAGTAAAAAAAATGCAATTAGTTTGGTCATATGATGATATTATAGTGTTTGGAGTCAAGGCTGGCAAACTTGACCTCCATTTTCAACTCGGAGCACAGCCTAGCATGGGCCTGGGGACTGAAGAGGCTGTCTCAATCTTTGATTAAGAGCCAGGGGAAAGTGAATGGGTGGGCCCTGGAAGAATGTGGCTTATCTGCTGAGTAGACCAAGACCTTAGCTTTGGCCTCTCAGTTTATTGGATGAGATTGGCCTGTTCAGAAAAACCTTTGGTTCAGGTTTTTCTTTTTGCTTGAATTTTGATATTTTACATTTTCCTAAAAATTATCCATTTCACTCTGATTTTTAAACTATCAGCATATAGTTGTGCAAATAATTCTTTTACAAGAATTATAGTTTCCTATATATGTGTTAATCTATTTGTATTTTCCCCTAGTTTTTAAAATTAGACTGTAACCAGCCAATAGGTTCACCTTGCCCACTGCCTAGACAGAGTTGATTTATCAAGACAGGGGGATTGCAATAAAGAAAGAGTAATTAACACAGAACCGACTGTGTGGGAGACCAGAGTTGCTTTATTATTACTCAAATCAGTCTGCCCGAGTATTCGGAGATCAGAGTTTTTAAGGATAATTTGGTGGGTGGGGAGTGGGGAGTGCTAATTGGTCAGGTCAGAGATGAAATCATGGGGAGTTGAAGCTGTCTTCTTGCGCTGTTCAAGACCAGTTAATGGATTATTTATTATTGTTTCTGGTTGTTTTTTTTTCCCCTCAGTGGAACCAGCTCTTGGATTTCTTTATCCATATGAAGACCTGCAAAGGGCCTGATATTTTTTTTTTCTCCTACGTGCCGGCTAACAAGTTAGTCTGCCAGTGGTCTCCTAGGTGAGAGATTTGTGCCAGTTCCCTAACCCCAGTTCCACCTAACATCATGAAAGTCTCATAATGTCTGCACACAGAGTGGGTTACAGGAGAGGAATCTAAGTCCTAAATTTAGGGAACCGGAATCTTTTATAAGGACAGTAAGCTGGGCGCTTGGCTCTGGGTAAAGACCCTCTCTTTGTCTTGCAAAGCTGTTTGCTATACAAACGTCCCTGAAGAGATGGTCCACAAGAAAGGCAGCCAGTGCCTCTGCCTCTGCCCCTGTCCTGAGGTATTCACAAACCAAGAGATTTTGGAGAACTGTCTCCCAACAATCAATCAATCAATCAATCCCACTGATTTTGTCTTTCTTTCTTCCTTTCTTTCATGCCCTTTCTTTTCTTTTTCTTTCTTTCTTTCTTTCTTTTTTTTCTTTCTTTCTTTTTTCTTTCTCTTTTTTCTTTCTCTCTTTCTCCTTCCTTCGTTTCTCTTTCTTTTCTTTTCTTTCTTTCTTTCTCTTTCTTTCTCTCTCTCTCTCTTTCTTTTCTTTCTTTCCTTTCTTTCTTTCTTTCTTTCTTTCTTTCTTTCTTTCTTTCTTTCTTTCTTTCTTTCTTTTCTTTCTTTCTTTCTTCCTTTCAGGATCTCATTCTGTTGCTCAGCCTGAGTGTGGTGCGACCCTAGCTCACTGCAGCCTTGAACTTCTGGGCTTCAGTAATACTCCTACCTCAGCCTCCTGAGTAGCTAGGGCTATGGGTGCATGCCACCATGCCTGGCTAATTTTTAAAATTTTTCTGTAGAGATGGGGGTCTCACCATGTTGCCTAGGCTGGTCTTGAACGTTGTTTTCAAACTAATTATATTCTTTCATTTTTAGTTCCTTCCTTCTATTTTCCTTATATTTTAAAAAATATTCTTTTTCTATTTTTCTTGAGTTGGATAATTACTTCCTTCACCTTCACTGTTCTTAAGCTAAAATGATTTTAAGATTGTGACTTTTTCTTTGACCAAATATTGACTACATCTCATAAGCTTTAATAAATAGTGTTTTCCTTATTATTTGCTAAATTATCTAGTTTTTCCCTGTTATTTATGGAAGTCAAAGGTTTCATTTATTTATTTATTTATTCGAGACAGAGTCACTCACTGTCACCCAGGCTGGAGTGCAGTGGTGTGATCTCAGCTCACTGCAACTTCCGCCTCCTGGGTTCAAGTAATTCTTGTGTCTCAGCCTCCTGAGTAGCTGGGCTCACAGGTGTGTGCCACTGCACCTGGCTAATTTTTGTATTTTTAGCAGAGATGGGGCTTCACCACGTTGGCCAGGCTGCTCTTGAACTCCTGACCTCAATTGATCTGCTCGCCTCAGCCTCCCAAAGTGCTGGGATTACAGGGGCAAGCCACCGAGCCTGGCCAGCAGTCAAAGGTTTTAAACTAAATTAATCAATCATCTTTAGGTTCCCTTGCTCTCTTGGTTTGCTCTGGAAGCTACTTTCTTTTCCTCAGACGTTTTTAGATTAAAGCTATAAAGCCCTTTTAATAGGATCTCTGTGACTTGTGTGTTAAATTGCACTTCATTGCAATTTAGGAGGAAATGGAATTTGGAAGATAAAAGTTCAAGTCCTGACTCTGCCACTTTGTACTGGTCACCAAATAAATAACCCACTTTGAGTCTCACTTTTGTTTACAAATATAGGCTCGAATTTCATTATCTCTGAAGTCCTTTTCAATTTATGACTCCAAGAGATTTTGAATTAATTTCAATTAAACTGGTTTAATGATTTCTAGCCTGACTTGTTAGTTGAGGCAGCATGGCTATAGAAACTGGCAAAGCTGAGTTCAACCCATTCCTTGGGTGAGCAAATGCTTCTGTTTCCTCATGTTTTCTTCTGTGACTCTCACAGAGGAGGGAAAATCCACATGGCACTAGGGGCTCATTTCCTCCCCTTTGGTGGCATCTTGCCTGGGTTAGCCAAAGGGACAAAGAGGCTGATGCCAGAGACTGAGCTCTGCAGCCTACCCTTTCTACCAAAGCTGTTTCCTGGCTCGAGAAGCTCCAGCACTACAGTGTTATCTAGATGTTCTCCTGTGTATTAGTCAGTTCTCACACTGCTAATGAAGACATACCCTAGATCGGGTAATTTATAAAGGCAAGAGGTTTAATTGACTCACAGTTCCACATGGCTGGGGACCTCACAATCATGGCAGAAGATGAATGAGGAGCAAAGTCATGTCTTACATGGTGGCAGGCAAGAGAGCTTGTGCAGGGGAGCTCCCAATTATAAAACCATCAGATCTTGTGAGACTTATTCACTGCCACAAGAACAATATAGGGGAAACCGCCCCCATGATTCAGTTATCTCCACCTGTCCTCGCCCATGACACGTGGGGGTTATTACAATTCAAGATGATTTGGGTGAGGACACAGCCAAACCATATCACCCTGCTTTTTTCTCTTTCTGTGTGTGCAGCACAATTGGGCCCATCCCCTCTTGTAACAGCCCAGGGGGTTCACCTTGCCTGCTGTCCAGACAGAGCTGATTTATCAGGGCAGGAATTGCAATGGAGAAAGAGTAATTCATGAAGAGCCAGCTGTGTGGGAGACTGGAGTTTTATTATTACTCAAACCAGTCTCCCTGAGCATTCCAGGATTAGAGTTTTTAAAGATAATTTGGCGGGTAGGGCCTCAGGAATGGGGAGTGCTGATTGGTCAGGTTGGAGATGGAATCATAGCGGGGTTGAAGTGAGGTTTTCTTGCGTCTTCTGTTCCTGGGTGGGATCGCAGAACTGGTTGAGCCAGATTACCAGTCTGGGTGGTGTCAGCTGACCCATCAAGTGAAGCGGCTGCGAAATCTCTCAAGCACTGATCTAAGGTTTTACGATGGTGATGTTATTCCCAGGAACAATTTGGGGAGGTTCAGACTCTTGCAGCCAGAAGCTGCCAGACCCCTAAACTGTAATTTGTAATCTTGTAGCTAATTTGTTAGTCCTGCAAAGGCAGTCGGGTCCCCAGGCAAGAAGGGAGTCTTGTGGGGAAAGGGCTATTAACAATTTTGTTTCAGAATCAAACCATAAACTAAATTCCTTCCCAAGGTTAGTTCGGCCTATGGCCAGGAATGAGCAAGGACAGCTGAAAGGTTAGAAGCAAGGTGGAGTTGGTTAGGCCTGGTCTCTTTCACTATCATAATTTCCTTAGATACAATTTTTGCAAAGATGGTTTCCCACTCTTGGGATCTTTCCATGGTGTGTCTGTGCCCTGTGCTGGGGGATCTCTCTAGGGATAATGGGACCTCAGAGCCTAATGAACACCCTGCTACTTCTCTGCTCATTTTCCCTATTTTTAATGTACATCATGAGCACTGCTAATGTGTATGTTTCTGTCCTTTCTCCACAACCCATAGTATTTGATGAGCATAATGTTAAATGCTTTACATCATCTCATTTAATCCTGGTTACAAGCTTGATAATTACAAATATTATTCCCATTTTACCAGTAGGGAAACCTGGAGCTCAGAAAACTTAAGCAATTTGCCCAAGGTCAGCTGCTGGAAGATGCAGAGCTAGAGGCTGAATCCAAATTGTTTGGTTTTGAAGCCACATGATTTTAACTCTAAGAGAGCCCTGTTCACATGTTAGACATCACAGATGATTTTCCTGCAGATGGTGCTAAAGGGTCTTATTCAAACAGAATCAGTATATTATGACAATTTTTCAACAGATGAAAGTAAAGCATAAGGGCCACCTCTTCTAATTTGTCCAAAAGTCCCATGTGGACTGGCAGCAGCCCTGATGTAATATGATTCTCTCAGAGGAGGTAACTAATACTGCTAAAAGAAAAACTTCGGCCTGGTGCGGTGGCTCATGGCTGTAATCCCAGCACTTTGGGAGGCCAAGACAGGTGGATCATCTGAGGTAAGGAATTCGTGACCAGCCTGGCCAACATGGCGAATCCCTGTCTCTACTAAAAATACAAAAAATTAGCCGGGTGTGGTGGGGGGTGCCTGTAATCCTAGCTACTCAGGAGGCTGAGGCAGGAGAATTTCTTGAACCCGGGAGGCAGAGGCTGCAGTGAGCTGAAATCACACTATTGCACTCCAGCCTGGGCGACAAAGCAAAACTCTGTCTCAAAAAACAAAAAACAAAAAAAAGAGAAAAAATTCAGTCAAATTAAATTTAAAGGGGTTTAATTAAGCAACAAATGATTTGCTAATTGGGCAGCCCCCAGAATCACAGCAGATTCAGAGACTCCATCGCAGCCACATGGTGGAAGAAGATTTATAGACAGCAAAAGGAAAGTGAGGTATAGGAAACAGAAGTGAGGTACAGAAAGAGCTGAATTGGTTACAGCTCTGTGTTTGCCTTATTTGAACATGGTTTGAACAGTTGGCTACATTTGATTGGCCAAAACTCAGTGAGTGGCACAGGTGTAGGCTACGGTTGGTTTACACCTCCAATTGTTATAGTTCACGATGTACAGAAAAACCTTTAGGCTGAACTTACATATGTAAGAAGGAAGCTTTAGGCTAAACTTGATTTAACCATACATCATGAGGAATGTGCATTTTTAAAAAATGAAATGTTAAATTTAAGATAATTCAACACTCATGAGAAGGCAAAGCCCAATCCCAGAGGGGAAGAGGAGGCAGGTGCAAGGCCACAGGGGGCAGTTCAGAGAGGCCAACATATTGACCTTGGAGGTCTTAGGGTGAACCTTTTCTTTTTATTTTTCTTTCTTTTTTTTTTTCTTTTCTTTTCTTTTTTTTCTTTTCTTTTTTTTTTTTTTTTTGAGCTGGAGTCTGGCTCTGTTGCCCAGGCTGGAGTGCAGTGATGTGATCTCAGTTCACTGCAATCTCTGCCTCCCAGGTTCAAGCGATTATCCTGCCTCAGCCTCTCGAGTAGCTAGGATTACAGGTGCATGCCACCATGCCTGGCTAATTTTTATAGTTTTAGTAGAGACAGGGTTTCACCATGTTGGCCAAGCTGGTCTCAAACTCCTGACCTCAAGTGATCTGCCCCCTTTGGCCTCCCAAAGTGCTGGGATTACAGGTGTGAGCCACTGTGCCTGGCCTTAGGGTGGACCATTTGAGACAACCACGACTTCTTACTCTTTCCTTACTGCTCTGTTGATACTTGCTTCCCAGATCTAGTGGGGGAAATTATAGGGAACTAGGTGTCCATAAGAGTTCCACAGCATTGCTGCTTGAAGGAAATAATTTGTTGTTCTATTGTTGATATGGAAGTAGATGATTAGTAACGTCTTTTTTTTTTTTAAGGCAGATGGGGGAAATCTTCATTTTTAAGAAATTAGCTTTATTATGTTTCACGAGCTAAAAATGACCCTTTGGATCCAGAGTGCATAGATCCAGATGGGGCTGTAGAGATCCCCTGCCTTCCTAACAGCATTTTGTTACAAAATATCATTTAATTCTTTTCCATACGGCTCAAATGTCCTACTTCCACAGGCTATTTTCAGTTTTAGTGAGCAAAATACTCTTCTGAGATCTGCCAGCACTCACATTAACTCATTCTCTTCTTTTCTCCATGCTCAGCAAATGATGGATTCTCTGGAATCCAACTGGAGCCCAGCCTTCTAGATTCTCTCTTGACTTGGTTTTCATTTGGTTTAAACAGATTATCACTTAAGGAGAGCCAGCAGCCTTCAAAGTGCCCTGGGGGACCTGTGATAGTAAATCCATGTATGCACACTTCCACACCCTGACGTGTACTGCATGTATCCACCACTGGGCAGTGTGCCTCACAAGTGAGACTGATGCTCACGTGAGCTTGTGAAGTCAGGGGCAAAACATTGCAATCAGACTCTAAACCCATACATTTAAATGCCCATTCATGCAGATGTTGAGAGAGCCACACAGAAACAACAAACACATCCATAGAGAAACAGACACATTACCCAGAGAAAGCAGATGGATGCATGGGGGTCTTGCTGTAAGAGGCACATGAAAGCCCTCGTGGATCTTGAGTTAAAAGAATGCCAGGCCGGGCGAGGTGGCTCACACCTGTAATTCCAGCTTTGGGAGGCCAAAGCGGGCAGATCACGAGGTCAGGAGTTCGAGACCAGTCTGGCCAACAGGGTGAAACCCCGTCTCTACTAAAAACACAAAAAATTAGCCAGGCGTGGTGGCATGCGCCTGTAATCCCAGCTACTCAGGAGGCTGAGGCAGGAAAATCGCTTGAACCCAGGAGGCGGAGGTTGCAGTGAGCCGAGATTGCAGCATTGCACTCCAGCCTGGGTGACAGAGCAAGACTCCATCTCAAGGAAGAAAAAAAAAAAAAAAAAAGAGAGAATGCCAGGAACTAGGAGAAAGGTAAAATAGGCACAAGCTCAAGAAGGAGAAGACTGCCTTGCCCTGATGAGAATAAGTAATGGACAGTCAAAAGCAAAATAATAGGGCCCTGGCATTTCATAAAAATGCAGTTCCTCACTCATAATCTAGGACAAGGTGACTCCCCAGCACAACCCAAAGACGGGAGAGCTGTGATGATGACTCAGGAATGCCCTGAAATGCCCGGAGTGGGAAAGTGGTTTCATGTCAGTTGTATAAATGACTTGTATGAATATCTCTTTAATCTGTTTATTTACCATTTTACTAATTCAAACTTCTTCTAAATTAGTGTTCTGATAATTAATTGGGCTCCCTGAGAGGTCTCTAAGTACTGCTCATCTCTTCAGAATTTCAGTAATACCAAAGATAGTTCCCCTTGGCATTTTTGGGGAGATATTCTCTAGGGAAATATTAAATCAGATCTATCTTCCACTACAAAATAATAAATGTTTCCTATTGTATAAATTAGTCCTCTGAGAGTTTGGTTAATATAAATTTATCTAGCAGAATTCGAACTAAGAATTTTTTTTTCTCTTTAACATCAGCCAAAATAACACTGCCTCAGGAATTCATCCCCGACCTCTCAGAAGTAATCTCATAGCTTTCATGCATTTATTTATTCATTCATTCAACAAATACTTATTTAGCACTTAATATGTGTGAGGCCCCATTCTAGGTACATCAATGAACAAAATAAAGAAAACCACTGTGGTGCTTATATTCTCGTGAAGATAGCACCATGACCCTCCTTTTGTGGAGCATTGCATACTGTGTAGTTACTCATTTGTGTGATCATTTGGTTGTCAGTTTTTTCCTCTTATGTAAGATCCATGAGGACTGTGTCAGATTTGCTAACCACTGTAGAGCCAAGTGTAGCACTCACACAGTGCCAACTTGCAAAATACACTGAAATATTCAACGAATGAATACATTAGTAAATTCCTCAGCTTCATAATCGAACTCTGGACATCATGCAACTGTTCCTGAGCCCTCAGAACCTATAACATGTGTGCATGCTTGGAAATTACTAATGGGCGTTTCTCTCCTGGTACAAGATCTCTGTCCCATTCAGTCTTTTACACAGCCATAGCAGAGTAAAGTAGTATGGTAAGGAGAAGGAAGGCCCTGAGTTAGGTTTCCTGAGCTGTCCTAAGTTCCCACATTGTGCGGAAGCTGAATCAAGAGCTGGTGGCCTTACCTTGGGGCCCTCTGTGAGCCCTGGATGAGTGGCCCCACAGTAGGGCTTAGAGTAGACCAGCTAGCCAGATGGAGAAAGTGGTGAGAAGCCCAAGCTTCTGAAGCAAAAACTGAAATGAGGCAGGGTTGGTAAGAGAGGAATTCCCCATCCCCCCACGCCATGTTTCTGCATTGCCTGCCTTGGAGTTGCTGAACTAGCAGTTGCCAGTTTCAGCACTGGAAGCCAGTAGCACCAGAGGGAAGGGGAACATTGTCTAGAGACCAGCAGATTGCATCCAGAGACAAGAACCAAGCCAGGGTCACACCCTTCACCCAGCACCATGAGAACAATCAAGCACAGACACATACACCAATCAACACATCAGAAGGATGCCAAGCAAGTCTTTAAACTGGCTGGTTACCCTGCCGCGGTACAGGTGAAAATGGTCATCAATAAGGGAATGAATGATCACAAAGAAAGAACTCTGGACCACAGCTACATTGGGACCCAGGGGAAAAGTGCCCTATTTTGCTACTTGGATCACACCAAGCTGGAAAACCCTACGTCTTCCCTCCTGGGGAGTCAAACACGGATCTCACCCATTTCCTTGTCTTGCTGGATTCTTCATTCCTCTTCTGTTGGAGAACTGGCTAGACTCCCCATTCCAGACAAGCCAGGGACACAGGGGCCCATTTTCCCATACACCAGGAGCCATTTCAGAAGAGACACAGGGATGGGAAAGGCTACCTGAAAGAGTGAGTTTGTTTTTTGGTTTTTATAATCACATCACCGAGATATTTACATACAATAAAATCTCAGATTTTAAGTGTATAGTTTGAATTTTGGCAAACATACTTGTGTAACCACCACCCCAATCAAGATGTAGAACATTTCCACAACTACAACAGTTGTCAGTCTGAAGGAGTGCGCATTTTTATCCAAGAAAGATTGAGCCCTAAAATGACCCACATAAATGAATAGATTGAAACAGAGTTAAACATGGTAGGACTCAAGTAAATTTTCTTCTGACATATCCAGTGTCAGAGCCCAGGAAGAAGATCAGACTAATTATAGACAAAACAAAGTGGCTACATTTTGTCTGTACGTCCCAATTCAAGCTTGAGCTTCTCACCACTTTCTCCATCTGGCTAGCTGGTCTACTCCAAGCTCTACTGTGGGGCCACTCATCCAGGGCTCACTGAGGGCCCCGAAAGGCCACCAGCTCTTGACGGCTGTGAGCTAACTTTGTGTCCTTGCTGTATTTGAGAAGTTGAAGGCTTTGGTGAGGGAAATTAAGAGAACTGGGACAGAGAGACTGGAACTGGGGAGAAGAGAACATTTAGGTAAAGAGGTAGGTAACGAGAAGGTCGATGATCAGAGAAGTACTGTCTGACTCCAAAGCCAGTGCTTTACCGTGATGCGTACAGCCTCTCACAGGCTAAAGGGGTACAGACACACTCTACCTTCTCCCAGTCATAGGCAACAACAGAGAGCCACACGGCCTTTCTACTGGGCATTTGTGTAGCATGCGAGCACATGCTTATGCACTCCTGTGGAGCACACAGCTCTAACATTCTCCTCAATGCAACTCAAGGTGGTGACTTGGGTGGACTTGTGGCAGAGAGCCAGACAATAAGCCCTGATTGTGCAATCTTTGTGATCCACACTAAACTGAGCTCAGTAGAAAATGTTCATACATTTGCACTCACAGATTTGCCAAATGACTGCAATGCCTAAGATGCGGGGCTAGGAGTTGTGTATGTGTGTGTTTGTGGGGAGGGGGACAGGTGGTGGGACCGAAAGTGGAAGAGCCAGCTGATGCCCTTAAGGAGATTATGCTCTAGTAAGGAAGGTTAGACTTACATGTAAATAACTATTAGACCAAGTTCAAGGTTATAAGTGCTACAGCAGAGTCAAAGATAGAATGCTGGGGGTGGGGAACCCGGAAAGGGAAACTGATTTGTACTCATCCTTGCCCCGCAGGCAGGTTTACAGAAATAACTTCATGCAATTCTCCAAACAACCTTGAGATAGATATTTATAATAAAGGACACCGAAGTTTAGGGATAGCAAGTGACACCCTGTTCCAGATCACATAAACAGGAAGTGACAGAGCCAGGATTCCAATCCAGTATTTCTAACTCAAAAGCCAGTGTTTTAGGCCGGGTGTGGTGGCTCGCGCCTGTAATCCCACCACTTTGGGAGGTCAAGGTGGGCGGATCACCTGAGGTCAGGAGTTCGAGACCAGCCTGGCCAACATGGCAAAACTTCATCTCTACTAAAAATACAAAATATATATATATATATATATATATATTTGCCAGGCATGATGGCGCACGCCTGTAATTCCAGCTACTCAGGAGGCTGAGGTAGGAGAATCGCTTAAACCAGGGAGGTGGAGGTTGCAGTGAACCAAGATCGCGCCGTTGCACTTCAGCCTGGGTGACAGAGTAAGACTCTGTCTAAAAAAAAAAAACAATCAATGTTTTATTCCCTGTACCAATGGTCTCAAACTGGGGAATCTAATCCAGACGTATTCAAAGGTATTTCAAAGGGTATGTGGGCACAGATAGTTTTAAGGATATGATCCAAACATGGCTTAAACAATATTTCCCATCCACTTGCTTTTGCTTTTCTGGTGTCTTGCCTCACTCCTTGGAAGGAGGAATCTGTGTCTCTTCCCCTTGATGCTGGGTGAGCCTCTGTGAAACATCTCAACTAAGAGTTGGCAGAGTGATGCTGCCTGGCTTCTGAGGTGTGGACATAACAGTTCATAACATAACCTTGCACCTGGCTGTCTCTCAGGATGCTTACTTTTGGAGCCCAGTCACCATGCAGTTAGGAAGCCCAGACCTCATGGGGAGGCATGAGGCATGTGGGGACCATATGAAGGCACTGTGTTGGGGGCCCACAAGACCACTCCAGGTTTAATGATTCACTAGGAGGACTCACAGGACTCTGTGTGGTTGTGGTTTATTTATTACAGTGCAATTACATAAGGCAAAATCTGCAAAGGGAAAAGGCACACAGGGCAAAATCAGGAAGAAACAAGGCACAAGCTTTCAACAGTCCTTTCTCAGGCAGTCCCACAGGACACACTTAATCCCTCCAGCAACCAGTTGTAACCATGTATTAGTCCATTTTCATGCTGCTGATAAAGACACACCTGAGACTGGGTAATTTACAAGGAAAAAGAGGCGAACCCACAGTTTCACGTAGCTGGGGAGGCCTCACAATCACGACGAAGGCAAAAGACACATCTTACATGGTGGCAGACAAGAGAGATTGAGAACCAAGTGAAACGGGTTTCCCCTTATAAAGCCATCAGATCTCATGAGACTTATTCACTACTATGAGAACAGTATGGGGGAAACTGCCCCCATGATTTTCACCAGGTCCCTTTCACAACATGTGGGAATTATGGGAGCTACAATTCAAGATGAGATTTGGGTGGGGACACAGCCAAACCACATCAAATCACATGTGTGAACTGTTGTCTGTCAGGAAAGGGTTTAGTGGCACAGTGCCTGAGGTTCTTATCATGGGCTAGTCATGTAGGCACTCCTTGCCTACCACATTTTTGGTAGAAGTAGTTTAAACACAGGGTGGTGATAGGGTGGTGGGAACCCTCCCCAAATTCTAATTCCCAAATGCCAGCTAAAGACCAATTTTGCAAACAGGTCTTTCTAAGGATAGCAGTCAGACTTGCTATTTCATTCTTCTCTGCACAGGGCCCAGAGTCTCTGGCCTCCATCCTGACTGAGATCCCAGTTGGCAGCAGATAACAATGTGCTATCTGTGAGATGGAGCCACCTCTGAGTCAGACTCTCCATCCTTGGTCAAGCCTTGCTTCCTGACGCCACATGGAGCAGGGACAAGCTTTGCTCACTGAGCCCTGCCCAAATTATAGAATTGTGAGCAGAGTAAATGATAGTGATGATTTTAGGCTAAGTTTGGGGTTGTTTGCTATGCAGCAATAGATAGGGGGTTGTTTTCCAGATTCTAATCCTCTATGGATACTCTTCTAAAATTGATCATGATGGGAAGCTGGGATCAAGACAGTGCCTTTTATAAAGCCTATTTTTTCATTTTTCAAAGTAAAGGTGTGTCCCCGCCTCTCCTGACTCCTGCCAGGCTTCCTCGTCCTAGATCAGAGGTCAGAAAACTTTACTTGGAAAGGACCAGATAGTACATATTTTAGAATTTGTGGGCTACCTGCTCTCTCCTGTGTGTGTTGGGGATGCATGCATGCATGTTTTACAATCTTTTCAAAAATATGAAAACCTAGGCCGGGCGCAGTGGCTCACGCCTGTAATCCCAGCACTTTGGGAGGCCGAGGCGGGCGGATCACGAGGTCAGGAGATCGAGACCATCCTGGCTAACACAGTGAAACCCCGTCTCTACTAAAAATACAAAAAAATTAGCCAGGTATGGTGGCAGGTGCCTGTAGTCCCAGCTACTCGGGAGGCTGAGGTAGGAGAATGGCATGAACCCGGGAGGGGGAGCTTGCAGTGAGCTGAGATCACACCACTGCACTCCAGCCTGGGTGACAGAGTGAGACTCCGTCTCAAAAAAAAAAAAAAAGAAGATATAATTTTGAGATCATCCCTGAGTTTAGAGTATATGCCAAAGCAGGCCTTATCATGGTGGTGAATTGAGACCTAAGTATACACACAGGAAGGCCAGTCTAAGAACTCCTTACATGTGGTCAAGAAGTTGGTACTTTACCTCTCCCAACTCTGTTCTTTACTTAGTCTTTAAGTAGCTTTCCTTGAGCAAATACAAAATAATGATAATAAGAAAGCAGAATTTATTTGATCAATAAGAAGTAGTACTTCCTTTTAAAAAAAAAACAAACCAAAAATATGAAAACCATTCTTAACCTGAGGGCTGCATGAAAGCAAGCTAGGCAAGATTTGATCAGTACAAACTGGCCTTAGTTTGCCAACCCCTGTCCTATATAGTTAAAAAGACAGAAAACAACAACAACAACAAAAACCCCAAACCAGCAAACAAATAAAGCAAAACCTCCAGTGCAGCAACCAAAGGAGAATTTGAAATAATGATGTTAATAGTGAAATAGACAATGACTCAAATGTTTGGGTAACAGACCTTTTTGCAAGCCAGGTGGTTTCTAATTCTCTGCTTTCAACTGTATTAAAGGAGAATCTCATCAAGTTTTTAGCTGGTAGTATCAACATTTTAAAAATAATTTTGGATGTCAGATCACTGTGATTGTTGATTGAGAACTTGGAAGGCATTCAGAAAATTAAGTAAAATTGCAATTACAAGATTCATTTCTACTTATGTCAACAATATTCCTTGCTTGTGTCTATAAAAAATAAAAGTAGGAATAGAATTCATATAGAAACCTGTCTCATTCTAGTAATTAGAAATATTAACCAAAAAGCAAACAAACAAAAAAACACAACAAGAAGTATTTGGAAGAAAAACTAGTCCTATCTTATTAAGATATATTTTCAATAAAATTTTACTTTTTAAAATAATGATTTCACAAAATGTATATATACTTATGTTAGTTTTTCCAATGATCTACTACTACTAATTGTCATGATAACTTAATCCAGAGTAAAATTTTTAAACACTCAGAGCCTAATAGTCACAGGAGATTTAAATAAATTTCCATTTCAATTTCTATATATATTTGCAGCAGAGATATGTGAGAGAGCAATCGATAAAATTGTGAGTAAAATATCTTATATTAGCATAATATTTTGCTGGAGAAATCGAATAGAAATAAAAGTTCAAAAAGAAAAAAGAATATAAAATTTCCTATTGTCAAGAAGAGCTTATTTTAATTAATTAATTTATTTATTTTGAGACAGAGTCTCACTCTTATTGC
Organism: Homo sapiens; assembly: GCF_000001405.40. Classification (NCBI taxonomy): domain Eukaryota; kingdom Metazoa; phylum Chordata; class Mammalia; order Primates; family Hominidae; genus Homo; species Homo sapiens. Next base: position 139,591,874 of record NC_000004.12, read on the forward strand.
CCAGGCTGGAGTGCAGTGGCGCAATCACGGCTCACTGCAACTTCTGCCTCCCAGGTTCAAGTGATTCTCCTGCCTCAGCCTCCTGAGTAGCTGGGATTACAGGCGTGCCCCACCATGCCGGGCTAGTTTTTGTATTTTTAGTAGAGACGAGGTTTCACCATGTTGGCCAGGCTGGTCTCAAACTCCTGACCTCAGGTGATCTACCCGCTTCGGCCTCCCAAAGTACTCAGATTACAGGCGTGAGCCACCGCGCCCAGCCAATTTTTGTATTATTAAAAATAAATCATGGTGGCTCTCAAATTCCTATGGTTTTAGATTCCACTGGATACATTCAAAGGAGTGATATGACATTTTTAAAATGTCGATATTTATGATATACCAGACAAGCATTTCTCAAAGTGTGGTCCCTGAGCCAGCAGCCTTGACATCACTTGGGAACTTTATAGAAATCCAGATTCTCAGGCCCTACCCAGACCCACTGAATCAGAAACTCTGAGAACTGGTGGGCTTTAACAAGTCCTCCAGGTGATTCTGATACATATTCAAGTTTGAAAACTACTGCATCAAAAATTACATATTTTGCAGCTATTTAAACTGATAATGAAAATATTTTTATGTTAATTTAAAATGTGTAAGGAGACATATTTTGGTCTCCTTACACATTTCTGGTCTTACAAGAAAATTATTTGAGGAATATACAAGCAAAAATATTTGAGCACCACTACACCATATCCTGCACCTTTTTACATCTTTAGACTAAAGAGAGGTTTTTTTCCCTTGGAGGAAAAAGTGGATGGGGACACACATTAAAGATGGTGTCACATGGAAACTGGATAGGACTTGGTATACAAATGAGAGAGAAGAGCACTGCAGGCAGAGAGAACAGTGTGAAAAAGGCTCAGAGGTGGGAAAGCGCAGGTGTGAGTGAGGGAATAGTCGGGCTGGGCTGGAGCAGGAGTGTGGGTAGAGAATAGCTGGTACTAAATTTGCAAAGACAAGATTGCAGCGATGATGCCAGAACTGTATTTGTAGCAGGAGAGAGATGTGGTCAGTGTTGTGCTTTGTTGGAGGTAGGCTGGAATGGCTCAGGTGGGAGAGACTGGAGGTAGTGAAACTAGATGCTAGAGCCATGCCCTGGAGCCCATCTTCACTCTTGGAGGGTCGCCACCACCTCTGTTAGCTGGAGTGGTCCTTGCCCACCATCACTGAAAAATGCAGGTAATGCCACCCATCCCAGGGAGACTGGCATACCCTAGGGACAGAGAGAGTCATGTTGCTGTTCTGAGGCAGCTATGGCCCATCTGTCGTTTTGGGCTTTCGCCTGTTGCCACGTCTTAAAGCCTTGCCATTCTCTAAATAGTGATCATGTTCACCTCCTGAGATCAATGAGATGACTGCAAAGTGCTAGGAGTTGCTCAGGCAGAAGGAATTCACAAACTCTTGGAGCACATTACTGTTATCTTTGTTTCTATTTAACCAAGGACACACCAGAGAGAAAAGGCATGACATCACCAAAGCAATCTCCCATTGGCTGTCCATTTCCCAAGGGGTGGGTTTTCTTTCCAGTTTTTTACTTCTCCTAAGTATTACATGCAGCACAGAGGCAAGTCCTGTCACTTCAGGGTTTCCAGATTCAGTGCCTCTGATGTCATTAGGTTATGGCAAGAGAGTGAGATAACACAACGATGTAAATTTTAGTTGACAGAATTGATGTACCTTAGAGTAAGATGCTCTGAGCTTCATGTTTACTCCTTTCAGGCTGATTTCAATGCTGCATTACTACATTAATTCATAATGCAGAATGCATGAGGGACAAGGATAATAAAATTATGACACTAGCTTTTCTACTTAGTATCCTATAAAATGCGATGCAAATGAATTGGTTCTGTCGGTGCATTTTATCACAAACCTTCAACATACAGTTCCTGCAAGGATTCCAGGTGCTTGTGAGTCTTGGTTGCCATCCTAGTTTTTAACATTTGCCTCATTTCTTGAAGGTTAATAACTGAACTGATTTATTTAAAATTCTTATACAATTATGTTGTAGAAAAGGAGGAAATCGTCACAACTGCTTTTCTCTAGACTTGAATTTGATGTTCCTTTTGGATGAGAAGCAGAGCTAAAAACGAATACCTCATTTTTTTGGCAGTTAAAAAGCAACATAATTCGAAAGTGGAGTTTCATTTAATCCATCAAACAATCCCAACCATTTGATGGAAAAAATGTAAATAATAAAATTTCAAAGGGATTTTATTTTAAAATAGCCACTGGGCATGTACAGTAATAAAATTTTTAATGGCCATTTTATTTTTCATTTCTGAGTTCATTTTTAGTGAAATTACTTGGTGATGAACAGAAGCAGAGTGATAGCCTGAGAGACAAAACTCATTGGTTTCTGAAATAATAAAAAGCATTATCCTCTGGCAATATAGAACATTTCTCTCAGCAGCCTCGCCCAATCTCCTGCACATTCCCTCAGGGCGGGTGGTGGGAGCATTACCTCACCTGCTGCCTCAGCCTGGTCTTCTAGATATGGGGTGAGGAAGCCTTGGGAGGCACCAACACTTTTCTGAGGACACACAGCCACTGAATCAAGTAAAACCAGAGCCTCCAGACTTTTGGGAAGAGCTCTGCACCATACATGGCTCTCCCTAGAGAGTTGTACGCCAAGCAACTTCACGTTTTTCAGTCATTGGAGATATGGAGGCTTCAGGGAAATGAGATCTCCTAAGGCCTCCTAGCATCACAACTTGCAAGGATCTGCCCCAGGATGTGTGTTTTTCTCACTCACACTAGTCTTCATGGAACACAGACCAAACTGCAATAATGTCCACAGGAACTCAATAAAATCGTGTTTTATGTATAGGCTCAGTGACATGTGCTTGCAATCCTTCGGGAGGCCAAGGCGGGAGGATCACTTGAGCCCAGGAGTTCAAGACCAGCCTGGGCAACATAGTGAGACCCTATCTCTAAAAAAATTTTTTTTTTGTAATAAAATAGTGTTTTGTGAAGGGCTTTTCTTTTTCCAGCCAGAGTTTGAATTGATATTTACATCTGAATGTGAAGAGCTAATATGGTATTGGGTTAAAAGCCCAGGCTTTGGAGTTCTACTGGGTTGGGCTTCTCAAGTCAACACTTATCAGCTGTGCGGTCTTGACGATGAAAATTCTCTGAACTTCAATTTACTTTCCTGCAAAATTGGGATAATAAATCTACTTCATAATCTTGGTGTGTGGATTAAATGAGAGAGAGTGTGTGTGTGTGTGTGTGTGTGTGATGTTTAGCACAGTGCCTGGCACATAGTAAATATTCAAAGAAATTAAATTGCTTCTTATTAACACTACTATTGTAAATTTGACCGATTATTGAAAAGCTCTGGATTGCTGAATCCTTTCCTTTCTGCAAAATAACCCAAATAGTGTGTATCTGAGGGAGTTGGGGGTAAAGAAAGAAATACTTCTGGTCTCCACTTAAAGAGTCCCTCTCTTTGCTTGGGTTCTTGGAGACTGGGTGAAGGCTGGAATAATCCCACTGGTGTCCCCAGCTCTGCTCTAAGCAAGCCATGGGTTTCCCTCAGGTGGAGAGCATGGAGGCCTGCAGAGGAACAGGAACAGAGGATCTCTTCCAAAAGGTTTTGACTGCTGCTTCTATTTCCCTACAATTTCTGTCTTTTGCTAGAATTGAAAATAGTCTACTGGGCTATCATTATAGACAGAACATTTTCAATCCTTAATACAATTTTTTCTTGCACAGTAGGATGGGTAGAATGAACAATAATGTATTGTATATTTCAAAATATCTACAAGAGAGGTTTTTGAATGTTCTCATAACATAGAAATGATAAAAGTTTAAAGTTATGGATATGCTAATTACCCTGATTTGGCCGCTACGTAATTTATGCATGTGTTGAAACATCATGTTGTACCCCATAAATATGTACAATGATTACATATCAATGAAAAATTTAAAAAAAGACAAAAGACTTTCTAAAAAAAGTATCCCAGCTGGAGACAGTGGAGACTCAGAGATTCTGGAAAGTAAAGTTAGGTGGTAGCCTCCTCCCATCAATCTATTCACAACTATTGATATATCTGAGAGGTAAGAAGCCTTCTGAGGAAGAGAGGAACCTGCTGTCAGTGAGGCAGACTCAAGTAGAACGGCTGCAAGAGGGCTGTTTCCAGAACTGCTTCCCACCCAGGCAGCACGACTTCATGCCTGGGGGAGAAAAAAAAGGGCTTTGTGCCTAAATTGAAAGAGCTTGTGACTAAGGCTTGTGACATCTGAGGCTCAAGAGACCTTTCGTTGTCAACCCTCCAACTGGGAGTAGCCAGGGAGTGTTCTTACTTCACAAGGGAGATGAGGCTTGTCTCCTAGGTGGAGTTTCAGAGTAGTCCCAGCTCCACAGGCGTCAGATGTGAGATACAGCCCTGTGGGCACCCAGGTGGACAAGTGACTCCAGGTGGGCAGAGAGGCCACTAGAGGCCATCAGCTTGGACAGGCTTCTCTGGGGTGGGGGCTGAGTCCCTTCTTGGCCAGGCATGCAAGTTTAGGGACACTATAAATACAGTACACACCCTGAGGATTCCCAAATACACTTAAGGGAGGGGGATTTTGAAGTCAAGCTGGTGGAGGCTGTGAGTCATAGAGATTTGGATATTAATATTGATGCAATTGCATTTGTGGTCACAGATGAGTGAAGCCTGAGATATTTTGGCTGCAGAGACACAAAAACAATTTCCACAAAACATATTTATTCTTCAGGATTTAGCACTCAGTTCTCTAATTTAACCATTCATTATCATTCACTAAAAACCTCCCAAACAGCTCAAGATTTAAGTTGTCTCTTCTGGATGTCCATTTGGTGGAAAACCCACCCAGTCATCTCATGCTGCTTCTCCCTCACTCAGTGACAAAGCCCTCTGTTTGGATGTTTAAGCTAGATTGATTGATTTGTCAGATGTTTGTTTTTTTGTAACAGGCTTTCAGGCAAGCCAGTGGAATTTGGGGAGTTTTTCACTTGTCAAATTGTTGTCTTGGTTCCTGAAGTGATTATACTATGCTCTGGTAATCATTTAAAACCTTTTAAAACAGTTTCCCTGATTGATTTTCCTCACACAGCCCCCGCTGCTGTTAAGGACAAGACTTTTACCGCAGGAACTAAAAATTAGGAAAATGGTGTGACTCCAGGCAACAGCAGCTCAGGACTCAGTCATAACAGTCTCTCCTGACCCCATGTGGGGCTGAAACATGTGCCTTTCTTTCCCTTCTGAGTTGTAGACATAGAACATGGAACCAAGGAAAAGCTATGCTGATAAAAATGGTAACGACACGCTTTGAAAATATGCTTCATTATAACATAAGGGTATTAGTGATGATTTTAAGCAGATGTCACTGCCTTTCCCACATCATAAGAGGGGAGTGACATGAAAAGTGCACAATCTTGTTACAGGAAACTGCATAGGAAATTTCAACTTTTACTTGAATGCCCAGTTCTGAAAATTTGCTACTGTGAGTTGATCACTCCTTTCTCCTTAAAGCAGTTCCCTCCCTTGCCTTCTAGGACCTCACACTCTGCTGTTTTGCCTCCTCTCTCCCCGGCTGCTCCTTCTCAGTCTCTTGGCTGGGTCCTCTGAATCCTGGTGTGCCCCAGGGCTCAGTCCCTGATGTTTTTCTCCTCTGTCCACACTCCTCCCCTGGTTGAGACCATGGGTCCGTGGCTTTAGATGCTGTCCACATCTGGGAACCTTCGTATTTCCATCTCCAACCCATACTTCTGTCCCAAGCTTCAGGCTTATTCACCCAGCTGCCCACTCATCAGCTCCACTGGATGTCAGACAAGCATCTCAACCCTGACATGTCCAGCACCGAGCTCCTGGACTTCTCTCCCAAACTGGCATTCTTCTCCATCTCAGTTAATGGCAAGTTCATCTTTACAGTTGCTCAGATTAAAATAAGAGTCACTGTAGTGAGTTGAATCATGGCTCACAAAAAGGTATGTCCACATCCTAACGCCAGGCCCTGAGAATGTGACCTGATTTGGAAAAAGGATCTTTTTTTTTTGAGACGGAGTCTCACTGTCACCCAGGCTGGAGTGCAATGGTGCGATCTCAGCTCACTGCAACCTCTGCCTCCCAGGTTCAAGCAATTCTCCTGCCTCAGCTTCCCAAGTAGCTGGGATTATAGGCAACTGCCACCACATCTGGCTAATTTTTGTATTTTTAGTAGAGACTGGGTTTTGCCATGTTGGCCATGGCTGGTCTTGAACTCCTGATCTCAGGTGACCCACTTGCCTTGGCCTCCCAAAGTGCTGGGATTTCAGGCATAAGCCACTGCTCCCAGCCTTTATTTTTAAATAATCCCAAATTTCAAGAGGGCCAATTGCACTTCTAGTGCCTGCAGTAAACAAAGTTAAACAAAACTGGTTTATCTTTTAAAACAACCAGAAGCATTTTTGTGTAAGCCAGAAAAAGGGTCTTTGCAGATTTAATGAAGTTAAGGATTTCATGGTGGAATCATCCTGGATTATCTGGGTGGGTCCTAAATCCAATGACAGTTGTCCTTACAAGGGACAGGTGACACAGAAAAGAGGAGAAGGCAGAGACTAGAGTCATGTAACCCCAAGCCAAGGAACGCCTGGATCCACCAGAAGCTGGAAGAGACAAGGAATAGAATATCCTCTACAGCAGGGGTCTGCAACCTCTGGGCTGCGATGGTACTGGTCCATGGCCTGTTGGGAACTGGGCCACACAGCAGGAGGTGAGCGGCCCCATGAGCATTGCCACCTGAGCTCCACCTCCTGTCAGAGCAGTGCCATTAGATTCTCATGGGAATGCAAACCCTATTGTGAACCACACACGTGAGGGATCTAGGTTGCGTGCTCTTATGAGAATCTAACTAATCCTTGATGATCTGAGGTGGAGCAGTTTCATCCCGAAACCATCCACACACACACCCACCACCCTGCTGCCTCTCTCCCCCGGCACTCCTGCCCCTGTCCGTGGAAACATGGTCTTCCACAAAACCGGCCCCGGAAGGATGAGGACTGCTGCTCTAGAGCCCCTGGAAGCAAGAACCCCTTAATCTCAGACTTCCTGGCCTTAGAACTGTGAGAGAATAAATTTCTGTTGTTTTAAGCCGCCAAGTTTGTGGTGATGTGTTACAGCAGCCCCAGGAAACCGATACGGTCATCTTTAATGTTTCTCTTATTTCTCTTTCTGTGGAGCCTTACCTCCAGTCTCTCAGTAAATCCTGTTGGCCCTATCTTCAAAATATACCCAGAATCTGCCCACATCTTACCACCTCCATAGCTACCTGCTTGGGCTGAGCTCTCAGCATCTCTTGCCTGGAGTATTGCAGTCCTACTAGTCTTCCTGATCCTGCCCTTGACACCCCCGCCTCCAACCCCTGGTGATCCTTTTAACATGGAAGTTGGATCATATCATTCCTCTAGTTACTGTCTCAGAGTATGAGTCAAACTCTTACAAATAATGGGGCCAGGCAGGGTGGCTCACGCCTGTAATCCCAGCACTTTTGAAGGCTGAGGTGGGCAGATCACTTGAGGTTAGGAGTTTGAGACCAGCCTGGCCAACATGGTGAAACGCTGTCTCTACTACTACTACTAATAATAATAATAAAACCTAGCTGGGCATGGTGGTGGGTGCCTGTAGTCCCAGTTACTCGGGAGGTATAGCAGAAGAATCACTGGAACCCAGGAGGCAGAAGTTGCAGTGAGCCGAGATTGTGCCACTGCACTCCAGCCTAGGTGACAGAGCGAGACTCCGTCTCAACCTTCATGATCTGGGCTGCTTCTGTGATGTTTCTAACCTCTTCTTAGACTGTCTCTCTGCTGCTGCTTACCTTTTCAGCCACAATGGCCCCTTTGCTTTTCCTTAAACACCCCATTCATGTTTCTGCCTCAGGGCCTTTGCACTGACTTTTTATTTTGTCTGAAACACTCTTCCTGCAGATACCTAAATAGCTAACTCCCTAATCTCATTCAAGTCTTACTCAAATACCATCCTCTCAGTGAGGTCTCCCCTGACCACCTTATTTAAAAATACAACCCTGAAACACTCTTCTTCTTCCTCCTTCTTTGCTTTATTTTTCTCCATAGCTCTTATTGCCATATAAATACCATATATCTTACTTGCTTATTTACTTATTGTTTTTCTCCACCTGCTAGAAGGTGAGATCCCTGTGACTAGGGAACTGGGGAGATCTTTTTCTGTTCACTGCTGTAACTCCAGCCTCTAGAACAATGCTTGGCATGTAGTACGTACTCAACTCAGTAAATATTTGTTTAATGAATAATTGAAGGTCAGACAGCCTCAATGCATGGTCTACAGAAATAAATGCAATAAGATGACGCATCCTATCTGCTGTCTCATGCTCCCTCTCATCTTCTGGAGACAAAGAAGAGGGAGAGATACGTGTGCCATCAGAAGCTGCACTTTAAAAAATTAATTAACAATTGTGGAAAAGTATACATAACATTAAATTTACCATCCTAACTTTTTTTTTTTTTTTTTTTTTGGAGACAGAGTCTATCTCTGTTGCCCAGGCTGGAGTGCAGTGACGTGATCTCGGCTCACTGTAACCTCTGCCTCCTGGGTTCAAGCGATTCTCGTGCCTCAGCCTCCTGTGTAGCTGGGATTACAGGCATGCGCCACCATGCGTGGCTAATTTTTTTGTATTTTTAGTAGAGATGGGTTTCACCATGTTGGCCAGGCTGGTCTTGAACTCCTGACATCAAGTGATCTGCCCACCTTGGCCTCCCAAAGTGTTGGGATTATAGGTGTGAGCCACCGCGCCTGGCCCATACTAACCATTTTTCAGTCTGCAACTCAGTAGTAAGTACATTCACATTGTTCAACTAATCTCCAGAACTTTTTCATCTAGCAAAACTGAAATACATCCATTACACACTAACTCCATTCCCTTTTTCCCCTAGCCCTTGGCAACCACCCTCCCTTCTACTTTCAGTTTCTATAAATGTGACTAGTCTAAGTACCGCATATAAATGGAATCATACAATATTTGTTGTTTTGTGACTGGCTTATTTCACTTAGCATCATGCCTTCAATGTTCATCCACGTAGCATGTATCAGAATTTCCTTCCTTTTTAAGTTGAAAGCTGTACTTTTGAGTGACACCTATTATTCCACCTGGGCTTCCCTGGAGTGATCCAGTTCCCTCATTACTTTCATGGCTGGTCCAGCACAGCACAGGTGACTAAACTTGACTTCAGGGGGAAGCAATGAGGTTGAAAACTTCGTGTCATGGGGTGTCCCACGAGCTCTGTTTCCTGTGGTGTCAGTTGGCTTTGCTGGCCATAATGAACTCGGGCCCGCTGCTTGGGCGTGCAGAGGGGACCTTGCAGGCTTCTAGGTTAGAGCAAACCTTTTCCCTGCCACACAGCCTTTCCGGTACCCACACAGTCTTTGGCATGATCTTTTGAAGGAGATTTGCCCCCGTTTCAGTGGGTGCAAGTCAACTCATCATTCCACGAGATGATTTTGATAAGCCTTGAGAATTCACTCCAATGTCAAGCAGTCTGTCAGACCAGAATTAAAGTCCTTTCATAATGAATCTGTCTCCAGGAGAAGTGATTGTTCTGGCTTAGGCAGAAGGAGAGAAATGGGGCAAAGAAGAGTAATTCTCATTGCTGATAGTCAGGTCCAGGGAAGGCTGTTTAGTAACTGAGGGAGAAGGATTATATATATATATAAACATTTTTTTGAGACACAGCCTCGCTCTGTCTCCCGGGCTGGAGTGCAGTGGCACAGTCTCAGCTCAAATCATTGCAACCTCTGCCTCCCAGGCTCAAGCGATTCTCATGCTTCAGCCTCTCGAGTAGTAGCTGGGATCACAGGCGTGTGCCACTATGCCCGGCTAATTTTTGTATTTTTAGTAGAGACGGAGTTTCACCATGTTGGCCAGGCTGGTCTGGAACTCCCGACCTCAGGTGATCAGCCCGCCTCGGCCTCTCAGAGTGCTAGGATTACAGGCATAAGCCACCACGCCAGCCCATATACATATTTATATATAATTTACATAAACATATATGCATATAAAAATTATATATTATATATAAATGTGATATATTGTATATAAGTTATATATGTATGCATTTATAATAAAATTTATAAATATATACATTTTAAGTATATATAAATGCATATATTTATAAATATATATGTATATAAGTATATATAAATACATGTATGTATATAAGTATATATAAATACATGTATATATATAAGTATATATAAATACATATATGCTTATGAATATATACATATAATAATTATATAACATAAATATGTACATATAATTATTATATGTATATATTTATCTATTATATGATATATTTTATATATCATATATTACATGTATGTATATGTTTATATATTTATTATATATGTACATATTATGTATATATAATTTTATATGTACTATATCTATATTTCTATGTGCCAGACACTATTCGAGGGTCTTTACAACACTGAGTCACTCAATTCTCACAGCAACTTTAAAAGATAGCTACTGTCTTTACCACCATTTTACAAATAAGGAATATGAGGTGCAGGGGCTTAAGTGACTTTCCTAAGGGCACGGAACTAGCAAATAGCAATGTTTGCTTTCAAACCTAGGCAGTCTAACTCTAGAAGCTATACTCAACTATTATACTCTATTCCCTCCCAAGTCTTTAAAATAATCACCTCACGTTCCCGCCCCATTCCAATATCTTTATTTCCTTAACCCATTTCTCTCTAGAAAAAATTTTAAAAGAAATCTGTAATATCTCACCAGCTGAAGATTCACCATGCACGCAGTTGCATTTTCCAGAAGCAGTTGCATCGTGAGGCCTGCATAACTCTGCCTCTTTGTAAGAAGCAGATTGGGGACATCAGTGTCTTGTGGGTAGGTACAGATATATAAATAGGAAAGTGAAACTCAGAATATACAAACAAAATAAGAGGGTGGTTGTTTACATTATATAAGGGATTCTTCAGTTTAGTAAGGAAACCAATGTTGAATTCCTGGAAATAGCAGCTTATTTATTTGACTAAGTGGTTGGGGTCAGAAAACCCTCAAACTGAAATATTTACAAACCCATTTGTCCCTTTGAAGCTCAAAGAAATTATGATAAATTATTGCTAAGAGGATTATGTTGTCCGTGAGGAAAGAAAATTGTGTTTACTGCCTCCTCTCAAATCGTCTTGAAATGACACATTGAGAAACACATCTTTGGTGTGAAGCCGAGCACACTTGTGCGTGCAGTTGCCATGTGGAACAGTCTGGATCACAACTCACTCACTCAGAATTAAAATCAGAAGACTGTGGAGCTGTCAGCATTTGCACGAGCTCAGGAGATAAAGCAAGTCTGTTTACGGACAGGCAGCCAGACCCATAACTTCTCATTTACAAACAGCACACACACAATCTTCTAACAACTTGCTTTTCAATCACAATAAAGGTTTAAAGGCATTGGAAAGCACTGTAAGCCTCCAGTGATTATAAGCAGCCACTTAATACAATGTTGGTTTTCAAAATAGTAATTAAATTTCATATTAAAAACATAGCTATTTGAGGAGAAAAGTATGGTAGCAAACGTAACCTGAAACGTTGTGTTTCATCAGAAAATCTTCATATTCAAAAGGAAACACTTGAATGGGCATCTGTAAGGTCTTTGGAGGTTATGTGCTTTATGAAACTTTTACAGACTGGTTAATCACACAATTCTAGCAGATTTCTTGTAACTGCACAGACAAAATTCAATTTCTCCATAATGAGAAAATTCTATACAGCAACAGGTAACTAGATTTGTGTCAGTTTTGACAGATGTAGAACAAGAGACCAAGAGACAAGTAATTTCTGTCACCAGAGGGCACCAAAGCTCAAGTTGCTAGGAAAACTGAAAACCACAGGGTCACAGTATCAGGGACTAGAAAACTCCCTGAAAGGTCATTCCTGTGGTCTGCAGACAAGACCTCACCTAATTATTTCAAAGGACTGAGAATGTCTCCTACAGGAAAGAACTTCCCTAGCTTGTTTTCATAGGCTAGTTGGTTATTTACTCTCCCAGCCAAGAGCTTCTCAATATCAGCTCATGAATTCATCCATCTCACATATATTTATTGAGCACCTACTATGTACCAAGCCCTGGGGAAGAAGTGGTGTGCAAGAAAGGCAAAGTCCCTGTCCTCATGACTTTAAAGTCTAGAGGTCGAGATTGACTTTAAACATCGAGTGTGGTGGGGATTATGGAAAGTACAGTACTGGGACCTTGGGAGCAGCTGGCAGGGGACCTAATCTTATCCATGAGGTCATGGAAGTATGTTGGCCTCCTGTGGCTTCTGTAACAAATTATCACAAACTGGAGGGCTAAAAACAACAAAAAGTTACTCTTTCACAGTTCTGGATGCCAGAAGTCTGAAGTAAGGTGTTGCACTCCCCTGGAAGGCCCTAGGAGAGAATCAGGTCCTTCCTTCTCCCTTATTGGGGGCAGCTCCAAGCATTCTCACCTTGCGGCTGCATCATGTCAATCTCTGCCTCTGTGGTCACATCACTGCCTCCTTTTCTCTGTGTGTCTCCTCCTCCGTGTGTCTACATGATAAGGATACATGGGATTGTATCTAGGACTTGTTGTGGACTGAATCGTGCCCCCCTCAAATCAAATCTGTTGAAGCCCTAACCCCTAGTGTGACTGTAGTTGGAGACAGGGCCTTAAAAGAGGTAAATGTGGTCAAAAGGGTGAGGCCTTAATCCAATAGGACTGGTGCCCTTATAAGAAGAGGAAGACACCAGAGACCTCCCTCTCCCCCTGCACAAGCACTGAGGAAAGACCATGTGAGGACACAGAGAAAAGGCAAGCCAGGAAGCAGGGCCTCACCTGAAACCAGTCCCGGCAACTCCCTGATGTTGGACCTCCAGACTGCAGAAACAAGAGGAAAAGCATTTCTGTTGTTTAAGCCACACTATCTGTGGTATTTTTTACAGCAGCTCGAGCAGACTGAGACAGGGCCCACCCAGACACTCCAGGAAAAGCTTTTCCTCTCAAGATCTTTAGTTTAATCACGTCTTTTACCATATCAGATGATAGTCACAGGTTCCAGGGATTAGGATGTGGAATAGCATTTTTGTTGTTGTTTTTTTTGTTTTTTGAGATAGAGTCTCACTCTGTCACCCAGGCTGGAGTGCAGTGGCTCGATCTCAGATCACTGCAACCTCCATCTCCCAGGTTCAAGCAATTCTCCTGCCTCAGCCTCCCGAGTAGCTGGGACTACAGGCACCCACTACCATGCCTGGCTAATTTTTGTATTTTAGTAGAGATAGGGTTTCACCATGTTGGCCAGGCTGGTCTCAAACTCTTGACATCAAGTGATCCACCCACTTCAGCCTCCCAAAGTGCTAGGATTACAGGTGTGAGCCACCCGGCCCGGATGTGGAATAGCTTTTGTGGAGGGGAGGAGTAAAAGGGCATCATTCCACCCAATACAGAGGGCTTCACGTGGAAGTGACATTTAAACTGAGATTTGAAGCCTGAGTAAGGGTTAGCCTAGTTGGGAAAGGAGAGGAGTACTGGAGGACTGCCCAGAGAGAGCGGGAAGCGCAACGAGGCCCTGGAGTGAGGTGTGGAGTGCAGCAGAGAGTGCAGAGGAGTGAGGCCGGTGCTTGGGTAAGGGGGCCAAATTGTGCAGAGCCCCAGGAGTCTTCTGAGCCCTCTTTGGGAGGCTGCCTTTTCCCTTAGGGGCCATGAGAAGTCTTAGAGGGTTTCAGATGAAGGGGAGGGAATGCAGGACACAATTGGATTAACATTTTATAGATTCAAAGCTGTGTGCAAGAGCCAGGCAGGAACCAGGGAGACCAGTTAGGAGGGTTTTGCTATACTAAAGCAAGGGCTGGTGGGGATTAGAAATAGCTAGCTAGATATCTAGAGCGGAGAACTGAAGACTTGATGATTGATTGGATCTGAGGAGTCAAGAGAGGGAGGCTTTAGGAGTAACTCCTAACTTCGTGGCTTGAGCAACAGGGTAAACAATGGCGTTATTACTAGGAGCAAGGGAACCTGCAGGGTGACTTGGGAGAAAGGAAGGGCTAAGGATGATTTTGTTGGAGACAGGATGAGTTGAGCGGTTTGAAGGAGCTGGCTCCAAGAACCGGTGTCCAGTGGTTAGTTAGCTACATGGAGCTCTGGAGAAAAGCCTACCCTAGGGAAAAAGGACTGAAGGTTGTCACACATCAGATTGTAAATGAAGCCTCGAGAGGAAACAAATGCAGCCAGTGAGAGCTGGAAGAGCGAGAAGAGAAAAGAACGCAGGACACAGCCCTAAGAAAAAACACGAAACACATTATTCCAGGGTGGAGGCGTCTAGGAGGGAGACTGAATATGAGACCTAGAGAGCACTTGGATTACAGAAAGGAAGAGAACAGGGAGTAGTCTGTAGCAACAAATGTTGCCTGGAGGTAAAACAGATACAAACCCAAGAGTGTTCACTGCATTGAGCTTTATCTGGGTCAGCGTGTGATTCTGGGTGCAGTGGAGAGATGAAGACCCAGCTGCCGTGGGACTTGGGAGGGCTGCAGAGGGAGAGAAGAGACGACTGTCCATGGAGAGGAAAAAGACAGTTTAGGATTTGGAGGGGGGTTTGACAAGGGGCTTTGATTTTACTTTCAAGATTGGGAAAAAACAAATGTGTTTAAATGCTCCCTAGTTCCTACCTTTCTGTAGAGAAACGTAGAGACTGAACATAATACGAGGAGCTAGTCTCCCCCTGAGCAGGGAGTTGAGGAGCGGTCCAGCGTCCAGGAGCTAGGACGGATGAGTGACTTCCTCTGTCGTAACGGAAGGGAAGGAAGAAGGCGGAAGCAGTGTAGAGATATGACGGCACGTGTTCCACTTCTTCTCTTCTGGGAGTATCTGTTTTCTTCTGATGGGGTGGGGTGATCTGCTGAGAGGGTGAGGTGGGGCTGACAGAATTGAAGGGTGGAGATTTGAAGCAGGAGATCAGGAGAGTTGACTCAAGAAACAAGGTGGGGCTGCAGGGGTCAAGGAGATGGTGTCTGGGAAGTAACTGAGTCGCCTGGTTGGAAGGGTAAGAAGTTTCAGTTTTCTGATTTCAGAAGAGGAGCGGATCTGGGACGACAAGATCAAGGTGTGTCCATTGGATGCCCCCCTTTTCTTTTTTTTTTTTTTTTCATTTTTCTTGCTGAACTCCCCTAGCTGGAACCTACAGTACCACGTTGAATAGAAGTGGCAAGAAGGGGGTAGTGCAGGCAGCAGGACAGGGTAGTGTGATGTGGTAAACGGCAGCAGGGATTAACTGAGTGAGTCAGCACTATTTCTTTTTAAGCTATAAAAACAATAGTATTCCCAGAGGCTCCATTCAGCAGATTTGTACTTTTAACTCATTGGCGGCTGAAGGGGAGAAGAAAAGCAAAGAAGTGAGGAACTCAGGTGTGATGGGTCCTTGAGGTAGGCTTCAGGTCACCTAAGATGCTGATGGTACTTGAGGAGGACAGAGTTCAAAGCCGGAGCCCAAATCCTCACTGAAAGACAGGAGCCTGGATGGAGCAGTTTACAGGCGAGTGGAGAAGTCCTGGTCCCAGGAGGCTGGGATGAATACAGGAATGTGCCCCTTGGCTGACCGTGGTCTGCAAACCAGTCTAAGAATGGGCTGTTTCTTTCTTTCTTTCTTCTTTTTTTTTTTTAATCGTGATAAAACCTAATTAACCAGATGCTTTAGCATGAAAAATTACCAAGAATGATCTACTGAGTGATCTAATCAATTGCGCAATTAATGAATGCAACTGCAACAAGAAAAAAAAATCTTCAAGACAATCAATATGGTTGTTTTCATAAAGACATTCCCTGAATAAATGTCAGTGACTTCACTTTAAGGCCAAATGCAGTTTTAGATTATAAAATGGTCCTCATTATCCATTCCTTGATTCCCTTTTCTAAGCATGTATAATCCAGACTTGACTAAATCTCTACTTTAAATGCCACAGTTAAGCCTCATACTTCATCTGTGTTTTAGTGGAAATGGAGCAGAACTGACCACTATACTCTTCATAATAGGTTGTTAAATCCTTATTGAAGACCATTATTAATTTCACATAGCCTGACTTCTTTTTTCCAAGCCATATCCTGCTCCTATTATCTCTTTCACAGAGTATCTATTGCTCTATCCCTTAATAATTTTATATGTAAGCCAAAAAGTCTCCTTATTAAGAAACAACAAATTTGGGCCAGGCATGGTGGCTCATGCCTATAATCCCAGCACTTTGGGAGGCCAAGGCAGGTGGATCATGAGGTCAGGAGATTGAGGCCATCCTGGCTAACATGGTGAAACCCCATCTCTATGAAAAATACAAAAATTAGCCGGGCATGGTGGCATGTACCTGTAATCCCAGCTACTTGGGAGGCTGAGGCAGGAGAATCGTTTGAACCCGGGAGGTAGAGGTTGCAGTGAGCTGAGATCGCGCCACTGCACTCCAGCCTGGGCAACAAAAGCAGGACTCCGTCTAAAAAAAAAAAAAGTAAAAAGAAACAACAGATTTGATAGAACCATGTATTTACTGAGAGCATCTCAAGACAGTTCAGTACTTTAACACTGGAGTATTATGTCTAGGAAAATTTCTACTGGAACAAGGAATTATTATTAATTATTATTATTATTTACAGATATAATTCTTGCCATCCCATGGGTAAGCCAGGGTCTCTTCTTCTCTGATCTTCAGCAGAATGAAACAAGTCCAGGATGAGTTTTTTGTTTTGTTTTTACAAACATCTCTGGTGGTTAGCAAGTTGCAGCAGTCACAGCTACTATACACCATTAGGTGAGAACACACAGTGTGCCAGGTTCTGGGCTAAACATCTTATATACATCTAATTTAAACATCACAAAACCCCCCTGAGGTAGGTGTTCTTATTATCCCCTTTCTGTGGACAAGGAAACAGCTTAGAGAGCTTAGGTACATGCCTCATGGACACAAGCAAACAAAAAGCGAAACTTGGATTCAAAGTTAGATCAGTCCAAATCCAAATCCATGCTTTCAATAAACTGTTTGCTGTTGTGATACAAATTCAAATTCAGTGTGTGTGTGTGTGTGTGTGTGTGTGTTTGTGTGTAAAGTGGGGAAAGTAGAAGGCTGGGAGGCTACGGGGTAGGGGTTGGATAGGCAGAGAGAGACAGAGAGAGTAAAGGGAGTGGTGAGAATTTTGGAAACAAGTAAAGCAGAAGCATTCTCTTTGATGCTATTGTTAATGGATTTGTTTTCATTTGGGAGTTATTTATTGTGAGTGTATAGAAATGTAATTGATCTTTATATATTCATATTGTATCCTGCAACCTTGCCAAATTCATTTATTAGCTGCAATCAATTTTTTTGCAGATTATTTAGGATTTTCTGTAGACAAGAGTATGTCATCTGCAAATAGAGGTAACTATTTCTTCCTTTCCTTTTTTGTCTTTTTTTTTTTTTTGAGACAGAGTTTTGCTCTTGTCCAGGTTGGAGTGCAATCGCGCTATCTCAGCTCACTGCTACCTCCACCTCCTGGGTTCAAGTGATTCTCCTGCCTCAGCCTCCCAAGTAGGTGGGATTACAGGCGTGCACCACCATACCCGGCTAATTTTTGTATTTTTAGTAGAGACGGGGTTTCACCATGTTGGCCATTCTGGTCTGGAACTCCTGACCTCAGGTGATCTTCCCGCCTTGGCCTCCCAAAGTGCTGGGATTACAGGCATGAGCCACCGTGCCCGGCCAACTATTTCTTCCTTTCTAACTGGATGCCTTTTTTTTTTTTTTTTTTTTTCATTTTTCTTGCTGAACTCCCCTGGCTGGAACCTACAGTACAATATTGAATAGAAGTGGCAAGAAGGGGGTAGTGCAGGCAGCAGGACAGGGTAGTGTGATATGGTGAAGGGCAGCAGGGATTAACTGAGTGAGTCAGCACCATTTCTTTTTAAGCTATAAAAACAATAGTATTCCCAGAGGCTCCATTCAGCAGATTTCTGCTTTTAACTCATTGATCAAATGAGTCACAGAGCCATCTCTAGTTGTAAGCAAGGCTAGAGAGATGAATATAAACTGGGTATATTGCAACCTGGTTAAAAATTGAGGTTGCATTGGTAAGAAAGAAGAGGAAAATGGATACTGATTAAGCTATTAGCTATGCCTGCCAATATTATTGAGAAGAAAAAAAAATTGATGTCTAAGTCAAGAAAAAGGGCACCGTTTAGCCAAAAACAATCCTGATTATGTTTTGAAAATTTAGATTTTCTTCTAATGCTAAATATGTTTTTGAGGTTTTTCATAGTTAATTACAGGTAAGTGTTTCCAGTGAGGACTGGCTTAGAGGGGAGCTCTTGTGGGTTTACGTGGCAGAGCAGTTCTTTCTACAGGCCATGTGTTACTGCTCTGATGTGTCAGTCCCAAGGTCTAAGGCAGGGATCAGCAAACATTTTTGTAAAGAGCCAGATAGTAAATGTTTTAGGCTTTGGGGGTTATAGGGTATGGCAGGCTGAAAAATGGGCCCTCCAAAAAATGTTCCCATTCTAATCACTGGAACCTGAGAATGTATTATTTCATATGGCAAATGAGAATTTGTAGTTGTGAGTAAATTAGGGATCTTGAGATGAGAGTTTATCCTGGATTATCGGGGTGGGCACAGTGTAATCTCGAGGGTCCTTATAAGAGGGACACAGAGGGATTAGAGAGACAAATTGTAAGATTCTGTGCTACTTCCTTTGAAGATAGAAGATGGGGCCCAGAGCCAAGGAATGCAGGTGATCTCTAGTTGCTCCAGGACGAATGCAGCCCTGTCAACACCTTGATTTTTGGATATCTGACCTCCAGAACTTTAGGAGAATAAATTTGTATTATTTAAGCCACTAAGTTTGTTGTAATTTGTTATGGCAGCAATAGGAAACAAATAGATGTGATTTCTATTACAACTACTTAATTCAGCTATTGTACCAAAAGCAGCTATAGGCAATACATAAGTGAATGGACGGGCCTGTGTTCCAATAAAAGTTTATTTACAAAACCGGTAGGCAGGCTGGATTTGGTCCATGGGCTGTAGTTTTCTGACTCCTGATCTATGTAATCTCCAATTGCGCAACATCAGTTTGTCTCTCTCTCTCTCTCTCTTTTTTTTTTTTTTTTTCAGACAGGGTCTCACTCTGTGGCCCAGGCTGGAGTGCAGTGGCATGATCTTAGCTTATTGCAGCTTTGATCTCCCAGGCTCAAACGATCCTCCTGCCTCAGCCTCCTGAGTAGCTGGGACTACAGGTGGGTGCCACTGGGCCCAGATAGTTTTTTATTTTTTGTAGAGATAGAGTTTTGCCATGTTGCCTAGGCTGGTTTCAAACTCCTGGACTCAAGTTATCTGCCCACCTTGGCCTCCCAAGGTGCTGGGATTACAAACGTTAGCCACTGCCCCCAGCTGTCTCCATTTTTTAAATTAAAATACATAATGTTCTAGTAAATATTCTTGTGGGCAATTCATTGGACCTGTCTTAGATTACATGCCCAGAGTAAATTCTAGAAATGAAATTCCTGGTCTTCTCCGAAGACGGAATTGAGTGGGGAAAAAAAAGAAAATGAAAAAAGAAATAAACACAAGATATTCTTGGTCAAATTGTGTCTGCCCTTTCTCCTCCAGTGAGCTACGATGAAGCCACAGTAATCCACATTCCCAGGGGAACACAGGTGGTCTGCCTCTCCATGTGCTCAGAGTGCCAATTCTTGGTAAGGAGATATAGGGACTGGAGTGAAACATTGGAATAATGACTCATATTCATGTTTTATAAACAAATTTAAAATATTGGATCAGGTTATTTATCTGGAAACCCTGAAGTTTGGCTGTTTAAAGGGCTATTTTAAATATAGGCAACAGAAAACAAAATACAAAGTCTTATTTCTGACACTTTAAAATGTTGGCAAAGTGTCTTCCTTGTTAGTATGGTGGTGAGTATCCCCACCTGTCATAAAATGGCAAATAGGCTGGGTGCAGTGGCTCATGCCTGTAATCCCAGCACTTTGGGAGGTCAAGTTGGGAGGATCATTTGAGTCCAGGAGTTTGAGATCAGCCTGGACAACACAGAGAGACTTTGTCTCTCCAAAAAAATTGTAAAAATTAGCCAGGCATGGTGGCATGTGCCTGTAGTCCCAGCTACTTGGGAGGCTGAGGTGGAGGGTGACTTGAGCCCAGGAAGTGGAGGCTGCAGTCAGTGAGTCAAGATCCCATCACTGTACTCTGGCCTGGGCGACAGAGTGAGACCCCCATCTCAAAAAAAAAAAAAAAATTGGCAAATAATTACAGTCTTTCCATTTCACTCAGCCCCTACACTGAGCATGTTCATAGCTGGGACAGTATTAGCATTTGGTTCTCTTAGTATTGACCCATTGTCAATGGAAAATGGCCGGTTACATGTGATTTTCTCATTAATTGTCTACAGTTGAAAGGACAATATTTCTGGAATGTGCTCTTGACCAACTTATTTTTACTATAAGAGAACCTATCCTTGTATTCACAACCTTATTCTTGCTGATCTTTACAGGAATTTCACTTTGGAGCCCCTATTTGGGGAAGTTAATATGTAGGAGAAATGATTGGTGAATTCATTCTTTGCTATTTGGGGGAAAGAAAAGTCAGTACCTCTTACTTTCCCATAAAATTCCATGTGATTCTAAGATCATTCTTTAATTATTCTGGTTTTACCAAGGATCCCCAAATTGGGGGTTCTATTCAGATCAGCCAAGAGTCCTTATAAAATTCTTCGGGGCACTCCACTGGCACAGTGTTGGGATCCTGCATTAAATAGGGTGTGTGAAGAGACCAGGCACACACTTAATTACAGCTAACATTTGTTGAGAATTTAGTTATGTGCTGCATCAGGAAAATTATTCTAATTAACTCTTACAACATCTTTGAGAGCTAGGTATCATTATTGTGCTTATTTTATTGTTAAGGAAACCGGGGCATTGGGGCATTATAATAAATAGAATTACTGGGAGTTGAACACAGGCAGTTTGATTCCAAAGCCCTTACTTTGCACTGTGGATTATACTAGATAGTCAGTAGATGCAGTCTTCGTTTATTTATCCAATCAATCAATCAATCAATCAATCAGGGTGTTCATTTATTGGGCTTGGTGTACATCAATAAGCAAAACAGATAAAACTCCTGTTCTATTGGAGATTTACTTTCCAGTGGGGATGAAGTGGGGGGCCAAGATAATAAACAACCAACAATCAACATACTAATCTTATTAATATAGTAAGCATAATAACATATAAACATATTAAATTAATCATAAAGTATGTTAGAAGGTGTTAAGCACAATGGGAAAAAAAAGGAAGAGAGCAGGGGAACGGGGAGTGGGTCTACGTAGACAGGCTTCATTGAGAGCCTGGCATTTGGACAACAATTGAAGGAGGAGAGCGGGTTTTTTGGGCTCATATCCAATTCCTCTTTTTCTATAGTTGTAAAAATTTCTCAGTGAAATTTGCACCAGTATAATATCTGCTACCTACTATTTATAGGGTGATGTTGTACTTACAGTACCATCTGTAGGCTCCTTGGAATTTTTATTAAGCAGAGGACCCAAACTTAAATTATCAAGTTACTGAAAACTGTAACCAATAATATACAGCTTGGTCTCAATTATTTGGACATTAGGTGAAAACAGAGATGTCCTTCCCCGCTGCCTCCAGTATGTCTGATTTATATGTATGTGGACTCAATCCAAAGGATATCTATAAAACTCAAGGACAAGATAAACAATCAGGGCTGAGCCTGGTGGCTCACACCTGTAATCCCAGTGTTTTGGGAGACTGAGGTGGGAGGATCACTTGAGGCCAGGAGTTCAAGACCAGCCTGGGCAACATAGTGAGACCCCCGTCTCTACCAAAAAAGAAAAAAAAGAAAAGATAAACAATCATAGGTAACTGACCTAGGGAACTAGAAGAGAAGTTACTTTAAAGCCAAATATGTATTTCTTCTCTGGTCTTGATTATTGTGCAGAACTCTTCCAGTGAAAAAGCATAATAATACATGAGAAATATTGGGTTTTGTATTTGTTTTCACTTTAGATGCCTGGTGTCTTAACATAAAATATGTATTGAACTGCATATATATATATATATACACACACACACATACACATATATATACACATATATATACACATATATACACATATATACACACATATATACATATATACACATATATACATATATATACACACACATATATATACATATATATACACACACACACATATATATATTTTTTTTTGAGATGGAATCTCACTTTGTCACCCAGGCTTGAGTGCAGTGGTGCCATCTCAGCTCACTGCAACCTCCGCCTTCTGGGTTCAAGTGATTCTCCTGCCTCAGCCTCCTGAGTAGCTGGGATTACAGACGAGCACCACCACACCTGACTGATTTTTGTATTTTTAGTAGAGATGGGGTTTCACCATGCTGGCCAGGCTGGTCTCGAACTCCTGACCTCAAGTGATCTGCCCGCTTTGGCCCCCAGTGTGCTGAGATTACAGGTGTGAGCCACCATGCCCGATCTCGAGATATTTTGATGTGTCAATTATTATAAAAAAAGAGGGAATTAAACTGGCATCTACATCTAAATATCTAAAAAATAAAATAAAGTAAAGGCTGGGTGTGGTGGCTCATGCCTGTAATCCCAGCACTTTAGGAGGCCAAGGCGGGTAGATCACTTGAGGTCAGGAGTTTGAGACCAGCCTTGCCAACATGGTGAAACTCCATATCTGCTAAAAATACAAAAATTAGCCAGTTGTGGCAGTGCACTCCTGTAATCCCAGCTACCCGGGAGGCTGAGGCAGGAGAATCGCTTGAACCTGGGAAGCGGAGTTTGCAATAAGCCAAGATTGCACCACTGCACTCCAGCCTGGGCGACAGAATGAGACTGTATCTCAAAACAAAAACAAAAACAAAATACATAACTATCTGAGCTAACTGCCTACTTTGTTTTATTCTTTCATTGGAATTGTAAGCTCCATGTGGGCAGAGAATGTGCCTGTCTGGGTGATGCTCAATACTTATTTGTTGAATTCAAGGGTGAAAAAAAAGAAAGAAGTTTTATCTATTACAGTTGCAGTGAAAAAAAAAAAAGAAGAAGAAGAAAGGAAAATAGAAAAAAAGGAAAAAAGAAAAGAAAATTTAAAAGCCAAAAATAAGTGAAGAAAGAAGAAAGGAAAGCGGCCGGGCATGGGGGCTCACGCCTGTAATCCCAGCACTTTGGGAGGCCAAGGCGGGCGGATCACAAGGTCAGGAGATCATGACCATCCTGGCCAACATGGTGAAACCCTGTCTCTACTAAAATATAAAAAAAAAATTAGCCAGGCATGGTGGCGTGTGACTGTAGTCCCTGCTACTCAGAAGGCTGAGGCAGGGGAATTGCTTGAACCTGGGAGGCGGAGGTTGCAGTGAGCCGAGATCACGCTACTGCACTTCAGTTTGGCGACAGAGCAAGACTCCATCTCAAAAAAATAAAAATAAAAAAGTGAATTTCTTTTATTTAGCTGACTTAAGTTAGATATATTGAGTGACATTTGAATAGAGGACAGTAGTGTGAGATTTTGCTGCAAGGACCGAACTTTGGTGCTGTATGTATACTAATTGTTTTTTAACTATGACAATTGTGAAAGAGGTATTTGTGCTTGCAGAGAGTGACATGAATTCACTATTTTGCTAGTATGCTAATGCCTATCTTTGGGAGGTAAAAATCAGGCAATAGTGGTAATTCTTATGAAGGTTTTTTTTTCTGTACATCATGTCAATCAATGTTTGACCCATATATCCATTTGGGCTGAGAAAAAAATTCTTTTATTAGGGATTTTCAAATTACAGAAATTAATTTATTTGTGACAAGGTTGAAAGAAAAGGTACAGAATAGGAAAGAATAGAAAATGCCTGTGCATTGCATATTGTGAAGGTGAGTATTGTATTGTGTATTTTGTGTACTAGATTATGAGGAAAATGCATTTCTTACTATAAAAATGTTTTAAAGATTGAAATTCAAGCTTTAAATCAATTGAATTAGGGTTAGTGTGATCCCCAGATCATGAGGAAGCCATTGAAATCCTTCTGAAGCTCAAATAATATTGAGTTTAGTAGAGAAGCATTGAGTGAGTATCTGTCCTGGTTCAAATCTAACCTCCACCACTTCTTAATAGTATGACTCTGAGCCTTTCTTTCCTTACCTATAAGATGGTAGAGTCCACTTCATAAAGTTGTTTTGAGTATCAAAAAAGAGTTAATATATGTAAAGTGCTTAGAAGAGTGCCTGGGACGTAGTGAGGACTGCATGAGTGTTGGTGGTTATTACTGTTGTTGTTGTTATGTGATGATGAGCACTGTGAGAGATTTCACATGCAACGTCTCATTTAACCCAAGACTATGTATGAGTCTTAGCGCACACCATGTTCTACACATTATCTGACGTAGAGCCTGGCTAGTTGAATTTTAAGCAGAAATACCCAAGACCTTAAAAAGCAGCCATCTTCCAGTCCAGCAGTGATGCACACCTGTAATCCCAGCTACTTGGAAGGCTGGGGTGGAAGGAACACTGGAGCCCAAGAGTTTAAGGCTGCAGTCTATGATGATTTCTCTTGTGAAAAGCCCCATACTCCATCCTGGGCAACATAATGAGATACACCATCTCTAATAAAAACAAACAACAAAAACCTCAACCTCTCCTAGCTGTTCTTTTATACTAGATCTTGTTTAGTAATGATAATTTATAAAGAACAGAAATTTATTTCTTACAGTTCTGGGGCTGGGAAGTCCAAGATCAAGGTGCCAGCAGGTCTGGTGTCTGGTGAGGGCTTGCTCTCTGCTTCCAACATTATACTTTGTTGCTGCATCCTCACATGGTGGAAGGTGGAAGGGCAAAAGGCCTAGCTAGTTCCCTCAAGCCTTCTTAGAAGGGTACTAATCTCATTCACGAGGATGAGGCCTTCATGACTTAATCACCTGCTAAAGGCCCCACCTCTTTTTTTGTTGTTGAGACGGAGTCTCGCTCTGTTGTTCAGATTGGAGTGCAGTGGCAGGATCTTGGTTCACTACAACCTTCACCTCCTGGGTTGAAGCAATTCTCCTGCCTTAGCCTCCTGAGTAGCTGGGACTACAGGCATGCGCCACCATGCCTGGCTAATTTTTGCATTTTTAGTAGAGATGGGGTTTCCTCATGTTGGCCAGGCTGGTCTTGAACTCCTGACCTCAAATGTTCCGCCTGCCTTGGCCTCCCAATGTGCTGGGATTACAGGCGTGAGCCATCATGCTGGCCAAAGGCCTCCACCTCTTAACACTATCACCTTAAGATTTAAGCTCTAACAATTTTAAAGAGACACATACATTCAAACCATAGAAATTACATACACTGGATCTAATTCATCATCACATTTTTCTTTTAGATGGGTGGTATATGATCTGGGGAAGTAGCTACCAAATGGCTGCTCACATTAAAAACATCTAAGCTTGGCTGGGCGCGGTGGCTCACGCCTATAATCCTAGCACTTTGGGAGGCTGAGGCAGGTGGATCACCTGAGGTCAGGAGTTCTAGACCAGCTTGGCCAACATGATGAAACCCCGTCTCTACTGAAAATACAAAAAATTAGCCAGGCGTGGTGGCAGGCGCTTGTAATCCCAGCTACTCGGGAGGCTGAAGCAGGAGAATCACTTGAACTCAGGAGGCAAAGGTTGCAGTGAGCCGAGATCGCACCATCGCATTCCAGCCTGGGCAACAAGAGTGAAACACCATCTCAAAAATAAATAAATAAATAAAATCTAAGGTTGTATAAATGGAAAAGGATGAGTGTTGTCTATTTCATGCTAAAAGCACGAGGAGGTCTAGCTTTTCTAGTTAATCTGATGGAGATAGGTAGCCCAGAACCATACAATTTGGCCATCTTGTGGATAACATTTATCATTTCACTCATTTCACTTAGGGTTGTATAGTCTTCCAATGTCTGCAATTCCCTTAATGGCCATTAGAGTCGCGGACGAGAAAAAAACTCTTCAGAAAACGGTGTGAATAATGGGAGCAAGAGAAGAAGTTCCTGGTTATAGCCCACTCATATATTTTTGAAATATAGGTCAGATCTAGAGGAAATGAAAGAAACTTCCTGTTGAATTTTCATTTATAGTATGTGTCTGGAAATCTCTAAATGTAATTTCTTGGTGTAAAATAAACTGCAGAAATCTGGGATGTGTCAGTCTGCTTTATGTTTATTGAAGCCATTCTATTTGAAGCTGAAATGTTGTAAAATTATATAGTGGAGTGAACAGCTACAATTAGTTTAACAGACACGACCGTATTCCTCAATTGAAAGGCTGTCAAGACCTTAACAATCAGACACAAAAAAGATCCAGGAATCCCATAAATCCTGTCTCCTAGGAAGGATAACATTTCCCTTTGATTGCTACACATCCCTTTGCATGTGTTATTACCTTCTACCCTGTTTTTTGTGATTAACAAAAAGCACTGTCCAAAGAGAAACAGTCACAAATAATGTTTTAAAAGATTTTAACAGGTTAGGACAACCTGGAAGTTTCAGTGACCCCAACCAAGCACTAAAAATAAAAACTGGTTTGGGTAAAACTATGAAAACCTCACCACTAGTGTGGCAAACATCACCGTTTACCTTATCTTCAGTCTACTTTGATTTTGGATTTTTCTTCTAAACTGAGATGAGGACCCTATTGTTAATATTTGTTAAAGTAATGCCACTTGATAGATGCTACTTGATGTCACTTGTAGCAGACACTGCCGACTGCCTCTGCAACCGATGGTGGGAGCCCCAATTTTGTGATTGTGTTTATGCTCCTTCACATGTCCATATGCTCTTTGAAGGTGACCCTGATTCCCATCCAGGGGTAAATCATGATTTTGCTGAGCCACTCATGGCAATTCCATTTTCCTTTTTAGTGATTGGTTTAAGGAGGGGCTCTGATCTAATAAGCCATGTGTGAAGGTCTCCTGGGAGGCTTCTGGAGAAGTCTTCTCTTCTTTTGGGGTATGTCGTTATATCTGCATACAATGCCTGGAGGAGTGTAGCCGTCTTGTGACTCTGGCACAAAGCTGACACATTGAGGAATGCAAAGCAGAGAGATGGAATGGCTGGGTCCTTCATGATGTCATTAAAGCATCAAACCTTGCAGCAACCTACATTGAGACTTTGTAAAAATGTGAGATAATTAATTTTTCTTAATGTGTAAGTTAGGATTTTCTGTTACTTGCTTCCCTAGACACCCTAACTAATACTGCCAGAAGAAAAATATCTATATTAAGGCTCTTGGGGTTAGAGACTTCTGCTTCACAGGCTGAGCTAAGACTCGGCCTCTAGAAGACTAAAAAGGCAGCATACTCTTGAGCAAAGAGCCCTGGACTTAGGGTTAGAAAAACTAGCTCCGAATCACACCTGCCATTTATTATTTGTGTGATCTCAGGCAGATAATTTAATCTGTTTGAACCAGCTGGGTGTGGTGGCTCACACCTATAATCCCAGCACTTTGGGAGGCCGAGGTAGGTGGATCACCTGAGGTCAGGAGTTCGAGACCAGCCTGACCAATCTGGTGAATCCACATCTCTACTAAAAGTACAAATAATAATAATAATAATAATAATAATAATGATAATAATAATTTAGTCGAATGTGGTGGCTCACGGCTGTAATCCCAGCTACTTGGGAGGTTGACCCAGGAGAACAGCTTGAACCAGAGAGGCGGAGGTTGCGGTGAGCCAAGATCGTGCCATTGCACTCCATCCTGGGCAACAAGAGCGAAACTCTGCCTCAAAAAAAGAAAAAAAAATCTGTCTGAACCTCAGATTAACAATGTTAACTCACAGTCTGGCAGTGAAGGTTCAGTGAAGTAGTGTGTATGAAAGGCCACCAGGTGGAGTCTCCTTGAGGGCAAAGTTTGTGTTGTGCTCATCTTTGTATCCTTAACAGACACTAGCTAGCATATAACCACAAATACTTTTACAGCACCTACTCTGTGCCAGTATTTTCCACATTGTAAGCATTTATCATGTTTTGTTTTGTTTTGTTTTTGAGATGGAGTCTCGCTCTGTTGCCCAGGCTGGGCATGATCTTGGCTCACTGCAAACTCTGCCTCCTGGGTTCAAGCCATTCTTGTGCCTCAGCCTCCTGAGTAGCTGGGATTACAGGCATGCACCACCACACTCGGCTAATTTTTGTATTTTTAGTAGAGGCGGGGTTTCACCATGTTGGCCAGGCTGGTCTCAGACTCCTGACCTCAAGTGATCTGCCCGCCTCAGCCTCCCAAAGTGCTGGGATTACAGGCGCGAGGCACTGCACTTAGCTTATTATGTATTTTAAAGTATTTTTCTATGTATTAACTCATTTAAATCTCAGAACAACACTGTATTAATTATTTCCCCTCTTTACAGATGAAGAAAGGCTCAGAGAGATTAAGTAATTTTCCATGGTCACCCAGACAGGAAATAGTAGAGCCAAAATTTGAATTCAGGATCTTTCAGAGTCTAGGGTCTCATTTACAATATATGCTACATAGTGGGGGCTCAGTATTTGTTAAATGGATGAATGGTGCCCACTAGCAGTTCAATTAATGTTTATTGGGAAAATGGGACACAGTAGTTGAATAACAATTTTTTTTTCTTAAGAAGAAATACATAGTGATTTTTTTTTTTTCTGTTTGGAAATAAAGAGGTTTTTCCAAGTTCAAGAGGTTTCCATCTGGGGGGCAATTTTCATGGTAAAGAGAGTGGCCGCCAAGGCAGCCATCTGAGGGATTAGGCCTGAATACAGTTACTGTTCTCTCTCAGGTCCAGAGAGTCTCTGAGATGAATAATGTTTCTAGTTTCTCTATTTCACCCTCTCCAAAATGGCCTCTAAGAGCACATGCTGGGACTCTCCTAGCTACTAGAACATAATAGCCACACACCCTGACTAGTCCTCAGCTAAATGTTGGTTGGGAAGACGAGTTTGCCTCCTGCTTTGCATGTCCTGTTTGCTGTTTGCTGTGGTGTTGTTGTCAGCATCAGCACTGCTCTGCTCAGCACACTACCACCCCCATCCACCTCGTTAAAAGCAACAAACAGTCCTAAGGAAAGAACTCTAACAAGAAAATCAAACACACAAATAATGAAAATAATAAATCCCACCCTAAGACAGATCATTGACTCATAGCTCAGTGGATATGCTCTTTCTCCTAGGACAATTAATAGCAGGGCCTTCCTCAACCTCAAGAGATCAAGCTGACTGCCCAATGGGAAAGAGTTGGTTTGGGAGGAAGTCTTCTTCAGAATGACAAGGGACATCTTAGAAGGAGGCCACCTCCTCTTCTTGCAAGCCACACATTTAGTTTTTTTCAGTGATCCTATCGCCTCTGGAGTATATGGCCTTCTTCCTTTCCTCTCCAAGCCTCCTTTCCCTTCCTCCATACTTCACTCCCCCCAGTCCCCATCTTCCTGGGGAAGTCACAATTTCCATGATTTGTCTAGAGTTATTATAGTATGCAAAAAGCCAACCCTAGAATTTGTCTGTGCAGAAATATTGCTTTCAAACCAGTCCACGTTCCACAACTCATATACCTCATAAATACAAATGAAGCAGGAAGTTTTGTGGTAATTTAGTAGAACAAAAGAACTAGTAAACATTAAACTCTAAACCAGCACTGTTCAATAGAAATACAACGCAAGCCACAAAGCAAGTCACTAATTAATATGTAATTAAAAATTTTCTGGTAACCACATTAAAAAGTAGAAAGAAACAAGTGGAATTAACTCTAGCAATATATTTTATTTAATCTGATATATTTAAAAGATCATTTCAACAGAGTCAACATAAAAATTATTAATGAAATATTTTATATATATATTTTAATAGTACATCTTTGAAATCAAGTTTTACACTTAAATCTCAATTCAGACTAGCCACATTTCAAGTACTCAGTTAACCACATGTGGCTAGTGGCTACCATATTGGACAGCACAGCTCTATACTACTCATACCTTTTCACATATTGTTCTTAATTTTTCTGAACAGTCTAATGTATTTTTGCATGAATCTAACCAGTGTGTTTAATCTCTATTGGATTCTTTTCCCATAAATTATTATATTAAAATATATGTCAGTTATATTTATACATTGCATGCTTGTGTATATTTAAATATATATTAAAATACCTCTGTGATTTGTATGGTCCATTTACATAGGCTGTCATTTATGAAATTGATCTAATTATCTTCTGTTGCATTGCTATAATGATTGTCCATTTACCTATTGGGCAACTGGGTAATTTTCTTTCTTTTTTTGGTGGTGGGGACACAGTCTTGCTATGTTGCCCAGGCTGGAGTGCAATGGTGCAATCTCAGCTCACTGCAACCTCCACCTCCTGGGTTCAAGTAATTGTCCTGCCTCAGCCTCCTGAGTAGCTGGGATTACAGGTGTGCACTGCCACACCTGGCTAATTTTTGTATTTTTAGTAGAGACAGGGTTTCACCATCTTGGCCAGGCTGGTCTTGAACTCCTGACCTCGTGATCCACCCACCTCAGCCTCCCAAAGTGCTGGGTTTACAGGCATGAGCCCCCGCGCCTGACCAAGCATCTGGGTAGTTTTCCATTGTTCTCTGTTATAAGTATTATTGCTATGAATGCCTTTTTAGAGTGGAGTTAATTTTTTTCTCTTTCTATCTTTCTCTCCTTTCCTCCTTTCCTATTCTACTGTTTCTTTTAGGATTACAGAAAGTGAGGTTGAGAAATCTTCCTTCCTCAGTTGGTCCAGGAAGGGAGTTTGTGTCCATATCTTTTCCACTATATAAGCCCTACCTAAAAACATCTACATTTTCTGTGACAAATTGAAGTTGGTTACCACGGCTGGACCCAAAGTAGTTAATCCATGAATGTGTAGAGAAAGAACAAAGGATGTCAATGGGGAAGCTTGAAAGTGTTAAGCAAACACCTTCTTTCATAAAGGCTTTTGCAGGAGAAAAGAAAATCCCCCTTCATTTTGAAGTCTAAGGAAGAGGATGTAGTAGCAAAATAGAAAACACATGCATGAATATGGATATAGTGTTCCACACAGCCCCAGTGACTCAAAGACAACAATGAAAAGATGATTATGGCTCCTATTACAAAGGTGATGAGCTGGATGTAATTAGGGATTAAATCTGAAATTCCCAGTACATACCCAGCGACTCAGGAACTTGACAAGCTGCCATCTCTCTGAGATCCCTGGAGGAGCAGTGTGGCCAGCTTACTGGGGGAGAGGCGTCTGGGGGACCTGCCCATAGCAAGCCACTCATCGGAGTGCTAATGCGCAGAGGGTCCTCTATGAGTGGACTGGAGTGGTGGTGTCTGCTCACTTTCCCTTTATTGTGTGTGCATCAGCTGGCATCCTGGCAGGGTGGTGACTTGTCAGGAAGAAGACAAGTTGCTAGGTAACAAGGGAGGATGAGGGAAGCCCCCTCCGTCTTCCTCAGAGAGAGAATACGAAGGGGCTCCAAGAAGGATTTGGATGTTAAAAAACAAAAACAAGTGCTACCCTAAGGAATAAAAGGGGACCTTTTTTTTTTTTTTTTTTTTTTTTGGAACAGGCTGGTTGGTAGAGGGAAGAGAATTGCTGTGAGTTAGAGGTGGAAGGGGAGGAAAGCAAAAGAAGGCATATGGCCAGAAAGCAAAAGAGGGAAAAGTATGAAAAAGAGAGGAGGAAGACTGTGGGAAAGAAAATTTCTTCACCAGCTATGGAAATGGCCCCACTGCAGGATGGTGTACTAGAGTCTCCATTAACTAAAGGGAATTCAGGGAGTTAAGATTGTCTGTGCAAAAAACATGCTAACGTCATTCTAAAGGTGTGGTTTCTAGACCAGCCCCAATTCATCTGGAAACTTGTTGAAAGTGTCATTCTGAAGCCCCATCCCAGGCCTCCTGCTTCAGAAACGTGTTTGTTTGTTTGTTTTTTGAGACAGAGTCTTGCTCTGTGGCCCAGGCTGGTAACCACATTGCAGTGGTGCGATCTTGGCTCACTGCAACCTCTGCCTCCTGGATTCAAGTGATTCTTCTGCCTTAGCCTCCAGAGTAGCTGGGATTACAGGTGCGTGCCACCATGCCGGCTAATTTTCATATTTTTAATTGAGATGGGGTCGTACCATGTTGGCCAGACTGGTTTCAAACTCCTGACCTCAAGTGATCCGCCTGCCTCGGCCTCCCAAAGTGCTGGGATTACAGGTGTGAGCCACCACGTCCATCCTCAGAAATGTGTTTTAACTAGCCCTCCAGGTTATGTAAAAACATGCTTTTTGAAATTTGAGGACCAATGCTACAAAGAAATGAGACAGATTTTGGAGGTGTAAGGAGGGGGACATCAAAGCAAAATTTTCTAATTAGTATTAGAAAAAAAATTACTTGCCTGGAAAAGTTAAACACGCAAGGAAGTTTATCCGAAGTTATTGCAACAGGAGAGAGGGACTAGAACTCAGTGTGAACTCAATGCTGCTGATGCAGAGGGTGCAAAGTTTTTAAAGGCTTTTAAAGGCTAGTGAAACATGCCAGAGGATGTTGTGAAGAGGTCGTAGGCCATTTGTGTTTGCTAATAAACTTCTATCTTTTGACAAGGGATGGTTTTATGACTTGGAGGAAGGTGTCCTGCTGAAGTTAGACTCCCACAAAAACTCTCCACAAAGACTGGGAGACAGGGGTGCCATCTCCTTTGATGATTACATTTCAAAGGGAGGGCTCCCAGGTCCTTGAGAAAGACATTCCTGGATTGTAAAACTGGCAGGAGGCTTTTGAAGAGATTTACATACATCTCAAAGGGGCAGAGAAAAAATGTACAATGACAAGAAATGCTCTAAAAAAAAAAGGGAGGTTAGGAAGAATCCTGCCTAAAGTTCAGTCAAGCTGAGGGAGCATGAAGGCCCTCTTGGTCGGGGGACAAGGGGACCCTTGGCATAGTTAAGCAAATGTTGTCCTCTCTTTGCAAGAATCCTCCCGCTTCTTGTAATCTAAATCCAGCACCTCACTGCATCTGACATAACTATACTGGAGGTGACAAGGATGAATGACACCTTATTCCAGAAGGAGATTTCTTCAGGGTGACAGAGAGGAGGGGGAAGGAGGGAGTGGTAGGAGTGGAGAAAACCAGTGAGTGTAGAACCTTCTCCCTCTCAGCTGCTGCTGGTTTCATTTCCCAAATGGGAAAACAGAGCAGGATATGCAGACAAGGAGGGCAGCTTGGGTTTGACTTGCTCGAGTCTCTTGAAAGTTTTTCTGAAAAGCTGATAACATTTTCTTGGGACACAGACAACTACAATTAAGATGAAAAGCCCGTCACTGCCCTGGCCAGCTTAAGCCCAATCTGTTGTGTTGCATGAACAGTTGTAACCCCCGCATGGCCCTGCTCCTGAGGGATTTGGCCCAGATGAATTGCCCTCAAACAGTAGGACTTTGGCCTTACTTGAAGGCTTCATTTTTCCAACTGCAGAGCTGTTGGGGGCATGGCCACCATTGCATTTGATATAAGAATTCCTGCTAGAAGAATTCCTGCTCTTTCCATATCTGTTGTCTGCCATGGTTGTGCCTCTTCCACATAGTTGGTGACTGAGTATTCACCACTGATCAGGGTTGAGTATTCCAAAGGACAAACAGGCATTTGCTTAGTGATCTTTTGGATCACCTGCCCCCCACTTTTGGGGGGCAGGAGGAGACTTTTTCTTGGAATGGTAAGGAGGTACCTGTTCCAGAAAACCCAGCCAAGGGGGTTGGCATGGGGCCATTGGCTAATGTGCTGTGAGGCTGTGCAGCTCCTGCGGCCCAGTCCTGGTACCACACACACTTCCAGCACCTCTGCTTAGCCGACCTGCCTCCCGTCCAGCACAGGGGTGAGGTTACCACGGCTACAGGGCTCTGATGCCTAAAATTGGCTTGTCTGAGTGCCAATATCTGCTGCAGCCCATCAGGTAGGTATATGAGATGCTACTGAGTCAACCCAATGGTGATATTTAATAAATAAAAAAGCTATGAAAATGGCCATCATTATCACTTTATTTTGTAATCATTTGCTTATGTGTTTCCCTAGATTATGGGTTTCTCATAGGAGAGCTGAAGTCTACTCAATGAATGTCTGTGTGGTATATGAAAAAATGGTCACCATCACTAATCTTCAAGGAAATGCAAATCAAAACCAAAATGAGATATTACTCACTCCAGTTAAAGTGGCTATTATCAAAAAGACAAAATATAACAGAGCTGGTGAGGATGTGGAGAAAGGGGAACACTCCTTGTACACTGTTGGTGAGAATGTGAATTAGTACAACCACTATGGAGAACAGTATGGAGATTCCTCAAAACACTGAAAATAGAACTACCAGATGATCCAGCAATCCCACTGCTGGGTATATACCCAAAAGAAAGGAAATCAGTATATTGAAGAGATAGCTGCACTCCCCTGTTTATTGCACCACTATTCACAATAGACAGGATATGAAATCAACCTAAGTGTACATCAATGGATAAATGGATAAAGAAAACGTGATATAGATACACAATGGAATATTATTCAGCCATAAAAAGAATGAGATCCTGCCATTTGCAGCACCATGGATGAGCTTGGAGCACATTATAAGTAAAATAAGCCAGGCACAGAAAGATAAATATTGCATGCTCTTAGTCACTTATGGGAGCTTAAAAAGTTGATCTTAAGGAGGTGGAGAGAAGAATTATAATTACTAGAGTCTGAGAAGGGTACGGGGCTGATGGGAATGAAGAGAGTTTGGTAGCTTTGTTAATGGCTACAGTTAGGCCAGGCGCAGTGGCTCATGCCTGTGATCCTATCACTTTGGGAGGCTGAGGCTAGAGGAGTGCTTAAGTTCAGGAGTTTGAGACCAGCCTGGGCAATGCAGTGAGACTCTGTCTCTATTAAAAAACAAAGGCCCCAAAATATGGTTAGATAGGATAAGTTCTAGTTGGCTGGGTGCCATGGCTCATGCCTGTAATCCCAGCACTTTGGGAGGCTGAGGTGGGCAGATCACCTGAGGTCAGGAGTTCGAGTCCAGCCTGGCCAACATGGTAAAACCCCATGTCTACCAAAAATCCAAAAATTTAGCTGGGGGTGGTGGTGCACACCTGTAATCCCAGCTACTTGGGAGGCTGAGGCAGGAGAATGGCTGGAACCTGGGAGGTGGAGGTTGCAGTGAGCCAAGATCACGCCACTGCACTCCAGCCTGGGTGACAGAGTGAGACTCTGTCTCAAAAAAAAAAAAGAGTAAGCTCTAGCTTTGGATAGCAAAGTAGGGTGACTGTGGTTACCAATAATTTATTGTATATTTCAAAATAACGAGAAGAGAGAATTTGAAATGTTCTCCATACAAAGAAATGCTAAGTGTTTGAGGTGATGGATATTCCAGTTAGCCTGATGTAATCGTTACACATTGTAAGTATGTATCAAAATATGACATGTACTCCATAAATATGTACAATTTTGTCTCAATAAAAAACTTCTACAAATGTTTAAAAAAAATGCTTGTGTCAATATATGAGCAAAAGAATTAATGAAATGCCCCAGAATGCTTTTTTTTTTTTAGGAGTACACCTAAAAATATTACTAAGCTTGACACAAAAAGCTGTGCCTCCTTCATTGCACTTAGGAGTTGGAGAATCACTGCTGGAAGAACTATCATAAAGTGGACAATCTTAGTAATACGTAAGGGTATTAATTTAGTAATAAGTTAAATTAACCAGAGAACATATTCTAGTACATGGTAACACTTTTTGGTTGAACTTCTAACCGACGAATACAGGACAAAAGCTCATTTGTGACAAATATTTGCAAAATGGCCAAACCAACATTTTAGGGTGTGAATTAGAGTTAAAAGATTAATTCAATTGCACTATAAATAATTCACCAAAGGGGCTATTTAAAGAGGGCTTACTGTGGGCTTGGCACGCACCTGGACAGACACAGAAATGCTAAGACCACGTTGGCCTCCCACAGGCTTCTGCAAGCAGGATGGCTTCATGATGACCAAGAGCCCAAGAAGCCTGAAATTGGCCACACGAAAATAACGTTTCGAGGGCATACAGTTTTAAAATGTCCATTTAAAAGACACTATTTTTTAAATTAAAACGAAACAAAAACAACATTAAATTATTCCCATTTTAAACTGTTTGCCTTGTAGAATAAAATGATTTTCCTTATGATATAAACTCTGAACACATCAAAGCCAAATAATAATCTGAAGAAACTGGTTTCAGCCATAAGAAGAAAAGGCTGGAAACAAACCAAGCTACATCCCTCCTAAGTGTCTTTATTCCAGCTAATTCTGAGGAGCAATCGGGATGCTCTTGAAAGCATTTGCATTGCAAAGTAGGCTGGAAATTGGCCTTGTTTAAACAAGCACTCCCTGTAAGTGCTGC
Source organism: Homo sapiens (assembly GCF_000001405.40). Taxonomy (NCBI): domain Eukaryota; kingdom Metazoa; phylum Chordata; class Mammalia; order Primates; family Hominidae; genus Homo; species Homo sapiens. The sequence continues at coordinate 139,628,323 of NC_000004.12, forward strand.
CCACCCTTACCCCCGCTTGGCAGCAGCAACCTGTCCATATGAGAAGCAGCCACGTGAGCCATTGCTGCTGAAAAGAAACCTTTGAGCTGCTCGACTGTTTAACTAATTAATGCCTTGCTCCCCTAAGGTTAGAAAGAAAAGGAGGAGGAAGAATTTGTGGGTGATACACCACTTTGGGTCCATAATATACTTTCAAAGACGAATGCAAGGTGTACTCACTGGGTACTGTTCAAATCTCTTGTGGAATCTTCACTAATCCCTGGCGTTCGGCGGATCACAGCGAGGCCTCTGGCTGCAGAGCCGATCTCAATGGGTCGATAGCAACAGGAAAGACTCTAAAGCTTCTTTTGATCCTAGCATAAATCAGAAGAAAAAAAAATCCACGAGTCCCACCACGGAACATTAGCCGTCTAAGCAGGGATATTTTAAAACTAAGCAACCTCTGAGGCTGACCAGCAGCCAAGAAGCCCAGGGAGTGGAGGACAGCAAATAGGGATGGGGAGGGAGGGTGAGGCCGGTGGGAGCCGGTGTCCTGTGCTGTGACAGATTGACATGTGTCACATACTCCCCTTCTCCCTTTCTCTCTCAAGTTATGCCATTAGAGCCAGACCTACCCAAAATTGTGAAGAAAAGTACAAAGTACAAGTTCCCTCCTTTATTATTATCATTATATTTTTTTTACTGCTCTTTTTTATTTTTATTTTATTTTATTATTATTATACTTTAAGTTTTAGGGTACATGTGCACAATGTGCAGGTTAGTTACATATGTATACATGTGCCATGCTGGTGTGCTGCACCCATTAACTCGTCATTTAGCATTAGGTATATCTCCTAAAGCTATCCCTCCCCCCTCCTCCTCCTTTATTATTACAGTTGACCCCTGCACTGTACAGTTCAACACGGGTTTGAACTTCAAGGGTCCACTTATACTTGGATTTTTTTTTTCAACCAAAGCTAATCGATAATACAGTATTCCCAGGATGCAAAACCTGAGGACTGGCTTTTCACATGGGTTCTGTAGGACTTGAGTATGGACTTGAGTATGTTCGGATTTTGATATCTGTGGGGGTCCTGGAACCAATACCCTGTATATAACCAAGGATGACTGTAGGTTTGTTTGTTTGTTTGTTTGTTTTTCTTAACCATCCTATGTTAGTCTACTCAGGCTGCCATAACAAAATACCACAGACTGGGTGGCTTAAATAGCAGAACTTTATTTTCTCACAGTTCTGGAGGCTGGAAATCCAGGGTCAAGGTGCCAGCAGGCCTCTCTTCCTGGCTTGCGGCTAGCTGCCTTCTTGCCATGTCCTCACATGGCCTTTCCTTTTGGTGTCTCTTCCTCTTCTTATAAAGACACCAGTCCTATTGGAGGAGGGCCCTCCTCTTCTGGCCTTATTTAATCTCAAGTGATCCTCGAAGCTTCTTTAAGGAAATCACTTCCTAAAAGGCCTTAACTCCAAACACAGTCACAGTGGTGATTAGGGCTTCAACATAGGGTTTTTGGGAAGGACACAGTCTAGTCCATAGCATACCTCCCTGCTTTTCTTTCCATGTTTGCACGCCTGTCCCTTTTACTTGTCTCTCCAGTTACACTAAGCTTAACTCAGGAAATGGTCTGACATGGCCCAATGCACTTGAGGAATGGAGAGCTGGATGCTGGAAGGGACCCTTTATTAGGATCTTCTCTAGGAGACAGGATGAGTGTGAAAAAACCAGACTTCAGAGGAGAGTGTGGATCATGCCATGGAGTGTTATGGCTGAAACTAAGTGGTTACTATGCTGTCTTTCTCCTTTTCACACTCAACTTCTAGGAAAACAAAAGCCATGCTGATTTCTCCATTTTCTCACTCCCATTCATTCTCCAACCTAGCCTGGCTTCCATGATGATTCTGAAACATTTTTCAATGGAATGGCTAAAATCTGCCTAGTTAAGTATCTCCTTGTGTTACACCCTATGCACACTTCTTTCATTTATTTAAGTATGCATTCAACTGAGCATTGCATGTAGCCACAGCCCAGTTTCTTCAAGTTTGCCATGTCTGAGGACTTGTAGACCAATGGATCTTCAGTTTTTGGATCATCTTTTAACTAGACTAGGTTGTGGGATTGTATGTAATATTTCTCTCCTTTTATACTTGAATTACAAAAGTGCTTTTCAGATTTCCGACACTGTCACCTACATGATGTCATTTTGTCTTGAGTAACAGCAACATTATGAAGTTCTTTATCAAAATAATTCTATGATTATTGCAATTATGCGTTTCTGAGAAGGAGCAGAATTCATCATAAAGACTGATGACTCTTTTCTTTGGGAAATACCTTGAAAAGACTTTTAAAAATAAGAATGAGATGCCACAGGGGCAGGGATTGTGAAAAGAGGACTGCATGCTGCATGTACATTCACTGTACATGAATTTAAGAGTATTTCCCTATAGGCTTGCAAGAGGGGGCCAGAGGATCATATATATTATAGGAACACCAGGTTTGATTTCCCATTGTGCAGTAATAGATCAATACACCAAAACAGAAGGAGTTGCAACAGAGAAAGGGTTTAATAATGGTAGGGCAGCCAAATGAGGAGACAAGAGGAAACCTCAAATCCACCTCCCTGAGAGGATTGGGGATGAGGTTTTTAAGGGCTCTGTATGGGCAAATGGCTAAAGTGTGGGGATTGTTGATTGGTCCAGAAGTGAGGAGTGAAGTCATGGGACAGGGAGATGAAGAAACAACATTCCTGTGCTGAGTGAGTTTCTTGGTGGGGGTCTTTAAACCGATTGGTGGCAGCCGTTCTGCAGGAATTCAGGTTCTGAAAAACACTTTAAGCAGTTCTTGGGTAAAAAGGTCAAATGTCACAGATTCCATCGATAGGAACAATAGAGGAGCTGGTGGTCAGCCTGCTCTGTGACTCTCGGTTAGTTAGCTGGTGCAGGGAAGTGGGTCAAAGTGCACCTGTGCACCCTGGTCAATGCCTAACTAAAATTCTGCCTAAAGCATGGCTTGTCATTCTTGTTAACCTGTGAGGGTGGTTTCAGATGCCCTGGACAGGAGGAAACGTAAAGAATCTCTAGAGAGGGAAGTGACCTGAACAAAACTGGCAGAGGTGGAGATTTAAGGGGAAAATGGTCCTTGAGAAATTCCTCTCAAGGACTTTAGGACATTATGCATAATGTTTAGCTTTAAATTATTTCTAGCTTCGTGCTTTGCTGTGGTCTTTTACCTGTAAACATTTGATGAATGTCTATTATACATAACAGCTATGTGCTACTGGAGCTTGTGGAATACAAGGAACAGCCATGGCCATGTATGGAGGGTAACGGTTGAGAGAGAACAGCAGAAAGAAAAGAGAAGAGAACAAGCTGGGCCCCATTCTCTAGGGTTTAAGTGAGAGATGAGAGACCCAAGTTTTTTAGAAATCTTAGGGTTGCACTGGTTCAATATCTCCATAAAGAATCCATTCAACACTTTGGCCTCTCAGCTTCTTCATCTCATTTCCCTGAACCTAGCCTCCAATCCTTCTAGCCACTCACTCCCATGGTCATACTATATGTCTTATCATTACTAATTGTTGCATTCTTCCAAAATTTTGCTTTCAAGCATCCTAAAATGCCTGATTACCCTTTTGGATTTTCCCTGCTCACTTGTTGCAGCACCCCTGCTCTAACAATGATCACCCACACATGGATTTTTAAGCCTCTGATGGTCTCATCTTCACATTGCCATTCAGCTTTCGTAACTTCACTTCTCTCCTAACTTGGCCAAAAGCCATCCTTCACCTTCAACTTCCCCCATTCCTTCAAATTTTCCAGCCAAACTCTAGCCCTAGTTCACCCAAATCTGCCTACTCTGTGTCTGCCCCTGAAGAAGAACTGAATGCCACTGGGAAAAGTCACATGCCATCTTAATGGGTCTCACTTTAAATTTATGAACTCAAATTTCAAGTGGGCTGTGTCAGCCTGGGTCCAGCCAGGCAAAAAGAAACTACTTTAAGTGTTTCAAACAGTGGGAATGTAATGCAGGGAACTGGTTATGTAAGCGATGGATTGTTGCAGCAAGTCAGGGACCACGAATGGAGGGACCAGCTGGAGCTGCGGCAGAAGAACATAAATTGTAAAGATTTCATTTTAATATGGACATATATCAGTTCCCAAAAGTAATATTTTTATAATTTCTTATGTCTGTCTTTACTGCAATCTCTGAATATAAATTGTGACAATTTCATGGACATTTATCAGTTCCCAAATAATACTCTTATAATTTCTTACACCTGTCTTACTTTAATCTCTTAATCCTGTTATCTTTGTTAGCTGAGGATGTACGTCACCTCAGGACCACTGTAATTGTTTCTAACTGTACAAATTGATTGTAAAACGTGTGTTTGAACAATATGAAATCAGTGCACCTTGAAAAAGAACAGAATAACAGTGATTTTAGGGAACAGGTGGAAAAGATTCCACTCTGGTAAATTTGAGTTCAGACCAGTTCTCTGCTCTCGAACCCTGTTTTCTGTTGTTTAAGATGTTTATCAAGACAATAGGTGCACAGCTGAACATAGACCCTTATCAGGAGTTTTTGATTTTGCCCTTTGCCTTGTGATCTTTGTGATCATGCCTCAGAAGCATGTGATCTTGTTCTCCTTTTTGCCCTTTGAAGCATGTGATCTTGTGACCTATTCTCTGTTTTACACCCCCTCCCCTTTTGAAATCCTCAATAAAAACCTGCCGGTTTTGTGGCTCAGGTGGACATCACGGTCCTACCGATATGTGATTCAGCCCCGGAGGCCCAGCTGTAAAATTCCTCTCTTTGTACTCTTTCTTTTTATTTCTCAGCCAGCCAACACTTATGGAAAATAGAAAGAACCTATGCTGAAATATTGGGAGCCGGTTCCCCCGGTATCTGGTGCGCCAACATGGTTTTCTTTCTCCTAAGTGCATGTGGGAACCCGATTCCCTTTGGTAGGTGCAGTGAAACGTTCATCCGTCCGGTCCACAGAAACGCTTGTTCGGCTCCCTGACGATTGCTGAGTTGTCTGTGTATTGTCCGGGGTAACTATGGGTCACGCGGAGTCTAAACGTTATGCTTATCTCTGCTATATTAAACTCCTGTTAAAACAGGGGAGAGTTTGAGTGCCCGTGGAAAATATGGTCACTCTATTCAGGGCAGTGGAAGAACACTGTCCTTGGTTTCCTGAAAAGGGAACGTTAGATGTGAAACTATGGGATTGTGTTGCTGCAAAATTCCGGGAACTGGTCCCAACAGGGAATTATGTTCCCGTCACTGTTTGGGGTGATTGGGCCTTGGTACGTGCCATCCTAATGACATACCAATCCTGTGACCCCCTGCAGTTACCACAAGTTTCGGAATCCGGCAACCCTCTACCTCTTCCTCAGCTTTCCTCTCCCACTCGGCCTTTGTTATCTGCTCAGCCTCTCCCTTCGCCTACTCCTCCCCCACCTGAAGATGGTGAGAATTCAATATCTAACTCCGGTGACTTTGGCTTAACCTCACCCCCTGATGATCTTATTTCTTTCCATGAAGAGCCGATACTTGTAGCTCCCGAGGCCCGGACTCGGACAGCCCAGGATCATAACTATGCTAATTTTTCCCTCTTCAAAGCTTTGCAGCCTTTGGCTCCAGAGCCATCTAATGGCCCCAGGACCAAACTACAATTTACCTGTAATTCTGCAGGCCTTCCCCCATCCACCGCAGCCCCTCATCCTCCTGTCATTTCGGTCCCTCAACCGGTCACTTTGCCATCCACTCAACCTGCTTCTCTGTACCCTTCTTCATGCATGGATGCCCCTGCCATTCTTGTTGCACAGGATTGCGCCAATAACCACCAGTATGCTTTTACCTCTTCTGCTCCCCCAATGCCCCTTCTCACACTCTCATACCAGTCCGACATCCTCAACTTCAGTTTCTCTTATCTACACATACTTTTCCTGTCACTTCTATGCCGACTCCATCTCACGTGCCTGCTCTTGAAACTTCCATGCAACGCTTATTACGCCAAAGCAAAGAAGCAAGTAGATTAGATGCGTGGGCTTATCCAGTTGCGCTGGAACCTCCAAATGCTCAAGGGGTAGGAGTGCGTCGATATGCGCCACTCAATCTTACCTTTTTAAAAGAATTCAAGGATGCTTGTACTCAGTATGGTCCTACTTCTCCATATGTTAAAATGGTATTACAGACTCTTTGTACTGAGGTCATTTTGCTTCCTTTAGACTGGGATCTTTTGGCAAAAGCTGTTCTAAGTCCATCTCAGCATTTACAATTCCGTACCAGGCAGTCAGAGGAGTCCCCTTTGCAGACTCAGCTAAATCGGGCTGATGGCATTCTAATAACTCAGGCTCAGCTCACAGGCCCTGATAATTACTCTGATACTACTGCCCAACTAGGCTTTGATGCTCTCACCACGGAACAAGTAACAAAGTGTGTATGAGAGCTTGAGATAAATTACGTGCCCCAGGCCAAGCTCCTGTTTCTTTTACTACTGTTAAACAGGGTCACAATGAATTATATCCTTATTTTTTGGTCAAATTACAAGATGCTGTTCAAAAACCTGTCTCTGATGAGCGCGCTCAAGGTATTCTCCTTCGTACGTTAGCTTTTGAGAATGCGAATCATGAGCATAAAATGGCCATGTGTTCTGTCCAATGACAAAATTTACCTCAATTACATTTAGCATTGTTTACTTTCAACTTTCTAAATGTTCCTAAAGACAATACTCTGACTGCAGCTGAATGCCATTATACAGGCAAAAAATTCTCCCTAAATGAAGGCAAGCCAGTGTTATGGAAAAACTCCTAAACCAATACCTGGAAACCTGGAACAATTATAACGTGGGAAAGAGGGTATGCTTGCGCTTCACCAGGAGATCATCAATCCCCTGTATGGGTGCCCACTAGAAGACTTACACTTCGTGTGAATACTGACAAAGAAAACCACAGGGAAAAGACGTCCGTGTCAGAGACTGCCCTGATATGTGGTGAGATCTGTGCTGACTCCTCAGAAACTGGCACACCAAATCAAAATGGGTCTGGTTCAATCCTCCCTAATGGCAACGGAGACCCCCTAACTAATCCCACTTCTCCTAATTACCTTTCTTTTTCTCCTTACAAACCTAAAAATCTCAACCTTTCTATTAGCCTGAAAATAACATCTCTCTGTTCTTCTCTTCCTCCTTTAGCACTGAATTTCAGTTACAATAGGTTTTATTTAATAATTCTCCTCCTTATACTTTCTATCTCACCAGTTTCCCTCACACTGATTTACCTGCTACACAAAATTATTCTTATTGGGCTTATGTGCCTTTTCCTCCACTTATTCGACCTCTGACCTGGATGGATGCTCCTGCGGAAATCTATACTGAGGATAGTGTGTGGATGCCTGGAGCTACAGATGACCATTGCCCCGCTCAACCAGGAGAAGAAGGCACTGCACTTAATGTTACTATGGGTTATAAATACCCTCCTCTGTGCCTCGGATACGCACCTGGTTGTATCCATCTAGAAACTCAAGTCTGGGCTGCTTATCTTCCGGAGAGATTAGCTACAAGACAACGGGGACATTTGGTCTCCGGCCTCTCCCTTTCTCCTTTAAAACAAATGAAAGGGGAGTAATAGGAGATACCCCATACTTTCAATATAAACCTGTAGGAAAACCATGTCCTAAAAATTTTGAAGGCCCATCTAAAACTTTAATTTGGGAAGATTGTGTTAACTCATATGCAGTAGTATTAAAAAATGACTCATATGGTTTAGTAATAGACTGGGCACCAAAGGGTTATTTAAAAAACAATTGCTCCTCTGGCGGAAGGGAATGCCTGGAGGCTATTTATTTTATTTCTTATTGGGAGGACAAGGATCATCATCCTACTTTGCATGGGAGGTTCAGCTCATTCTTTCCCTTAAAATGGGAAGATAAGGGAATTACCCCTGCCCCCTGAGGCCTCTTATGATATTCCCCATTCTGAGCCCAGAACACTTTGAACTTTGAAAATTGGCTGTTGCCATGTACGGACTGCGAGTATGGGAAGGGGAAACTTTTCTGTCTGTTGTCCTCCCTACCACCCCTCCAATCTATGATTCTGAACCCCATGATAAATCCCCTTTGAATCCTTTTCCTCTTTTTGATGCCAATCCTCCTTTATGGGACTCCAATTGGCATTATGATAATTCTTCTCAACCCAGGTATGCCCCCTACCTCTTTGGCATCCCTGGGCATCTCAGATTGCTTCTTTATGGCGGAGAACATCGGGCATGGCCACCACCGCTTTTCTCCCTCAGTATCAATGTAGATTCAAACATTCTGCTTTGTTTACCTCTAACCTGGCTATTCCTATACAGAGTTGTGTTAAGCCTCCTTACATGCTGTTAGTGGGAAATATCAAAATTCGGATGAACAATCAAACTGTCCAATGCATTAATTTTCATTTATATACTTGTGTTAACTCCCGTTTTGACTCCAGGAGAAGTGTAATGTTGGTTCGAACTCGAGAAGGAATCTGGATACCGGTAACCGTACCCAGACCTTGGGAATCTTCCCCCCCAGTACATTTAATTAATGTAGTGTTACTACGAATTCTCAAAAGATCTAAGAGATTTGTTTTCACTTTAATCGCTGTGTTCATGGGCCTAATTACAGTCACTGCACTGTCCACCACTGCCGGAATGGCATTACATCAATCTCTTCAAACAGCTCATTTTGTTAATGATTGGCAAGCCAATTCTACTCAAATGTGGAATTCTCAACAAGGCACTGATCAAAAATTAGCTAATCAAATTAATGATTTAAGACAGTCTGGCTGGGCGTGGTGGCTCACGCCTGTAATCCCAGCACTTTGGGAGGCCAAGGCAGGTGGATCATGAGGTCAGGAGATCGAGACCATCCTGGCTAACACAGTGAAACCCCATCTCTACTAAAAATACAAAAAAATTAGCTGGGTGTGGTGGTGGGTGCCTGTAGTCCAGCTACTCGGGAGGCTGAGGCAGGAGAATGGCATGAACCCGGGAGGTGGAGCTTGCAGTGAGCCAAGACCGCACCACTGCACTCCAGCCTGGGTGACAGTATGAGACTCTGTCTCAAACAAACAAACAAAAAAAAGACAGTCTGTTATTTGGCTTGGGGATTGGCTAATGAGTCTCGAACATCACATGCAAATGCAGTGCAATTGGAATACTTCTGATTTCTGTATCACACCATATTCCTACAATGAGACTGATCATTCATGGGAAATGGTCAAAGGACAACTTCTGGGTAGGGAAGATAATTTATCCTTGGACATAACCAAATTAAAGAAACAAATTTTTAAATCCTCTCAAGCTCATTTATCCATTGTGCCTGAAACTGAGGCATTAGATCAGGTGGCAGAAAGTCTTTCTAGACTAAACCACATGACTTGGATTAAGTCTACTGGGGGCTTCACTGTAGTAAATTTTGGAATTATGTTTCTCTATTTAATCTGCTTGTTTTTAATGTGCTGGACCAATCAAAGAATCCTGCGTCAAAACTGAGAGAATGAACAAGCCTTCATTGCCATGGCACATTTATATAAAAACAAAGGGAGAGATGTTGCGGGAAGTCAGGGATTGCGAATGGATGGACCGGCTAGAGCCGTGGCAGAGGAACATAAATTGTGAAGATTTCATTTTAATATGGACATATGTCAGTTCCCAAAATTAATACCTTTATAATTTCTTATGCCTGTCTTTCCTGCCATCTCTGAACATAAATTGTGAAGATTTCATGGACATTTATCAGTTCCCAAATAATACTCTTATAATTTCTTATACCTGTCTTACTTTAATCTCTTAATCCTGTTATCTTTGTAAGCTGAGGATGTACGTCACCTCAGGACCACTATAATTGTATCTAACTGTACAAACTGATTGTAAAACATGTGTGTTTGAACAATGTAAAATCAGTGCACCTTGAAAAAGAACAGAATAACAGCAATTTTAGGGAACAAGGGAAGACAACCATAAGGTCTAAGGGCCTGCAGGATCAGGCAAAAAGATCCATATTTTTCTTCTTGCAGAGAGCCTATAAACGGATACGCAAGTAGGAGAGATATTGCTAAATTCTTTTCCTAGCAAGGAATATTAATATTAAGACCCTGGGAAAGGAATTGCATTCCTTGGGGGAGGTCTGTAAACAGCTGCTCTGGGAGTGTCTGTCTTATGAGGTTGCAATAAGGACTGAAATACATCCTGGTCTCCTGCAGTACCCTCAGGATTATTAGGGTGGGGAAAAGATCCCACCCTGGTAACTTTGAGTTCAGACCAGTTCTCTGCTTTCAAACCCTGTTTTCTGTTGTTTAAGATGTTTATCAAGACAATACGTGCACAGCTGAACATAGACCCTTATCAGAAGTTTTTGATTTTGCCCTTTGCCTTGTGATCTTTGCTTTGCCCTTTGCCTTGTGATCTTTATTGGCCTCAGAAGCATCTGATCTTGTTTTCCTTTTTGCCCTTTGAAGCATGTAATCTTGTGACCTACTCCCTGTTCTTGCACCCCACCCCTTTTTGAAATCCTAAGTAAAAACCTGCCTGTTTTGCAGCTCAGGTGGGCATCATGGTCCTACCGATATGTGATGTCCCCCCTGGAGGCCCAGCTGTAAAACTCCTCTCTTTTTACTCTTTCTCTTTATTTCTCAGCCAGCCAACACTTATGGAAAATAGAAACAACCTATGTAGAAATATTGAGGGCTGGTTCCCCCGATAACGGATGGACTGAGAAGTCAAACAAGGGCTGGTGAGATAGCCCAAAGATGTAACGGCATGAAGCTGCTACCACCCTTAAGTTGGAGAGACAAAGGAGGAGACCACATCACCAGCCCAGGAACAAAGTCACTGAGTGACAGGTGAAAGCATGGTGGGCATGTTGGGAAGAGCTGGAGACAGGCAAGAGTCGCAGATAGAGCCAGAGAATGTGAGGGAGAAATTCCTTGAGTTTTTCTCCCCACTATCCTCCTAGCTCCTGACAGGGTTTCCTGGTGTATAAACCAAGCTGGAAGCCAGATGAAAAAGAAGTCTGGAAAACTCAGCCCATGTGGGTAAGGCTCCAACAATATGGAGCAGAGCAGGGCAAGAATAAGAAAGAGATATAAGATAAAAGAGACCAACCACTGGAACAGTCTTTCCCTTTTGTTACTTGGCATCCGTTCTTACCCTTCCACTCTGTGTCAGCCAGAGTTCAGTGTGAAAAACAGAAAGACACACACACACACGCACATACTTAGACACACACAAGGATGCCTGTGTAGACACATATATTTATATAAAGGGATTTACTATAGGAGCTTGACCTTGTGCAATTGTGGGACTGATTATGCAGTCTCCATGTGGCTGTTGCTTCAGTTGCTGGCCGAAGGCTATAGGGCAGGCAACTGGGCAGTTGGGAAAGGAAGACAGGTGTGAGGGGGGAATCAAGGACACATGAACCTCCATGGATGCGCCACACTCCACGAGGACGGACTGAAACTCCTATCAGTCTCTCATCCCCTCCCACCTCCTACACTGATGATGCAAGTGATCTCCAGTGGAATCTGGTGCCCTTCATCATGGAATCCAACATGTACCTGGCCCAGTGACAAAGCAGCTGAGGCAAGATGTCAGCTGCAGCTGCCTGCTGCCTGCTGCCAACAAGCTGACCAGCACACAAGGGATGATGTGCCCGAGCTGCAACATCATCTTGTGTTTTGCACTGACCTTCCAAGTAGCAGAAGTCAATCATTGCTGCTGCACTTCTGCCCTCCAAATCTTACACATAATGTCTCTTTTGTGGCCCAGACTAACCCAGAACTACTCAGGAAGGGAGTAGAACATGGAGAACTCAGTTCCAGCTTAGCTAAGTTAACATGCTACAAACCCACCAGAGTTCATACCAGCATGGAATCTGTACACATCTTTAAATGATACTTAGATTTACTTCCAAATAAAGAGCTCTTTCATCTCATAATGCAACTGTCCATTATATAACCAAACCCATACTAACTCTTTCTCCAAAAGAGGATCCAAAGTCCCTTTATCCCTCTTTGGGCCATGATTATTTGTCTTCTAACAGAGTCACATTGTCTCCTTGAGACGTAAAGATGCATTTAGATGCAGGGGGACGGAAGAAAGGAAAAGAAAAAATAGTTTATATGTATATACATTTGTATCAAAATAAGAAATAAATACTCATAATTATTACAATTTTCCTCTGAAAGTAGTCACATGGTTATACCTGGTATTTATTTATTTTTTATTATTATTATTATTATTTGAGACAGGGTCTCACCCTGTCACACAGGCTGGAGTGCAGTGGTGCAATTATGGCTCACTGCTACCTCTGCCACCTGGGCTCAAGCCATCCTCTCACCTTAGCCTTCTGAACAGCTGGGATACATGTGCACTAATTTTTTTTTTTTTGAAACAAAAATATTTGTGTAGAAGGCACAAAAGCTACAATCACAGACTCCACTGTGCAAAGGCGCAACCTGCCTCATTGATCTCTAGTGTACACCAACCCAGCTTCCCTTTCCATTCAGCCTGTGAAAGGAGATAGTGCTTGGGCCATTTGGTAAAAGAAGGGGATGGGAGATGATCAAAACCCCAAGTAAGGTTCATCCAATATGGTGTCTAAGCAGCAAATGACTAATTGCTGAAGAAGGAGACTAGACAGAGGATTAGAGGCAGCCATGGGGCCAGTGCAGCTGTGGAGAGCTCTGAGCAAAGAAACAAGGTTGGCAGGTGAGGAGGCCTAGGATAGAGGCCAGAAGGCCAAGCCTGGGGCTGCGTGTGCACTAATTTTTGTATTTTTTTGCTTTTTTGATAGAGATGAGATTTCATCATGTTGCACAGGTGGGTCTTGAAGTCCTGGGCTCAAGTGGTCTGCCTGTCTCGGCCTCTCAAAGTGCTGGGATTATAGGTGTGAGCCACTGCACCCGGCTCATAGCTGGTATTTATAACTACATTCTCCCATTATTTATTCCATAGTTCCTTTGCACTTAGCAAATTTGGCTGGACATGATCCCTTGCCTGGTGGATGACCTAAGCCATGATTGCTGAAAGGTCTGGCCATTAGCAGTCCTGATGATGTAGTTTTCTGTTGACTTTAATCCAGGTCATGAGTACTGAGACACTCCAGGGAAGCTCCTGCATTCCAGACATACTCCTCATACTCCCAATGTATGGTTGCAACCCCATTCCCCTTGATAATCAGGGCCAATATCTTAGCCAGTAAAGAACCCCCTTCTTTTTCTATTGATGCATTGACATGAGGAACACAAAGCGGCCAGTTTTATGGAAACATTGCTGTGTCCCTGATAGAAGCAGTCCTTCCTGGCCAGGTGCAGTGGCTCACGCCTGTAATCCCAGCACTTTGGGAGGCTGAGGCGGGCAGATCACGAGGTCAGGAGATCGAGACTATCCTGGCTAACGTGGTGAAACCCCCTCTCTACTAAAAATACAAAAATTACAAAAATTAGCCGGGCGTGGAGGCAGGTGCCTGTAGTCCCAGCTACTCAGGAGGCTGAGGCAGGAGAATGGTGTGAACCCGGGAGGCAGAGCTTGCAGTGAGCTGAGATCACGCCACTGCACTCCAGCCTGGGCGACAGAGTGAGACTCCGTCTCTAAAAAAAAAAAAAAAAAAAGAAGCAGTCCTTCCTTGGGAACTAACATACCTTGGCTAACCGAGCCTAAAGTTGCATAGATGGGAAGCAAAATGTTCCCTAGAGGATCACTAGGTGTAATAGCGAAATGATTCAAGCCTGTGAATCCTAATTATAGGAGAAAAAGAACCACACCATTGCTGATTTAGAATATCATGCAATCTAGAGGACATTTCCCCAGTTCCACAAAGGGTTGCCACTGAGCTGGTACCATAAGTGGGCCACCAAAAGGCCATCCCCCTGCACAACAGTGTGCATATAGTTAACAATACTGTATACTTAAAGTTTTGTTACATGAGTAGATTTCATGTTAGGTGTTGTTTTTTTTTTTTTTTTTTTTTACCACAATAATAAAAAATAAAGGCCATCTCACCATTCTATCAGGCCAGCTCTTTCAGAAAATGGGAAACATGGCCAGTCACCTGCTAGCAGGTGACTGATTACAAAAGATCACTTTCATAATGGAAGTGGCAGCACTTTGTTCTCACTGCGATCGACACTTATTCTGGATACTCATTTGCCTTCCAGGCCTGCAGTGTGTCTGCCTAAACCATGACCTGTGAACTTATGGAATGCCTCATTCATTGCTGTGGTATTGCACATGCCACTGCTTCAGACTTAAGTAGCCATTCATATTTCAGATAGTGCCCAGCCTATCTGGCAGAACCCTCTGTAAATCAGACCTGAATTTTGTCTTCTGTAGTCAAGTGGTCATAGGGTGCTCCTGATGAGGTCCTAGCTGCAGGGTGAGAGGACAGTAACTAAGGCAAACAGGGATTTGAGGTATGCTGGGAGTACAGGAGGATGGGAACTTGGTTTTCTCTTACAATCTGAAATACTTAGCTTAGCCACACATGGCTCAGGGCTGGAATTCTTGCTGATAGTTGTTTTTGGGGAGATGCTCCCTTGTCTCTGAGCGTATGAATTCGTCATCTTTCTTGCAAACTCATTTCTTCTGTATTTCTCATTTTAATGAAAGGCACCACACTGTACCACTTATCCAAGCCAAATCCTACCCTCTATTTCCGCCCATATATTTGAACAGCCCTCAGTACATTTTTTTCCTAGAATGTACTCCAATGCCCTTTCCCTCCTCTCTGCTCCCATTGCTGCCACTCTAGCTCACGCCTGCTTTACTTCTCTGCTGGATTATGGCAACAAACTTTTAACTGGCTTCCCTACTCGCAGTCCCGCCACCTTCCTCAAACTCCTCCAAGCCCAAGGCCCTGCTGATCTTGCCCATACTGCATTCATCACACTTCCTTCCCTGGGCAATGCCGTTCCCTCATTCTCCCACACTCACCCTTGGCTCCAGCCACAGCGAATTAGCTGCTGTTCCTCAAATGCAAGGAGCCATTTTATATCCCTGTGCTTTTGTCTGTGCTATTCTTGCTAGCACCAATGTCCTCCTCGTCTTCTACAGGTTTCAAAACTCAGTTTGTGTCACCTGCTTTGCATTGCCCTCCTTGAGCTCTCCCCTCTGGTATAGCTGCCTCTCCTTCTTCCTCCTCAGCACCCTGTGCAACCAGCTTGCATGACACTGAGCGGGGGCACCTCTGCTCACAGATGTTGCTGTCTGTCTTTGTCACCAAGGCGTAAGTTGCTGGACTCATTTGTCTTGTATTCCCAGTTTCCTGGACAGTGCTTGGCATGTTGTGGTGCTCAATAAAAGTGGGTTGAATGCCTATTTGAGTAAATTTCTCAATGGTGATAATTCAGTGAATGCTTTGTTTGTTCTCATCTGTGGCACTTGACCCTGCTGACCATTTCCTCCTCGAAACTCTCCTCCTTCAGTTCCTCGGTGTCACACTCCTCTGGTTCTTCTCCTACTGCTCGGGCCAGCCCCTCTCTGTCTTCTTCATTGAAATCTTCTTCTGGTCAATCTTTACTTATTGAAAAATTTTTGTATAAATGTATGGGGTACAGGTGTAATTTTGTTACATGCACAGATTGCATAGTGGTGAAGTCAGAGCTTTTAGGGTATCTGTCACCCGGATAATGTACATTGTACCCAGTAAGTAATTTTTCATCCTCCACCCCCTTCCCATCCCCCACCCATCCAAGTCTCCATTGTCTATCATTTCACTCTCTATGTCTGTGTGTACACATTATTAACTCCCCCTTACAAGTGAGAACATGCAGTATTTGTCTTTGTGTGTCTGACTTGTGTCACTTAATGTAATGGCCTCCAGTTCCATCCATGTGGCTGCAAAAGACATGATTTCATTCTTTTTATGGCTGAGTGGCATCCTAAAGTGTATGTATAGCACATTTTCTTTATCCAATCATCTGTTGATGGACACTTAGGTTGATTCCATATCTTTGCTATCGTGAATAGTGCTGGGATAAATATATGGGTACAGGTATCTTTTTGATATAATAATTTCTTTTCCTTTGGGTACATATCCAGTAGTGGAATTGCTGGATAGAATGCTAGTTCTATTTTTAGTTCTTTGAGAAATCTCCATTCAATCTTTTTTGTTTGTTTGTTTGTTTTTGAGACAGGGTCTCGCTCTGTCGCCCAGGCTGGAGTGCAATGGCGCGATCTTGGCTCACCGCAACCTCTGCCTCCTGGGTTCAAGTGATTCTCATGCCTCAGCCTCCTGTGTACCTGGGATTACAGGCAAGCACCACCATGCCTGGCTAATTTTTGTATTTTTAGGGGTTTCACCATGTTGGCCAGGCTGGTTTTGAACTTATGACCTCAGATGAGGTCTCGCTTGCCTTGGCCTCCCAAAGTGCTAGGATTACAGGCGTGAGCCACTGCGACTGGTCTTCCATTCAATCTTTACATATGATACATTGCATACAATTCACTCATTTAAAGTATACAATTCCATTGTTTTTGGTGTACTGCATTATTAAGTTATTACATATTTATTATATTATTAATTTTTGAAAATTATGGTAAAATGTATATACCATAAAACCTATCATTAAGCATTTTTACATGTGCAGTTCAGTAGCATTAAGTACATTCACATGTTGTGCAGTCATCATCACTATTTGCAAAACTTTTTCATCACCCCAAACAGAAACTCTATAACCATTAAGCAATAGCTCCCCATTCTCCACTCTCTCCAGCTCCTGGTAAACTTTAATCTTCTTTCTGTCCCCATGAATTTGCCTATTGTAGGTACCTCCTATAAGTGGAATCATACAATATTTGTGCTTTCATGACTGGGTTATTTCACTTAGCATAATGTTTTCCGGTTCATCTGTGTTGTAGCATGTGTCAGAATTTCATTCCTTTTTATGGCTGAATGATATTTCACCGTATGCATATAACACATTTTGTTTTTCCATTCATCATTTTTTTTTTTTTTTTGGAGATGGAGTCTCGTTGTCACCCAGGCTGGAGTGCAGTGGCACGATCTCGGCTCACTGAAACCTCAGCCTCCTAGGTTCAAGCGATTCTTGTGCCTCAGCCTCCTGAGTAGCTGGGACTACAGGTGAGTGCCGCTACACCCAGCTAATTTTTGTTTTTGTTTTTTGTAGAGATGGGGTTTCGTCATGTTGGCCAGGCTGGTCTTGAGCTCCTGACCTCAGGTGATCTGCTCGCCTCGGCCTCCCAAAGAGCTGAGATTACAGGCATGGGCCACCGCGCCCGGCCTGTTTTACCATTTGTCTCTTGATGGAGACAGATTGTTTCCACCTTTAGGCTTTTGTGAATCATGCAGTTATGAATGTTGGCATACAAGTATCTGAGTTCCTGCTTTCAATCCCTTTGTGTACCCACCTAGGAGTGGCATCACTGACTCATATCATAATTCTGTGCTTAGCTTTTTCAGGAACAACCAAACTGTTCTTCATAGCAGCTGCACCATTTGTTTATTCCTATCAGCAATGTATGATGGTTCCAATTTCTCCAACACCTATTTTCCATTTTTAATACCATAGCTATCCCAGCAAGTGTAAAATGGCATCTCATTGTGGCTTTGATTTGTATTTCCCTAATGACTAGTCATGTTGAGCATCTTTTCATGTTGCCATGTCTGAATGTTCGTGTCCCCCACTCCCCAAATTTTTATGTTGAAACCTAATTGCCAATGTGACAGTATTAAGAAGCTGGGCCTTTAGGAAGCAATTAGTCTTCTATGAACCAGAAGACAGCCTTCACCACACATCAAATCTGCCAGCACCTTGATCTGGGACTTCCCAGCCTCCAGAACTTGAGAAGCAAATTTTCGTTTTTAAGAAACTGCTTAGTCTATGATATTTTGTTGTAGGAGCCTGAATAGACCAAGACGGCCATTTGCGTATCTTTGGAGAAATGTCTATTTACATTCTTTGCCCATTTTTGAATTGAGATGTTCGCTTTTATATTGTTGAGTTTTAAGTGTTCATTATATAATCTGGGTTTTTTGTTTTTTTGTTTTTTTGTTTTTTTTTTTAGGCAGGGTGAAGCTGGAGTGCAGCGGTGCTGTCATGGCTCACCACAGCCTCAAGCGATCCTCCTACCTTAGCATCCCAAGTAGCTGGGACTACAAGCATGCGCTACGACGTTCAGCTATGTTTTGTACTTTTTGTAGAAATGGGATTTTACCATGTTGCCCAGGCTGGTCTTGAACTTCTGGACTCAAGTGATCCTCCCGCCTTGGCCTCCCAAAGTGCTGGGGTTACAGGCATGAGCCACCACCGCACCTGGCCATATTCTGGATATTATTCTCTTATCAGACACACAATTTGCAAATATTTCCTCCCATCCTATGGGCTGAGCCATTATGTTTTGTTGCCTCTCATAGTTCCAACCTCTGCTCTCTCTTCTCACTCACACTTCCTGGGATATTTCATCGTCATAGGTGGTTTAAATGCTTATATGTTGATGATGCCTGCATCTCTTCTGCCAATTCTGATGTTTCCTCAAGCTCTAGACCACCCATATATTCAGAGGCCTATTGACATTCCCACTTGACTGAAAAACATGGCATACTGAAGACAATTCTCATCTTCTCATTCCAAATCGACTCCCTTCTAACATTCTCCACCTCTGGCACCACCATCCCAGCCACTCTAGAAAAAAGTATGAAATCATATCTAAATCCCTCTCTCTCCCACACACACTAAACCCCTCCCAGATATTTGGTAAATGCATCCTCTCCTTTTCATGCTCGTTGCCACTGGCCTTATGTGATCTCACTAGGACGACTGCAGTAGCCACCATCCTTCCTCCCCCAGGCTGTTCTCATATGTCCACCTGACTAGGCCACAAGCCTGCTTCAAATCATATAAAGACTTTCAGAAGAATGTTCAAACTCTTTGCATGAGCTTACCTGAGGCTCTTTTAGATGATCTGTCTCCTACCCCTCTCAACTCATCCTACATTCTTCCTTCACACACACTTCTGCTTCCACCTTACCAAAATGCTTGCAGTTCCGGAGATACACTGTCTTGCATCACTCTGCTTTTGTTCCATGCCTTGTGCACTTTCTGGGTGGAGCTTTCTCTGTTCCACCCTTTCTTGTGTGGTGAACTCTTACTCATCCTTCAAATACCCTTGTCCATGGGTCACCTCCACTGTAAAGCCCACTCTGACCTTTCCATGAAGAACTAACTCTTTCCTCTTTTGGCTGGTTTTGTACCCTACACCAACTTTTATTATTGCACATGCCTTACTGTATTAAATTTAATTAGATGGCCGGGTGCAGTGGCTCACACCTGTAATCCCAGCACTTTGGGAGGCCGAGACGGGCAGATCACCAGAGGTCAGGAGTTCGAGACCAGCCTGGTCAACATGGGGAAACCTTGTTTCTATCAAAAATACAAAAATTAGCCAGGCATGGTGGCACACGCCTGTAATCCCAGGTACTCGGGAGGCTGAGGCAGGAAAATTGCTTGAATCTGGGAGGCGGAGGTTGCAGTGAGCTAAGATCACACCATTGTACTCCAGCCTGGGCAACAGAGCAAGACTTGGTCTCAAATAAATACATAAATACATAAATTTAATTAGATCCCTGTCTCCTCCAGCAGACTATTACCTTTGTATTTCCAGCACCTAGCATGGGGCCTGATGTGATGTAGTGCTTCATTACTGGCAATACTTTGGAGATATTGTGGGTTTGGTTCCAGATGATCTCAATAAAGCAAATAACATAAAAAGTGAGTGGGTTGAATCACAAAAATTTGTTGGTTTTCTAGTACATATAAAAGTAACTATACTGTAGTCTATTGTGTGCAATAGTATTGCACTGGAGAAACAATGTACATACCTTAATTAAAAAATACCTTATTGCTGAAAAATGCTGACACAGAGACCCAAAGTGAGCATGCACTGTTGGATAAATGACACAGATAGACTTGCTCAACACAGGGTTGCCACAAACCAATACAATATTTGCAAAGTGCAATGAGGCTAAGCACAATAAAACGAGGTATTCCTGAGTATAAATTTTGAACTGTTTAATCAAAACCTCATGGAGTAGGCCGGGTATGGTGGCTCATGCCTGTAATCCCAGCACTTTGGGAGGCCGAAACAGGCAGATCGCCGGAGGTCAGGAGTTCGAGACGAGCTTGGCCAACATGGTGAAACCCCATCTCTACTAAAAATACAAAAATTAGCCAGGCATGGTGGCACGCGCCTGTAATCCAAGCTACTCGGGAGGGTGAGGCAGGAGAATCACTTGAACCCAGGAGGCAAAGGTTTCAGTGAGTTGAGATCATGCCACTGCACTCCAGCCTGGGTAACATAGCAAGACTCCATCTCAAAAAAAAAAAAAAAAAGAAACGAAAACAAACAAACAACAACCCAGAAAAAACCCTCATGGAGTAGAACTTCTAAACAGGTCAAATTCCCACCACTAAGGAGAGCATTCAGGGAAGTGCCCCCTGCTACTTGTCTCTCCCTGTCCCCAAAGGAGCACAACTCTTTTTTTTTTTTTTGAGATGGAGTCTCGCTCTGCCAGGCTGGAGTGCAGTGGCGCCATCTCAGCTCACTGCAACCTCCTCCTCCTCCCTCATTCAAGAGATTCTCCTGCCTCAGCCTCCTGAGTAGCTGGGACTACAGGTGCATGCCACCACACCAGGCTAATTTTTTTGTATTTTTAGCAGAGGCGGGGTTTCACCATGTTAGCCAGGATGGTCTCGATCTCCTGACCTTATGATCCGCCCGCCTCGGCCTCCCAAAGTGCTGGGATTACAGGCGTGAGCCACCACGCCTGGCCAAAAGAGAGCAACTCTTAACTGTAGGAGGCTGGACTCACAATTATTGCCTGCACTCAGTTGTGGCTGCATTTCAGCTTCATGTAACTTTAACTTTATTCAAGTACAAAAATCATATGTCTTAAATAAGGCAAGCTGCCCCATTGAGTGGGTTGAGAATTACTTAGGTCAGCAGACAGTGCTAGTTTGCCATCTAAGGGGATAGCAGAGTGGTTTTTGGGAATAGCAGGTGTTGGAGGTCCACAGGTATCAAAGTGATCTTATGATCACCGCCCAGCTTCGAGAAAACCCTGATCCCAGACCCCAGGCCTTATTGGCCTCATCAAGCAGAAGCTGCTTTATTTATTTCACTTCGCACACACACTCTCTCTCTCTCTCTCTCTCTATATATATGTATATATATAATTTTCCCTCTGGGAGGGGACAAATTCTTTGGGATTTCTTTTCTTTTAGAGACAGGATCTGGCTCTGTTACCCTTGCAAAGTGCAGTGGTGCAATCACAGCTCACTGCAGCCTCCAACTTCTGGGCTCAAGTGATCCTCCTGCCTCATCCTCCCGCCTCATCCTCCCAAGTAGCGGGACTGCAGTTGTCTGCCACCACATCTGGCTAGTTACAAAAATTTTATTTTATTTTTTTGTAAAACGTGGACTGTCTACGTTGGCCAGGCTGGTCACAAACTCCTGGCCTCAAGTGATCCTCATTCTTTGGGGTTTCTTAATTTTATATGACTTTCTTCTAAACAAGGCACCATGTAGCCTGGCCTGGGACACTTCTGGGTTGAACAGACCCTCTGCTTTAAACTTTCAACCTGAAGACAACTCTGCTACCTCTACAGTCACCCAGGTTATATCAGGTAGATCTAGGACGCCTTCTCAGCACCATCTTCCAGGTTAGAAAAATCTCAGAGAATGAGGGAGTTCTATGAACTCCAGGAATGGTCTGCTTTGGAGGACATCCAAAGGAGAGTGAACAGAGAAAGGACAGCTTTTCACAAAGAAGTGGACACTGGTGATGTTCTGGTCATCAATAGAGACCTCCAAACCAGATCTATCCAGGTAACTATGTGAGGCTCCTGGGAGGGAAGATTAATCTTAAAATTACTTGGATCATTTCAGCCATATTTACCCTTAGTGTCACACAATTGATGAGCTTCATTTGTTAGTGAGCATATTGTAACCTAGGACTTCTCCTGTGACCTCTAGGGGTCAAACATCTTTATTAAGCACAAAGTTGCACCCACTACTCAGAATTAAAATAAAATAAAATAAGTGATTCGGTCCTGTTATGGACTGAGTTGTATCCTCCCACTTCCAAAGTCATATGTTGAAGCCCTAGCTCCCAGTACCTCAGAATATGACTGTATTTGGAGACAGGCCACGTGATAGGCCGGGTGATAGGCTGGGTGCAGTGACTTATGCCTGAAATCCCAGCAATTTGGGAGGCTGAGGTGGGAGGATTGCTCTAGGCCAAGAGTTCGAGGTCAGCCTGGGCAACATAGGGAGACCCCTGTCTCTAGAAAAAATTTAAAAATTAGGTGGGCGTGGTGGCACACACCTGTAGTCCCAGCAACTCCGGAGGCTGAGGTGAGAGGATCACTTGAGCCCGGGAGGTTGAGTCTGCAGTGAGCCATGTTCACGCCACTGCACTCCAGCCTGGGCAACAGAGTGATGCCCTGTCTTTAAAGTAAAAAAAAAAGGTGGTGGGGTTGTGGTGATGAAGTTAAAATAAGGCTGTTAGGATGGGCTCTAATGCAATCTGACTGGTGTCCGAAAAGGAGATTAGGACACACAGAGAGACACCAGGGTGCACATAGAAAAGACCCTGTGAGGACACAGTGAGAAGGCAGCTATCTGCAAGCCCAGGAGAGAGGTATCGGAAGAAACAAAACCTATCCACACCTTGATCTTGGACTTACAGCTTCCAGAACTGTGAGAAAATAGATCTCTGAGAAAATAGAAGGCTTCATTTTCCTAAATAGCACTCTTTTTTGACGTTCTCCCTGCAGCTGGTCTCCCTCAAGCTGGTTTAAGCCACATAGTGTGTGGTACTTTATTATGGCAGCCACATCAGGCTAAGACAGGGCCCTTAGATTAGCACTTGTGTGTTGTGTGCATGTTCATGTGTATGTGTATGTTATGATATGTGCATGTTATGGTGTTATGAGATGTGTGTGTGTTATGATATGTGTGTGTTGTGCATGTCTGTGTTATGGTGTGTGTGTGTGTGTGTGTGTGCGTGTTGGGTAAGCAGGCAGGAAGGGATATGTCTGGGAAATGCCCCTCCAGTTGCTACAGGGAACTGCAGGTCTTGATTCTCCCTACCACCCATCTTGCCTGCTCCTCTCTGTCTTCAGGACACACTATTCTCTGATGTGGGTGGAACTAGTGCCCTTGTGTCAGAGATGGAGAGAAAATAGAATCAGAGATGTGGGTTAGCAGTAGGATGGGGAAGGAAGAAAGAAGCGAATTCATTTATAGTCTGCCGAGAGCCATCCAAGGATCCCGGTGGGAGACGGGGCAGGCAGAAGGCTTCATTTTCCTAAATAGAACTCTGTTTTGACATTCTCCCTGCAGCTGGCCTCCCCCACGCCTGTCTCGCCAAGTGAACTGATAAAAAGCAACAGGATTTTAGCCTTCCACTGCGCCATCTGGTGGCGTTCAGGGAGAGGTACAGTGGTTCTTGTGCATACACAGTCTATCCCAAACTTAACGCCTTCCTTTCTTTAAGAGGAGTGGATACAATGACTCCTGGGAAGAAAGCAATAGTGCAAAGAGCACTGGACTGGAGTCAAAAGTGGACTCTATCTCTGCATCTTATTAGCTGTACGATCTTGGGCAAGTTAAGTAATAACCTCTTTGCGACTCAGTTTCTATATGTAAGAAATATGAATCACTAATACCAACAGGATTTTGTGAGAATTCATTGAGAAAAAAGCACCCAGAACAGTACAGTATCAGGGATGTGGTGCCTTTGTTAATGATTCACGCCACTTTCCCTTCTTTCTCTCTTCTTGTATTTCTTTCTCTTCCCATGATTTTGTGACTGATCAAAAGTTTTTAGTGCCTTTTATGAAATTAGCTGGGGGAGGGCTGTTGGGAGAACCTGAGAGTTGGGAGGGCAGGAGGGTGCAGGTCATGGGAGCCTCAGCTGGGACTGGGAGACCACCAGGCCCTGCCCCTCATTTGGTCATTTGCAGGAATCAGAGCTAGTGTCACAGGCCTGCCCCTGACTTCTTGCTGCAGAAGGGATCTCACCTACCTATGACCAGAAACAAGAGGTGGTGAGCTCCCCATCACTTTAGGCATTCAGACCTAGATGATTTACATTATCAATTTTAAGACAGGCTTCAGGTCTGGGAATATTATGAGTTTATGAACTAAAGCAACGTTTACAAGAATGTAAGTCAAAGGCACCAATTATCTAAATAACACCTGATAGACTAACATGATGCACATGTAGAACATTTACAATTTTGGTTAAAGATGAGAGGGAGAAGAATGAGGAGAGTTACACATTGAGAAAGGGTTCTAACATATTAGAAAATAAAAAAATATTTTCCCCTCCCAGTTTTTTGTTTTGTTTTGTTTTGTTTTTTAAGACAGAATCTTGGTCTGTCGCCCATGCTGGAGTGCAGTGGTACACTGTCAACTCACTGCAACCTCCGCCTCCTGGGTTCAAGCGATTCTCCTGCCTCAGCCTCCTGAGTAGCTGAGACTACAGGTGCCTGCCACCACGCCCAGCTAATTTTTTTATTTTTAGTACGGACGGGGTTTCACCATATTGGCCAGGCTGGTCTTGAACTCCTGACCTTGTGATCTACATGCCTTGGTCTCCCAAAGTGCTGGGATTACAGGCGTGAGCCACTGCGCCTGCACTTCTCCTCCCAGTTTTTAAAAAATATATATCTGATGGGCCAAGAGAGATCTTGCCACTGCACTCCAGTCTGGGCAATGGAGCAAGACCCTGTCTCAAATAATAAATAAATAAATAAATAAATAAATAAATAAATAAATAAATAAATCTGATGATATCTCTCCTGCCAGCGTTGTGGGGCATGCTTGTTTGTATATGGCAGCTCTTGTGGAAGCCACGCTTTTTCCTGGGGTCGCTTCTGTCTTCTTTAACACCCTGTTCTGGAAATACGTAATTCAGCTGGTCAAGAGTCCCAGCCTGACACCTGCAAAATATTTCTCACACAGGAAACAAGAATCAGGGACAGACCCTTAAGCCTTCTTGGGGCCCTGTGGTCTCAAGATCAATGACCTTGACCATCTTTGGTGACCTGGGCTCCCACTTCTTGTCATTTCTAATGGACTCACAGGCACTTCAAACCTAGCCCCCTCCTTTGGTCTAAATTCTGTGGCAGTAAATTGCCCCATCATTAATGTATCTAGCTGTTCAGAAACCAGAAATGTGGAAATCCTTAACTCCTCTTTTCTCTCCCTCTTTGCTTTATCAGGCACGTCCAGTGCAGCGCCCAATTTTCTGGAGCTCATCCTGTCTCCTGAATTTTCAATCATGCACTCTACCTTGGCTCTGCTGTGGCCAGCTGACTTCCGGTGGGGCCTCTGCAATCCTGCCACCTAAGGGCCACCAGCCATACTCCTGGTGTCCCTGGCTCCTGTCTGAAGTGCCACACTTGCAGGGCATGGGGTGGTATCACTGGAGCCAAATGATGAACCCTGGGAAGCTGAGTTGTTACCTTGCAATGAGGTTGTTCTGGTGACTACTCAGGTGTGACAAAGTACCCCAAAGTTTAGGGGTTTATAACAACCATTTAATTAGGCTCTAATGAGTTATGTGGGTCAGTAGGGCACGGTAGGACTGGCATGTCTCTGCTCTTCAATGTCTGAGGCCTCAGCTGAGGAGACAATGGCTGGGAGTGCCCCCACAGCTGTGGGCTAGAATCATATGAACGTATATCCATGCAGGTGGGGCTGCGTGCTGGGGCCATAGCTGGAGCTGTCACCCAGAGCCCTTACACGTGGGCTCACATGGTGCCCTTCGGGTAGCTGATTTCTCTCATGGCAGCCGAGGGCTCCAAGCATGAGGGCCCCGGTGAATAAAGCAGAAGCTGCCCAGCATCACTCCTGCTGCGTGTCCCCACCTCAAGACGGGAGAAATGGCAAAGAATTTGCAGTTCTGTTTAAAAACTGCCATGGGGGAAACTGCCCCAATGGGAGATGAGGTGTAGAAGACAAAGTCCTGAGAACACATGGACACATGGAGGGAACACACATACCAGGTCCTTTCTGAGGGTGGAGGGTGGGAGGAGGGAGAGGATCAGGAAAAATAACAAATGGGTACTAGGCTTAATACCTGGATAATGAAATAATCTGCACAACCAACCCCGTGACACACGTTTATGTATGTAACAAACCTGCATATGTACTCCCGAACTTAAAATAAAAGTTAAAAAATATATATAATAAAAGAAAATAAGTTCCCTCTCCTTTCCTCCCTTCAGTGGATTGTGCTGAGGTGCAGTTTCTCCACTCAGCCTGTCCAGAGATTCCCCGAGGGCTGGCTGGGGTGCCTGTGCAGTGACTGGCTACATCTCATCACAGGGCATCTGAAGCAGCACCCCACGTGGACATGCTCTGCTTCTGGCCAATCTGCCATACTTGGCTCTCCCATCACTTTTGCTGCCCTGATACTGCACCCGCCAAATAAAGCCTCAGCATTCCAGCCTTGTCTAGAAAGCATGGGCTAAGGGACCCTCTACAACCCATCTGCCCTGAAATGCAATTGATTTGTTCTTTTAAATCTCTTTCTCCATCCACACTGACATTTCCCTAGGCCAGGCCAACATCTTCTCTTGCCTAGACCATAATATGCTTTCCTAACAGATCCATTCGTATCTACACGAGTGATACTGCCCCATCAGTCCACACTGGTGTCAGAGTGATCTTTTTGAAACAAATCTCATCACAAAACCTTCCAGCTTAAAACCCATGACAGGCTTCACATCCTCCTTGTAAACAGGGTCTCTCAACCTCAGCACTACTGACATTGTGAGCGGGGCAACTCTTTGCTGTGCTGTGGGGGCTGCCCTGTGCAACATAAGATATTTAGCAGCATCTCTGGACTCTACCCACTAGGTGCCAGTAGCACCTCACTCCCCAGCTGTAATAAGTAAAATGTCTACAGGCATCACCCAATGTCCCCTGAGGACAAAATCATCCCAGGTTGAGAACAGCCGGTATGAAGTAAGCATACTTAACATGACCCTATGTGGGCCAACCCTGGCACAGCAGACACTACTCTCTTCCAGGTCTCTAAGCAACAGCCACACCGGACTTCATTCAGGATTCTTTGACCATGCCATAGCCTTTCCCTCTACAAGCCTTTTCCTGTTCTTTCTCAGCCTGGAATATTCCCCTTTCTCCTTCCAGTCCACCCTCTGACACACACACACCTGTGCACCATTCATCTAGCTAACACTTTAGGATCAGTCCTCAGCCAAAATGTCACTTTTGCGAAGGCTCTTCTTGCCTCCCAGACTAGGTTAGGCCCCCTGACATACATTCGTATGGCAGTTGGGACCTCTCACAGCACTCCCCACATTGATCATGAATTAATTCGCTTTGGTTATGGCTTGTTAATGTACATCCTCCTCACTCTGCTGTAAATACTGTAAGAGCAGGGCTGTTGTCTGTCTTGCTTATTCCTGGGTCTCAGCACTTAGTATGGAGCTTGGCATGTGGTAGGTACTCAATGCATTTGATGAATGAATGAATAAATGAACTTATGCACATTCTTTTTTTTTTTCTTTTTTTTTTGAGAAGGATTCTTGCACCGTCTCCCAGGCTGGAGTGCAGTGGGGCGATCTCGGCTTACTGCAACCTCTGCCTCCCAGATTCAAGTGATTCTCCTGCCTCAGCCTCCCGAGTAGCTGGGACTACAGGAGCATGCCATCACACCTGGCTATTTTTTTGTATTTTTAGTGGAAATGGGGTTTCACCATGTTGGCCAGGCTGGTCTTGAACTCCTGACCTCAAGTGATCCGCCCGCCTCGCCCTCCCAAAATCCTGAGATTACAGGCATAAGCCACCACGCCCGGCCTTATGTGCATTGCTATTTTCTGGTTTGTTCCTTTCTTTCTTTCTTTTTTCTTTTCTTTTTTTTTTGAGATGGCAGCTCAGGCTGGAGTGCAGTGGTGCAGTCATAGCTCACTGCAGCCTAGAACTCCTGGACTCAAGCGATCCTCCTGCCTCAGCTTCCTGAGTTGCTGGGATTACAGGCGTGAGCCACTGCACCTGGCCCCCTTTCCTTGCTTTAGATTTTTCTCTTTCATTGCAAAGCAGTACCCTCATTCCAGTATGAATAAAAACCCAGTTCTCGGATGTTTTACCAACCAAACTGTCTGCCTGATCTTGAGAAACTCTTCAGACACTGCCCAGCTCTCTGACCCACTCCTTTCCAAATAATTTTTGCAAAGTTTTTGTTTTTTTTTTTAACCAAGCCACTTTAAAAGCTAGGGGTACATCAAGGGATCAAATCAAAGTCCAAGGTGTGGTATCCAATTCCTCGGAATATTGATCAAAAAACGGGCATCCCCTTGGCTAGGGATTTCCCCACCACCAGGTGGAAACCTTGTGTCTTTTCTCACCCCTCCTCTATCCCCTCGCAGTTTGCCACAGGGATGCCAAACGTAAAGTGTCCTTTTCTGACCCTTCTCCATGGAATGTACGTCTCTGGGGCAGCGTCTGTGTTTGGCTTCCGTCTAGCTCTGAGTGGATCAGGACTAACGGTTAAATCCTGGTATTTTTACATTTGAGCACCTGTGGGTTTTGAGCAATTGACTGTTACAGGTCGCTTGCTGGAAATGGTCAATGTGTTCATACCTGAAAAACTGAATTTTTATAGGACATTATTTAGAGATGATTTTGACAGTTTGTGTTAACTGACTTGTTCCATTTTCACTGATGTGCATCTGTAGGGACTTCTGGAAACCTGGAGGAGTAAGCTATCACAGGGACCTCAGAGGGTGGCTTGCCTGGAAGCTGAGCTGCCTCTGGTGGTGTTATCCCGGCAGGTCTGGCAGCCCTGGATTGACTCCCCCTAGCGGTTTCACAAAATATGTTATTTTGATAGAGCACCTTAAACTGCAGCTCCTAGCTCTAAATGTGTGGCTGTTAGAATCCTTCTACTACAAATTAGGGATGAAATTAGATGACCAGCCAGTGGGACCTCTGAGAAGAGAATGAAAAATAGGCTCATGCAGGAGAGGGCGTGGAAGGGCGGATAAGCTGTTTTGTCTGGAATTCCTGTCCCAGACAGGTTTGTCTGGGAATGGCCAGAAACTGAAATTCTGAGGATATCATCCTGCCCAAGTCCCAGAAGCAAAGGTGAGAACCAGGCACACCCTAAGGGCAAGCAGGAGGGAAGAAGAAAAGAAAGAAGAACGAGGGAAGAACAAGAAGAAAGAAAGAAGAAGGAGGAAGAGGAGGAGGAGAAGGGAGGGGGAGGAAGGGGAGGAGAAGGAGGGGAGGGAGAGGCGGAGAAAGGAAAGGAAGAAGTGGAAGAGGAAGAAGAAAGAAAGAAAGAAAGAAAGAAAGAAAGAAAGAAAGAAAGAAAGAAAGAAAGAAAGAAAGAAAAGAGAAGCAGGCAAGCAGTTTTCAAAGTTCTTTATCATCTTGCTAAGGTAGCTGAAGGATGCAGTCACAGGCCCGCATGCACAGGAGGGCTTTCCTGTTTGGGGCCAGTAGGTTTCTTGTTTTGCTGTGTTTCCTTTCTTTTTGTGCAGGACGTGACTTGGCCTCCGATCTAGACACATCGGTGTTTTTGTGAGTCATGTTCTAACAGGATTGTGCTGTGTTGAAATGACTGTTGTTTGGTGTGTCAGCCCAGATGCAGGTTTAGCACCACATTTCAAAGTGAATAAGAGCTGCTTTTAACTGTTTGTTCTTAATCCACCAACCTTTTGTGTTTTCTCATCAAAAGAGGGGTAGCTTGCCCTTTTTCTTTTGCCTTAAGCCCCAGAGAGACACCAAGTGAAGCCACGGTACCCCTTTTTTTCTTTAAGTAGCCCAATCACATAATATGCTGTAGGTTTCAAGAGAGTAAACTCTCCTCTGGTGCATAGAAATCTCAGTAAGTTCTCTGAGGCAGTAGTTGGTAGTCCTGGAGATTTTTCAGTTAAATCAGTGTTTATTTCAAAAACGCCCTTGGTGATTCTAATGTGAGAATCACCAGTCTCCATGCACTTCAAAGCCAGTGGGCGGGGAAGTACTGGGCCCAATCAGCTGAGACTCGGCTCCAGCCACACTTACCTTTGCTGGTGCCTCAGAGCCTGTTGCCCCATCTCAGCCTCAGATTTCCCTCCCATGTCTGTCTGTCCTTCTCTCTTCCACCCAGGCATACTGTAAACTCCTCCAGTGGAAACCAGCATTTCTCCTGGGCTGCACCCGTGAGGCCTACAGGTCCCATCTATTCCCAGCCTCACCTCTTCCCTTCTGCCACTGCAGAACCTTCCACACCCCTTTCTCCTCTATCCTGGCACCACTGATGCTCACTTTGGGCACCTACCAGATTATTCACCCCCTCAACAGCCCTGCCCCATCTTCCCTCTTTTGGATGCAGTCAAATGGAGTGATTTGTCAAGCTCTTGAAGCTTTCTAGGTCTCAGTTTCAGTTTCCTTATCTATAAAATGGGAATAATTTACAGGCTCCTGGGAGTTTTGTGCAAGTTACATGAGACCATGTGTGCTTTGCTGGCGTGTCATAATGGATCCTGGATGAGGCCCAGACATCTGTGTGTTTCTGTCACCTCCAGTGTGGTAGCAGTGGTATGGGCTATGCTGAGAAACATTGGTTAAGACAGTGGTTCTCCACCTGGCTGTGCATTAGGATTACCTGGGAAGCTTTAAAACGTTCAGGTGCCTAGGCTGAACCTGAGCTAATTAAATCTGAAGTTCTGTAATTTTTAATGACCCCTCCTCACATGATTCCAATGTGCAGCCAAAGTTAAGAGTAAAGGCTCTGGGGCAGCAGGACTGGGTTGTACTGACTCTGGGCCAGTCACTAACCTCTCAGCCTCAGTTTCTCCATCTGAAGAATGGGAATAATATATGCACTTTACTGTTTGACTATGCAGATTAGTTGAGATAATTCTGTCCAGTGGTTGGCATAGGGCCTAGTACAGTGCCTTCTGTTGACTGGATTTGGGAGCTGGCAGGGTGGGCATGAGAGGCCCCCATCAGAGTGAGGCCTTCTCAGCAGCCCTGGGCTCATCCAGAACACCTCAGGCCTCTGGGCTCCAGGCTGTCCCGTCTCTTGCTGCTCTATCCCAGCAAGTTCAACAGTCGAGCTCTGAGCATGGCCTACAGGAGCCAGGGCACGTTCACGCCAGTGACCCTGTTTTAAAGTATCTAATACAAAGTACTATTCAGTTTAAAAAGTTTGTAATGATTCCATGAAAAAGGCAAACCAATAGTATTAGTTGTTTTTGTTGTTGCTTAATTGCCAATATGCAGTATGTTACCTAATTTATGGGTTCAAATTTGATTTAAAACACAAAAGCAAAAAAAAAAAAAAAAGAATAGAAAGTTTTGTTTCATGTGTGGTAACCTGGAAACATGGCCACCATTTATATTATTATTATTATTTTTTGAGACGGAGTCTGGCTCTGTCGTCCAGGCTGCAGTGCAGTGGCACGATCACAGTTCACTGCAACCTCCGCCTCCTGGGTTCAAGTGATTCTCCTGCCTCAGCCTCCTGAGTAGAGTAGCTGGGACTACAGGCACGTGACACCATGCCTGGCTAATTTTTCTATTTTTAGTAGAGACAGGGTTTCACCATGTTGGCCAGGCTGGTCCTGAACTCCTGACCTCAAGTGATCCGCCCACCTCGGCTTCCCAAAGAGTTGGGATTAGAGGCGTGAGCCACCGCTCCTGGCCATAATATTATTTTTGTGAAAATATGTGTTCTGAGGTCTAAACATTCAGCTTACAAATTTCCTTTTGGAACGTAAGTTTTTGTAGAGTATGTAAGTGTATGAGTGTGTGTTTTGAATGTGTGATGGGAGTACATGAATGTGAATGTGTGAGTGCACAAGTGTGTGTGCGTGTGTGTGGGTGTTTATGAGTGTGGGTGTGTGTGCGTAGGAATGTGTATGAATCTGGATGTGTGTGTGTGTGACTTTGTGTGTGTGGGGAGGGCTGCATGTGCTGAGAGCTGTCAAGAATGGGGACTTCTATTTCTCCTCACCAATCTCTAGATCCTGCTTTATTTTATCCTCTCCTAAGCCTTATGCAAACTTAAGACAACTCAGGTTGAGACCCTCTATTACTGTCAAAAGCCATTTTGAAGCAATTCAAATGTTCTGTTTCTATTCTTCTGGGAAATCTGTGCTGTCTCAGAAATTCTAATGGCATTCTAAAATCATCTGTTGCTTTGTAATATGGCCTTTTCAACAAATAGGCCTAGTCTCTTCTGCTTTCGCCCAGGGTTGGAGGGCATCAGGATGGCAGAGAGAATGGGCAGGGTGGTGACACCTGTGGACAGCCAGCATCATGCCGGGTTCTGTGCTATTTGCTTCCTTCACATGACTTCCTTTATTCATCAGAGGAACCCTGCAAGGTCAGTATTATTATTTCCCTTTGAAAACACATGTCCAGGAAGTTTAGCAACTTTCCACCGTGACACAGAGATAGGAGCTTAAACCTTGTACTCTTTTTTTCTACACTACATTGGTAACTGATCTTTATTTTCCTTGCCTTTCTTCTCTTTTTCTGTCTTTATCTTTGAGCCTTGATATGTCATTACTGGTGCTGGGTAGTGGGCAGTTTCTGCTGGAAGGTAGCTGGCATTCAACTGTAACCCTTTGCCCTGTCTGGTCCAGGGCAAAGTCTCCTCAATGGGAATAAAATGCCTTTGCCTTCTTTAGCTCATTTCTTCACACTCAGGGCTACAAAGCAAAATGCTGCAGTTTCTGAAATGGGAGAAAATATTCCGTAGGATGACTAAAATTTCCTAAATTTTTGCAACATGTAGCAAAATGGAGCATAATTTCAAATTGTGTTTATCTGAGCTTTGCTTAAAAACTTACTGTGTTAAAGCCACTATTAAACCCAGCTACTCAGGAGACTGAGGTGGGAGGGTTGCTTGAACCCTGGAAGTTGAGGCTGCAGTGAGCCATGATCATGTCACTGCACTCCAGCCAGGGTGATAGAGTAAGACCCTGTCTCAAAACAAAACAAAACACAGAAAAACTGCTGTGTAGTTACAAGATTCTTCAACTAGTCAGGACTTCTAGCAAGATAATGTAATGAACTCTGGGTACATGGAGAGTTATGTGGTCATTGATAATCATGATCACTCTGATAGTTCCTGGGAAAGAGGTGTATTTTCTGTCTCTTTCTGCTACCTGGCCTGATGGCAGTGAGGACAGCCCTGCTGTAGTGCTCAGCAGAAACCTGGATGATGTGCTGTCAATTTTGGAAGGGTAGCAAGTGAACAGAGAGGGTGAGACCAGGGAATAATTTGCGGGGGTTGCAATTGGTTTGAGGAAAAACCTTTTTTTTTTTTTTTTTTTTTTTTTGAGATGGAGACAGAGCTTGGCAGAGCAAGCTCTGTCACCCAGGCTGGAGTGTTGTAGCGCATTCTCGGCTCACTGCAACTTCCACCTCTTGGGTTCAAGTGATTCTCATGTCTCAGCCTCCCCAGTAGCTGGGATTACAGATGTGCACCATCATGCCTGGCTAATTTTTGTATTTTTAGTAGAGATGGGGTTTCACCATGTTGGCTAGGCTGGTCTTGAACTCCTGACCTCAGGTGATCCACCCACCTTGGCCTCCCAAAGTTCTGGGATTACAAGTGTGAGCCACCATGCCCGGCTGAGGAAAAACATTTCTATAGTTTAATATATCATTTCTTTTCATCTATTACCAAAATTATACTGAAAGAGTTACATTTAGAGTTCACATTTCATGAAAGCAGTTCTTTTACATGGTTCAGGTTTGTTTTTATGTGATCAAATCTTGGCCTCTCTGTTTCACCTTACCTAGAGTATAGTTTTGGTAACAGTGATTCAGTAGTAACCAAAGTCCTCAGAAAGTCTTTTAGGTTTCTTTTGAGTTTACATAGATAATAAAAATATTTTAAAAACATTTTACTATCATTACTGTCTTATTCCATTTTGTTGCTATAACAGAATACCACACACTGGGTAATTTA
Organism: Homo sapiens; assembly: GCF_000001405.40. Classification (NCBI taxonomy): domain Eukaryota; kingdom Metazoa; phylum Chordata; class Mammalia; order Primates; family Hominidae; genus Homo; species Homo sapiens. Next base: position 139,662,315 of record NC_000004.12, read on the forward strand.
TAAAGAAAAGAAATTTATTTCTCACAGTTCTGGAGGTTAGGAGGTTTAATATCAAGGTGCTGGCATCTGGTAAGGACCTTTGTGCTATGTCATCCCAAAGCGGGGGGGCAAGAGAGGGCCAAGCTCACATTTATAACAATCCACTCCTATAACAACATTAATCCATTCATGGGAGCAGAGCTCTCATGGCCTAATCACCCCTTATTGTCCTACCTCTTAATACCATTATAATGGAAGTTAAATTTTAACATGAGTTTTGGAGGGGACAAACATTCAGACCATAGCAATTACCAGTATGCTGTTTGTCCTCTTATTTTCCTTTTCATAGAAAAATGTAATAAATGGAACATACTAGAAGGATCTATGGGAACAACATTCAGGGAAAATGCCATTCCTCTTCAACCAATCCAGGGAAAACGTACAGAGAAACTCTAATTTTTGTGAGTTTTTGTTAATGCTATGGCAGTATTTCAGCTGTGGGTCACCTGGAAATTTTATCACTGCAGAAGGTGATAAACATTTCATTATACAATGCTCTATTCTTTTATACTTTCCTAGAGGCAATAACTACATATACCGACAATGAAGATCTTTTTAAATAGACACGTGGGGTTTTGAAGCACTTGAGATTTTATTGATTAATTGATTTTTTATTTTTTTACTTTGTGTCAACCATCTCTTAGAATCTGGATTTGGGGGACTGACTTAAGATTGGCTGGGAGAAGTCAGTAGGGAACCTCAGGATTTGTCCAGAAGCTGGGAAGTTTCATTTTTTTTTTTTTTTTGAGACGAAGTCTCGCTCTGTCACCCAGGCTGGAGTGCAGTGGCACGATCTCAGCTCACTGCAAGCTCCGCTTTCGAGGTTCACGCCATTCTCCTGCCTCAGCCTCCCGAGTAGCTGGGACTACAGGCGCCCGCCAACACGCCCGGCTAATTTTTTTGTATTTTTAGTAGAGACGGGGTTTCACCGTGTTAGCCAGGATGGTCTGGAACTCCCAACCTCGGGTGATTCGCCCACCTCGGCCTCCCAAAGTGTGGGATTACAGGCGTGAGCCACCACGCCCGGCCGGAAGTTGTAGATTTTAAACCAGTTGACTAGTACAGGTGTACCCAAGAGTTTCTCAAAATAAGAGTTACCAACACCCAAAAGTTACAGTCATCAGCCAGGGCCACAATTCTCTGCTCAGCTCCTCCTGCTGTTGTTCCTCTCTTCCCGAGCCGTTCTCTGACTTTGAGAGCCTCTGCCTGTCCCCAGGCCTAATGTAGACCTCTCCTTCGAGATCTGTCATTTGGGAGGTTATTATAGTAGATGGTGATATGGGTTCAGGGCAGCTAGTTTGCAGTTTAGAATCTCTGCCATGTACTGAAGCCCAAAACTATTAAACTGAGTATACAAGAATGTTTTGGTGCTGCCCCAGCTTCTTGGCTCTACTTTCTTATCTAATCTTAGTTGTCAATGATTTCAAGAGCAAACAGCCAAGGAAGCCTGAAGACCAACAGAAACTTTGAGCAGACCTGGCTTGCAACTATTTATAAATTAATTTTGTTATTCCTTCTTTCCTGTATATGTGTAGTTCCATGAATTCTACTTTGAACTGGTTATAACATCTTACTGGTTCCCTCATGAATGAGTTACATAAAAATTTTGATATGTTTTCATTTTATGTTGTATGAAAGGCATGATTTTTGCCTCTGAAAGTATTTTTTAACATTAGGTACATTATATGCTAAGTACTTGTCTAGATACTTTATGTGTTTATTTTGCAGACACACAGAACACATTTGTATATGCCAGGTGCTGTTTTAAGTGCTCTATAAGTATTAACTAATTCAATCCTTAGAATAGGATTATGTCATTTAAACTTCTCTTCAGCTCTTATTAGCCCTATCTTATTAAATGGAGGCTCAGAGAGGCCCAAGGTTGTGTTATTAAATTGTAGGGTCTGTGTGAGGCTGAGGCAACTGCCCTCCCCAGAAGACACTGGGAGCTCCCTGCTAGGGACTAAATGTTTGTGTCCCCTCTGCAATTCATATGTTGAGACCCTAACCCCCAACGTGATGTTATCAGGCATTTGGCAGATAATTAGCTACAGGTGAGGTTATGAGCATAGGCCCCCATAATGGGATCTGTGCCCTTATAAGAAGTGACCAGGAAGCTTACTCTTTCTCTGTCTCCAACATGAAGGTGTCCTTCTGCAAACCAGGAAGAGGGCCCTCACCAGGAACTGATTGGCCAGCACTGTCATCTTGGACTTCCCAGCCTTCAGGACTGTGACGAATAAATTGCTATTGTAAGCCACCCAGTCTATGGTATCTTTGTTATAGCAGCTTGAGCCAAGATATACCCTCTAATGGTGCTGTAGGATGGGGTGAGGAAAGGCCCCCAGCTCTGGTTTTTGGGAAGCTGCATCTTTATTTTTATTATTTGTTTGAGACAGGGTCTCACTTTGTCACCCAGGCTGAAGTGCAGTGGAACGACCTTGGCTCACTGCAGTCTCAGGCTCCTGGGTTCAAGCAATCCCCTTGCCTCAGCCCCCTAAGTAGCTGGGACTACAGGCACGTGCCACCATGCCCTGCTAATTTTTGTATTTCTTTAAGAGATGGGGTTTTGCCATGTTACCCAGGCTGGTCTCGAACTCCTGAGCTCAAACCATCTGCCCATTTCAGCCTCCCAAACTGTTGGGATTACAGGCATGAGCCATCCTTCCAGGCCAGAATCTGCATCTCTAAAGAGCAGATTCTCCTGCCTCAGCCTCCTGCGTAGCTGGGACTACAGGTTCGTGCCACCATGCCCAGCTGATTTTTTGTATTTTTAGTAGAGAAGGGGTTTTACTGTGTTAGCCAGGATAGTCTTGATCTCCTGACCTCGTGATTCACCCTCCTTGGCCTCTTAAAGTGCTGGGATTACAAGTGTGAGCCATCGCGCCCGGCCGGTTTATTTTTTTAAAAATGGCTGGGCACAGTGACTTGTGGCTGTAGTTCTAGCTACTTGGGAGGCTGAGGCAGGAGGATTACTTAAGCCCAAGAGTTGGAGGCTGCAGTGAGCTATGATCGTGCCACCACACACTCCAGCCTGGGTGACAGATCAAGACCCTGTCTTAAAAAAAAAAAGTATGATTATTATCAGAGTCTCTAGGTGACAGTGAGAGGCAGCCTGGTGCAGGGGATAGGGCACAGTTGTAATCTGCTAGACTGGGTTCAAATCCTAAATCGGCCATTCAGAGCGTGAATACATTAGAACTGGCTTAAATTAGCATTTAAAATGTCAACAGGATTAAGTAAGTAGTTCCTTCTCACTTTTTCCACAGGAGGTGAGAAAGGTCTCAGCAAGGCCCTAGGAGGGAAGGGCGTGGGGATGAAAGGGATCCAGAGAGTCTGTGCATTGGCAGAGAAGATAGTGTAACTGGCACTGCGGCTGGAGGGCTGGTCCCACAGTGAGCTACAGCCCTGCCCGCTGGCCGTGGGAGAGGCTTAAAACAAACGCCGGAAGCAACTCCCAGCCCCATAAAGATCTGTGACCGGCAGCCCCAGACCTGCCTGCCTTCCTGACTTCTGTTCCAGAGCAAAGGTCATTCAGCCGCTTGAATCAGCCTTTTCCCCCCACCCGGTCCCCAACTTTGTTTACCCGATAAGGAAGGTCAGCATTCAAAGTCAAGAAGCGCCATTTATCTTCCCGTGCGCTCTACAAATAGTTCCGTGAGAAAGATGGCCGGGAACTCGATCCTGCTGGCTGCTGTCTCTATTCTCTCGGCCTGTCAGCAAAGTAAGAGGCATGGGAAGTTCGTGTGTGTGCGCGTGTGTGCGTGTGTGTGTGTGTGTGACAAGGCTTGCGGGAGAGAGAGGGAGGGAGGGAGATGGGTCCGGTGTTTTGTTTCCTACTTGCCCTTGCAGGTAGCTCTGGGTCCTCAGAGCACAGTCGCCTCAGGGTCACCCATGCCGCCTGCTACCCTCCTTCCCAGGGGCAAGCAGAGACTGAGAACATTCCAGAGATTAGTTCTCCCAACTGGAACGCTGTGGGGCCTCAGAGCTCAGCGATTCTGCATCATCTGTGATTACGACCCACAGCCCGTTCAAACGAGCGTTAGTAGCCTGCTAACCTGCAGGAAGTGGTGTGAATATTAATTACAAGTGTTCCAAAGGAAACGTGCCTGCTTCTAAACCTGGTTGTGATTTCTTGAACGTTGATGTTTTAATTAATGTGTTTTCTTAAATAAACTGCCTATGGTGGTATGATTATCAGATTGAAAAAAACTTCCTTCAGAAATATTAGCTTTAGATTAAGTAATTAGCTCTAAATTTTAAAACAGCTTCCCACTAGGATTATTCAATATCTCGACTGCCTGGTTAAATAGAGGGCTTTTACTCCATGGGAGTCACATTTGCTCAATTCATATTATCTTACCTACAATGTCAGCTGGGGAAAGGGGTCCGAGTGCAAGAGTGCAAGACTTCTTACCAAGCATGCATATTTCTTTATATTTCCAAGTATGCCTGTACCAGGAAATAGGGCCAAGCCGTAGACTGCTCAGGTTACACAAACAGCCAGAAGCAGGAAGGCCTCACAGCTGAGGATCCAGTCCAGGCCTCCGTGCATGCTCAATGTCTTGCCTAGCCAGTCTGTTTTGAGATTGTATGAAGATCTTGAACCTTCAGACTCACGTTTTGTGGTTTGATTCACACAATCTGTTGTGGAGAAGAGCAGGATATTTGTTTCTAATTAAAGAAGCACTTAGATCTGTTAAAAGGAAAACCCTAGACAAATTACATTTAACTGAGTTTAATTGAGCAAAGAACGATTCACAGTTGGGCATGGGGAACCGGAATAGGTTCAGAGAGACTCTGGGGCTGCCACGTGGTAGAAGAAGATTTATGGACAGAAAAAGGAAAGCGACTCCCAGAAAACGGAAGCATATAGTTCACGATGTACGGAGAAACCTTTAGGCTGAACTTAAAATATGTCAGAAGGCAGCTTTAGGCTAAACCTAATTTAGCAGGTCTAAGGCTCACTGTTGGTAGCATCCTGACTCACAGGTGCTACCAAACCTGCATGCGCCTTTATCCTAGGCCTGCAGGTCCACAGATGTCCCAAAGCTGACAGAGGTGCTCATCCTCCCTGTTTGCTGCTTGTGCAGGGGGCTGTGTGAACTGGGGCCAGAATGTTAGGGGGCTGGATGGAGTGGGGGTAGGGGTGGGGAGAGAGGAGAGGAGACTGGGTGAATGATGATTAATGGTGGACAGGGAATGTTTAATGACAAGGTGTTAGGGCCGGGCACGGTGGCTCACCCCTGTAATCCGAGTACTTTGGGAGGCCAAGGCAGGTGGATCACGAGGTCAAGAGATCGAGACCATCCTGGCCAACATGGTGAAACTCCGTCTCTACTTAAAATACACAAATTTGCTGGACATGGTGGCACGCTCCTGTAGTCCCAGCTACTAGGGAGGCTGAGGCAGGAGAATCGCTTGAACCTGGGAGGGGGAGGTTGCAGTGGACTGAGATCACAGCACTACACTCCAGCCTGGCAACAGAGCGAGACTCCATCTCAAAGAAAAAAAAAAGATGTTGATGAAGAGTTGAACTTTGTAAAATAATTGAAAAGCTGTATTCTGAGCCAAACATGAGGGACGAGTGGCCGGTGACACAGCCCAAGGAGATTCTAAGAACATCTGCCCAAAGGGGTCTGGCTACAGATTGGTTTTATACATTTTAGGGAGACATAAGACATCAACCAATTCATGTAAGATGTACATTAGTTTGGTCCCAAAAGGCGGGACAACTGGAAGTGGGGCATGGGCTTCCAGGTCATAGGTGGATTTAAAGATTTTCTGATTGGCAATTGATTAAAAGAGTTTATCTACAGACCTCAAATCCATAGAAGGGAGTGCCTGGGTTAAGATAAGGGGTTGTGGAGGCCAAGGTTCTTACTATGCAAATGAAGCTTCCAGGTAGCAGCGTTTGGAGAGAATAGATTGTAAATGTTTCTTATGAGACTTGAAAAGGTGCCAGACTCTGTTAATTCTCTCCTGGATCAGAGAAAAGACCTGGCAAGGGAAAGGGATTTTCTACAGAATGTAGACTTTCCCCACAAGAGACAACTTTGCAGGACCATTTCAAAATATGACAAAGAAATATATTTTAGGGTAAAATACTTCAATTTCTTTCAAGGCCTGCTATCTGTCATGTGATGCTATACTGGAGTCAGGCTGGAATTTGGTGTCTTATTTCTACAAAAAGTCTTAAGTGTTAGATTTTTTAAAGGGAAGGTGGGGTTCAAGAAAGACACAGAGAGAGAGAGAGAGAGAGGAGGGGGAGGGGGTAGAGGGGGAGAGGGAGAGAGAGAGAGGCTTTACAACAACACAGGTTTATTACAAAAACCTGTGGAGGTGGGGGACCAGCTTAATGCCAGAGCCCGCCATTGCTTACAGGCTGGGGTATGTACAGGTATGGGCAGGAGGGTTTTGGGCAGTATGGCTTGCTGCCCTGGAGGATATTGATAAGATGTTCTTATGTTCAGGTGGTTTGGCCAGGGATATTCCTTGGGCTCTGTCAGGATTTGATAGGGATATTTCTTCAGTTGGGTCTTTGCTTGGCAGGGTATGATAAAGATGTTCCTGTGTCTTGTGGTCAGGTGGCTAGGCAGGATTTCTCAGGGCCCGAACCCCCATGGAATGTTTCACTTTGACAAAGGCCTGTGAAATGGCAGGGGGCTTACAAAATGGTGTAGTTTGGACTAACATTAAGGTCTGTTTCAATGTTAATGCTGGTCAGTTATGCCTGAATTCCAAAGGGCGGAGGATATAATGAGGCACATCTGACACCTTTTCCCCATCATGGCCTGAACTCGTTTTTTAGGTTAACTTTGGAATGCCCTTGGCTGAGAGGAGGACTCCATTTAGATGGTTGGGGGGCTTAGAATTTTATTTTTGGTTTACAAAGGAGAGAGAGAGTGTGTAAGAGGGAGACAGAGAGAGGAAGACACAACTGTTTAGCTGGCATTAGGAACCAGAATTTGCTCCTTTTGCAAGTCTGATGTTCATGGAGTCGGGACACCATGTGCCATGGTTGAAGCAGCTTAGGTTTTGAAGACAGACAGAGCTGTATCTGTTGGTCTAGCCACTTCCCAGCTGGGTGTCCCCGTTCAGGATACACTGCCCTTCAATGTTACCATCAAAGAGGGTTTAATGGGACGCTGGGGAGGAAATCCCACCATAGTTCCTGGCCCCATGTAGGCGCTCAGCACTGTCAGTTCCCATCCTAAGGTCCTTCTTCGAAGAGAGAAGTTTCTGCTGCATGGAGAGGTAGAGACAGGGTGAAGGTACCCAGCTGTGGCTGGGTGGGCATCACAGGGGGTAAGGGGCAGAGAAAGCTTCCCCTTCACCCTCTGAAGGTTCACTGAACGTCAACTGACAAAAGGCAGATTAACAGGAGAAAGGCTGTGACAATTTATTTTAATATGCACAGCATGAGAGAATGGTTGCCCAATAATCCAAAGGGGTACAGCAGTTTGTATACCATTCTTCACAGGGGAGGGAGGAAATGGGGAATGCAGACAATTCTTTTGAGTGGTAGTAAACAATTATTAGGGAGAATGAATGGACTGGGAGACAAAGTAACTTGTCAATGATTCTCTGGAATTTGATTGGCCAGAGGGGTAGGCTTAATCTGGTGGGAAAGTTCGTCCAGGTGTGTGCATTCCTCGGTCTTCTTTTCCACATGAGATAATGAGGTCTGAGGGAGGAGACGGCAGGCAATTGTGTTTGTCTTAGGGGGTCTGGTTTCTAGGTAGATAAGGGAGTTTCAGAGGACTGCCCAGCTGCATCCTGTGCCTTGGTAGAGACCACAGGTTGAGACAGGAGGCAGTGGAGAGGTCACAAAGACCTTGAGGCAGCTTCTTTAGTTCAGTCATATTTTGAGGTGTAATATTCTGATTTCCTTCGGTGGGGGGCGGGGGGGGGGCGGTTAACAGAAATACCAAACTCTGTGAAATCTTTTAAAGAGGTTTATTCTGAGCCAATATGAGTGACCATGGCTCGGAGAAAACACAAACCCAAGAAGCCTTCAGTGGGTGGTCCCAAGGCAATTGGGTTACAGTTTGGTTTTATACATTTTAAGGAGGCAGGAATTATAGGCAAAGACATAAATCAATACATGGAAGGTATCTATTGGTTCGGCCCCAAAAGGTGGGATATCTTAAAGCCAGGGGGCTTACAGATTATAAGTGGACTCAGAGATTCTCAGATTTGCAGTTGTTAAAGGAGTAAAGCTTTGTTTAAAGACTTGAATTCAGCACAAAGAAATGCTTACATTAAGAGAAGGGGTGGCCAGGTGTGGTGGTTCATGCCTTTAATCAAGCACTTTGGGTGACCAAGGTGGGTAGATCACTTAAGCCCAGGAGTTCAAGACCAGCCTGGGCAACATGATGAAATGCTGTCTCTATTAAAAATACAAAAAATTAGCTGAGTGTTGTGGCACTCACCTGTAATCCCAGCCACTTGGGAGGCTGAGGTGTGAGAATTGCTTGAGTCCATGGGTTGCAGTGAGCCGAGATCATGCCACTGCACTCCAGACTGGGTGAGAGTGAGACCCTATCTCAAAAAAAAAAAAAAAAAGATAAAGAGGTCATGTGATGCTATACCAGAGTCAGTTGGAAAGTAAGCCACATACTGGGTTAATTTAAAAGAACTGGCCTAATGAGATTTGATGGTTTGTAGGGCGTGACTTAACCCTTGCCTTGTAAGGCCTTAGGTCTTGTCTACAATTTGATGTCTTCTTGCTGCAGCCGGCTTTGTTAGTCTTATGATCCCCATTTTAACCTTAATCCTGGGCAGTTGTGCCTAAACTCCAAAAGGGAGGGGGCACAACCAGGTGTGTCCTACCTCCCTTCCCCTCACGGCAGGGAATTCAGTTTTTCAGGTCTCTCTGGGGTTCCCTCGGCCAAGAGTGGGTCTGTTCAGTTGTTTGGGGGTTAGGATTTCATTTTTGGTTTCTCCTCAGCACATGTGTATCTCTGGAGAAAGCTAGGGAAAGAGGAAAGACAGGCAAAGCAAAAGGAGATTATTATCTAGAGGTTTTAATCAACTCATAAGGGAAATAAAGTTGAAACTCTACAGAAAAGGAGGTGAAATAGCACCCCACTGTCATCATATATTCATCATATATACGTATATATATTTTCAGACCTACTGCTCTGTCGCCCGGGCTGGAGTGCAGTGGTGTGATCTCAGCTCAACTGCAGCCTCTGCCTCCCAAGGTCAAGCAATTCTCCTGCCTCAGCCTCCCGAGTAGCTGGGACTACAGGTGCGCCACCATGCCCGGCTAATTTTTGTTGTTGTTCTTTTTGTTTTTTTGAGAGGGAGTCTCACTCTGTGGCCCAGGCTGGAGTGCAGTGGTGTGATCTCGGCTCACTGCAACCTCTGCCTCCCAGGTTCAAGTGATTCTCCCGGCTCAGCCTCCTGAGTATCTGGGACTACAGGCACACGACACTGCACCTGGCTAATTTTTGTATTTTTAGTAGAGATGGGGTTTCACCGTGTGGGCCAGGCTGGTCTTGATCACCTGACCTCAAGTGATCCACCCGCCTCAACCTCCCAAAGTGCTGGGATTACAGGCACGAACTACCGCACCTGGCCCCACTCTCATCATATTATTCCAAAAATAGCCATGGTCTCTCTGAGGCCCCTCACCTGAGAGAACAGAAGGGCTTCTATCCCTTGGGGCTGGAGGTGAGCCCAGCTGAATCCTCTTTCTTGGGGCTGGACTGGGAGTAGGTGGGATATCTCAGTACCTCTTCCATTTACTGAAGCTCATTCCTCACACTTGCTAGTGTCACAAACAGATGCCCATTGGGTGCAATTAACGTAAGAAAAGATAGCACTTTTAAGGCTTGCTTACTCCCAGCCTCATTTTGAAGCTCTAGGCTCCTGTGCATTACTAATTCATAAGTCTAGGAGCACATACCTTTCATTATTTCCATTTTATAGGTGGAAACAAGAAGACTTGCCAAGTATTTTCTGCAAGGCTGTGAAGCATGTTAGAAGCAATGGTAATAGCAGGTGCAGAGTGGCCAAGTCCTCATTTCCCCCTCAATGGACAAATCCCTTTAGCTGAGCCCATGAGTCATTGGCCTTTCCAGATTGATGCTGCCCTGGAGGGATGGAGCCCAGGGTTGGAGACAGTCAGGGCCCATCTGTACATTCCTTCTCCTCACTCTGCTCTCTCAGGCTGCAGTATGAATGAGAAAACTCCAATCCCAAGCATTTACACACTTTTTTTTTTTTTTTTGACTCGGAGTACAGTGGTGCGATCTCAGCTCACTGCAACCTCCGCCTCCTGGGTTTCAGCAAATCTCCTGTCTCAGCCTCCTGAGTAGCTGGGACTACAGGTGTGCACCACCAAACTCAGCTAATTTTTGTATTTTTAGTAGAGACGGGGTTTCACCATGTTGGCCGGGCTTGTCTCAAACTCCTGACCTCAAGTGATCCACTAGCCTCAGCCTCCCAAAGTGTTGGGATTACAGGCGTGAGCTACTACTGGGCCCGGACAGCATTTACACACTTTAGATATTCAGTGACAATGTTTAAATCCTAAACAACAGCTTATTTGTAGCAGAAGGGGATTAGTGGAAGGGAAGAGCCTGCTTTGAGAGCCCTTGCTACACCAGGATCAATATTGACTTCTTGTGAGAGGGGGAGATCATATCCTGTTCCAGTAGGAAACACATTGCCTCTAATACTCTTAACACAGGGAGAGACCCAAACTATACACTTGGTGTGGAATTTTAAAAGGAAACATTTTTAAAATATTAGCAGGTAGGAAACAGATATTGAGGTACTAAAACAAGTCAGACAAGGAGATAGTGGGGGAGACAACTGGTAAGGAGCTAAAACTGAAATAAATAATGTGAAGCGAAATAATAGTTACTGTAACCCAACTGAACGTGGGTCCATTCACCCAGCATACAGAAACAAACACAAGCACCAGGATTTGCAGTGACAGAAAGGGAAGCATTGATTGCAGGGTGCCAAGCAAGGAGAACTGGGCAGCTAATGCTTAAGACCCTAACTCCCCAATGGCTTTCAGGCAAGGGTTTTAAAATTTTATTTATTTTATTGTTATTTGAAACAGGGTCTTGCTCTGTCACCCAGGCTGGAGTGCATTGATCCTGGCTCACTGCAGCCTTGTCCTCCCAGGCTCAAGCGATCCTGCCTACTCAGCCTCCTAAGTAGCTGGAACTACAGGCGTGCACCATCACCACACCTGGTTAATTTTTGTATTTTTATTTTCTAGACATGGGTTCTCACTATGTTGTCCAGGCTGGTCTCAAACTCCTGGGCTCAAGCAGTCCTCCTGCCTCGGCCTCCCAGAATGCTGGAATTACAGGTGTGAACCACCATGCCTAAATGGGTTTTTAAAATTTGAGATAGGGTCACACCATGTTGCCCAGGCTGGTCTTGAACTCCTAGTCTCAAGTGATCCTCCCACCTTGGCCTCCTGAAATTCTGGATTACAGGAGTGAGCCAACAGACTTGGCCCAAGCAAGGGTTTTTAAAGGCAGGGGTATATTTCAGGAAAGCAGAAGGTATAGGAAAGATAATAAATCAATACATGGAGGTTATACCTTGGTTTGGCCTCAAAAGGCAGGATATCTTGACACAGGGGCTTACAGGCCACAGGTGGATTCAGAGATTCTTTGGTTTGCAGTTGGTTAAGGGAGCAAGGCTTTGTCTAAAAACTTGGGTCAGCAGAAAGAAATATTAAGGTTCTAAGCTAAAAAGTATCTGAGACAATTTAGAAAATTTATTTTGCCAGGGTTAAGGACATGCCCGTGACACAGCCTCAGGGGCTCCTGACAACATGTGCCCAAGGTGGTCAGGGCACAGCCTGGTTTTATACATTTTAGGGAGACATGAGACATCAATTCATTTATGTCAGATGTACATTGGTTCAGTCCGGAAAGGCGAGACAACTCAAAGTCTATATCCAGGTCATAGGTAGATAGGAGACATTCTTTTGAGTTTCTGATTAGCCTTTTACTGAATCAAAGGAAGCAATCAGATATGTATTTGTCTCAAGTGAGCAGAGGAATCACTTTGAGTTCTGTCTGTCCTTTGTCCACAAGGAATTTCCTTGTGGGTAAATTGTGAGGGAGCTATGTAGTTTTTTTTTTTTTTCTTTTTTTATCTGGTGTCTAGGCAAAGTGGCTCACTTCTGTAATCCCAGCACTTTTGGAGGCTAAGGCGGGTAGATCACTTGAGGTCAGGAGTTCAAGACCAGCCTGGCCAACATGGTGAAACCCCATCTCTGCTAAAAATACAAAAAACTAGCTGGGCATGGTGGCACATGCCTGTAATCCCAGCTACTCAGGAGGTTGAGGCAGGAGAATTGCTTGAACCCAGGAGGTGAAGGTTGCAGTGAGCTGAGATCATGCCACTGCACTCCAGCCTGGGTGACAGAATGAGACTCTGTCTCTTAAAAAAACAAAATCTTTATAGCTATCTTATTTAGGTATAGAATGGGAGGCAGGTTTGTCCAATGCAGTTCCCAGCTTGACTTTTCCCTTTGGCTTAGTGATTTGGGGGTCCTAAGATTTATTTTCCTTTCATGAGGTTTAACCCGTGTGTGTGATTCTCTGCAGGCCCCTCAGGAAGAAATTTAGAACAGGGAATGGTGGTCAGAATTCAGTCCTCAGTTCCCGCTTAGCTGAGGTCTGTGTGACAGTGGTCAGCATTTTCCATCTGGTGGAGGTCCTGGTTTCTGAGAAACAACTCAAGAACTTATGTGAAGACGTTGTCTTTAGTTTCTATAGGGAACCGAACGTCTTGTAACTCTGTCTTATTTGGGTGACTATTATTTAAACTATTATTATCTTCTCGCTTAGCGGGACTGAAGGATAGCAAGGTGCTTGGAATTTCCCTTGAAGGAACTCAAGAGTTTTTATTTCCGTGCTTGAGGTGGCTAGCAGGTCCCTAAGAGTGTTCCTTGCTCTGTCTCCATGCCAGAAGTTTATTATGGGGTGAAAAGAGGAAGTTAAGGACAGGAGGCAAGACCTACTGAAGGCTCAAAAACTGACAGAGGAGGAAGTATGGATGTGGAAGTGAAAGAAGTCCACAGAGCTCATCACAAGATGAAGGTGGTCCCAGGCATCAGAGTTGATTATCTAATGAAATAAAGGAGAAGAAAGTCATACTGTTTTATAACAGGGAAACGTCGGCAGGTAGGAGCCATCATCCCCAAAGTTTTCTTGTACCTGCTGGGCAAGGTGTCAGAGCCCTGGCAATGGAAAGTGATTGGCCCACAGGGAGTAAGAATTTACCGACAACAATATAGGTTTGAAAAGGAAAGTTTTATTAGATTGAGAGAAAGCTGCAGAAGAGTGCAGCGGGCTGCCTCAGCGAGAGGACTGAGCGCGCCGGGGAGGATTTTCCTTAGGGGTATTTATGGACCTTAAAGCAAGAGCTTAGGGGTAATTTGGTCCATATTAGCCACATATGTCATGATAAATGATTACATTTGTAGACATTTTGGTGTCGTAATGTCAGCAAGGGTTGCACAATGAGTTTTGTCATGCATGCATTCCGGAGATGTATAGAGGTAGAGAAAGTCTAGTTACATATAAATTTTGGGGAAAGAAGCCTGGAACCGGCCTTAGATATAGGGAAGATCAATTATTTCTAAACTCCTCAGATAAGGAGTTCTGCCTCTGGATGGTCGGCTTCATGGCCACCAGGTGGTCTTTGCTCTCTTTAGTGGCCCCTCCCTCCTGGCCTCCTCATCTCCAGGCAATCTTTATGTCACTATAGATTCATTTGCATTTTGAGAATTTTATATAAGTGAAATTATTCAGTAGTACTCTTTTTTAAAATCCTTGCTTTCATTCAGCATAATTATTTTGAGATTCACTCATTTTTGGGGGGTATCAATAGTTTATTCCTTTTTCTTATTGTTAAGTAGTATCCCATTGTATGGCTCTATCATGATTTATTTATCTACTCACCTGTTGATGGATACTCTTGTGAGTCAGGGTTCTCCAGAGAAACAGAATCAATACACACACTCACACATAGACACACACACGGAGAATTATTTTAAGGAATTGGCTCACACAGTTGTGGGGGCTGGCAAGTCTGAAATCTGCAGGAAAGGCTGGTAGGCAAAAGTTGATGTTACAATCTGGTGTTGAAGGCAGTCTGGAGGCAGAAGTCCTTTCTCTTTGGGGGACCTCAGTCTTACCTCCTAGGGCCTTCAACTGATTGGATGAGGCCCACCCACATTAAGGAGGGTAATCTGCTTTACTCCAAGTCAATTGATTTCAATATTAATCACATCTAAAAAAACACCTTCACAGCAACATTTAGGCTGGTGTTTGACCAAACAACTAGGCACCGTATGCTAGCCAAGCTGATGCATAAAATTAGCCATCACAGAGTTGTTCCTGTTACAAACAAAGCTGCTGTGAATATTTGTGTACAATTCTTTGTACTGAAGGAAATAAAAATATTTTACCCAAGATAGATTTCTTTGACAGATTTTCAAATGGCCCTGCAAAGCTGTTTTTTGTGGGGGAACTTTGCATTGTGGAGAATCTCCATGAATGCAGCAAGGCCTTCCCTTGTCCAGATCTGGGAGAGATTAATGGAGTCTGACACCTGTAAAGATCTGGAAGAAACACTTACCATCTATTTTCTCTAAGGGGCTGCTATCTGTGAGATTTCGTCTGTATAACATGACTCCCTTGGCTAGCTGAGCCTCCTCTTCTTCCCCTCCCATATCCTGTCTTGCCACTAAAACCTGACTTACCACCATAACCTGTTTTTTTGGCCATGTTCTGAGCCTGCATTGCTTCTGTGAACCCAAAATATCTGATAGGTCTCAACCAATTTAGAAAGTTTATTTTGTCAAGGTTAAGGACATGCCCGTGACATAAAAGGACATGCCCGTGACATAGCCTCAGGAGGTCCTGATGACATGTGCCCAAGATGGTCAGGGTACAACTTGCTTTTATACATTTCAGAGGGACATGAGACATCAATCAGTATGTGTAACATGTACATTGGTTTGGTCTAGGTAAGGCAGGACAAATCAAAGCAGGGGCTTCCAGGTCATAGATAGATAAGAGATAAAGGTTACATTCTTTTGAGTCCTTGATAAGCCTTTCACTGAATACACAATTTAGTCTGGCTCAGTGAATCTGCATTTTTTTTTTTTTTGAGACAGAGTTTCACTCTTGTTGTCCAGGCTGGAGTGCAATGGCATGATCTCGGCTCACTGCAACCTCTGTCTCCCAGGTTCAAGTGATTATCCTGCCTTAGCCTCCTGAGTAGCTGGGATTACAGGCATGCACCACCACGTCCAGCAAATTTTTTGTATTTTTAGTAGAGACAGGGTTTCTCCATGTTGGTCAGGCTGGTCTCGAACTCCCGACCTTGGGTAATCCACCCGTCTCAGCCTCCCAAAGTGCTGGGATTACAGGCGTGAGCCACCGTGATCGGCACATTTTTACATAAGCAATCAGATATGCGTTTGTCTCAGATGAGCAGAGGGTGACTTTCTGTCCAGCACCTGTGAAGATAAGCTTTTCCTTGTGGGCAAATTGTGCTTTGTAGCTATCTTATTTAGGAATTAAAATGGGAGGCAGGTTTGCCTGCTGGAGTTCTCAGCTTGACTTTTCCCTTGGCTTAGTGATTTTGGGGTCCTGAGATTTATTTTCCTTTCACATTTCTGTAGCCTCAAGATGGCATATGAACTTCTGTACCTCACTGTGGAGCGGGGTCTTTGTTCTGAAGGCTGCTATGTATACATATGAAATAAATGTGTGTGATCTTTCTTTTAATGTCTGTTAATTAATCTGCCTCATGTCAGTGATTTTCAGTGAACCTCCAGGGGGCCAAGGGCTTTGGCCCCTACAGTATGGACATACAATTTTGTTTCTCTTAGGGAAATACCTATGAATGGAATGACTGGGTTATACATTGGAGGTATGTCTAACTAAAAGACTCCCTTCCAAACTGTTTTTCAAAGTGGTTGTACCGTTTTACATTCCCACCAGCATTGTATGAAAGTTTCAGTTGCTCTCATATCCTCTCCTGTCTTTTTTAATTGCTATCATCTGTCTTTTTGATTTTAGACATTGTAATAGGTATGTAGTACTATCTAATTGTGATTTAAATTTGCATTCCACTAATGACTAATGACGTGCCCCATCTTTAACGCAACATTTCCCTTTACTTGCAGGTTATTTTGCTTTGCAAGTTGGAAAGGCAAGATTAAAATACAAAGTTACGCCCCCAGCAGTCACTGGGTCACCAGAGTTTGAGAGAGTATTTCGGGCACAGTAAGTAATGCTTCTTCCACCCTTCATGGATCTGTGCCTGCCATACAGACACAATTCCTGACTAGGGGAAAGGGATATGGAGAAGACCCTAAGTTCATGTGCAATATCTAGTTATAACAAGTCACTCTTCACAGCCAAGACCGTTCTCAGAATCCAGAAAGTTTGAAGGGTTCGGGGCATGAAGTCTCTGCCCACATCTATTACCAATTCAGCAGGGTATATTTACAGAAAAGGCTGGGATCTCAGGAGGGACTGCTGTGTCTCCCAAGGAGGGTCACTGGGTCAAAGAGGCCCCCTGGAGCCTTGTGAGACCACAATAGTCTGAAGTTGGATTCGTTATGCTACAATTTTCTATCTTATTTTTTCCTCCCTACTTCAAAACAGAGGTAGATCAGGATTAATCTTTTGCCAGTTTCTCTGTGAACCATTTCTTAAAATCAGAAACCTGTAAGAATGAGAAAGCTTGCCAGCTCACATGCATGCGCCATGTTTTTTGATCATCTTGTGCTCCTTGTTTTTTCAGACCCACACAAAATGTTCCACCATAAACACCGTGAACTTGCCTGCTGCAGGAATGCTAGGGCGTACTTTATATTTCATCCCCCAAAATACGTGCTTTAAGAAACATTTCATGCGTCACCACTGATATATCATTGGGTTCTTTTGTTACCATCTTGGGATTTTTCATTTATGTTTACAAGTGAGATTGGCCTACACTTTGCCTTTCTTGTCTGGTTCTTGTCTCATTTTGATACAGATGAACCTAGTGTCAAATGAGTTGGAGGAAGCATCCTGTTCTACTTTCTCAGATAATTTTAATAAGGTTGGAAGAGTGTGTTCCTTCAAGGTTGTGTAGAACTTGCCTTAAAATAATCTGGGCCTAATGTTTTTCTGGTGGGAAATTTTTAAATTATGGGATTTGCATTCTTTAATGATTATTGGACTAGGCAGGCTTTTTGTTACATCTTGAATCAATTTTGGTAGGCCTTGGTCCTTGAGATGATAACATTGGTCTCTTGATTATCCACTTGCTCCAAGGAGGGTTTTACAGACTACTCCCTAGGCTTGAAAGCGTGGGGTGAATACCACCGGGAGTACACGAGATAATTGTAAGAGGTGTGTAGACTTGGTTTTAAATAACATTGAACTACATGATGAGAAGTCATTCTCATTTCAATTATCTTTGAATCCTTATGGTTAAGTCAAGTGGAAAGTATTGGTTTGGAGCCAGCATGTCCCACACCTCAAAATTAATGTTTATTTTTATCAAAGTAATTTATGTACGTGATCTGAAGATAAAGTGGGATTACAGGTTTTATGACAACAAATAACTCTTCCTTGTCCCTACCTCCCCTCTCCCTCTATCCCTAGAGATAACCCTTTTTGATTACTACTTTGGGTATTTACTTCTGTATTTCTAAACATTATACTTTCACTGCTATTTATTGATTCACAAATTTTAGACATTGTCAGTTGGCTTCTTTTTATGGAAGAAATAATTTCATGCTCCTTTACTTCTTCTTTTCCTTACCTCATCCTTCCAGTAACATTATATCACTCTGTTAGGTTAAATCAATAGCCAATGTTTATAATTATTGTGATTAAGAAAATAATGTTGAAAGCAGGGCCTTATAGTATACTGTGGTTACATTTCCTTCTTGTGCAATTTTTTTTCCCTAGGGTTAATAATTGCTCTTTATTTCTTTGTTTGCTTAGTTTCATGCCCAAATCTTCTGCAGAACTGAAAATCTCCTTTCGTTACATTCAAATGCATTAGATAATCTAGTAATACATTTTTCTGTCTTGGAGTCATTTCTGCCTGAGTCCTCCACTTTTCGCTTCAAGTTGCGGGATGCTCTTGGTGCTTGCTGCACAGCTGCTATCCTGGGACTTCCTGTCACCATCCTAGAAATTTCCCTTATACTGTCCTGATTTGGATTTCCTGGACCTCCTGTTTTCCTGTTTATTGGTTTTCTCTCTCTTTTTAGTGGAGTGCACCCTTCAGAAGCTTCCTGAGAAAGGGTGAATGTTTGGTAAAGTTTTGAGACTTCACATATCTGAAAATGCACCTTTATCTTGCCTCACAGTTAAGGGATGGCTTGTTTAAATGCATTTCTGTATTAGAAATCCTTACCCTTAGAGTTTTTGAAAAAATTTGCTCCATGGCTTCCTAGTTCCCACTGATATTGTTGAGATGTTCTGTGCTATTCTGATTCTGGACCTTTTGTTTGGAAACTATGGAAGCTTCAGGATCTTGCCTGGCCTACTGTCCCGAGATGTTAATAGCATTGTGCTTGTTGAGAGGCTTTTTCTTCACTGTGCTCAACCCCAGGTGAGGCCTTTTCACAGCCTGAAAACTCATGTCCTTCTGTTTTAGAATTTTTTTTTTGTTTTGAGACAGGGTCTCAGTGTTGCCTTGGCTGAAGTACAGTGGCACAATCTCACCTCACTGCAGCCTTGACCTGCCAGCCTCAGGCAATCCTCCTACCTCTGCCTCCTGAGTATCTAGGACTACAGATCTGTGCTACAATGCCCTGCTAATATTTGTATTTTTTGGTAGAGATAAGGTTTCACCATGTTGCCCAGTCTGGTCTCAAACATCTGGGCTCAAGCAATCTGCCCACCTCAGCCTCCCAAAGTGCTGGGAATACAGGTGTTAGCCACTACTCCTGGCCCAGAATATTTTTTAATATTATTTCTTCCCCCAGATTTCCTCTCCTTCATTTTCTCTGTTCTTTCATTCTTAAAACGCATACTAGTTGTGTGTTAACCTCCAGGACTGATCCTCTAGTTTTCTTTTATCTTCAGGTTTTCATAATTTTGGATTTTTGTTCTTTCAGAGGAATTTCCTCAACTTCTAACTTTTTATCTGAAATTTGAGATATCATAATTTTAATTTCCAATAACTTATTTTTATTCTCTGATTGCTTTTTAGTTGTTGGTGCTGATGTTAAACCGTCACTTTTTTATTTCATTGATGTAGTTTATTCTCTTATATTTGAGGATTTTAATTATAATTTTAAAAATTCTCTGTAACATTTCTGTTTCTTCCAAGTATCTTTGTGTCTTTTTTGGCCTTTGTCTTTCATTTGTATTTATTATTTACCCATTAAGTATTTATTGAGCACTTCTGTGTACCGGGCATTGTTATAATAGCTTGGCCTAGATCCATGAACAAATCCCACAAAAATCCTTGCCCTCTTGGAGTTTGCTGAGGAAGCCAGAAAATAAACAATAAGCAGATGATATTATAAGAAAATAATATAAGCTGGGCATAGTAGCTCACACCTGTAATCCCAGGGACTCAGTAGGCCCAGGCGGGAGAACTGCTTGAGACCAGAAGTTCAAGAGCAGCCTGGGCAACATAGCAAGAGCCCCCTCTCTCTATTAAAAAAAAATTAAAAAATTAGCCACATGTGGGTACATACCTGCAGTCCTAGCTACTTGGGAGGCTGAGGTTGGAGGATTGGTTGAGCCCAGGAGTTCAAGGCTTCAGTGAGCTATGATCATGCCACTATACTCCAGCCTGGGCAACAGCGAAAGACCCCAACTCAAAATGAAAGAGAAAATCATATATTATGTTAGAAGGTAATTGGTGCTAAAAAAAAAAAAAACAAAAACAGAAAGGATAGCGTTGTAAGAGGGTATGGGATGGGTTCCTGGGGGGTAAGTTGGGTGGTCTGTGATATACAATAAAGCTATGGGTGTAGGTCCCGCTGAGAAGGTGGCATTTGTGAACATGTAGAGAAAGAGCTCTTGGGTCAGAGACAATAGTCAGAGAAAAGCCCTTAGCTGAGGATACACCCAGTGGGTTAGTCAGGAGGTTAGGGGGCTGCAGGGAGCCTGGCAGGGAGTGGGAGGAGGTCAACTCAGAGAGGTCATAGACGGCTGGGTCACACTGGGCCTTAAAGGCCACTGTAGGGGACTTTGGCTTTTCTCTGAGTGAAATGGAAAGTCATGACAGGGTTTTAAGCAAAAGAGTGACATGATCTTATATTTTAAAAGGAGAATCCTGTTTGCTTTGCTGAGAAGAGCCTGTATAGAGGCATTGGTAGAAGCAGAAAATGCATTTAGAATTCCAGGCAAGAGATGATGGTGGCTGTGTTGCAGAATTTTTGCTCCTTAGTTCAGCTAAAACTGGGTTCTTGTCACATGGCCAGGAAAGATTAGGCGTGCTGACACATTGAAGGGTGAGTAGAGCAGAATTTATTGGATGTAAAGGAAAAAAAGAAAAAAAAAAAAAGAAACTCAACAAAGCGGGAGGGGGTCCTACTCACAGGCCCCTGCCTCGCAGATTAATTCCAGGTCACCACCCACGAGCTGGAGACCAGGCTCCTCCCTCTGCACAAGGTTCGAACTTCCTGTGGCTCCACCCTGTTCCTCCAGTGAGCATGCAGGCTTTATTCAGAAAGAATCAGTTTGGAAAGGGCAGGCAAGCGGGGGCAGTTCTCCCTCAGGGTGGCAAGTTTCATCCTGGACCAGCAGTCCAGGCTTTCAGCCTTCAAGCTTTTTTAGACTTGAGGGTGGGGTTTCACCAGGGACCCTTGGCTGTCTCCTGTCTCTGTCAGCTAGAGCCAGGGAGATAGCAGTGAAATGATGGGAAGTGGTCAGGTTCTGGATATATTTTGAGGGTAGACTCATAGAATTTTCTGACATAATGAATGTGAAGTGTGAGAACAGTCAAGAATGATTCTTGGATTATTGGCCTGAGCATCCATCCCAAAGGATGGCCTTGCGATGATCTGAGATGGAGAAGGCTGCAGGAGAACTGGTTTTGGGGAAGTATTAGGAGGTTCTGTCTTGACATGTTGTGTTTGAGATGTGACTTAAGGAGAGGCCTTAAGCATTATGATCTACTAAGCTATTTGGATTGTTTATGATTGCATCATAAACTGACAAATACATTGTTGGTTACAC
The DNA here is from genome assembly GCF_000001405.40 of Homo sapiens. Lineage (NCBI taxonomy): Eukaryota > Metazoa > Chordata > Mammalia > Primates > Hominidae > Homo > Homo sapiens. The sequence goes on from NC_000004.12 coordinate 139,683,560, forward strand.
CTCCAAGTAGAGAGGCAGCTGGATAAACAAATCTGCATTTTAGGAGAGAGAGCTGAGCTGGAAATATAAATTCAGGGGTCATTGGCACAGGAAGATGATTTACAGCCATGAGACTGGATAAAATCACTTAGGGGAGTGTGTGTAGGTGTATTAGTCCGTTTTCACACTGCTGATAAAGACATACCCGAGACTGAGCAATTTACAAAACAAAGAGGTTTAATTGGACTTACAGTTCCATGTGGTTGGGGAAGCCTCACAGTCATGGAGAAAGGCAAGTCACATTTTACATGGATGGCAGCAGGCAAAAAATGAGAGAGCTTGTGCAGGGGAATGCCTCTTTTAAAAACCATCAGTTTTGTGTTTTTTTTTTTTTTTTTTTTTTTGAGATGGAGTCTCACCCTGTCACCCAGGCTGGAGTGCAGTGGCCACAATCTTGGCTCACTGCAACCTCCGCCTCCCAGGTTCAAGCAATTCTTGTGCCTCAGCCTCCTGCGTACTGGGACTACAGGTGCCTGCCACCATGCCTAGCTAATTTTTTGTATTTTTAATGGAGACAGGGTTTCACCATGTTGACTGGGCTGGTCTTGAATGCCTAAACTCAGGTGATCTGACTGCCTTGGCCTCCCAAAGTGCTGGGATTACAGGTATGAACCACCGTACCCGGCCTAAAACCATCAGATCTTGTGAGACATATTCACTGTCACAAGAATAGCATGGGAAAGACTTGCCTCCATGATTCAATTACCTCCCACCAGGTCCCTCCTACAACACGTGGGAATTCAAGATGAGACTGGGGTGGGGACACAGCCAAACCATATCAGTAGGTAAAGAACAAAAGAGGACTGAGCCCTGATGGCATCAGGAGGTCAAGATGATGACAAGGGTCCTGCAGAGAGATCTGAATAAAGGAGATCTTAGAGGTTTTACCCAAACATCTGGTATTAATAATTCTCAACTGGCTGTTAAGAAAGAGGCATTAGAGAGTGACGTGGAAGCTCCATGTGCATGGCTGGGGCTTATGATTGGTCAGGAGGCAGCTTTCTTCTGGAGAACCCTCAAAGTATCTGTAGGTCATCTTTCTGGTACCACTTAGTTTCTCTAGAGAAAACTCTTTAAACCTCCTTCAGGGGTTGAAGGAAAGAGGGGTGGAGATAGGATAATAGGCCTGACTTTTGAGAGTGCAGTAGTAAAGACAGGAAGGTTTTTCGACTGTGCAGTGTGCAGCATGCAGATTCTGACTGTTTTCAGGACAGAATTTTACCCCCACCCTCTATTATTCCTGAAGTCCCTAACAGTCTCTGGTTCTGTTTCTCCAGGCAATAAGCCTCCCACCTCCTGTGATGGGGAGCAGGCTGGGGCTCAGGAGTGGGAAGCAGAGGTGGAGGGCAGCTAAGCCCTCCTTATTCAGTTTTTCAACCACTCTTAAGTTCCAGCCTTTGGCCTCTAAGGTACCTGGGGTGCCCAATTCCTGAGCTTCTTTTGGTTCTGGGGTAAGGATGGTCTCAGTCTTCATTGCTTCTTCCTTCAGCAGGCACATAGGTTTCAGCTTTCTGTACTCTACCAGTCCAGCCACTGTTCCTCCATGTGCTGTCTTTCCCGCAGAATTTTGCTAATGGCTCTCTTCCACTCTTGAGAGATTGTTTGGAGGTTCCAGCAGGGGAGCATAGCTACTCATATACCCTTGACCGAAAACTGGTCCTCCTCTATGGAGGATGGTCGTCCTCTTTGACTGAGCATGCAGCTTTGGGAGGGACGCACATGGAGTGGGGAGGGAGGAAGGGAACACCCGCCTAGCCAGCCAGATCAGCCGAATCAACCCTGGCAATTGATGGGGTGACAGATGTTGCAGCCAGATTACCCTCACTTCCTCTCTTTTACTCTTGTGTCTGCTCTCATTCTCTTTGTTCTTGATTACTCATATCTATTTTTTTTTCTTTAACTAGCATTTTAGTGAAGCTTCAGAAGTGAGAAGAAATGAGCATGGGTTCAATCTGCCATGTTTAACAGGAAGTCATCATGATACATTTTTGATATCCTGTGCACACCCATTTTCCCTTGTCAACAAAAAGAGTCAAACTCTATAAAATACTTAAAGAGATTTATGTATGTATTTATTTATTTTTAGACAGAATCTCACTCTGTCGCCCATACTGGAGTGCAATGGCGCAATCTTGGCTCACTGCAACCTCCCCTTCCTGGGTTCAAGCGATTCTCTTGCCTCAGCCTCCCCAGTAGCTGGGACTACAGGCATGTGCCACCACACCCGGCTAATTTTTGTATTTTTAGTAGAGACAGGGTTTCACCATCTTGGCCAGGCTGGTCTCAAAGTCCTGACCTCAAGTGATCCACCCTCCTTGGCCTCCCAAAGTGCTGGGATTACAGGCATGAGCCACCACACCCAGCCTGAAGAGATTTATTCTGAGCCAAATATGAGTGATCATAGCCCATGCCACAGCCCTCAGGAGGTCCTGAGAACACGTGCCCAGTTTGTTTGGGGTGCAACTTGGCGTTATACATTTTAGGGAGATATGAAACTTCAATCAAATACATTTAAGAAATACATTGGTTTTGTCCAGAAAAGTGGGACAATGTGAAGTGTGGTGGGGTGGGAGCAGGGGGCTTCCAGCTTATAGGTAGATTTAAAATTTTTCCTGGTTGACAACTGGTTGAGTTTATCTAAAGACCTGGGATCAACAGAAGGGAATGTCTGGGTTAAGATAAAGGATTATGGAGACCAAAGTTCTTGTTTGCAGAGGAAGCCTTCAGATGGTAGGCTTCAGAGAGAATAGTTTGTAAAACGTTTCTTATCAGCCTTAAAGTCTGTGTTGCTGTGAATGCTGAAGAGGTATAAGGGGGTATGTCTGACTCTCACTTTCCATCATGGCCTGAAACAGCCTCTCAGGTTAAATTTTTAAAAGAGCCCTGGCTGAGGAGGAAGTCCATTCAGATGGTTGGGGGGCCTTAGAATTTAATTTTTGGTTTACACCCTATTCAACAGAGAAAGAATCTCATGGTCAGAGCCGTCAGCAATCATTAGTATCTAACTAGAATTTAGTAACTTTTTGCTTTCATTGGATTTATTTTTATACTTAACCTTTATTTAGAAAGCTACACTCTTTCTGCTCTTGTAATGATGTAAAATTTATTTTTTCTTAATTTAAGCAAAAAAGCTGATTTGTAGAAAGATAGTGATACATTAAAAGGCTAAAACTTTCACAGTGTTAGATTAATGCTTGAAGTTTGGGAGACACTATGCTATTTATAAAAATCATCACGGGAGGAAATTCCGGATCTTCCCACTTTGTCTTTCATGATCTGAAAACTTGTTGGGAACTACTGGGTATCAAGGAGGCTAAGTCCCTGGGCCACTTCTTGGTTCTATTTTTATTCTCATAGTTTCCACAAATTTGACTTTCTTTGAAGTTATTTTGCTCTCCCTCCTCTTCTATATCTGGAATCCTCTTGTCCCAGGAATAAAACTGAACACCATTTCCAAGTATTTCTCTCAAGTTACTATTTATAAAGTAAGTACTGTATACAAACCCAGTTTCCTTGTTAGAGATGTTTTGCTTTGTTGGATTAATCATGGTAGAACAGAGAGTAGTTAAAAAATGACGATCAATAATCAGGACAGATTTGGAGCCAGGAAATACTTTGAGCAACAACACAGTAGTTGTTCCCCTGGTTTCTCACTGAAGAGTGAATGGGGATGGCTCCACTCCATACTTTGAATTTCTTCTTGAATTTTCCCAGCCCTAGCCCAATTTTTGCCTTAGATTCTAAGGCGTAGGATAAATCGGGCCAAACCAAATCAAGAGTCATTGCTTGCAAAGCCATTTAGACTTTATCTGAAGTAGTTAGAGCAGAATTCCCTGGGATAACCAGTTCAGTCCAAAGCCTACTTGGTTATCTGTTTTTTTCCCTGGAGGAGGAATGCACTGTCTTTTCTGGCTCTCCTGGACCAGAAGCACTGGTTTCCCTTTGCCTCTTTGGAAGGACTTAGAGCTTAGAGGTCCAGCCTTTTCCCTACCCTTTTCTCCTGCTGATTTTGCCCTCAGCATAGCCAAGAAGCCCAAAGTTATGACTAATTCTATCTTTAGGTGGACCTGGACATCTCATCAGCGTCACTTCAAGGTTCACTGATCCTAAAGGACTGTTTCTTGTTGGAAGGTCATCTCAGGGTGGGTATCTATTTGTGACCAGAGCTGATATGGAGTCCAGCCTTTCTGAGTTACTAGCCCTGGGCTCCTTAAAATCTCCATTCACTTCCTCTTCCCTTCCTTACAGGAGAGGACTTACAGATGACAGTCTCTAGAGTCTTGCCGTCTTTTGCCAGAATACATTTTTTAAAATTGTGAAAATAGCAACTATAATTTCACCAAGGACCATTCCTTTACGTTATTACTGAATTTAGAAAATTCTATCTCATCTAATCTGAGCACCTTGATCCCTTTAGAGTAAAGTCATTTTATAAAATCTAAAAAGTAGATCCAAGTAATAAATTGATTTTCTTGCAATTTAAATACATTTCCTCTGATTCTACCTTCACTGGAAGGGGAGAATAGCTGCTGACCTCACTCCTTTTCATGTGCTGAAAGACCATTATTAAGCATCTTTCATCTTCTGGATTTTGAGGCTAGGGAGCACTAATTCTTCAGCTTTTTTTCTCCAACCATTTAGAAATTTTGGTTCTCTTTAGACAAAAATTTTTAATATTATTTCTAAACCTGGAGTCTAGATGTATATCTAGTATACTAATAATGGTTTCTTTGGTGCTGGTTAAGACAGAAGAATTGCTTCTTAGTTCTTGTGAATGCACTCCTATTTGCTTAATGCTGAATTATTCAGTTCCTGTTCCAAAATTAACCTGCCACAAGGCACAGGTAAGCCTGATCATCGTGAATCTCGGTACCCTTTAGAAATATTAGCCTCTTCTCATTCTACTGTGATTCTGTATTTTTTTTTTTTACATTTTATTAACTTTTTAATGTCATTTTGAATTCTGATTCTGAAATTTGGAAATTAAAACTAGTGACCTTAATGCATGTCTAAAAACTATGGAGAAAAAGAAAATTTACAAGAATAGTGATTTTTCAGGTATTGTGCAACTATAAGATTACAGTAATGTGGGCAACTGGCTTTTGTAATAAGTGGAAAAAAAAGAGACAGTAAACATATTCCTGTTTTCTTACAAGTGTAACCATCATGGACAATAGCAGAAAGCACTAGATGCCCTTATCCACTGAATTATTATAAAGGGCTGGGGGCTGGGCGCAGTGGCCCGTGCCTGTAATCACAGCACTTTGGGAGGCCAAGGTGGGTGGATCACTTGAGGTCAGGAGTTCAGGACCAGCCTGGCCAACGTGATGAAACCTCGTCTCTACTAAAAATTACAAAAATTAGCTGGGCGTGGTGGCACATGCCTGTAATCCCAGCTACTTGGGAGCTGAGGCAGGAGAATCATTTGAACCCAGGAGGCGGAGGTTGCAGTGAGCTGAGATCACACCACTGCACTCCAGCCTGGGTGACAGAGTGAGACGCCATCTCAAAAAAAAAAAAAAAAAAAAAAGGGATCTCCCAAAATGACAGAGTGACTCTGTGTGATGAGCTCCTCAAACTCCAGTGTCCTTACCAATACCAAGCAGCATCTGTCACATAATCCGGGAGATTCTCCAGGTGGTCAGGGGACAAGAGGGAGCTGGGAGGTGGAGGAACTGCAAATCTCCTTTCCCTGCATGCTCTTTGTGTTCCCTACAAGCAGCACCACTGAAGGGCAGTGGTGGGACTCATGCTCTCCTGCCACCAGCCGCCACCTCCCTATTGTGTCCCACTCAGAGTTACTTGACAAGGAGCAATTTAGACAGTTACACGTCTTTATAAAAAGATTAACTCCAGCAACCTCTCATCCCCAAGCCTTTTCTGAGCATATTAACCTGTTGCTCTGATCCCAGTCAGTGTAATCATCCAAAAGACCGCCCAGGGTCCAAAGTCAGAAGACCAAGGCCGGGTCATCCATTCAGAGTGCAAATGGCTCATGGCAGTGTACAGCCCACTGGTTCAGGATGAGTCACCTAAACAAGAAGAGAAAAAATCAGAAGCAAACAGAAAACCTGCAAGAAGCAAACTTCCTTTGAATTGCTTTGTCTGTTTTTATTTAGAAAAAGATCTACTGTGAACCTGGCATTAGAAATGGCTCATGAGGTTTTCCTTAGGAGAATGTTTCATATTTTCTGAACAAAGTTGTTGCAAGCAAAGTTGCATATTGTGTTCGTTGGACACGGTCAAATAGAGAAATATTCATAAAAAGTTTTAGGCCAGAAGTCTCCCAAGTGATGTGCCCACATTGAAGGAATACACTAAGTAATCCACTGTGAGGGTGAGGAAAATATTGGAGCATCTGTTTATACTTATTCTTAAAATCCTATCCTTTAATTAAAAAAAATTTTTTTTGAGACAGAGCCTTGCTCTGTTGCCCAGGCTGGAGTGCAGTGGTGCGATCTTGGCTCACTGCAGCCTCCGCCTCCTGGGTTCAAGCGATTCTTCTGCCTCAGCCTCCTGAGTAGCTGGGACTACAGGCACGCACCACCATGCTCAGTTAATTTTTGTATTTGTAATAGAGTCAGGGTTTCACCATATTGTCCAGGCTGGTCTTGAACTCCTGACCTCAAGTGATCCACCTGCCTCGGCCTCCCAAACTGCTAGGATTACAGGTGTGAGCCACCGCTCCTGGCCTTAAATTTTTTTAAAAAAATTTTATTTTTTTATAGAGATGAGGTCTCACTGTGTTGCCCAGGCTGGTCTCAAACTCCTGGCTCAAATGATCCTTCTGTCTCTGCCTCCCAAAGGCCCGGGATTACAGGTGTGAACCAGCTTCCTGATCCCCCATCCTTTAATTTTTATGATGTTTGTTTTATAATGAATATGATATTCTTTTCCAGTTGAATGTATTAGCTGTGCTAATGGATAAATCCCAGATTCTCCATGGTTTAACACAGTGGAAGTTCATGTCTTGCTCAAGTCTGGTCCTATGTGGGAGCTCCTGGGTGTGGGCCTCCTCTGCTGCAGGAGGATGTGTGCATATTTTTATGGGGCTGTGCAACTGTTAGAGCTATGCAATCAGAAAAGTTTGGAGACTAGTGTTGAAGGAACTGCCACATTTGGAGCTGCCAGGCCACAGTTTGATTCTTTTTCCCACCCCCAAATAACATAAACTTTGTAGTATACTTATTGACTGAGACAAGGCCCAAATAGCACTTAGTTTGGGCCATCCTTACTGCTCCTGGTTACCAGATCCAGGTGGGAATGTGCAGTAGTCCTGAGCCCCCAGGGCCCAGGCTCCATGGTACTGGGATGAACAACAAGGGGTCTCAGCAGCTTTAACTACTCAATCTCCACAGTGCCCACCAGACTCTTTCCAGTTCTTCTGGGTCTTACCCAGTTTTAGCACTTAAAGCTCCATGTCCCCCTAAATTCCTCAGTCCCAGGCAAACCAAGATAGCGTTCATGGGAAGCTTCAATATCAAAGGAGCAGGGGATTGTTCAAAGAGGGCTCTCGCCAGGGAATGAGTATACACAGCCTGTTTTCCCATGGACAGCCTGTTTTTCCAGTATGGACATGCAGAGAGGAGACAGTGGTCATAATCAACTCTACCCCCTGTTCTCACAGGAAGGGAAGATTGACAGCTACTGCAGGCTGTTTGCTGTTCCATTTGGGAAATTTTCCTGAGGATCCCCTGTAATAAGAGGATAGAATATATCTGCCTTCATGACTTAAAAGAGGCTATAAATTATTTTCATGTCAATGAAACTGTAATTAGCCACTGACAGGATTGTCAAGAAGTAATTTTCAGAGTTTGGTCCCCTTGAGTTAAACATGCCTGCTGACAGCTTACTGAGGACGTGTTATTGTGGGACACCATCCAGGCCTGGAGGGACCCAGAATCAGGCAGAAGGACATGGTCACATGGTGGAGGGGCTGGAGGAGGTGACAATTAGCAGGTAGAATGGGATTCCAGGTATTTCAAGGCCAAACCAATACTTGGTGCTTTCACCAGGCAGGCAGCAGGGAAGACTGTCAGCAACAAACAGGGCACCCCACTGGCAGTCAGATGATGATGATGATGATGATGATGATGATGATTATTATTATTATTATTTGAGACGGAATCTCACTCTGTCACCCAGGCTGGAGTGCAGTGGCGTGATCTCGGCTCACTGCAAGCTCCGCCTCCTGGGCTCACACCATTCTCCTGCCTTAGTCTCCCGAGTAACTGGGACTACAGGCACCCGCCACCACGCCCGGCTAATTTTTTATATTTTTTAAGTAGAGACGGGGTTTCACCGTGTTAGCCAGGACGGTCTCGATCTCCTGACCTCGTGATTTGCCCACCTCGGCCTCCCAAAGTGCTGGGATTACAGGCATGAGCCACTGCGCCCAGCAATTATTTTCAATCTCTGAGAGATGATAGCAAGAAATGGGCAAAGTCTCATTTCCAAGGGACTAAGGCTTGAGGCAGGTCAGCAAAAGAGGGACCAGGGTGAAAGTACAATGAGCACAGCTGGGACGTGAGGTTGGGGTGAGCTCAGCAGTGACCAGCCACTTGTAGGGGACAAAGGGCCTATTTCTTGAGAAAGAAAGGTACAGAGATATGGTGCTGAGCTGCTCCAGTACTCCAGGTGTTGCCATCCTGTGAGCACAAACGCAGCTGCAATCACATCCTTGCCTAAATCTCAGTGGCTTCCAGCCACCTGCTGCTCACCCAGGATCCCAGCACCCCGGTTCCCCATCTTCCCAATTCCTTCTGGGAATACAGGGGATGTGCCCAGGGACACAGCTCCTGCTGGCAAGCAGCTGAAGCAAGGGGCTATGCCACTGTCCTGCTCCCCAGTCCTCTGTGAGTACAATACCCTCCCCAGGTTCTGGAGTGCCTTCCACCACCACCAGGAGCTGCTCTGGGTCTGTGGCAGAGGGAGATTAAGGGTGTGACTCTCCCCGACTTTGTCTCTTCTGTCATCTGAGGCATGGCACCACTTGTATCTGGAATCTCACCAAGTTTTTCATGAGGACGATCCGTCAGCATCTGTTCTGGTCTCTGGTTTCCCATTAGGTGTGAAACTAGTTCCCTAGCTTGTGAGGGCAGCAGGGGAACTCCAAAACATCCCCTCTATTTTTATTTCCTTTCTCCTTGCTCAAAGGCCTTCTTCCTCTTTCAGATAAGAGACACAAAAGCACACATGCCTATCAATTTATGTGGACAGACACCCAAAGGGCTTCTGCCCTCTGCAGTGCAGTTTGGACTTAGGACATTCTTACACAATATTATCTCTTTGTCCCCAGATGCCAAGCCAAGGCCACTAGAAAAACCTCTAAATAATTAGACTTTTATGAAGGCTAACCTGGGCTATTTTTGAAGGTGCTTTTAAAACAATCTTATCACACCTAATTTTGAATAAAGATATGTTGTGGAAAAACTTGATGCTTACATTTGGAATAATTTAAGGTGTATTACAAAACAATAAATGATGGGACAATTGTGTTATGTTTCCAAAAAAGTTCATATAAAATTTCAGTGAGTGGGCTGGGCGCGGTGGCTCACGCCTGTAATCCCAGCACTTTGGGAGGCCGAGGTGGGCGGATCACGAGGTCAGGAGATCGAGACCACGATGAAACCCCGTCTCTACTAAAAATACAAAAAATTAGCCGGGCGCGGTGGCAGGTGCCTGTAGTCCCAGCTACTCGGGAGGCTGGGGCAGGAGAATGGCGTGAACCCAGGAGGCGGAGCTTGTAGTGAGCCGAGATCGTGCCACTGCACTCCAGCCTGGGCGACAGAGCAAGACTACGTCTCAAAAAAAAAAAAAAAAAAAAGAAATTTTCAGTGAGTGTGGAAGGACTAGAGCCTTCCTCTGCTACTACTACATTTTACCTCGTGGGAAACAGGCCTATGGATTTAGCCAAGGAAAAAGAAACGTGGGAATGCTGTTTATTCCTTGCATAGCCGTAATATAAAGTATGAATTTTATCAAGTATCTTTTCACTCAACCTATCATAGCCACTCAAAAAGATGTTAATGGAAAGACAACCATCAGAAGCAAAATCATGCCAAGAACGAGAAGCAGCAGGAGGAAAAACTTTGGTTACTTCTGTGAGTTCTAGAAAGTTGTAGTTACGGTTTGCAAGAGTATCAGTGTTAGGCTTTAGACAAGACATTCCTTGGGTCACCAGTGGCCTTTTGGGTGGTAATGGCCACAGTCCAAAAAGGAAGAAGAAAGCAATTTTGCATTCATATTATCCATTTCCAATTTTTTAGGGGACTGATGGTCACTCTCCTGGCCCTTAGAGATGTGTGTGGGTAACCTCGCTGGTGTCTTTGCTGGTGGGGTTAAAATTTTCCATACGTGCTTCAGGACTCTACCTCAGCCATGTCTTTCTGTGAGCATTGAGCTTGTTAATGATGCATGTTTCTTACCCAGCTTTAAAAGATGATTGAGTTATTACTGGGGAGTTATTATTGGGGAGTTTTTTCCCATGTAGTTGAGGCATAAGTTGATAAGGTTGAGCTGACCTAGACGCAGTTTTCTGTGGGATTATGGAGAATGAGGGAAGAATTACGCTTTGTAATTATGCTTTTTTTTTTTTTTAAATTCAGAGAAAAAAGATCACTTATGGTGACCCAGGCTAAAAGACCTAGGTCTTCAACAACCAGCGTCATCTATTTCTAGATCAATTGCCTTGTAATATTAAGTATTTAAGCTTTGAGGCTTACTGAAGGAAAGATATGGGGTCATTTACAATCCTGTAGACTATGACCTTCCACCAGGATCTACTCAAGACCTCATCACACATTATGTTAAATTCTTTCTGGTGGTGAAATTGTCAGCAAAGAGCTCGGCCAACCTAACCAAGATCACTTGGAGTTATACCTTAGGAGGGAGGATGAATATAAGTCATCTTTTTCCCCTTTGTTAGATGCAGATGAATTAATTATAGTTCCCAGAGAACTATTCCCTTTTGCTTAAATTAGTGTCAGATTTTCCATCCACGTCTTCTATGAATAGAGGCAATATGACTTGACATTAGGACAGAGCTTTGGAATCTAGAGATGGATGCTGTCTATCTTTGATTCTCTGCAATGCATGTCAGTCTGGGCTCTCAGGCCTTAGTTTCTTCCTCCATAAAATGGGAATGAAATATGCTCACTGATTTACTTCAGGAGATTTTAAGGGAATTATTTAAAGACCATTTTGTAATGTTCTGGGTAACTCAAGTGGAAGGCAATGGATGTGAGGGAATTTTTAAAATAAGAAATCTCTTGAATATGAATTGAGTAATCTCTTAAGTTCTTTAGATAAGATATGGAGTGATCTTTAGGCTCAGGAGGCCTGTCTTTTGGGAAAGTGCTATAACTCACTTCTACTACCGGCAACTTAATACGTAAGAGAATATTCTTGGCCCTGCTCTGAGGTTTAAACAATGTTCAACCTTGAAAGATTGATTTTAAATGTAAAGGTCATTTAAACTCTTTTGTAAGTTCTTATATTTTGTTAAAATAGGCTGAACATTTACCTCTAGATGAAAAATCAATGCTTCAGTGTATACTTTTCTCATAAAATAACCTATGTCTTTATTTTTTTCTGCAGACAAAACTGTGTGGAGTTTTATCCTATATTCATAATTACATTGTGGATGGCTGGGTGGTATTTCAACCAAGGTAATGTTAAAATACAGTCAACTGTGTTCTAATGATGACTGTGATGCTTAAACGATTAAGGAGTAGATATATGGCCAGGCACGGTGGCTCACACCTATATTCCCAGCACTTTGGGAGGCCCAGGTGGGTGGATCACCTGAGGTCAGGAGTTCGAGACCAGCCTGGCCAAAATGGTGAAACCCTGTCTCTACTAAAAATACAAAAATTAGCTAAGTGTGGTGGCGCATGCCTGTAATCCCAGCTACTTGGGAGGCTGAGACAGGAGAATCACTTGAACCCAGGAGGTGGAGGCTGCAGTGAGCTGAGATCGTGCCACTACACTCCAGTCTGGGTGACAGAGACTCCATCTCAAAAAAACAAACAAAAAAAGGAGCAGATATGCAACTATATAGCTACCAATCCTGGAGACTAAACAAAATAAACAGTGTGTGCATCAGAGTGCTATGTTGCAGGTATATGAACTTTGGCTTCATTCTAATTTAATTCAATAATGAAAAAAATATTGAGACAAACTATATGCTAGATACTCAAGAATGAGAACGACATGAGCTTTGTCTTCAAATCTAATAATCTACAGTTGACTCGAACAATGGAGGGGTTGGGGTGCTGACCCCCCGCCCCACACACACACAGTAGAAAATCTGCATGTAACTTGATAACCCAAAACTTGACTACTGATATCCTATTGGTCTGGAAGCCTTACTGAGTACAGTCTACTAATAAATATTTTGCATGTTTTATGTATCATATACTGTATTCTTGCAATAAAGCAAGCTAGGGAAAAGAAAATGTTATTAAAATTATAAGTAAGAACAAATATTTACTATTTATTAAGTGGAAGTGGACCATCATAAAGGTCTTCATCCTCATCATTTTCACGTTGAGTAAGCTGAGGAAGAGGAAGAAGAGGGGTTGGTTTTGCTGCCTCAAGGGTGGCAGAGTCAGAAAAGGTGAAGGAGGTGGAAGCGGAGACAGAATTGGCAGGCGCAGTAGGTATAAATTTATAGAAATATCATTTCTGACGTTTTTGCTTTTTTTCTCTAAAAATGTTTCTATATAGTACCAATCCTTCTTCCACTGTTACGTTTAGTTTCAGTGCTTGTATCATAGAAGGGTCCATGTCATAAAAGAAGTAAAAAAGCAGACTTGAATCATCAGAACCCTTCTGCCAGATTGTCTAATGTCAATTTGTTTTCTGGTACTGCCTCTTCTGTCTTCTTCCTTATCATCTGGCAGTGGTTCAGAGCACTCGTCTCTACCAAGTCATCTTCTGTTAATTCATCTGGCGTGGTGTCTATTAGCTCTTGAATTTCTCCAAGATTCATATCTTGAGACCCTTCATCCCCCACATTCTTTGCCACAGCCACTATCTCTTTCATGATTTCCTTGATTGGCTCTGTTGTAAATCCTGTGAGTGTCATGCACAACGCCTGTACACAGTGTTCTTCAGCAAGAATTTATTGTTTCAGGTTTGACGGCTTTCACAACCTTCCTATAACAATGCTAGCATCTTCAATGGTGTAATCCTTCTAGGCATTCATAATGCTGTTTCTATCAGGGTTCTCTTCCACAACATTGACGATCATATCCATAGAGTACCTTGTATCATGAGCCTTAAAGGTCCTGATAACCCCCTGATTTAGAGGCTGAATTAAAGATGTTGTGTTTGGGGGCAAGTAGACTACTTTTATGCCTTCCACGTTGAACTCATGGGGTTCTGGGTGGTCAGGGACAGTGTCCAATATCAAAAGAATGTTAGAAGGTAATCCCGTCCTGACTTCAGGGACAAAGCATTGATGGAACCAATCCAGAGAAGGGGTTCTTGTTGTCCAAGCTTTTTTTTTGTACAACCAAATGACTGGCAGGTGCTGTTTATCTTTTTCCTTAAGGCTCAGGGGGTTAGCAACTTTATAGATAAGGGCAGTCCTGATTATAAACCTGACTGCATTTACACAAAACAGTAGAGTTAGCCTATCCCTTCCTGCCTTAAATCCTGGAGCTTGCTTCTCTTCTTTACTAATAAATGTCCTTTGTGACTTTTTTTTTCTCCCCCGGGACAGGGCACTTTTGTTTGCATTAAAAACCTGTTCAGGCAGATATCCTTTCTCCTCAATGATTTTCTTAATGGTGCCTGGGAACTCATGTATTGCTTCTTGGTTGGTAGAAGCTGCTTCTCCTGTTATCTTGATATTTTAAAAGCTAAACTTCTTTCTAAAATTATCAAACCATCCTTTGCTGGCATTAAATTCTTCAGCTTTAGATCCTTCATCTTCCTTTTGCTTAAAGTTGTCATACAAGGATTTTGCTTTTTCTCGAATCCTATTAGAGTCTACAAGTATGTGTTTCTTTTTTCTTTTAATAGTTTAATGTATTTTAATAGCAAACTTACAGGAACAGCACAGAAGACAGACAACATTAAAAACATGTACTTGCATGTAGGACAACTCAGTTAGAAAAGTATAGTGAATGGATGGAATCTACTGTATGATAAAAATGCTACAAGCACCATTTAGTTGCCATCAATAAGAAATTTACTTGTTTTAAAAAAATCCAAATGCTGGCATTGTCCAGAAAAATTTAACAGGTTTATTTATAATTATTATAAAGTTGAACCGCTGAAACTTGTTCACTGAAACATTTTAACTTGCATTAATGCTTTACGTCTCCGCATTTATATTAAAAATTCACACACAAATGAAAATGGAAAAACTGCCAATACCTGATTTCTGTCCCCTATTTTTCCACTCGCAATCATATACTTAGGTACCTTTTGACCCCATGGAAAAAAATTATCTAACGTTCAGAACTACCAATAACAGGAAGAAGAGAAATTTTTTTTTTTTTGAGAATGAAATGTTTCCCATCATAGTGGATTCTTAAGCACGTTCTCCACGTATGCTGTGTGCTAGCTGGATGTCTTTTGGCATAATTGTTACACGTTTGGCATGGATAGCACACAGGTTGGTGTCTTCAAAAAGGCCAACCAGATAGGCCTCACTTGCCTCCTGCAAAGCACCGATAGCTGCGCTCTGGAAGCGCAGATCTGTTTTAAAGTCCTGAGCAATTTCTCGCACCAGACGCTGGAAGGGAAGTTTGCGAACCAGAAGTTCAGTGGACTTCTGATAACGTCTAATTTCACGGAGCGCCACAGTACCAGGCCTGTAACGATGAGGTTTCTTCACCCCTCCAGTAGAGGGCGCACTCTTGCGAGCGGCTTTTGTAGCCAGTTGCTTCCTGGGTGCTTTACCACCGGTCGATTTGCGGGCAGTCTGCTTTGTACGAGCCATGGTACAGAGACCTCCTTACTTACCCCCCTTCTCCTTCGGCTGGAGCTCGGCGAGCGAGAGGCGGCGCTGGCGTTGGAGAGCCAAGTATGTGTTTCTTATAGCAATCCTGCTCCCACATAAAAGCTGCATTTCAATATGAGATAAAAAGACATTTTGGAAAAAGTGCAAGGTTTTTCCCCCTGCTGGTGTAGCTGCAAGTGACAGCTTTACAAATCACTTTTTCTTTCTTTTTTCTTTTCTTATCTTTTCCTTTCTTCTTTCTTCATCTTCTTTTTTTTTTTTCCACTGGTCCTTGCACTGAATTCATTTATCTTGCAATGGTGGTCAACCACAGCTCACAGCTGCAGACCTCAATCTATGACACATATTAAGCCATTCAATTTTTTCTTGTAATATCATAACTTTTCTCTGCTTTTTGGGAGCACTTTCAGCACCACTAGTAGCAATCTGTATGGGTATCATGGCATTATTCAAGGTTTATGGTATTGCACTAAACATTGATGAAAAATAGGCAAAAACCCTGAGAGATCACTTTTTACTGCGATACGCAATTTTCTGGAAAGAAGAACTGCTCAGTTGGAGATAATTAGCATCACCTTTTAAGCAGATACTTGCAACACTTGAGCTCACTGCAATAGCAACAGGAGGTGGCTACAAAATATTTACAGTAGTACAGTATTTCTATAGTTAATTTTATGCAGTTATGATTTAATACTGCATCTTTACACTTGTTTACATTTCTCTCAACTACAAGTGGCATCATGCATTATGGTCTGTGTTTGTATGCTTTGATAAATTTTAACTTTGCATAAAATTCATATATATATCTATATAGTCTTTCTGCTGAAGCTTTGTAAAAATTTGCGTATATTTTATGATAGTAAATGATAAAATAGACCAGTATCTACATCTGTTTTGTGCATTTGTGACAGACCTTTTTCCTAATTTTTCAGTATTTCTGGGCTATGTGATTCATTTGTGAGTTTTGTCACATTGTCACAAATCTCCAAAATGTTTTCCAATATATTTATGTTTATTTTTGTAAAGCCACCTCCTGCACAATCCAATATATTTATTTGAAAATATCCATGCATAAATGGACCTGTGCAGTTCAAACCCATGTTGTTCAAGGGTCACCTATAATTCTAATTAACTGAAGGAGGAGGACACAGAATGAAAAATTCACATTAATAATTATAGCTGGCGAGGCCCAGAAGCTTATGCCTGTAATCCCAGCAATTTGGGAGGCTAAGGTGGAGGGATTGCTTGAGGCCAGAAATTCACGACCAGCCTGGGCAACAAAGGAGACCCTGTGTCTACAAAATTTTTTTTAAAAAACTATCTGGGCACACATGTAGTCCCAGCTACTTGGGAGGCTGAGGTGAGAGGAGCTCTCAAGCCCAAGAGTTTCAGGCTGCAGTGAATCATGACAGTGCCACTGCACTCCAGCATGGGTGACAGAGTGAGACCCTGTCTCAAAAAGAAAATAATAATAATTATCATTATAGCTATTATTTATTGAGCCCTTACTATGTGCCAGGTACTGTTTTTGTTTTTTGGTCTTTGGTTTTGCTTTTTTTTTTTTTTTTTTTTTTGAGATGGAGTCTCGCTTTGTTGCCCAGGCTGGAGTGCAGTGGTGCGATCTCGGCTCACTGCAAGCTCCGCCTCCCGGGTTCACGCCATTCTCCTGCCTCAGCCTCCGGAGTAGCTGGGACTATAGGTGCCTGCCACCACGCCCAGCTAATTTTTCGTATTTTTAGTAGAGATGCTGTTTCACTGTGTTAGCCAGGATGGTCTCGATCTCCTGATCTCGTGATCCGCCAGTCTCGGCCTCCCAAAGTGCTGGGATTACAGGCGTGAGCCACCACGCCCGGCCACCAGGTACTGTTTTTAAGTTTTATGCATACATTGTCCCATGTGTAAGATTTACAGGATTTAAAGCCTTCATATGAGGGAGGGTCTATAATTAATTTATACTTTACAGATGAGGAAGCTGAGGTACAGAGATGTTAAGTAATTTTTCCAACTTGACATTCACCAATGTGGGGAAATTTTTCCTTTCAAGTGCAGAGCCGGGTCTGTAAGTATTTGTACCAACAACCCATGCACCTTTTCTTAAAGGTCTCCAAGTATGTAGTGCTGCCGTTTGTATGTAGCGACTCTACAAACATCCACTTTCTATTTGACTGGGGTATCCTTGGTGAGCTGAGGGCTTTCTCCAAACTTGGCTTATGCGTTTAACAGTGAGTCAGACCAGCCCCTGCTACCTTCGTTGGAGAAATTCAATCTCCTTTTTCTGGTAACTTTCACTGTCTCATTTTGGTCTATACTTGATTGCCAAGATTTAAATAAACCAAAATCCAGCTGCTTTCAAAGGCAACCCCATCACTCTCTTTCTTTTAGTTTTTACTGTGAACTGAGTAATTTCAGGTACAATGTCCTTTAGAGAAAGACTTCTTCACTTTATTACAACTATACTTGTGTCGCTTAAGGGCATGAATGAAACCGCTGTTCCTTGTCACGTAAGAGCACGTTAACAACTAATAAGAAAAGCGCCTTTTGGTAATGGGACTCTGTCTCTGCCATTTGACCCTTTGGATTTCTCTGTGATAGGCTGAATGAGGCAGACTGCCTGTCAGAAAGGATTGCTTGAGTATCTTGTCAGAAATTTCTTTTCATTCTTTCTCATCCAAAGTAAGTCACCTACTAACTGTTCCTGAACTGTTCTCATTGGCTTTCTGGGAGTAACTCCCTAGACAGGGAGTCTCAAAACTGAGAACCATGTTCAGAACTCTTTGGCTTCCTCAGACCCTGGGAAGGGTCCACCAGCTCTTCCTTCCCAGCTCTTTGCTTGGTCCGCTCGTTCCTGTCCTGTGGTGCCGATACAGATGTCATCCCCTCCAGAGGCCTTCCTATACCCCATTTTGGCAACCTCCTCCAGTTCCTCTCTCTCCCATCTCTCTTCATTTCTTTCACAGCACTTTCAAGTTTGCACTTTTCTTCTCATTTTTTTCTTTGTTGTCTGTCTTTGCTGAGAGAATGTATACTCTCTGAAGTCAGGGAGCTTGTATCTTTTTCACTGCCGACCTCAATCCTTAAAGTAATACCTGGTTTATGGTAGATACGGGGCTGGGTGTGGTGGCTCACACCTGCAATCCCAGCACTTTGGGAGGCCAAGACAGGAGGATGGCTTGAGTCCAGGAGTTCAAGACCAGCCTAGGCAACATAGGGAGGCCTTTTCTCTGAAAAAAAAAATTAAAAAATTGGCCAGGCCTGGTGGCATACACCAGTGGTCCCAGCTACTTAGGAGGCTGAGGTGGGAGGATTGCTTGAGCCCAGGAGGTTAAAGCTGTGCTGAGCTGTGATCATGCCACACATTCCTGCCTGGGTGACAGAGCAAGACCCTGTCTCAAGAAAAAAAAAAAATCATGCGGCCAAGTAAAATAATAAATTTAATTTAATCTAGCATATCGCAGTCCCACACATAGACTCCAAATGTTTACAGTAGGGCTCTGGCAACTTGCATCTGTGAGGTGCTGAGGAAGAGAGTGGGGCCCTAACATAGGGAAGACATTGATATGTATTGATATGTTTCACTGGATGCGATGATAGAACATCATCATACTGTATTTCATAATTCTTTTTGAGATAAATTTTGTATGTAATAAAATGCATAAATCTTCAATGAATGTTGAGAAGTACACACACCTGTGTGGTCCAGATCTCTATCAAGATCTAGAACATGACAACCACCCAGAAAGTGTCCTCCTGCTTCTCCCAGTCAGTCCCCATTCTCACTCCCAGATGCAAGCACTTCTGATTGTTTTCATCAGTTAGGTTTGTCCATTCTAGAACTTCGTATAATTGGAATCATACAGTATGTAGCCTGTATAATGCTTCATTCACTCAGCAAAATGTTGTGTTGCATAGATCTGTTTTTTTTCATTGCAAAATGTTGTGTTGCATAGATCTGTTTCTTTTAATTGAATAGACTCTATCACAGCTTGGTTATCCATTCTCCTGTTGATAGGCTTCTGGACTGTTTCCAGTTTTTGTCTATAATGAATAAATCTGCAATGAACATTCTTAAACAAGTCCTTTTGTGAACACATGCTTTCATTTCTCTTGGGTAAATACATAGGAATGAGATTGCTGAGTCAAATGTTACGTTCGATTTTATAAGAAACTACCAGAACTTTTCCCAAAGTGGCTGTACTATTTTGCATTCCTGCCAATGATGTGTGCGGATTCCAGTTGCTTCACATCCTCACCAACATTTTGTGTTACTGGTTTTTTTTTTTTTTTTTTTTTTTTTTACAATTTTAGCCATTCTGTTGGATGTGTGGTGGTGCCATCTCATTATAGTTTTTTATTTATTTATTTATTTTTCAGATGGAGTCTCAATTTGTCACCCAGGCTGGAGTTCAGTGGCATGATCTTGGCTCACTGCAACCTCCACCTCCTGGGTTCAAACGATTCTCCTGCCTCAGCTTCCTGAGTAGCTGGGACTGCAGGTGCCCGCCACCATGCCCAGCTAATTTTTGTATTTTTAGTAGAGACGAGGTTTCACAATGTTGGCCAGGCTGGTCTTGAACTCCTGACCTCAAGTGATTCACCCCCCCTCGGCCTCTCAAAGTGTTGGGAATACAGGCCTGAGCTACCACGTCCAGCCTCATTATAGATTTAAGTGGGAATTTGTTGATGTTGAATCATGTTGAAACATTTTTCTTGAGATTATTGGCACATTTGTTTCCTTCCTATGTGGATTCTCTCTATATTCTGAATATAAGTATCTTGTCCAATATATGTTTTGTGAATATTTTCTCAGTCGTCGTACAACATCTTAAGAGACTGCTGTTGTATTTTGTGCCTTTTCTTTTTTTTTCCCACCCCCCTATAGTTTTTGCTACTTGTCTGGGTCTGGTGTACATATATGGCCGTCACCTATACTTCTGGGGATATTCAGAAGCTGCTAAAAAACGGTAAGGAGAACCCAGTAATTTTGTATTTATGCAAAAAGTAGCAGGATAAGGTCTGGGTCAGTTTCCTTCTCCTGAGAGATATTAACAGCACTGTGAGTTGTGGTGGCAAAAGTAATCCATACTGTCTGAGGTCAAGTCTTGCCAGTTCATACACAATTAGGCATGAGATGGGAAAATGCAAGTATAAAACTGTGCACTGAATGTGGACTCTAGTTCCTTGCAAAAATTTTGCATTGTCTCCAGAAAGTTACCGAGGAAATAATCCTGCCTAGCCTTGATAATGCTTTGAATGTTCAAAGAAACCAAGTGATCTCTATGGCTAGGCATTCCCTTTAACTTATGTGATGAGCTAAAATTTTCAAATTGCAAAAATATAGAAGTTCTGGACAGTGTTAACGATAGGACAGCCTACCTCAGGACTCTCAGCTTCCTTATTACAGTCCAGTTTGTCACTTTTCTCCCTCATGTCCACTCTGCAGGATCACCGGTTTCCGACTGAGTCTGGGGATTTTGGCCTTGTTGACCCTCCTAGGTGCCCTGGGAATTGCAAACAGCTTTCTGGATGAATATCTGGACCTCAATATTGCCAAGAAACTGAGGCGGCAATTCTAACTTTTTCTCTTCCCTTTAATACTTGCAGAAGCTGTTCCCACCATGAAGGTAATATGGTATCATTTGTTAAATAAAAATAAAGTCTTTATTCTGTTTTTCTTGAAATGGCTTTGTAGAAACACACACTTTAGAGAATACATTTCCTGTTTAAGAACTGAAATTTGCTTGGGGTAGGTACATCCATATCATCAGTGGAAGTGTGTTGTGCCCTAGTTTTAGAAATGCATGCTGAAGTCATGACCGGTTGTGTAGGGACACAGCAGCCTGACCCGTGTGCTGGCCGTTCCGAGGACTACTGACATATCCTGCCACTCTGACTGCTTCTCTCTTGATGGAAAGTTTCAGACAGAAGCTGATAAAGCAGCTGAGCCCTTTCATTGGTTATAGGAAAACAACAGATAGGAAGGCATGTGGGGGACATCAGGCAAACACATAGAGTAGCCAGAGAAGGGAGTCATCAACTGATAGCACAAAACAAAACAGGTTATAGAAGGCTGGGCGTGGTGGCTCATGCCTGTAATCCCAGCACTTTGAGAAGCCGAGGCGGGCAGATCACAAGGTCAGGAGATCGAGACCATCCTGGCTAACACAGTGAAACCCTGTCTCTACTAAAGATACAAAAAATTAGCCGGGCATGGTGGCGGGTGCCTGTAGTCCTAGCTACTCGGGAGGCTGAGGCAGGAGAATGGTGTGAACCTGGGAGGCGGAGCTTGCAGTGAGCCAAGATCGCGCCACTGCACTCCAGCCTGGGTGACAGACTCTGTCTCAAACCAACAAAAAACCCAAAGAAAAACAAAAACAGATTATAAAAATGTACTTTATAAAGAAAAAAGTGTTTCCAGGCCAAAAGAGCTTGCTGCCTGATGCCCATACTGTAAAACCAGGTTTTTGGGAAAAGAAAGAAATTTAATTTTAAAAAAGAGACGGTCTTGCTGTCACCCAGGCCGGAGCCTCCAACACATGGGCTCAAGCGAGCCTCCTGCTTCAGCCTCCCAAAGTGCTGGGATTCAGGTGTGAGCCACTCTGCCCGGGCAACAAAAGCTTTATATTGCAAGTCAACTCACAGGAAGATAGGAGTCAAGCTCAAATCTGTCTCCCTCTGCTGGCTTCCAAGCAGTATTTTTATTAGAAAATGTCAGGGGGTAAATTCTGAGATTAGTAGGTGATTGGTGGAAAGAAAGGGGAGGTCTGAAAAGTCCTTGGGCATGTCCAGTTATCTCTTTATGCTGCCTCAGAGGTAGCATGTGCAAATTCCAGAGGAGTTAGTATGAAATGTCATGGAAATTCAGGCTGTGACATCAGCAAGCTTGTTCTGTGCAGACTCCAGTTAGCCATCTTGGTTCCAACAAATTTCAGCCAGTTTTTTTTTAATCTCATAAGGAGAGAGAGTTTCAGTGTTTCAGTAAGTTATTTCTTTTCTTATCTGCCATCCTCCAAATTCAAGAATTTCCTTTAGTTATTGGTTTCTTGAACTCTTTGGGGCACAATTTCAAGAGGAAGAAGTAAAAAAAGGATACCATTTCAAGGAATTGCCCAGGGACAAGTGCGAAGAGAATATTCTTTCTCTTGGCTGAGGAAGGTGGGTCATGCTCACGGCTGTAGAACGTGGGTTGGGTTCTGCTGCATGCCCTGTGTCATGTGGGGTTTGGAGGGTGATACGGGAAGTACAGCGGAACCCCCAAAGCTGTTCTGACCCTGAAGTGCAGTTATTGTCTGGCAAAATGCAGATGACTTTTCCTCATTTTCTTCATCTGTAAAATGAGAACGATTCTACCTCACAGCTTTCAAATAAAAGGCAAAATGAATTATGAGCATACATAACACATTTTGACGTCAGGAAAAGGGCTTGAGTCTGGTGTGGGCATCTTCAAAAATTGTTTAGTAGTACTTTTCTTTTTTTGTGGATACAATAGAAGTTAAAAAGGCCGGGAAAAATATTAATAGAAAAAGAAAGAGAGACACTTAAATACTAGTGTTCCCATAATACATAACCTCCTGCATCCCAAATAGCAGTACAGTATTAAATACCCCAAAGCACACTGAGAATATACTGGCCTGGGAGTGGGCACATTTGCATACTAGCTCAGGTTCCCCTACTCATTGGTCATTTGAATTTGGACAAGGCACCCCATCAGTAGGAGGTTGTGAATCAAAGAAGTGAAGACTCCAGAACCAGACCACCCTATCCTGTCCTATCACTTGCTGGCTGTGCTACCCCAGCACTTTGTAGCTCTCTGCCTTGGTTTTCTTTTAGGTAAAATAGGGCAAATATGCTAAAAAGCTATGATTCTATGGTCTTTTTACTTAATATTCTTTTCAGTTATGATCGTGACTTGGATTGTGACATTTTAATTGTTTTATACACTGAGACCAATGAAGGATGAGAATGCAAATTTTTGATACTAAGGCATAATTACTTCATAACCATGTCCTTTGCAAGTTGAAAAGAAACTTTCCAAATCTTACAACTGAAGATTTTTAAGCAATTTCTGTTTTGCACTTAAATTGGCTCTGGGCAGGGTAAAACACACACATACACACACACACACACACTTTGGTTAAACACGTGGAAATAAGCTATGGGTGTAGCAGACTATCAAGGCCTTGTCACTTTAAACATTCAAACGATAGATTTTCCTTTGTTCTAATTGCATTGTCACCAGGCAACCTTTTGATTATTTTCATTCCTATTAGATTTGGCTACAGAGAGCAACCATTTCTGGCCACAGAGATGTGGGTTTCTGATCGGTTTGACAATTACATGTACATTTTTTGTATATTACTAAATTGATCAATTTTATTTTTAGAAATCAGATTCATTGCCTTAAAAAGTCAGTGTCAGGAAGTGGGGGATAGAGAAGAACTTTTCTGCATTAAGAGTCTTTTTTAAATTTTTTTATTTTTATTTTATTATTATTATACTTTAAGTTTTAGGGTACATGTGCACAATGTGCAGGTTTGTTACATATGTATACATGTGCCATGTTGGTGTGCTGCACCCATTAACTCGTCATTTAGCATTAGGTATATCTCCTAATGCTATACCTCCCCCCTCTCCCCACCCCACAACAGTCCCCGGAGTGTGATGTTCCCCTTCCTGTGTCCATGTGTTCTCATTGTTCAATTCCCACCTATGAGTGAGAACATGAGGTGTTTGGTTTTTTGTCCTTGTGATAGTTTGCTGAGAATGATGGTTTCCAGTTTCATCCATGTCCCTACAAAGGACATGAACTCTTCATTTTTTATGGCTGCATAGTATTCCATGGTGTATATGTGCCACATTTTCTTAATCCAGTCTATCATTGTTGGACATTTGGGTTGGTTCCAAGTCTTTGCTATTGTGAATAATGCCGCAATAAACATACGTGTGCATGTGTCTTTATAGCAAGCAGCATGATTTATAATCCTTTGGGTATATACCCAGTAATGGGATGGCTGGGTCAAATGGTATTTCTAGTTCTAGATCCCTGAGGAATCGCCACACTGACTTCCACAATGGTTGAACTAGTTTACAGTCCCACCAACAGTGTAAAAGTGTTCCTATTTCTCCACATCCTCTCCAGCACCTGTTGTTTCCTGACTTTTGAATGATCGCCATTCTAACTGGTGTGAGATGGTATCTCATTGTGGTTTTGATTTGCATTTCTCTGATGGCCAGTGATGATGAGCATTTTTTCATGTATTTTTTGGCTGCATAAATGTCTTCTTTTGAGAAGTGTCTGTTCATGTCCTTCGCCCACTTTTTGATGGGGTTGTTTGTTTTTTTCTTGTAAATTTGTTTGAGTTCATTGTAGATTCTGGATATTAGCCCTTTGTCAGATGAGTAGGTTGCAAAAATTTTCTCCCATTCTGTAGGTTGCCTGTTCACTCTGATGGTAGTTTCTTTTGCTGTGCAGAAGCTCTTGAGTTTAATTAGATCCCGTTTGTCCATTTTGTCTTTTGTTGCCATTGCTTTTGGTGTTTTAGACATGAAGTCCTTGTCCTTGCCCATGCCTATGTCCTGAATGATATTGCCTAGGTTTTCTTCTAGGGTTTTTATGGTTTTAGGTCTAACACGTAAGTCTTTATTCCATCTTGAATTAATTTTTGTATAAGGTGTAAGGAAGGGATCCAGTTTCAGCTTTCTACATATGGCTAGCCAGTTTTCCCAGCACCATTTATTAAATAGGGAATCCTTTCCCCATTGCTTGTTTTTGTCAGGTTTATCAAAGATCAGATGGTTGTAGATATGCGGCATTATTTCTGAGGGCTCTGTTCTGTTCCATTGATCTATATCTCTTTTTTGGTACCAGTACCATGCTGTTTTGTTGACTGTAGCCTTGTAGTATAGTTTGAAGTCAGGTATCGTGATGCCTCCGGCTTTGTTCTTTTGGCTTAGGATTGACTTGGTGATGTGGGCTCTTTTTTGGTTCCATATGAACTTTAAAGTAGTTTTTTCCAATTCTGTGAAGAAAGTCATTGGTAGCTTGATGGGGATGGCATTGAATCTATAAATTAGTCCTTAAGTGGCATAAAAACCAAATGGCAATGTGAGATCCTTGATCAAATTCTGGTTAGAAAAAAACAACTATGGGCCAGGCGCGGTGGCTCACGCCTGTAATCCCAGCACTTTGGGAGGCCGAGGTGGGTGGATCACCTGAGGTCAAGAGTTTGAGACCAGCCTGACCAACATGAAGAAATCCCGTCTCTACTAAAAATACAAAATTAGCCGGGCATGGTGGCACACACCTGTAATCTCAGCTACTCTGGAGGCTGAGGCAGGAGAATCACTTGAACCCAGGAGGAGGTTGTGGTGAGCGGAGATGGCACCACTGCACTCCAGCCTGGGCAACGAGAGCAAAACTCCGTCTCAAAAAAAAAAAAAAAAGAAAAAGAAAAAGAAAAAAACAACTATGGATGACCTTTGTGAGACAATGGAAAAAATTTTTTTTTTTTTTTTTTTTTTTTTTTTTGAGATGGAGTCTCACTCTGTCGCCCAGGCCGGAGTGCAGTGGTGCGATTTCTGCTCATTGCAAGCTCTGCCTCCCAGGTTCACACCATTCTCCTGCCTCAGCCTCCCAAGTAGCTGGGACTAGAGGCGCCCGCCACCACGCCCAGCTAATTTTTTGTATTTTTTAGTAGAGACTGGGTTTCACCGTGTTAGCCAGGATGGTCTTGATCTCCTGACCTCATGATCCGCCCACCTCAGCCTCCCAAAGTGCTGGGATTACAGGTGTGAGCCATCACGCCCGGCCAGACAATGGAAACAATTTAAGCATGGAATACAGATAGATGATATTAGGGAATTAATGTTAATTGTGTTAGGTGTGATAATTATATCGTGGCTAGAGAAGAGAATGCCCTAATTCTCTGGAGCTGTGTCCTGAGGCATTAAGGGGTAAAGTGGTTGGATGTACTTTAAAATGGTTCTGCGAAATATATATGTGAAGCATTTATGGCAAAGTGTTAATGATTACATCTAATTGGTAAGTGTATAGGTATTCGTTGTATTATTATTTCTACTTTCCTGGTTGTTTAAAAATGTTTATAATAAAGAGTTAAAGGATCTGAAGAGAAGTTAAAACCTAAAATCAGATTCTTGGTAGCCCTGAAGATTTTCTGTGTTGAGCATTGTTAAGAGATCCAGTGGTATTGATGGATCCACAGTCATCCATGCTGGCCTGGCAGCTGTCCTGGGTGTGGCACAGATGCCTGGGCCCCACATGTGTGAGAGCTGCAGTAATTACCTCCACCTGTTGCATGAAATGAGGCAGGTGTCTGTGCCAGCTACTCCAGAGGACACTAGTGGAGGAATTTAATGTCCTTAGTACTTAAAAGAGAATTGAGGACAAAATCGGATTTACAAAAAGAGGAAACAAATCAAAAAGAAAATTAAAAGGTAAAGACTGGTTACCCAAAGAGGTAGCTCTGTTCCATTTTCAGATAATTTTTCTTGTTCCACTTTTCTTTTAGGGGTTGGAGGTGGGTGGGGTATGGCCAAAAAAGTCATTAATAAACAAAATCAGGTCATTTGAGGTTCACCCTTTTTCTCCAGACACAATCTTCCTTGAAAAGAATGGTCAGAGGCAGAAACAGCTCATTGAATGCTATGGAATGTTCCTTAATCACCAGTGAAATACGTCTTTCTCACTGGGGGCAGATGTCTAGTGACTTTCTAGAAAAATGTTTATTCTCTCCTCTTTCTTCCCCCATCACCATACTTACTGCACTAGGATTTTATAAAGGTCAGTAAGATTACATGTAAGAACTCATTTGAAAAGAGAAAGGTATTCCATTCATCCAGTGCCAAACGAGTATAAGTAAGAATATGTGGCTTGAATTGATTGGAACTAGGAGTAATCAACACTTCTCAGAGCTTCACGTTTTTACTTCTAGTGTCAGCGTCCCCCTGTGCCCTCCCTCCACCCCGGAATCAGTTCATTTTCTCTCCCATGTTTTCTGGGAGAGTGCTAAGCCAATATCAAAAGAACAAAGCCCAATGCCATGCTGTTTCCTACATGGTGTTATTTGCCAACCTGTCTGGAACCATAGCCCACTAAGGGTAGCGATGGCCTCTTCTTCATAATTAAATTCTTTCTTTTGGTTTGTGTATATTAAAACTTACCTTTGTTTTGTGCCTAAATTTGATGATGACTTTATTCTGTGGCCTACTTTTCCTCTTAACCCAGTTTTGAAACATGTTGTGATACTAAGCTTTTTAAAGTTTGATGAGGAGTCTTAGGTCATTTCCTAGAAGTGGAGAGGTGGATTCACATCTATGTGATTTATTAACAAAGGGCTCTCAATAGGGGAAAAAGAAAGAGAGTGGGGGTAACAGGACAGAGAAGGGGAACAAGCCAAAATAGGGGGCTCCTTTATTTTTCCCTTTTTTTTTTTTTGTTTTGAGACAGGGTCTCTCTCTGTCACCCTGGTTGGAGTGCAGTGGCGTGATCACAATCCACTGCAGCCTTGACTTCCTGGGCTCAGGTGATTCTCCCACCTCAGCCTCCTGAGTAGCTGGGACTACAGGAATGCATCACCATGACCGGCTGTTTTCTATTTTTTGTAGAGATGGGGTTTCGCCATGTTGCCCAGGCTGGTCTCAAACTGTTACAGGACAGAGAAATATGTTACAGGAAAAGGTCCCAATCCAGACCCCAAGAGAAGGTTCTTGGATCTCGTGCAAGAAAGAATTCTTGCACGAGTGAGTGCTCAGTGCAAAGTGAAAGCAAGTTTATTAAGAAAGTAAAGGAATAAAAGAATGGCTACTCCATAGAGCAGCCCCGAGGGCTGCTGGTTGCCTATTTTTATGGTTATCTCTTGATGATATACTAAACAAGGGGTGGATTATTCATGTCTCTCCTTTTTAGAACATATAGGGTAACTCCCTGGTATTGCCATGGCATTTGTAAACTCTCATGGCACTGGTGGGAGTGTAGCAGAGAGGAAGACCAGAGGTCACTCTCGTCGCCATTTTGGTTTTGCTGGATTTTGGCCAGCTCCTTTACTGCAACCTGGTTTATCGGCAAGGTCTTTATGACATGTATTTTGTGCTGACCTATCTCATCCTGTGACTTAGAATGCCTTAACTGTCTGGGAATGTAGCCCAGTAGGTTTCAGCCTCATTTCACCCAGTTCCTATTTAAGATGGAGTTGCCGCCTCTGACATTTCCCCCCTTTCTTTTATAAGAGAACCTTTAATCCTAAGGGTTGCAGAGGGACAAAGATCCATCTTCTGTAACTTCTTCAGGCTGAATAGGGGCGATGATATTCCTGCCTAACTATGAGGGTCTCTTGCATTCAGGGTATAGAGGAGCTCAGTCAGAAAGCATCAGTATGGTGAGGGCCATTCATGACTCTTGAGTTTTGACAAGAGGTGATATCTGGAAGATTAATAAGTGTTTAGTTTAAGAAAACATTCAGTAAGCTTGTTCTGTATTCCTACACAAAGAGTATAGCAGTAATGTATTCCACAAGAGTAAAGCAAAATAAGTAAAGTTATTCCAAGCAAGCTAAATTAGAAGGCTTTCCATCAACTGTGCAACTGTTGAAACCAAGCTGATATGGGGTTGGCAGCTGATTGCAATGTGCCCAGAATTAGAATACTGATCCAGACTTTTACATTACCCATCCCTCTTGTTTCCTCTGAGCAGCAGTTAGAGATCACTGGTTAGTTCACAGGAATAAACAGGGTTAGCTTAAATTGCAGAAACAAACTTAAAAACAACTAGTGAGACTAGAATTTAATAACAAGTGTACCATAGTTCTTGAAACATAATAGTTCTCGCTCCAGTTTCCCATTTTTACTAAAGACGAATTATGGTAAGACTGATTTGCTTTATTATACTTGGCCTGATTATTTGTATAAAGTACAGCAAGGATAATTATTTTTCACACAGGCATTTTAATTGGCTTTGATGGAACTCTGTTTCATAAGGAATCTCAGATAAGACTTTTTAAAAAGCCGAGCCCTGCCATGGGTTTGTACCCTGAAATACCTATGAGTTAGGTAAATTCCTGTCCTTTTGAGGTCCCAAGATAACTTGGGGCTCCTGGACCTGTGAGAAAGTGAAATTCTTTACTTACCATAGGTCAGAAACCCTATACAGGGACTGTGTAGGCAAGGTATGAGGCCAGTTCCCCAAAGGGTTTTTATTGGCTCTACAAGTCAAGTTTGATTCCTTAAAGGAAAGCACACCATTCCAGTCAAAGCCTTGGTAAAATGACCCATTTCTCCAATTGTGTCCTGTTACAAAAGAAAACAGATTCGTATTGCATTTATGCAAATAAGTATATTGCCATAAGTTAAGAATACTCACAACTAATTTCCAAATTCTGAAGTCAGGTTAGAGAGAAACAAATATGTTCCAAATTTTGTTCACAGCAGTATGCTTTACTCAATTGCTACAAGCTATAAATAGCTCAAAAGAAAAGTTTCCTTGACTCTGAAAAACAAAGCAAAGCATGCTTCTCTGTTCCAAGTGTGCGGAGTCAAAGTATCCCTCCATAACTACTATTAGCCATCCCTTAAAGTATATTTCCTACCTAGTTATTTCACAGCAAAGCTGTCTCAAAATGCAAAGTAATTTCTGATACCCCCCAAACTCAAAACCATCAGATAACACAATACAAAACAGAACAGAGCATTTGATTTTGAGAGGGATCCATCTGCTTTTAATTCCTGGGGTTTCAAGATAAAAACAGGTTTTTTCCCAAAACGGAGTCTGTGACACCTCCTTTGTTTTTCCCAATGAGTCTGTGACACCTCCTTTGTTTTTCCCAAGGAGTCCCAGGCTACCAGAAGTTATCTTAGGGCCTCTCGTGTGTTCATTAAGAGTGGCAAGACAGAAAAAAAAAAAAAAAAAAAAAAGGAGAAAAATAATTCAGTTGACTGAGAAGAAAAAACCTTTTTCCAGAAAAACAAGTTCCAAAAAGAGAAAATCATTAATGGCCTTTTAAATATATCTATTGCTTGTTTATCTACTTTTAATTAAGCTGACTTCTAACCATAGTGTTCTTTAAAAAAGAAATACTTTTGGATCTCTTATTACCTGACTTTAACAATGCCAAGCGGCCAATATTTCTAGCTTCTGAACTCTACCAGAGATAACCTCCTAGGTGCTTAGTGAAAGGAAAATTTAAGACAGTCCATGGAGAAGAAGAGAATAGACAAGGTCATGCAGATATGAAACCAGAAATGGTAGGCGGGGAAATCGAACCCTGGCTACCAATATGAAAGTGCACGATCTTAGCTACTGAGCTATAGCAAAGCGTGGTCTCCAGTTCCTTTCCCAGGAAGAGTCTAGAGTAGTTAATTTTGAGCTTGCAAAGGCTTTTAACTATTTAATATGATTTTTAGAGCTATGACATGAATCCTAAAATTCCTATTTCCTGGAAGGTGGAGACCACGGGAAGGTACCACCACATGGTTAAAAGGTCAAGCTCCCAAGGACATAAAACAAGGTGGAGATTTCATCCAGTTTTTTGTTTGTTTCAGGGACCTGCAGCCAAGTTTATTACTGACCAGCTTGTGAGGTCATCCTGAAAAGCGGGCTTACAGGTATTCTAAGCCCATGTTTTATCCTAAAGTACCCCTTTACACAGAAAAACGAATTCATGGCACAAAATACACCAGCTTAAGACTAGCCTTAGAATTCTTTTTGGCATTAATCAAAACTTTACAGAGGACATAAACACTGATTTTTTCCCCCCATTCATTTAACTATTTGCACACAGAGACAGAAGCCAGAAATCTGACTGGGAAGAAATTCCTACCCTTTTGCCAGCATGCTAAGCTTCTGGGTTCTCTTTCCCTGAGGGGCCCTAGTGATCTGGCTTGTGGCACAACTGCCTTTGGGGGCCAAGCCGCATCATAAAGGAAAAGTATTTCTTTTTGTTCTGGCCAAAGCAAAATACGCGTAATAAAACATAGATATTAACCAGGCTGCTTAGCATCCAATATCAAACTGGCAAGGCTTAAATTTGCCCTCAGGTGGGCCCTGTCATCTTTAATCTAACCTCCGACTAGGAGTTTCAACATGTGGTCTCTGGGCAAGATGGTCGCCCTGAGTAATAGAAAAGAAAGAGAAAGGAGAGAGAGAAAAACATTGCCTGTGGCAGGGCGGGGAAGGTGAAATGATCAGGGAGGCCAGAGAAAGAACCACCCATTGCAGCGACACTAAAAAGTTCAGGTGGCTGCTGTCGGTGGAGCAAGGATCTTTTCCAGTAATCCTACCAGCTCTCAAATTTCCCTTGTTAGGGAGGAAAAAGCTCCCCATGTCCCAGGATCCTGTACATTCCTAATTCTGTCACCCATAGCCATCAGCAAAGTACAAGGGAGATTAATCCAAAGAGAATAGCAGTTAACATCCCATAGTGCCGAACCTGTTCTTAGCCGAGAGGGACTTTACCGAAGAGGGGCCTCTAACCCGCTAAATCTTAGAAGGGACTCTAACTCTCCTAAGTCGGGCCTCTAACCAGAGGTCGGTCAAGCATCCTTGCCTTTTATTAAGGGGGAGCCTTTAACCACCTCTATCTTAGGAGAGACTCTAACTCCACTAAGCTGGGCCTCTAACCCAATCCCATTCTTTACCCAGGTACCCCACCACTTACCCAAAGTCTTCCAATCAGTGCTGCAGTCTATTTCCTTTGTGTTAGGGGGTGTCTCCCCAGTATCGTCCCATCGTTCTCCAGAAATATGTTAGAGGACTCCAATACTTACCCAAAGGTAGCTGTTGGGTCTAGGTTTCTACACTATTGTCCCTTCGGTGGTTGCCAGAAATATGTTGCAGGACAGAGAAATGTGTTACAGGAAAGGGGTCCTGATGCAGACCCCAAGAGAGGGTTCTTGGCTCTTGCGCAAGAAAGAATTCAGGGTGAGTCTGCAGTGCACAGTGAAAGCAAGTTTATTAAGAAAGTAAAGGAATAAAAGAATGGCTACTCCATAGAGCAGCCCCGAGGGCTGCTGGTTGTCCATTTTTATGGTTATCTCTTGATGATATGCTAAACAAGGGGTGCATTATTCATGCCTCCCCTTTTTAGACCATATAGGGTAACTTCCTGACCTTGCCATGGCATTTGTAAACTGTCATGGCACTGGTGGGAGTGTGGCAGTGAGGACGACCAGAGGTCACCCTCGTCGCTATTTTGGTTTTGGTGGGCTTTGGCTGGCTCCTTTACTGCAAACTGTTTTATCAGCAAGGTCTTTATGCCGTGTATTTTGTGCTGAACTCCTATCTCATCCTGTGACTTAGAATGCCTTAACCGTCTGGGAATGCAGCCCAGTAGGTTTCAGTCTCATTTTACCCAGCTCCTATTTAACATGGAGTTGCTCTGGTTCACACGCCTCTGACAAAACTCCTGGGCTCAAGTGATCCGCTTGCCTTGCCCTCCCAAAGTGCTGGGTGGGATTGCAGGTGTAAGCTACAGTGCCCGGTCTGGGGGGCACCTTTAAACCAAGTCCCAGCCTTTGCCTGATCTTGCAGTAGAGCTCTGGAGCAAAATTATATCTGAGTTTGTTCAGACAAGTCAACTGGGCTTTTATACTCCTGCACCAGTGAGTCACTGGCTAAAGTCAATCCAGAGGGGTATAAACTTCTAAGCACTTTCAATTCTGTGGGTGCAGGTGAAGCCAGGCCATGGTTTGAGATGCAAAGAAGTGGCCTGGTAGGAGTGGGGTGGTGGAGGCTGTTTACTGACAGTGCTCACTACAGTGGAACAAGAACCTTTATTACTTCCCCTCAATATATTCCGATTTTTCTTTTTTTGACAAAAATATTTATTTTTCCAGTGGAGCCTCCCTACCTCCAGATGAACTAGTTGGAAATGGAATTGTTATGGTACTGAATCTACAAATGGATTGCACTATGTTCCATGCAAAGTTGACTTTCCTCCCTTCCCTTTGCCACATCCTTCAGAGTGCGGCAGTAAATTCAGAAAGTATCATCAGTTGTGCAGTTGAATGCAAAGGCTGGGAATGATTGATCTCTCCCATTAAATAAATGTTTAAAGAATGATATCAAAATTTTGAGAAAAGAACTGCAGTTAATTAAAACCCAGGAATAATATGTCTGCTTAATTAAGATTGGAGCTCCAGTGAGGATCTTAAAATAAACTATACTTTGGATTGATTCAGATAATCTTTTATTTTTGTTTTTGTTTTCTTTAAAAGTGGTATGTCAACATCACTTCATTTCTACATTTCAGCGTTCTGTACATTTCTTAAAAGGAAATAAGCAATGCTCAATGTACAAAGTAAAAACAGAAAACTAGAAAAATCTGAATAAAATGGAGCAAGTTGCCAGAGGTCATACAGTACAAATTAGTAATTAGATGTCATCTGAAGTGCAATACCACTGCTGTGATGATGAGTTAAGGAATGAAATAAAAATACTCTATTTTAAACAAACAGTATATATATATTTATATGTATATTTTTTACAGATAGTAGACCCAGTGATATCTGCAGTATTGTAAAAACTTATGTACAAATAACTTTTTTTAGACATTACATATACATCAGCACCGTAGTAAAAACAAAACCAAAACAAAACCACCATATTAAAATCTACCTATTAGTTGGTCCCAGTACTGAGCATTTGGAGGAAGCTTTTAAAAGATAATGGAGCCCCCCACCCCTGTCTGTCTCACTTCCATTAGCCACCTCCAGTTTCTCATCATTGCTTATATATTTATTTCCTGTACCTTTCAGGAAAAGGTAATTATGTTTTGTGTCTTCTCATTTGTTTGTTTGCTTTTTTTTGGTTTCATCTCTTTGATCCACTCAGTTTCCCCAGTGGCATCACTCCCCATTTGGGGAGTTCAGGGTCACCCTGCTGCCACCTCTTCGGAGAGGGCGCCCAGCCCCTGCCTGGGCTTCTCACCCACCAGGCACCTCTGGCCTTACATCCTGCCCCTTCCTGAGCAGCTCTACAACCCCGGGTACGCGGAGAGCAAGTCAAAGGCAATGTTTGCCTGCCGCCTCCTCTCCAAAAACACCTCTGCCCCCAGCTTTCCATGGCAACTCGCCTTCTCAGGACTGAGTGTGGCCAGTCCAACCCCACAGGCTCCGACTCTTCCGTAGTGATCTGCCTGGGAGTGCACAGAAGGCAGCCAGCGTCTAGGACACGGAGGGAGGAGGGGACAGGAAAAAAGCACACGCCACTCTCACTTAGGACGACACCGAAGCCACAAGTCCTCCAAAAGGGGGATTGGGAGGGGAGGCAAGGAGCCTTGTTGATTCCTTCTGACAGATTTCGCTTAGGGCAGATGTGCGTCAATTGCAGAGAACAACTGTACAGGACTTTGGAAGAGGACTACTTTGCCCATATGAAATAAACTACATCTCCTTTCTATCCAAATTTGTAAGGTGGAGCAATTGCTTTTTTAGCTCCTCCACCTCTCTGGGATTTTATATTTGTCTTTCTGATGAGTAGGGATGATGGGAAAGGTGGATTTTTAGAGCATCACTCCCAGGATTTCGCCCAAAGGGAGCCTGAACCAGTGACCTCCAGGCCACTCCTTCCTGGGGATATCAGAAATATCAGATGTGGCTCACAAAAAACCGACTCCCAAACATCAGAGCAGCCCTCTTGGTTCCAGGCAGATATTCATTCAACGCTACACGTTAGAGAAAGAAGACTCCAGTGTCGCCTTTGCATTTCAGGCATTGTCTAAGTTCTTCCTGCATTTATGTGGACTCTGCCCAAGGCTCCCTAAAGACATAAGCTTCACTTCTTGGATAGTCTGTAAGGAGAAGCAAGGGGAGGCTGGTGTGGAGGCAAGGAGGAATAAAGGCAGGGCTGGAGACAAAGGCTCCAGGCTGGCAGACACACAGGGTCCAGTAGGGGTTTCCCTGCCCTGCGGCCGCCAGAAGTAGATGTGACCCACCTGGATGTATGGGTTTTGTATTGGGCGCCAGCAGGCTCCAGCCCCACCTGGAGGGACTGCCACCAGGGGCACCAGCAGAGGGAAGCCGTCCCAGGACTGCCGGATGGACCCTGCTCCAAACTCAGCCTGCTCTCCTTGTGACAGCAGAGCCTTTGCAATTCCTGAGGGTCATCATGGGGCAGGAGACAGACAGTCCTGTAGGATCTGTGGTTGTCTCCTTTTGACAATCTCACTGTTCTTCGTGCCTGCCCTCCAAATTCAGTAGCATGTCTCAAAGCCTTACATCTCTCGGCACCCAGAGTTCAGTGCATTTCCAACCTGTGCACCTGGCCTGTGCAACCACCCAGCCTCTTCTGGGGGACTCACTCTCCCTGGCTGAGGCTCTGTCTCTTTTGTGTCTCCAAAGCTGCTGTCTCCCGACCTGGGGCAGGAGGGGCTGAGGATACCTCTCTTGGGTAATAGTCCCTCTCGGCTGAAGCAGCTCCTGCTGGGCCAGGCGATCACAGGGCATGCTGGGCAGAGGGGCTCTGGCCGGCTTCATCTTCCCACCTGCTCCTCCGGGTGTCTCCCTCTCTCGCAGCCGGGATCTGCATGGCGTCTCATCTCGATTGCTGTGTGAAAATCAGGTGAAATGAGGCCTGGTGGGGCTGTGGATTGGCACCTGGATCTTCCATTGTCAGCCAGCTGCAGTTTTGCTCAGTTTACGTGGGTCAAAAAAACAAAAAACAAGGATGGGTCAACATCCTGTTTCTTTTTCACTTTTTAAGCTTTAACCACTCGAGTTGTGGATCTTGGGGCCTCTCTTGATTAGGGGTTACCAAACAATTCATCAAGCTCCTGCATCCACTCGTCCCCTGGCCCGCCTTTGATGATGGAGTCCACAAGGTCTGCACCGTCCGGGAGGCCAGGGAAGGAACCCCCAGCTCCGTCGCCACTGTAATTGTATGACACGTCCTGAGGGGCATTCCGCTCATAGGCTTGGCTCTGGCTGCTTGGAGCAAAGCTGCCACTGGGTATCTGCTGCTGTGCTGGGGGCTGGCTGAACGCTGGCATGCCTGGGACTCCCTGGCTCAGGCCAGACATGACCATTGGCCTCGCCTGGCTGGTGCCTTGCTGCCCCGGGAGCGATGGCATCATCTGCCGACCCATGGCAGCTGGGTTGAGGGTCCTCACTGTGCCCGTGTTAGCATCCACGACTGACTGGCTCAGTCCCTGTGGGAAGTGCTGCTTGGTCAGTCTCGGCTGCCCAGCTTGAAGAGGGTAGCTGGCGCCATTGTTGAATGGTCCCAATTCTCCACTAGTCCTCCCAGGCATGCCCTGCAAGCTCCTCTGTTGCCAGCTTTGTGCTCCTTGCTGGACTGTTCCCATAAGGCTCTGCAGCCTTGGAGGGGCTTGGGGCCTAGGCAAGGCCTGGCCTACTGGCCCTTTCATCTGTGGATGTTGCTGGGTAATGGCTGAGTTCACCAGCATGCTCTGACCAAAGCCACTCACCATTCCAACCCCCTGCCCAGAGGCAGGTTGCCTCGGTCCCTGGGCTTGGTTATGTGTGATGCTCATGCCACTTTGGTTTGGATGCTGCAACATTTGGGTCATGCCTGTGCTCATATTGTACATTCCTGGTTGGCTGGTAGGCGTGGTGCTATAAGGGGCCAGTCCCATCTCCGACTGCGCAGCTGCGGTGGCCATCGTCCCAGGGTTCTGGGAGGGTCCTATTCCCATCATGCCTGCGTTCTGTGCCATCAGCCGTGACGTTCGCATGCTCTGGAGGGCTGCTTGGCTTCTTACGGCTGCTATATCCTGGGGAGAACCTGCAGTGAAAAAGAGGACACATACCACTCACTCTTCTCCATAAGCAATATACTGCAACAAGATGTTGGAATTTTCTTTGGGAATGACAAAATTCCTTTATATGAAAGGATCTACTCTGATAATAAATCTGTAACAAAAATGATTATTTTTCTGATTATAGCATATGCTGATTGTGAAAATTTTGAAAGTGTTAAAAAATACAGAGACAAAAATTAAAGTCACCTGAAATCCCACTATCCAGAGATGATCATTCCTATTCTTTTATTTGTATATAAATAGACACCCACAAAAATTGGGATCGTACTGTGCATGTGTTTTTGTAGCTGACTTTTCCACTAAACAGATCCTGATGTAATTCTTGTTTATACTTCAGAAGCAAATTATTTCGTACTCTTATAGGTATGACATCATCCTCAACCAATAAGATACTATTTTCTTTGGAGGTGAGAGAGAATCCACCTCTGGGGCTAAATTAGAAAGAAATGGCTGATCACTTTGTATTTTCTATTTGTGAAGTGGAACATGGTTCAGTAGAGAATACTATCAATAAAGACCATTAGACTAATTTCCCTTAAGACTTGAGTAGGATTTGAGAGGTTAAAGGCCACTGCTTCTGCTAAGCAGCTATTTTGACAGATAGGACATTTTTCGGATCCACTCTGTAGATTTCAACATGCTCCAGATTCTCTGAATCATAACTTGTCATTGCAAACTGGCCAGCTTCCTGAGCTAGAAAAAGAAATCATCCTGCTACGTGCGACTTGGCCATAAACTTTACGCATTTCTACAGCAAAGTCCATTCCTTCAAATCGGCAACGACTATTTCTCTCAGCAAATTGCTAACACAATTTTAATAATGCTGTTTAAAAGGTGGCCAGAGTGTCCATACCAAGTCATTCAACCTTAATTAGGCATTTGAGTGAGTCCTTCTTTACATGTTACCAGGAAATTTCCAAACAGCCAAGGGAATGGAAATGTCGCCAGTAGAACACCAGTCAACGTTGCAAAGGTCTAGGAGGTACACAAAAACGGATTTTTCTATGTCCCTGCTAATGATTGAGTCTATGAGAAGAAGAAAAATAGTTTTTTTCCTGGACATTTAAAGAAGGTGCAGCATGGGAGCCAGTCAATATTCTAAGCAAATTTGATCCCACCTGGAACTGTGATGAGAAACCAGATGAGAATAGTCTAACCTTGTTAAACCTGGCACCCTGGTAGATAACTGAAGCATGTTTTTGTCTTCCTGATGTGGCTATTGATTTCTGGGCTGCAAATATGTCTCCATAGTTTCTTCCTTTCTTTAAGAAAGAAAATTACTGGAATTTTGATTATGTCTCAAGTTTTTGTGGCTTGAGATCAATATCATACTGCATTGAAAAATGAAACGATTTCTATCAGGAAACCTGAAAGATCTGGGGGAAATCCCTAGAAATGTTTTCATATATTTTTTTAAGCTTCATTATATCTAAGTGATTTTTTGAAAAATCGAAAGTTCCTAGTAAAACACTGGAAGGTAGTATATACTGCAACTTGTAATATTGTCATGCAGTTTTGTGACCTTAACGACTAAATTTTTATCGGCTGCATGGCCAATAAGATCAACTGTGGTGAAATGGGTTATTGAGTTGTTTATAAAAAAAGTTTAAGGGAAAAATATTGCTGAGTCAGAGATTGATTGGATAGACCCAAATTATATAAACAGTCTGATGGGCTGCTAGAAATAGATGAAAGGACATCTATAATTTGGCCATTTTGGGGTATATTTATAATGGATATGGTAAAGGACTAGATACTGTCTGGAATAATTTTGTGAATGAGAAATAGGTTCCTTTCTTTAGAGGGCAGAAGCGTTACAATGCTTTTTAATAGGCAGTGATACATTAATCCAAGCCAACCTTTATTTTTTATTTAGTGTAAATGACTGCACTATCTTGATGTAATTCTTATTTTTAAAAGGCATTTTAAAATCAGCAATTGCCACATTCTTTTTCACCTAAGGGAAATAAAAGGACTTTTATTAATCTAGTTTTATGCCTTCCGTGATTTTAAATATACAAAGGAAAAAAATTCAGATGTGTCCAAGGAATTAACTTGTCTTTACATGATTACTACATGTGTTAAACAACAGATTATGTTTTCTTTTTCTTTTTTTGGTCTAAAGCAGATATTATTGTGAGACACTGTAATCTAATTTTCTTGTCTGCTGGTTAACATCACAATGTCCAAGAAAATCTTGTATATTCAAATACAGATGATAGTATCCAACTTTTTCCTAAAAAAGTCTATGTTCTATTTTCACTCACAAGAAGCCTGTATTTGTGAAAAAAATAAGTATTTCCCCATAGTCATGTAACATTGCCCAGAGATCCAGAACCTAATGAGGGAAAGACAGTCATTAAGACCTTTGAAATGTATAATGGTGAGAGTATGGGATAGGTTCTCATGCAAGTTATACCTAACAAAACTTCTCTCCAAGAATGATATTTCTTATTTTTCAGTTTGCTATTTTCCCAGATGCATAACATCATGC
Source organism: Homo sapiens (assembly GCF_000001405.40). Classification (NCBI taxonomy): domain Eukaryota; kingdom Metazoa; phylum Chordata; class Mammalia; order Primates; family Hominidae; genus Homo; species Homo sapiens. The sequence continues at coordinate 139,722,855 of NC_000004.12, forward strand.
TATCTAGGGTGTCTGTAAACACATGAAAATACTGAAGATAGTAAAACAAATTATATATCTCAAACCAATCAGTTCAAGGACCCTAAAATGTCACACTGGCTTTACTGATAGTATTCTCTACTGAACCGTGTTCCACGTCACGAATAGAAAATGCAAAGTGATCAGCCATTTCTTTCTAATTTAGCCCCAAAGGTGAATTCTCTCTCACCTCCAAAGAAAATAGTATCTTATTGGTTGAGGATGATATCATATCTATATGAGTGCGAAATAATTTGCTTCTGAAGTATAAACAAGAATTACATCAGGATCTGTTAAGTGGAAAAGTCAGCTTCAAAAACCCATGTACAGTACAATCCCAATTTTTGTGGGTGTCTATTTATATAGAAACAAAAGAATAGGATTGATCATCTCTGGATGGTGGGATTTCAGGTGACTTTAATTTTTGTCTCTGGTTTTTTTTGTTTCTTTTTTCTGGGACACAGTTTTGCTCTTGTTGCCCAGGCTGGAGTGCAATGGCACGATCTTGGCTCACCACAACCTCTGCCTCCTGAGTTCAAGCAATTCTCCTGCCCCAGCCTCCGGAGTAGCTGGGATTACAGGCATGCGCCACTATGCCTGGCTAATTTTTTGTATTTTTAGTAGAGACGGGGTTTCTCCATGTTGGTCAGGCTGGTCTCGAACTCCCGACCTCAGGTGAACTGCCCGCCTCGGCCTCCCAACGTGCTGGGATTACAGGAGTGAGCAACTGCACCTGCCTGGAATAGAAGTTTTTAACTGGACCCAAAACATTCAGAATAGCTCATATGTGTCTATGTTCTGTAACACAGGGGAATTATTAAATAATTCCCCTTTTCCCCCACAAATAATACATGAGTTATGAACCTGGAAAACTCAAGAGACATTATGCTGGGTTTATCAGCTTTTATGTTTTTAATTAGTTCATAATATAATGCAGCAGCTCTCAAGCGTGGTTCCCTAGCTAGCAAAATCAGTGACTCCTGGGAACTTGTAAAAAATGCAGATTCTCAAGCCCCGCTTCAGATTTACTGAATCAGAAACACTGTGTATGTTTTAACAAGCTCCGCTGGTGCTTTCAGTGCAGGCTAAAGTTTGAGAACTACAGATACAAAGGAGGGCTCTGTATCTGCAACAACAACTATGTAATGATGACTAGTCCCCACTCTTCCGAAGCTACCCATGGCAAAATTAGAAACATAATTCTTCAAAAACCACTGGCACTGATTTAGTGCACAGAACACCTGTGGATAACTCAATTCCTTTTGTCCTTCCCTGTGTCAAGGCCAAAGGATCTAATGTGATATAAGCATTCCAGAGGTGGAAGGGAGTGGTAGCTACTCAAGACCCAGTATTTTTACAGGTGATCTTCAATGTGATCTGTCAGTAAATATCAATGGCTTTCAGACTGTAAACTACAGCTCACAGTTCATGATCTAGGATATATACATGTGGGTTTAAAACAGAAAGAAAAGTTTCTGATATGCTCTGGTAATTTCTGTTGTATTTCATTTTGAAAATGTTGGTTGTGACCCACTAAGTTGTTTCCAATAACCTTGTGTGTTGCAATCTGAGAAGTTAAAAATGCTACCTTAGATCAGAAAATTTTCACCCAGTCTATTGATAAAGTTCAGGGATACTTGTGAAATTATATAAAAGTTTGTATATATTTACATATTATATGTTTCTCTGCAAGAGGCTTCATAGCTTTTTGCAGACACTTAAAGGAATAGGTAACTTTTGAGAAGCTAGGACACATTGATCTAGATCCCACAAAATGGGCAGAGGATGGGATTAGGATTTCTGCTGCTAGGTGACCCCTGTAGCCCCCTGAAAACTCCTGTGGATAAGATTAGGAAGGCTCCTCAGGCTATTTTCTTCACCCCATATAAGACCCTCAAGGGTCTTTTTTTTTTTTTTTTTGAGACAGAGTCTCGCTCTGTTGCCCAGGCTGGAGTAGCTCACTGCAACCTCCACCTCCCGGGTTCAAGCGATTCTTGTGCCTCAACCTCCTAAGTAACTGAGATTACAGGTATGCATCACCACTCCTGGCTAATTTTTTGCATTTTTAGAGAGACAGGGTTTTGCTATGTTGGCCAGGCTGGTCTTGAACTCCTGGCCTCAAGTGATCCGTCCACCTCAGCCTCCCAAAGTGCTAGGATTATAGGCGTGAGCCACCGCACCCGGCCAAGGGCTCTCTCTATTAGAGATGGAAGGGTTTGATATTTGAACGGGCCTTCCACATTTATAAAGGAGTGCCAACACTGACATACAGTGCGCCCACTGCTACTAGGTCATGATTTAGGATTCCCGCAAACGGCTACAGGATCAGTTCAATCAGCCTCAAGGCCCTATTTGTCTTCTACATTCAAAAGAGACTAGTGGTTGTTGCAAGCCAGATTCTTCCACTTCAGCTTTAGAGGTAAGGGCTTTGGTCAGGTGACCTGCTGGGATAAGCAAAAAAGATGTGGCACAAGATTTTTGCCCCTGTAGTCACTAAGATGACGATCTAAACATAAACAAAATTGATATGCAGCCAACAGGCACCAGTATATCTTTACTGGTTGTTAAACTATTACAATACTATGTACCTTTGGTAAAGAACAGCTGTTCTAGTCCCAACTCCGACAGCTACCCTGACCCTTCCCTGTGCCTTCTAGAACCTCTCTGTGACTCAGTGACCAAAAGGTTAATGCCTGGCACAACAGGAGGCCTCTAGGAATCCATTCTGATTGGTTAGTACTCTTAACCTACCAGTAGTTACATATTTTGAGTATTTCCTGGACACAAATACAGCCAGTAAGGCAATGCCTCTGGCTACACATTCACTTACGCTTCACCACTGGAAGGTATAAAATGAGAGAGGTTGCACTGGCCTCACCTTGAAACTGATTGACCTGCTGCACTGGGTATGGATTCCGCTGTGGCTGGAGGTGCTGCCGGGGTAGATGTGATTGCTGCAACTGCTAGAACAACAGAACACAAGAGGGGTGGAGAGGTGAGATAGGGAGCAAGCACACAATTCAATATCCCAGCAGTTCCGAGGAAGGTAGTGTTTTCCCCAAAACTAAACTTTGTGTTGAAGAATCATATGCATACAGGCAAGTGCACAAAGTCTAAGGATAGAGTCAGGTAGGTTTTCACAAAACGAACACACTCAGGGCCACCAGCCCCCACATCAAGAAACAGAACGCTGCCAGGAGCCCCTCGTGCCCCTTCCAGTCATCACTCTCCCTTGACCCATGGGCATCACTGTCCTAACTTTTAACAACATAGAGCAGTTATGTCTGCTTTTGTACTTTGCAGAAAAGGATTCACATGATGCTGCTTTTGTGTCTGGCTTCTTGCATTCACCACTGTATTTGTGAGATTCATCCACGTGGATGTGAATTCTTGTTGCTTGTTCATTCTCACTGTTGGATAGTATTCCATCATATGAATATACCATAATTTATTTACCCATTCTACTAGTGATGTCACCTTTGGTGTTTCTAGTTTTTGTGTTTCAAATGTGACTGCTATGAACATTCCTGTACATGCCTTTGGTGAACATCTGTATGTATTTCTGATGTGTGGACTTGCTGGCTCATGAGGAATGCGTGCTGAGGGAAGGGGTTTTGACATGGACTGCCCAACATCAGCCTGCATGCTTTCCTTAGGCTGTGGGGACTGAGTTGAAAGGGACAAGCAACTGCTTTTTAATGACCTAAGTGGATGCTTTGGGCATAGGAAGATGACATCCTCAGGAGTTATACAAAAAAGGCTAATCTTATTCCCATGAAGCCACACTGCCTGTAAAATACATCTCTACATGTAAACTATTCAGCATTTACTGCTTTGAGGAAACCATGTGGGATTCCACATATACCAGCAGACCAGGAGGCCTGCATATTAGTCTTTCTTCTTCCACTCACGGGGATGCTGCACTGCTAGTGTTGCTACCAATATGCTGGGAAGGCTATTATCATTATCATGCTGTATGTGCAAAGGGAAAGAAAATAAGAGTGATGTAGAAAGAGCAGAGAAAGAGGTTTCAGTTCTAGGTCTGCCGTCAAGTAGCTTGCGTGACCTTGGGGATGTTGTTTAACCTGCTCCCTGCAGCTGCTGAATATTCATTAAGCACCTTTCATCTGCAAGGGCTATAAAGAATATACAACAAGGTCCCTGTTCTTTAGAGTGTTCATTATAAAAATAACACACACTGACCACCTCTTAACGCCTGTGTTTATTTCAATTTTTTCTCTTGTGTTTGTTCCTGGGCTGCTCTATAATTTTCTTTTCTTTTTCTCTTTCTCTACAAGGCCAGCCAGTATTCTGGCAACCAAAGAAAAAACAGCCTCTGACTCGTTGACCCCATCCCATGGTTCCTACCATAATGTTCTACAGAAAACTGTTGAAATTAATTGATTGTGTAGACCATTAAAGTGTAGACAAGAAACCACACAAATCTTTTAGGCAGCAATAGAAGGGCATTACTGAGAGTAAGCTGAGCATTTAACAGCTTCTCCTCAGTCAAACTTCCCATATAATATAAGAATTTAACTGTCCCACTTACGACTAGGAATGAGCCCCTGGCAGCCTGTGGGGGACTGAGGGTGTATCCTGGAGTCAGGAATCAGGAGTCCTCAGTTCCATCCTGGCTCTGTCTCTCTCTAGCTCTGTGATCTCATATAAATCACATAAGCTCAGTTTCCCCACATAACCTCAGTTCCTCATTTGTAAAATGATGGGACTTCATGATGTAGAATGTTTCTAAGTTCTGTCTAACCTTTGTGAATGGATGAGAGGTTATGTGCTTTGAACTTTTGGAGAATACGGCATTAAATGTGAATTCATGCCTACTTTCAACCTGCACTGCTCTGATTGCCAAGTCTACTGAGAATCATTTTAAAGTTTCCCAAAATATGTAAGATCCCAAATCCTTCTGTTTTCCCTCACATGTCCTTTCAGGAAACCCAAAATCTGTTTCCAAAATCCAAAGTGTGAGGACACTTTCAATGCTGCAGCAACCAAGATTGGTGTTGATCTGGCAGTATTCACTCTCAAAACGAAAAACTGAGAGCTGGCCGGGTGCCGTGGCTCACACCTGTAACCCCAGCACTTTGGGAGGCCGAGGCAGGCAGATTGCTTGAGCCCAGGAGTTCGAGACCAGCCTGGCCAACATGGTGAAACCCCATCTCTACTAAAATACAAAAATTAGCCAGGCGTGATGGTGTTTGCCTGTGGTCCCAGCTATTCTGGAGGCTGAGGTGGGAAGATTGCTTGAGCTCATCAGGCAGAGGTTGTAGTGAGCCGAGATCATGCCACTGCACTCCAGCCTGGGTGACAAAGTGAGACCCTGTCTCAAAACAAAACAAACAAAAAAAAGTTGAGCACTTACTCCTTGTAGACCTGCACTTGGACAACCTGCACTAAATCTGCACCCTCCTCAGGTACAGGCAAGACGCTCCACTGACCTGGCTGGGCCATGTGGCTGCAGCTCTCACATGACATTCGCTGACACCAGGGCCACGTGACAGGCCCCCACATACATGTGTGCAGCACATACAGCTTCCAAAACATTTTATACACATGATCTTATGTGATCCTTAAAGCAGCTACATGAGGTGGGCTGGGAAATTATTAAAACCTAATCTGGCAGATGAAGAGGGAAGTTAGTGGTTTTTCCAAAATCACATCACATGCAAAAGAACGGACAAATCTTGGCCCTGAGGAAAGTGATCCTCCCCTCATCCCTCATCATCTTTTGGTACACACAGTTGCTACGGAATGATCCACAGGTCACGGCTTCCCATTTCCCTTGTCTTTCCCAAGAAGCCCCAGCTCTCTCCATGCTCTGGATTCTGAGGGGTCTCCCCTGACCTCTCACCTCCTTGTCTGGGGGCATCATCTTGACGTGTCTCTTCTCACACTCTTCCCACACCCTGTGCTCCCCAGGGTCGGGCTGGCCTCACCGTGTGGGAACACCCTTGGGCTGCACAGCTGAGCTCTGCCTGCTTGCCCTGGGCCTTCTTTGTGTCTTTGGTCACAGCACACATATCAAAAGCCATCACTCAAAACATCAGGCACACCTGAGATTTCCTGGGATTGGCTGAGGAGAGGATTTACAGAGCCCAGCTGCCCTCGGCAGCTCCATTTGTCACTGCCTGAGAGAGATTAGCATGGCTCCTTGTCGCACACCTTATGTAGGTGAGAGGGATAGAGGTTTGTTTGTACAATAGCTGCCAGGCGGCTGACTGACCTTGGTAAAAAGGGAGATAATTACACAGCTGTTCAGGAACAAAAGCAAAAAAAAAAAAAAAAAAAAAAAGGGAACATAAGTGAACTGTGCTCAGCAGTACAATTTTTCTCTTTGGGGGATGCCTGGTGTTACTTTGAACTGCTATTCTTGGTTAATAGGGACCTCCATGGGCCCGTGTCCTACACAGGATACACGGTGGTGGATGCTTAGTAAATTTGCAAAATTCTGGCAGGGCGTGGTGGCTCACATCTGTAATCCTAGCACTTTGGGAGGCTGAGATGGGAGGATCGCTTGAGGCCAGAAGTTCGAGACCAGCCTGGTCAACATAGTGCGACCCCGTCTCTATTTCTTTAAGAAAAAATTCATAAAATTCTGACCCTATCAGGAATATTCTAGAAGGATAACTGTGAGGCAGACTTATGTTGGGCCTTCAGCTTTATATGACAACCTCACACCTCCTATAAGAAAGAGCCTGCTGTGCAAGATTCTCTGTGCAGACCCTCACAGAAGCCGCCTGGGGATCTCTTGTGGACAGCCTCAGGCCTTTCCCTAGGATAATGCTAAGTCAGGTATGGGCATCTCTAAAAACAAAACAAATTGAAATCTACAGTAGCAGTCTGCAGGGAAGGCTTTCTCTCAAAGCTGAGGAATTATAGGGCGAGGGTGGACAAAGATGCTTAAGGTAAAGCTGTATTTGTGTTAGGCTTTCCTTTAACTCACAGATTTCCTGAGCTGTTTTAAAAGCTGTGGGGAGTTTTCTTAAGTTTGCACCCTGTGTGTGACCCAGAGTTCAGGTTTCCAGGTAGTTCTGCAGGCCTTATTATTCTGCTATTGTTCCTGATCCATTGTTCATTACCCATTCTATAGAATTCTTCTCAATTCCTCTTCCTGTCAATTTCCTCTAAGAAACAGAGTTCTCTGAATTATTATTTTTTTCTTCAAGCTAGAAATATTACGGCTTATGGAGCATGTGAGACAGTCCCCGCCATGTGCTGATTACACAGACCCCTGTACCAGAAATCAGAAGGAAAGGAGTCAGACTTGAATCAAAGAAATGTCTCTGGCACACAGGCCTTCAAATTGATGGCTGGAGCCTGTCTTTTAAGAACAAATTAATTCATTATAGGAAAAACCCTAACTAATTGAAAGGTCTAAATTCTTCAGGTTCTCTTGTGATCCTGGGAAATGCTAGACCGTGAGCATCTTGATGGAGGATGTGAACTGCCACTTCCTCACAGGCAGCAGGCAGGTGCTGAATAAGTGCTTGCTGAATGAATGAATGAATCACGCCAAGGGGCATGTTACCTGTTCCGCCAAAATCTGCTGCTGCTGCTGCTGCTGCTGCTGCCTTTGCTCCCGCAGGAACTGTTGCTTCTGCTGCTCTATCAACTGGGCCCGCTGATCAATGAGCATCTGCTTCATGATGGCTGCTTGGGGCTGGCTGCCCAGGAAGCCGGGGCCTGCGGGACTGGCTCCTGAGACCATGCCACCTGAGCCTGGGGGCACGGAGGACTGCATGGGGCCTGTGGTTCGGGGAAGTCCAACTGGATGCTGCTCCTGGGAAGACAAGAGAGAGGGAGATGCAGGGATTCCCCATAGAGACTCACTGCTGTTTGAAGGGAAGCCCCTGGAAAAAGGGAACGGGGCAGAAGTCCCAGCTTATGGACTGGAGGGTTTTTGAGTGGCACGCATTGCATTTCCATAAACGTAGCTTCAAACCCGACCTTACCTGAGTAGAATGAGAGAGGCCACAAGGGACAGTAAGAGAGCATGGCTCTGGGAAGTCCAAGGCCAAGTCCAGTCTGTTTCGGATGGGACTGACTATTGCATATAGACTGGATTTTCAACTAACATCCTGTGTTCCTCCAAGGAAAGGGAATAAGCCCTCAGGCTGAGCTCACCTAAAGTCTGGAACACGAGACACATCCTGACCTCACCTGTTAATCCTTATTTCTTACTGTCTACTTGGCCAAAATGGACGTCTTCTTTGCAAGTAGGAGGGACATTTGCAGAAAACTGCAGGAATTTGTTAATCAACAGATCTGATATTTGATGGAATTCTAACGAGTTGCAACATTTGAGAGCTTAGATATATGTCAGAAAGAAAAATCCTCCTGGCCAGAGTTGTTGATGGTGAGAACTGGGAATGTTTTACACCGATCAAAGCTATGTAATCTCCTAATATTTTTAAAAATAGAATTGAGTCGGCCGGGCGCGGTGTCTCACGCCTGTAATCCCAGTACTTTGGGAGGCCCAGTACTTTGGGTGGATCACGAGGTCAGTTCGAGACCAGCTTGGCCAAGATGGTGAAACCCTGTCTCTACTAAAAAAAAAAAAAAAAAAAAAAAAAAAAAAAAATTAGCCAGACATGGTGGTGGGCACCTGTAATCCCAGCTACTCGGGAAGCTAAGGCAGAGAATTGCTTGAACCCGGGAGGCGGAGGTTGCAGTGAGCCGAGGTCGCGCCACTGCTTTCCAGCCTGGGCGACAGAGTGAGACTCTTTCTCAAAAAAAAAGAATTGAGTCTTCTATGTCTGGGATAATTTAAACATGGGGTGTTGGATTGGGTCTCTTGATTCTATAATTATATGTCAGCCAGTCGAATGATGGCAACTTTTAAGGACTGGTCCTTAGGGAAGAGGAGGTCAAGTGGTAAAGACCTAATTCCACACAGCCCAGGTGACTACATGGAGAATGTGCTCAAAGGCGAAGTTTATGCTCTGAGCTGGACAGTGTAGACTATTAGGGGAAAACAGTGAATGGGAAGAAAAGGTGTGTGGCCCAGATTCAATTTCTAGACACTTCCTTTCCTATTTTTTCTACCAAGACTACCTAGCAGTGGCAAGTATGTTCTGAACATTCTGCAGAAATTCCTTCTACCTCACTGAAGTTTCAAGTAATTAATGTGAAATGGAGGAGTTGACACAGATTAAATGGGCACACATATAAGGACATTCACAGTCATTTTGTGAAGCACTATTATGAGACCTAAATAGCAAGAAGCAAATGTGAATAACTCTGTCATTTAAAAATTTTTAAATCCAAATTGGATTTTAACATTTTTCTTCTTTTTACTTTATTGCCTTTCCAATGCAGATACCGTTAAACATATTGGCAGTTTTTTCTCAAAGCAAATAGGTGAAGTTTCTCTCTGTCTCTCCTAGAGAGACCGTCCTGGATTTGATTCCCTATGGCTTGGGCTTGTGTTCCTCCCTTCCTTCTGTGGTGTGCTGTAGAACCATGCAGGCTTCCCTCTCCACTATGACTGACTTCAACTGCATCTTCAGTTGCTCTTCTTCCCTCCAAACAAAACAAAACAGCAAAGCAAACAAAAGCCAAACCAAACCAAAACGCTACTCCTCTTACCCTAGAAACAATCACCCAAGAAGCTCTGGTTTGTTCGTGCAGTAGCTTAGGTCACACAATCAATGAATGGAAGACACAGAACTAGCAGAACTAGAACGCTATTTTTTTTTTTTTTGTAACAGATAGCTTGTCTTTACTTTTTTAAAAAATGTAACTTAAAATTAAAAAAAAAATTTCCATAAGTTATCGGGGTACAGGTGGTATTTGGTTACATGAGTAAGCAGAACGCTGATTTTGATTCTCAATTCAGTATTCCTACTAGCTCAGGCCTCTCCCAGGCAGTGTCTTCATGGTGTTAAGTGTGCACCTAAGAACAGCCTGTAGACCTATATACTGTGTCTCTCATAAGTGTACTGCGTTCTATTTTTTATGTGTAAATGCTGTAGCTGAAATTAATAAAATGTTTTGCCTTTGTGTATTTTCTCTATAAATACACAAAGACAGCTAGGAAATATTTTTGATGTTAATAAAAAGATCTTACACTAAAAAATGCCAGGAACCTTTGTGCTACCAAAAAGTTTACTTCAGGACTAACCCTTGCAGGGGCCTAGATATTTCAGGGTCTTCCCTTTTCCCCCAAATATTTGCTACCTGTTTTCCAAGCCCTTCCTTCCAGTGAAATAAAGCTGTTTCTTGGCACCTTTAGGGACAAATGGCTGATTGGCTTTACACTTTAACAAATGAATTCACACTGACATATAAACAGCCAATCAGCAAAAATGCAGATATGTAGTTTGTTTTTTCTGTCTCAGTATATTTGATACTTTCCAGTTTTGATAAGGAGGAGAGAGTTGGAAAGAAAATGAGGCCCAAGGGAAGATAAAGTTTTCTTCAGCTTGATTTTTTGAGAGGGTTGGTCTGGGATGGCCCTGTTTATCTTTGTGCACTTTGAGATATGCTTGTCCTGTGTGACCAGCCCGCACAGCTGGGGAAGTGGTAAGGAGTGAAGAAGTGTTGCTTTCCCAGCCTCCTCTCCACTGGGAAAAGAAAGAGAGAGGCAAATGGGGTGACGACGATACATCAAACCACTTTTTGCCCGTGTCTTCCTGGGCCAAGAAGAAATACTTCAAAAGCACAGTGTGAAAAAAAAAAAAAAAAAACCCTCCCAAAGGGATAGGATTATGTATTTCCCCAAATAATTCCCTCCCAGAGGTTTTGCCTTCAGGCTTCTCACTGAAGACCTACAGGCAGGAAGGGCTGTATGTATTATTTTATGATTATTTTTTAGAGACAGGGTTTCACTCCGTTGCCCAGGCTGGGGTGCAGTGGTATGATCATAGCTCACTGCAACCTCCAACTCCTGGGCTCAAGCAATCTTCCTGCCTCAGCCTCCTGGGTAGGTGGGGGACTACAGGTTTAAGCCACCATGCCCTGCTAATTTTTAAATTCTTTGTATAGATGGGTTGTTGCCCATCTGTGTTGCCCAAGCTGGTCTTGAACTCCTGGCCTCAAACAATCCTCCTGCCTTGGCCTCCCAAAATGTTGGGATTACAAGCATGAGCCACTGCTCCCAGCCACTATGTGCATTCTTAAAGGACTGCCTTCCATACGAAACATCTTTAGTTCGCAACAAAGCTCTGCGGCATTCAACAGTGGATGAGAGACACCTACAGCCCCCGACTCTGAGGTGTATTCCAAAGTGTGAAAATGTACTCAGTGACTTGACTTACACATTAAGCTGGCCGAGGCCACTAACATAATACATGGCTTCTTTTAACCTCCAGTCTCAGAGGGCTTAATGAGAAATAGTCTGTCAAATTTCAGGATTTCAAGCCACTGCTCTTGTTTCTAAGAAGGACACACACTGTGTTGTGCAATTAGAGAAAACCAGGCTGAGCTTTCGTCATGCGAGATGTAATGCCTTGAAGCCAAATGATGCAGTATTTTTAGTTGTAATTACTGGCTTGTTCTCCAATCCACTCCTTGCCCAACGACCTCCCTTGCTTCTCCCAAGAATCTTAATACAGTTTCTTCCCCTCAAAAATCCAACTGTGGCTACATAGATCTTCACTACTCGCCCAACCCTCTGACTCTTCAGTAAAATAAAGGGAGGAGAAAGAAATCAAAACCAACGAACCTATTTTACATATCTTCCCCTCCAGGGAAAAGATCTTAGCAATTTTCTAAAGGCTAGAGTGAGGTAGGAGGTGTCAAAAGCACCCTTACCTCCCCCAAACAGGCAGTTTTCGACTTCAAAAAACAGTTGTGGTAAAAATATCTCCCAAGAACAGCCAGCTGTTTATTTATAAATCTGTGCGTAGGGAAGCTTTATTTTTCTGAAGTGTTTTCAAGAACATGCATAGTGTTTGGGTGAGAGGGGCCAGCCTTGCTGGCGGCGAACCAAAGAGCAGGGAATCACAAAAGACGGCCGGCGGCGAGCAGGCTGGGGTGACGGGGACCCCGTGGATAACGGGCTTGAGGACGCCCAGGGCTTCAGCCTTTTCCAGGCGTCCCTCGCCGGGGCAACGCAGAGCAGCTGCCGTTCTTCCCGCGCCCCAGCAGATGGTGGTGTCAGCCCGGCCTCGTGCCCGGCCGCCGCTGCGCCCGCGCCCCCTCCCCTCGCAGATGGCTTAATCAGGGCTCCCGCCCGCCCCTCCGCGGCCCCCGCCCCGCGCGTCTGGGCGAGCGCTGCGAACGTGGAGCCAGGCAGTCAAGTGTTACTGCGTACAGCAGGTAGCCTGGCAACTGAGAGCACAATACCGAGCAGATGGTGTTCGCACGGCGTGATGGACATCACACACGACAGCCTGAGACAATCCAGGAATTCCCTGGTGACTCGAGGCCCTCTTTGCACAAAATGAGTTCTCTCTCCATTGCCGTGTATCTCTGGGGTTATCTGCCCCCCTCCTCCGACTGACACTGAACTGGTTTCTCATTACCGACTTTTCTTCCAGCCGGAGGGGAGGAAGAATTCAAGTGGGGGAGGGCGCGGGAAGGGGACGTGGAGGGAAACGGAAGGGCTGGGAGTGGGGTAGGGGGGCAGTGGCGACCTCCGGGGGGGGAGGGTGGCGGACACCAGACCCCAGGGCCGACAGCCCGGGAGGGACCGGGTTCCAGGACCCCAGCTGCACAAAGCCGGCCCGGGGAGGGGGCGATAAGGAGCGAGCCTCGGGTCGGCCCGGCACCGCTGCTTCGGCTCAGAGTCCTTGCAATCGCTTGGCCTACGAACAACCTAAATGAAATTTAGGGTTTTATTGAAAAAGTCCCCTGGGGCCTAATTTAGCCTCTCGACTCCAGCCTATATGCTTACAAGTCCTCAGGGGACTCCGGCTAGGAAGTCAGGAGTGGGGCCCGTGCGTCCCCGGCAGGACCTAGACTGCCTCTCGGCGCAGGCGGCCCTAACAAAGAAGCCCACGAGGCGGTCCCGGGCGCGGGCAGGGGCGGTGCGGCGGCGCTCGGGAGACCCGCGAGGGGCCCTGGAGGTCCTCGGCCCGCGCGCGCCGCTCGGGAGCCCGCGAGGCTGCGGTGTGCTCCAGCGGGCGCATTTCCCAGGCCCCGCCACATCGTGTGTGTTAGTGGCTGGGAAGGACACGAGGACAGAGATGAGGATTGTTCGTGGCAGGAAAGAGTAAAAATAAATCAATGCATAAACAAAAAGGATGCCCCAGAAAACCTGTGCTTTTCAGACACACACACACATACACACACACTCACTCACTCACTCACTCTGAATTGGGTCAAGTAAAAAAAAATTTTTTTTAAAGGAAGGAATCTTTAGCCCAACTGGGATTTCGACGAAATTGTATATATCAAAAGATAGCTACATCCAACCTCTCACCAGAATCCAGAGGCTTTCTCCTGCAAAGATACTATTGAAAGTTTTATTAGTAAGTTTGAGAAGGCGAAAGTATGTATCAGAGGTGAAAGCTAACATGACAATTGCTTGGCCAAAGAGCGCAGCAGTTTTATGTTATTGAGCAGCACAGGATGAATCGAACACCCACGATGGCTAGACAGAGGCGCCTGGCTGTGACTCCCAGAGGTTCAGGCAAGCCATCTGACCTCTCTCAGTCCCCACCCCCTGAAATGAAAACCATACTCATAAGACTCCTTGACAATGGAAATTTTGGAGGTGACATAGTTAATGAAGTGTCATAGAAAGGAAATAGCTAAGAATACTCTAAAACCTCCCCATTCCCAGTATGGGCAATTTGGGAAAAATGAGTAACTAAAAATTAGGGGTTCTCAAAGTGTGGTTCCAGGATCAAATGCATTAGTCCCCACCTGGGAGCTTGTTAGAAATGCAAATTCCCAGGCTCCCCTCTAGGCCTCCTGAATTAGAACTTTTGGGGGTGTTTTAACAAGCTCTCCAGGTGGTTACGATGTCCCATAGAGAATCATTGGGGCAAATAATCCTGTGCCCTGATTAGATTGCAAAGCTGCACTTTCAAAAGCAAGTCAGGGTGCTGAGTTGCTTAGTTTCTATTGCAAAATTTCCTGCTTTGGAACAAAATTTTCAAAATTTTCAGAGGGTTGCTCAGGCCAGTGATGTTTGCAATGCAAACCCAAGAATTCTGAAAGGAGCCCATGGCTGAAAGGAGCCAATTCTTCCAGGACGGACTACTCCAGTTGCAACTGTGCTGTGGAGGCTGAGGAGCATCCATGACTGAGGAAGGGCGAGTCCCCTATAATGCCCTTGCTAAGGGGAGCATCAGACATCCCTAGACTTACAAGTCCCTCGTGTAATAAGGTGAACTATGGAAAGCTATGATTTGAGGAAAGTTCCCTCTGATTGAAAGAGTTCTTCAAATATGAAGAATGTAACACTTATGGGGCACCTACTCATTGCAAAACACTCTACTAGGGGCTTTCACCTGTATGTTTAACTCATTTTGTTGATTTTTTTTTTTTAAGCCCAAATTTCTGAGAGGTTAAGGAACTTGTCTGGTGGTGGCGTCTCTGGGATTCTGACTTTTCCACTGACCATAACATGCATCTGGTCTAAATTGAGCGGACCACCCAGGAGGATGTTGGAATAAAAAGAAATGGGAAGGGGGTGGGGAGAGGAATGGGCATAGAATAAAAAGGTAGAAACCCTTGGGATCAAAGGATGCAACTGAAAGAGCACCAAAATATGCATCATTTTTTTTAATATGTTGTCTGGTACCCAAAATTGGGATGCCTCTGTGGTATCAACTTTGACATTTAAAGAAAGGGCATAAGATTAGATCATTCAACCATAAGTGGAAGGAAGAAACAAAATAAAATAAAACCTTACAATTCCCTTTGAAGTTGATCAGGTGTCAAGGCAGTGATTTGGTTTTCTTTTACAAACTTTCTTTTTCCAGAAAAATTTTTACTGTGGGTTTGGAGAGGTGTTTACAATAAATTCATAGCAGAGCTCCAAAAGGGCCCACCCCATCTAATATCCTCTGTCTCAGCAGATTATTGAAGAAGATTGGATTAAAAGGTTTGTTTTGTGATGTGTGATGGTTGTGTCCCCAAGATGATTGAGTTTGAGGCAGAGTTCATCAATTTAGGAGGCTTATCACTGAAGCAGCAATAACTTGGGGCCCAATGCGAAGGCTGCTAAATGGGTCCAGCAAAGCTCTTGGTTCAGCTTCTAGAAAGGAACAGTGTACATTGGGGGAACCCCACAGGCCTGGGTAGAAACTCAGCTCCACCATGGGCCCAGTGACTGGCACATAACAAACAGCTTGTGGTTGTTATTCTTACTGCCGAAACCTCTTGATCATGCAGGGCATCCTTCAGGGTGAGGGAAGTGCTGTGTTTCTGGTGCTAGCTTTAGCTCCTAAAATAAAGGGGAACAAGACTTGTCATGGTCAGGCCAGGCATGGTGGCTCACGCCTGTAATCCCAGCACTTTGAGAGGCTAAGGCGGGTGGATCACCTGAGGTCAGGAGATCAAGACCAGCCTGGCCAACATGGTGAAACCCCATCTCTACTAAAATACAAAAATTAGCTGGGCTTGGTGGCGTGTGCCTGTAGTCCCAGTTACTCAGGAGGCTGAGGCAGGAGAATTGCTTGAACCTGGGAGGCGGAGGTTGCAGTGAGCCGAGATTGCACCACTGCACTCCAGCCTGGGCACAATACAGCGACACTCTGTCTCAAACAAACAAAAAAAAGGTCTTGGTCCCCATTATTTTAGGAGCTAAATGCTTAATTGATAGGGCAATTACTTAAAAAATATACATTTTGCCGATTCCTTCCTCTGCTGCCCAATTGCTGGGGAACATTTGAAAAACAATGCAGAAAAGTATAGATAGAAAAAAAGGTACAGAGAAAAAAAAATGCAGAAAAGTATAGATAGAAAAAAAGTATACAGAAAAAAGCTAACACTCATTTTTTACACTCAAAGGTAACCACTGTTAATATTTTGATGTGTTTTTATATTTCCTCCTAGTTTTATCCCAGATGCAATAACATATTTTTATGCTTATGATCATGGTATATACACAATTACACACACCTACTGATTCTTAACTAAGTAACATGGGAGAGGTAGAAGCTTCTAACTTTCCAAGTGCTTCCAAGTGATCATTTCCTGGCAGGATGATATCCTTATGGCATCCTTCCTGGCAAGGCTTTTAAGCTCCTTTGGGACCAAGACTATGAGTCTTCCCAGTATCCAGCACAGAGCTAGGGCCACAGCTGCAGCAAAATACAGATTTACTGAACTCAACTGACTAATTGGCTGGGATGAATTCTAGCCTAAACCAACATCAGGTATAACTGGAGATGACAAAATGATGGCCCTATAATGGACAGCTTCTCCGAGCTCCTGAGCTGACCCTCTGCTGAATGTTAAAGAAAGGGTTAAAGTTGGCAGTCCAGTGCTAAATGTGAGAATGCCACCAGCCACAGGAAGGTCAGCCTTTCAAGGCCCTTTTTTGCAGGGATAAAAGCAACAAAAATACCATTTGTCCTTATCAGTGCTTTGAACATAGTTACCATAAGTCCCTCCAATGGAAACACAACTTTGAGAGTTATGCTTTTCGTCTGCCTTTGATGTAAGTTATAGAGTCCTTTTGATCCCTTTCTTGTGATTAATTCCACCACCAAAGCAATTCTACATTGGTTAAAAGTTCATTAGTGTACAACAATAGAAGCTTGATTAAATAAATTATGGTACATCCATACCATGAATACTAGGCAGCCAATAAAAATCATGCCTCCTTAGACTATCTAATCACATAGGAAAAAGCTTACCATATATAGTTAAGAAAGGCAGGGGAGGAAAGCAGTTTTTTTTTTTTTTTCTTTTATGTCCTCAGGTGTTAAAACTAAAAAAAAAAAAAGAAAAAAGCAGTTTCTAAAAACACTAGCCACTGGATAGTCTTGTTAGACAAGAATTATAAGGGATTTTTATTTTTATACTTTTTCAAATTTTATATTATGAATATATATTACTTTTAGTATTATTTTTAAAAGCTTGTTAAGAATAAGGCTAAACTATTATGGAATGAAATGTAGAGTTCAAGAGGGGCCCAGGTTATGTCTGGGACCTGGACTATTTCTCCCTGAGCCCACCTTACGCTCTAGAGGGTGTAACAGACATGCTTAAGTGGCAGGTCCCCTTTTAAAACCTGTACATGGCTTCCACAACTGGGCTTGGATACAGGTTCAGCAACTAGGTCGGCTTTACATTGCTGCCACAAAGAGCTCCTAAGTCCCAGAGGAAGGGTACTGACCATCTTCCAAGAATTCTTTGGTCTACCTGGACAAGCCTGCTCTCTGTGGCACCACCCAGCTCTCTGTGGCTTTTCTCTGTCTTAGGCTTGAAGCCACAGTGCATGGCCAGAACCAGCCAGACCTTTGGAGTTCAAGAACTCGAGAGGTGGGTGAAAACTGCCATTGCCTCCACAGACTGTCTTCTCCGTGGAAAGAAGACCTGAGTCACCAGGGCTGGGAAACCTGCACCACTGAGACGAGCACAGCCTCTGCCGGCATGCAAGTGGCCGCTGTCAGGACACATGGACTGAAAGTGGTTTGTCAGCTGCTCCATTAGGTTTTTTTTACCCATATGTTTGCTACCTTTCTTTCCTTGATTTAAAAATAGGGAGGGGGAGCAGTCTCAGCTGTCTTCAGCTGCTAGGGAGATTTTTTTCCCCCTCCTGAGCTACTGTTTCCCCCAACCCGAGCCTTTCTCTCTTATTGTACCCACCCTTTCTGATGAAGTCATCAAAGCAAAGATTGCATAACTGATGCATAGGCCTATCTTGTGTTATACTGGGAGACAGGCCAATGTTTCCATTAATAGACAAGAGCACCACCACGCTGCCAAATGGAGCTCTCTGCTGCAACCACTACAAGACAGGAAGAAGGGAAGGGAAGGGAAGCTGAGTGCTCAGGGCATGCTGTGGAGGGAAGGCGAGGGCACTTCCCGCCGTCATCTCCAGAACCGCCACAGCCTTGGGAGGGGGGCTGAGAGAGATCAGTGCTGACTGCCTGAGAAGAGGCCTTCCACAAGCTGCCTTTCTGGTGTCCCCATGTTCTTCCTTCCTTCCTTCCAGAGGCCGTGAGAGGGAGGGCCCGTGTCAGCCTGCTCTGCCGGTTTCCCGACTGCTGAACCTGTCTGTGGGAAGCTGGGTTTGACTATGTGATGCTGAGGCTCTGAGAGGAGGGCTACCCTTTTCCCCACCCTCGGCCCCCATTCCTATGAGTAGAAGCCTGCCCAGCTGCGGTGGTGGGGTTTGAGGAGGCTAGGACTTAGAGCAGGGAAAAACAAGGAAGCAGAATGAAAAACAGAAACACTTAGAAATCTGGGATTGGTACTTCTCCTTATGTAAAGATTGTGGCTGACGACCAGCTTCTTAGAGGAAGCAAGTCTAGGAGAAGGGCTCATACCTGGTCCGTGAGGGCCTATGGGGGATCAGGGCATAAGACCACCTGACCCTGGGCCTTGCATCCACAAGAACCTTGAGTTTAGATTTTTAGACATATTCTTCGAACAAGGTTTTACATATATAGTCACTGAGAAATCCTGAGAGGATTGAAAAATAGCATCTATTTTACAGCTTTAAATTGTGCCCTGAGCTGAGCGTGGTGGCTCATGCCTGTAATCCCAGCACTTTGGGAGGCTGAGGTGGGAGGATTGCTTGAGTTCAGTTCAGGACCAGCCTGGGCAACAGCAAGACCTCATCTCTACTAAAAATAAAAAAATTAGCTGGGCATGGTGGTGTGCACCTGTAGTCCCAATTACTCAGGAGGCTGAGGTGGGAGGATCGCTTGAGCCTGGGAGGTTGAGGCTGCAGTGAGCTGTGATTGTGCCACTGCACTCCAGCTTGGGTGACAGAGTGAGACCCTGTCTCAAAAAAAATTCTGCCCTGTTATTAGATCGGGCTGCTCTAAGTCCATTATCAATTAACATTCTTTATATGTCCTGTGTTTATCTTGTGCACGGTATAATTGCCCTATGCTGTATTTTTTAAAATAAAAACATTGCATTTTTAAAACGCCCTATTGTCATTTCTTCATTTTGTAAATATACCTGGGCACTCCAAAAAATAGAAATGGCTCAGGTATTTTCTTAACCTTGAAAGACTTGGAGACACACGGGCATAAAAATAAGTTTTAGAAAGAATATAGCACTCAAAGAGGTCTAACACAGCCCTTGACTCCACGCCACACATACACATGGTAACCTGGATAAAGGAATCTGGAAACAATGAGAAATCATCCTCTCTACAGATCTTAAACTTTTCTTTTCTTTTCTTTTTTTTTTTTTTTTTGAGAGAGAGTCTCGCTCTGTCAGCCAGGCTGAAGTGCAGTGGCACAATCTCGGCTCACTGCAACCTCCGCCTCCCGGGCTCAAGCAATTCTTCTGCCTCAGCCTCCCTAGTAGCTGGGATTACAGGCGTGTGCCACCACGCCCGGCTAATTTTTGTATTTTTAGTAGAGGCAGGGTTTCACCGTGTTGGCCAGGCTGGTCTCAAACTCCTGACCCCAGGTAATCTGCCCGCCTTGGCCTCCCAAAGTGCTGGGACTACAGGCGAGAGCCACCGCACCTGGCCGTCTTAAACTTTTCACTCTTTAATCAGAACTCTTCTTGGGAAGCATGATTCAGCAGTGCTTGGCTTATAGTAGGCGCTCATAAAGGTTTGCTCTTAGTATCGTCCCTATTAATAATGAGGAAGTTAGAAACTTTAGGTGGGGCCTATATTTTCAGCTCAGATTTTGTTGGTT
The DNA here is from genome assembly GCF_000001405.40 of Homo sapiens. Taxonomy (NCBI): domain Eukaryota; kingdom Metazoa; phylum Chordata; class Mammalia; order Primates; family Hominidae; genus Homo; species Homo sapiens. The sequence continues at coordinate 139,742,621 of NC_000004.12, forward strand.
CTTAACGGTCACATCAGTTCCTCAGCTGTGTAAAGGAAAACATCCCTGTTTACAAATGACCACTTTTGCTTAGGATAAAAGTTAAGTTGGTAGCTAAATATGAAATGAGACCCTAGAATAAACATTCTTTATACGTCTTGTGTTTATCCTGTGCACAGTATAATTGCCCTTGGGAAGTTGATGGGAAACTTTTAGTGAGGAATAAATCCACCTTTTTGACTATAACAATAGAGGCCTTCAAAGATGGAGGTTATGCACCAAGTATTTTTTGCCACCTATCCCTTCTAAAAGCATAAATATTTTTGCTTAAACATCTGGGATGTAGCACCAGTTTCCTAATTTCTTTCCACCAGAAACTGAAGCCAAGTCTGACCTCCTTACCATGATATCCCCTCAAATGCCCACTACCACCCCCTCATTTTTCCCCAAAAGCTTTCTGGGGTAATTTCTCCTCTAGCTAGTTGACTTCATACCCACCTTCACTCTGCTTCCCAGATCCAGGCAGGCTGCTTTACAGCATAACCACGATTCACATATACACGTCTCCACCTAAAGTTACACGCCTCCTTTAAGAGCTGCTGCAACCATTACCACTTCTCTCCAAGGTGACTGCTTGTGGGAGGATAACAGCAGAACAGGAGGGGCAGGGTGATTAATGCTGGAGTAGGACAGGGAGATCTAACCTGCTGTTCAGGAGACTTCTCAACCTGAGAAAGCTTCCCGGACACTAGGGATCCTGTTTCTGGTCTTCCTTCCCTTTGGACCATTTCTCTGATAGACACCGTTTCTTGTACTTTGGCCCAAATAATTACTTTCCCCTTTGTGTTTCTGTTTCCCTTTATCCTCTCCCCCATTTTAAGAATACACAATTTCTCAATCAGCAATTATTAAACCTTTCTCAAGTCAACCAAACCTTTTCTGGAAGCTGACACTAAATATACATGGCTGTAAACTTGCTGAGGAGTGGAGGAGGGGTGAGTGGGGATGACAAACCTGGAAACTGAACTTGAAATCTGTCTCAGATCCCAAGGATACCACACGGGGAAAAGCCAGCCAGTGTGAGATTCCTTTCTTTATTTTCCTTAGGTTCTCAGGGGATAATTTGTACTGAAGGTTACTTTCTATAGAAAGCCTTGAGAACACTACCTCTTAATCATATTTAGAAGCATATAAAAAAGGTCGACAAGGCCAATCTTGATTTCTTTTTTCTTTGATGTAGTCACAGAGAATTTTGAAGGAAAGATGGGGTCTCTGAGTCCCCATTAATAAATAAAAGTAAGTCCTCATGTACATTCATGTACAGGGTGCTGAGAGCTCACATGTGGAGGGGCCATCCCTATGGCCATAGAGTCCTGCCATGGTCATTGTCACTAACAGTTGTCACTGCTGTAGCAGGGTCCCAGTCACTCTTAGTACCTCTCAGAGGTTTCTTGGGGACACAGCCCAAATATATCCTGTAGTCAGATGCACAAACACCTTGGGTAGGAACCTAGAGAGGTCTGGAATACTCTGATTCACCTTCTGCTAAGAGACTTAGATAAGGAAGGCTGACTAGGTCAGTTAAATTGATTGCCAGGGTGGCTGACCTAATAGAGGTTCAGGGATCTGGTTTGAGAACATGGAGCCTCAGACCCTTCCCTTCAAGCTGTGCAGCATTGCATATCCTTAGTGTCATTTTCAGTCTCAGCTTCCAGATCTTAGAGTTGATTTTTCTTAAAGAACACTCACAGCTAAAACAAACAAATAAAACAAATAAGCAAACAACCCACTTGCTTAATATGATATACCACCCCCCAGGAGCATGGGTTGTGGTTATAGCTTTGCTTGGGATTTTATGTGGAGTAAGTCACTGCATGGCTAACATGCAAATATTGCTCAGAAAACAAGTATACCTCCCCCTGAAGTCTGAGCACTAGAACACAATGTGTGGCGTGTATATTTTGCTATTAAAGTTTGCTTTCAATTTGAATATGCATCCCACTTTTTGAAAAACTTTTATTGCTCAAGGAGTCTGCACAGGCCCAGTACCCCAGCACAATGGCAGGGGCTATGGTGGGACTCTCAGACTCTCACTGCAGTGCAGCCACGGCCCCTGTCCTGGAGGGAGACTGAAATCCTAGTGCAGAGACAAGGTGCACTTCACGGAAAAGCTCAAAGATGACACCAGCTGGTCAAGAGGCAAGCTGTGTGGCGTGTGTTCTGTTTCCATTCGATTTCCATAGAGCCAGGCTGACCAGACCCGGGATGGGCAGAGTGGTGGCATGGCGTAGAAATAGGCCCAAATGTGGATACAAGGCACATGAGTTCTAGGCAGTGTTTGACCTGGGGCAAGTCACTGAACATTTCTAAGCTTCAGTATTCTCCTTTATGAAATGAGGAAGCCAGTCCAGGTAATCTCCAAGGTTTCTACTCGCTCTAACATTTCTCTGGTTCCACTTGGAAAGAGCTTCATGGATTAGCAGGGACTTGACTGAGAGCCTTGATGGAAGTGTAGATTTGGATTTGAGTGAGAAGAGAAGGAAGGAAGGAGAGCGGCCACCTGCAAGGAGGGAGGTGGCCACCCAAAGTTGGGGTGTTTGCTGGGATGTGTGAGAGGAAAGCTTCACAGGGTGGGACTGGCCATGGACAGATCTGCATGCAGGCAGATCCAGCCGACTCGACCACCGTCCATCAGGAGCCACAGCAGGTTCTTAAAGGGAATAAACGCTAAATGCATTACTTTAAGGAGATTAAGCTAGTGTCAGGTAAGCTAGTGTCAGATTAGAACAGGGCTGGATCTGGAGAAAAGTGGGCAGGAAGGGTTGGGAGGTAGCCATGGGGGTAATCCCATCAGGAGGTGAGGGGAAGCTGGCTGAGATTTGGCACTTGACTGTGGGAACTGAAAAAAGCCAAATGCACCTGCCAGGCATATTCCTGCAAGAATAAGAATTCTCATGTGCAAATATCTGGGGTCATTTTCCGGTCTGGGATCCCACCTCCTCCCACTCATTTCTCTTCTCTATTATTGTGCTCTGCCCAGTCCACATGGCTACCAGAAACCTGGCAGAGATATAGTGATCCCTGCTTTAAAATCAGGTAAAAATAATGCTAGTTTTTCTGGTCTTCCCTATTTTTAAAAAACTAAATTTATTTAAATGTGAATTTAGTATACAGGATTTTAAACATACCACCTGGTTTTTGACAGGGAGTAGAACAGTAGGTATATACTGTGAATATTTTCAAAGCCCTAACAATACATCCTGGGGATGGAGGAAAGATGGCAGGCAGTAACAGGAAATGTGACCACAACAACTTGGAGAAGAAGAAACCTTTTAGTTTTTGTGCTTCCTTAACTTGTTTCTCCAACTTTCTCCTGCTACTAAATGTTTCATTCACTCAACTTTTTTCAAGAAGTCCTGACAAGTAATAACGAAAGTTCTATGGTGGCCCAATTAAAGACTTTTCATGACAAGTAGACTTCATAACAAATGTGATAACTAAATATTTCCTAAGCATAAGCTCTCAGTTGGATTTTTTATTAAAAAGTCAGAAAATCACTCTCGGTCTTATTGCTAAATCTTGTTTGCAACAGAAATGGTATGTTATATTTTTGTAAGATAATTAACATGGCATGTATTCCACTAACCTTTTAAATCTGAACTAGAGATGGTAATAAGAATAATTTCTAACAAAATAATTCATCAGTACACAACCAGTTGGACTGTTGAAAATTTATGATTGAAGTTAAGAATACCTTGGTGGTTTCAGGTAAAAACATGTTTTATATCACCAACTTGGAGACTGAGTGTCTTCTCTGAAAAAAATGAAAAATCTTCCCTTTAAAAATTTTCCTACCCCTTATCAAGACAACAGAGGAGAAGCAGATACCCTGGTCCACAACACTCTGAAATTACCACTGGGCTCTGGAAAATGGATTGCTTCACCTATTTGTTCTGTCTTCTAATCCCAGGGAGGGGCTGCAAATCTCCCCATCTGTCTCTCTCGCTCTGCGGGCCCCTCGTTGCCATGGTCTTTCCCACAGTATCTAAAGGAACAAGATTCCGCAGACGTTTGACACTGGACCTCCGCAGGCAGCCAATTTGTTTTCCTTTCACCTCCCCCCTTCTCCTCCTCTCTCCCTTTCTAATATAGCATATTCTTTCTGTGCACCCACCAAAAGTAATGTGTCAAACTATGATTATGTTTTCTTTTATGAAACAAGTAGAAGAGAGACGGATTGCTTTCCTTCCTTTGATCAAGTAAAGGTAATAAAAAGCCTAGGGAGAATCGGGTGGGAGGGGGTTGCTGGCGTCTGCTGTCCTGGACTAGGCCAGCTTTTGTCGGGGGTTCATCTTAAGAAATTGTGGGCCACCGGCCGTGGCTTTCCCTCATGGCCCAAGGCTTGCAGCAATTGCTTCTCACTGTTCCTGTGTTTGGAACCTACTGAGTCTGTGCAGCCCTTAGTGGTTTTGTCTTGTGCTCTGGGAAAAGCAAAGGGGTTGAGGATGGAGGGAAGCCCTGTCCTCAGAATGTGCAGGGAAGTCAATCCTTAAATGATGGTTTCTGTAGGGTGGAAATACCAGTCTATTTGAACCCTTAAAGCTTATACCAAATCCACACCTTCTGCATCACTGAGGAAGGAAATGTAACTTGAGAGTTTGTGGCGCCGGTGGGAGGAGGGAGAAGAGTGCAGAGCGCGGGCAACTTTCCCCCACCTTTTAGACAGAAACTTTTCCTTTTAGCATCTGCATGCATCTCTTTAGTTAGAGAATGAATTCTAGGGGGAAGAACTTTAAAAATGTCTTCCTTGTAGGTCGGGCACAGTGGCTCACGCCTGTAATCCCAGCACTTTGGGAGGCCGAGGCAGGTGGATCACCTGAGGTCTGGAGTTCAAGACCAGCATGGCCAACATGGTGAAACCCCGTCTCTACTAAAAATACAAAAATTAGCCGGCTGTGGTGGTGTGTGCCTGTAATCCCAGCTACTTGGGAGGCTGAGGCAGGAGAACTGCCTGAACCGGGAGGGTGGAGGTTACAGTGAGCCGAGATAGTGCCACTGCACTCCAGCCTGGGCAAGAGAGCAAGACTCCCTCTCAGAAAAGAAAAAAAAAAATTCCTTGCACACATCATTTGATTACTGATACTTACTAAGAGTAATAAGAATGCATATATAGGCTGGGCGTGGTGGCTCATGCCTGTAATCCCAGGACTTTGGGAAGCCAAGGTGGGCGGATCACCTGAGGTTAGGAGTTCGACACAAGCCTGATCGATACAGTGAAACCCCATCTCTACCAAAAATACAAAAATTAGCTGGGCATGGTGGTGGATGCCTATAATCCCAGCTACTTGGGAGGCTGAGGCAGGAGAATTGCTTGAACCCGGGAGGTGGAGGTTGCAGTGAGCCAAGATCACGCCACTGCACTCCAGCCTGGGTGGACAGAGCAAGACTTCGTCTAAAAAAAAAAAAAAAAAAAAAAAGAATGCACATATAGAGGTAGTGGGCCTTTGAAAGGAGGATGGGAAAACAAATTCACAGGAACACTGCCCATGGTATATTCAGCTTCCAGATACCCACAGGCTCTAAGAGGGCCTCCATCTCTTTACATTGTCCAGGGCCTAAACAGGAAGATGGGAATTGAGGTTTGGGGCACTTGAGCCATAAGAGAAGACACTCCCTAGGCTGGGGTTTCTAGGGCTGGTCACCAAGATGCCTATCACTTTCCTTTCAGGGGCTTCAGAGAAACAGGCTCACACCCCAAAACAGAGTCACTAAGGGACCTGAATACCAGGAGGAGGGTCTAGAAATGGAAAGAAGTGGAGCTCAGATTGAGAACCAACTGGAGAAAGGATCTCTGGTCCTGAACATCAAAACGTACAACAAGGGGGAGAGAACAGGACAAAATGCATCAGTGGAAATGAGTAAAACTGAAGGAGCAGGAGGCTGCTGGGGAAAAGTCAGGCTGAGAAGAGGCCAAGAACAGACCCTGGCTGGGAGGACACTTCCGGCTCAGTCCCCCAAATCAGGATGAGGTTCAGCTTGACCACAGCTGTGCTTTCTATAGTCTATATGTTTCTGGGGTAAGGAGCAAAAGCACAATTGGGGTAAAATTTCTTTTTTTCTTTCAGTCTGAATGCAACTAGCTTTGGAAAGTTGAGCAATTTCAAGCTCCGAGGTTTTGAACAGTAGAAAGGCAGGGAAAAGTGAAAGAAGGTCTCAGCCTGACCAGGTATTTTGCCAGCGGCCATTTTCAAGGCCTGCAAACTCAACCCGGCTTTGTTTTGCTGGCCTCCGAAGAGAGCCTCTCTTAGGGGCTCCTCTTTGCATGCACACCATTTTGACCCTGCTTCTTTGGTGAATAGAGTGTGGGCACGATTGTGGCTGCACACGTCCTTGAAGTTCCAGAGGGCACCTCTTCCTTCCCATCTGGCCCCCCACAAACTGCCAACTAAAAACAATCCAAAAGCTCTAAACAGAGCTCAAATGGAAAAATATATTTCCTTCCTCAGGAAAGACTGGAATTTTCTTCAAATTGAGAAAAGGCAAAGAATGGTTTATAAATGTACAGTTTCTATGTTCACAAAGATATGATATACCCCAATTATATAAAATTATAGCCAAGTTCATATTTGACCTAATGCTTTTGCTTTCCAGGTTTCTTTGCATTAACACAGATTTCAAAAACATGAAATATATATTAAATGCAAAAAAAGTTTTCTCTAAGAGAACTGCTACACAAGCACCATGAGGCCAAGTTATAGGTTTGGTGGCATTAACATAGATATTTGCATATATTCCCTTCCTAATCTGCTTTCTTGCAGATCTAAGCGAAATCTGATTGTTTTCTCAGGCAAAAACCCAGCCCTAAGAGCAGCTCATAAACCTCACCACAGACACAGTACTCATGGCAACAGGAACTATTTCCTTTGGCTTATGAGCTCTGGTAACTGTCAAGGGGGTGGGGGGCGCCGATCAGAGAAATCTGGAAAGACATGAGTCTGTCAGAACACGTGAAAGGACTTGACATGGAGGCCACATTTGTGTTGCACAATTTGCATGAGCACTTCTGGACAAATTCTATTTTCACATGCAATTCACAGACCCGCGGTGGCAGTGCTAATTGGTGAGGTTGCCACTCAAGTGTGGTACCAAACAGGAGCTCTCACTACATAGATGAATAATACAGAGTTTTGAGCAATGCAGTAATTATTTTACAGTTATTCTACATCACCATCATTCCATTATCTCTTTGTCCCCCTTTCAACTCTCATAGTGGAGATGAATAAGAACCCCCCCCCACCCTATTCTGCCAAAAGTGGAATTCATGTTATTTGAAATCAACTTAAGAATAAGAAAAGAGATGGCAAGGAACAGCTATCATTTCATTAATATGGATGGATTATTCATGTCACTAGAGTGACAGTGAATTTGATTGTACCCTGAAGTGCCAATAGGATGCCAAACACAGCCGTGAAACACACAAGAAACTCTGAATGGCAGAGTGCTTTGGAATTCATCTGCAAGAATTCCAAACCCCCAAGATAAGGTAGCTCATTGCCCACATGATATTTCAATGCTAAGTGAAGAGAAAGGGAGGGTTCAGATCCCCTGGGTGCCTCCCATAGCTCCAAGTGACAGGGAAGAAGGGGTGACAATTCCCCAGTCCTTCCTAGGTGGCATTAGAAACTTTAGAAGCAACACAGCATCCCCTGTGGGTCACTCTCTAGCTTCAATAAAATCAACCGATCAGAGGGAAAGAGAGGCCTCCTAGGCGGTGGGTCGTGAGTCCTCCTTCTGAGGATGGTTCAGCATTTGCTGCCTCTGCACTAAATGCAAACCAGGTGGACTCTAGAAATGGCCTTTGGTGCAGTTTTGGGCTTTCTTCTCTTTGTTCCTTGGAGATATTAAGCCTTAAATCCTCTTTGAATTTGAGAGTTACTGATTGAGCTGTATCTGAACCATATTACGCCACATGATGAAACTCGACACACTGGAATTCACTCCTCCATTGTTCACTCTGTCTGACCCCAGTGAAGAAGTCTACCCTCCTGCAGCTGATAAAAATATAAATTTAAAGAGGTAGTTAGGTCCTCTTTAGGCTCAATTACTTTCTTTGTATATTCTACCTAAAAATGGCCTTCCTAAGGCACTCTATTTTGAATTTCAAAAGTTAGCGATAGATTTTCATCCTAGCATTTCTCATCTTCAGGTCTCATCACTACCTCCCACTCCCTACCCCCTTTTAAAAACTGAAGTGGGAGGAAGTTTCAGAAGAAGGGTTTTTGTTTTGCTTTTACATTTCTGACTTAGGCCTCAGTTGAAAATAAGCAATCTTTTATGGGTAGTGGGAGTGGAGATGTCTACTCCTATTTGGAACACCTGGCAAGCTGCCTCCTGTGATTCAATCACTCTTTTCCTGAAGTTAGAGACTGTTAGACCTGAAGGTCAGTCGTCCGTCTTCAGGGTCTAACTCTGGATCTGGCCTGCAGAGTAGGCAAAGAAAGATGGGGTGAGTAGTCACCCATAGGTATTTTCCAAATAACAAAATGCCTCTGAAAAATATCTCTCCCATGTCCCTGTCTAAATATAACATTTTCCCATTTGGGTTTAGATTTTCTAGGAGACTACTATGATACTTAAAATATTACTTGGAGTAGTCTAACATATTCAGGTTGAGTATCCCTTATCCAAAATATTTGGGATCAGAAGTATTACGAATTTCTTGGGATTTTGGAATATTTGCATATATATAATGAGGTATCTTGGGAATGGGACCCAAGTCTAAACACAAAATTCATGTATGTTTCATAATACACGTTATACACATAGTGTGAAGGTAATTACATACAATATTTTAAATAACTTGTGCATGAAACAAAGTTTTGACTGCATTTTGACTGTGACCCATCACATGAGGTCAGGTGTGAAATTTTCCACATGTGGTATCATGTCAGCGCTCAAAAAATTTTGGATTTTGGAGGATTTTGGATTTCAGCTTTTCCGATTAGGGATGCTCAACCTGTATATATAACCCACAATAGCCCCTAACCCTAAATAGTGCTTAGGTTCTAAGGGGTGGTACACAGATGGGTGGGTTTGATGGACCCCAGGGAGCCAGTGGGTAGACCTTGTGCCTGGAGGGAGGAGGAAAGAGGACACTGGAATACACTCAGCCCAGGTCACAATTTTGCCCACAGCAAGCCATGGAGTTACAATGACATCTTTGACCTCTAATCCGCAAAGTATCCATTCTTATCTCTTATAGTGTCTGCATGTAAGGTTACAGTATAGCTCCTTTTGATAAAGAAAGGTACACATTCAAAGCAGAGACCTCCAAGGAGCCTCCATATAAAAGGAAGCCTGTATTGCATTTATTACTACTATGGTCTGAGCCCAGCAGCAGAAATCTGAAGCTTATCATTACTGCCTAACTCTGGAATAGCCTTATCTTTTCTCTAGACTGTGACTTTGGGATTCGAATTCTAACTTTCCTTGCAGGTAGATACTTCAGCAATTTCTACAAAATGTTACAGATGGCTATCTGTAGGTTCTCCCTAATAATTCCTATTTCATTAGCTCTAAGACTCATAAATTTTAAGGCTCACGTTACGTACTACTAGAAAGAAAGAAAAAAGCACCTTGCAGAACTATGGTGTGCCATCAGTTGTAAGATGTATCCTGATTTCACAGATGTAAAAATGTGCATCTTAGGATCAATGAGATATGGTATTTAGGCCTGTGGTTGCATGGGCGCAGGCCTGGGACTAGGCTCCTATACAACCACCAGGTCTAGCATGGCGGACCCAACTCCTCTTCCAGTGTGTGGCACCCACCCTGGACCTAGCCTGGCTCTCTCTGTGCTCACAACCCCACCTATGAAAAGGGGGTGAGTGATAACCACTCCCCACCGTCTTCTTTGGGGTCAAAAAGAGGATGGCTGGGAAAGTGGCTGGCAGGTCATGGGAAGCTTTGGAAGCCAGGACTTCTCATGTCTTCATTCAGAGAAGGCTTGGCACAAATACATTCTGTATTTTTCTAAATGATAATAATAAAAAACCTTTACCACATAGCATTTATACATATTTCTCCCGAGAGAGCATGTGTACAGATAAGAAGAAACATGGCCAATCGAAGATCGCAGCACTAACACCTAAATGATTTTAGCTGGATTATAGAAGAAAAAAAAGCTAGAGGCAGGCAATAATTTTAAGGGAAAAAAATGTCCCTCTACATTGATAACCATAGTTCTTCAGGCTGTTAATGCGATGTCATTAGCTACTTCCTTGTGGTGACACTGGGAAGAGCTAACAGGGGGAAAGAAAATAGGATGGCGAGGTCTTTGCAGGCTGGGGTGATTTTTTTGAACCTATCTGCTAGGTCAAGATAATAGGAGGATACAATACAGACCTGAAGAATTTATTCTTCCTGTCTTCAAAAAGACTTATGACCGTCTTGAATCCTGTTTCAGGAGAGGGCTCAGCCAGTGAAAAACAGATTTGTAGAAAGAGAGGGTTACACACCACTCAATTCCTATTTTCCTTCTTTCCCTTTTCATTGGGGTAAAATATACATAACATAAAATTTATCATTTTAACTCCTTTTAAGTGTACAATTCAGTGGCATTAAGTACTTCACAATGTTGTGTGATCGATACCATGATCTATTTCCAGAACTTTTTCATCTTAAACAGAAACTCTGTACCCATTAAGCAGCCTGCCTTTCTTTGCTTTTTTCTTTTCTTTTTAATCTATCTATCTATCTATCTATCTATCTATCTATCTATCTATCTATTTTTTGTTAGGAGCATTTTAACTGCTGTTATGGGTATTGATACAAATTTGGAAAGGAATGTGATTAATATGCATGATGGAGAAAATCCTGACAGAAAAAAATTAAAGATGAGTTTCAGAGGCTGGTAGGAGAACTATTATAAGCAGGCCTTTATAACCTTGAGTCTAAAACTACCATGAAAATAAAATATAATTTTACAAAATAAGTGAAGGGAAAAATATCTGTATTAGGGCAACTGCAGATCTTTTATGCTCCTTCCCTACATACATCCCTGAGGCTGAGGTGAGAATTAATAAGTTTACAAGGCTACTCAAGTCAAATAGATGTTAAACTATCAAAGCTTAGCCCCACTCATTTCTTCTGTTTGTCCATCTGTGGATCCATCTCTCCTTTCTCTCATGCATATGCCAGACACAGCGCTGGACACCATGGCTACCAAGACGCACGGGTATGGCTGGCCCTCAAGGAACTCCTACATCAGAAGGGAGACAAATGGAAATGAAGAATTGTGTAATGAGCAAAAGACAGATAAGGGAATGATTAACTCTGTCTGGAGACTGGGGTGGAGGGAGGGGTAAGAGTTAATGAAAAACCTCTTTGCCCAAGGCAGAATTAAGAATTAATACTACCTACTATGCACATGTACATTAATATGTTGTAATGTTATAAAGTTATGAATGTGATAATTATAGACTAAAATATTAGTTGAATAGTAACATATAAACTGGCATATGCCCTATGACTGAAACTGCAAAACTTGAACAAGTGCATAATGCAAACAATATTACTATGCAAAACAAAGGTGTATTAGGGAGGTCAATTATGGGTGAGTTTTTAAATGTAAAAAATCACTAATTTTAATCACATGTTTATGTTCTTATAGTTCTTTAAACATTATTTTCTTCTTGATTATAAATTTATCCACTATGGAAAATGTGGACAACACAGAAAAATATAAAATGGGAAAGCAAAATCACTGCTGATTATTACCACAAAATGATAGTCACTCAATGTATTTCCAACCAAAACATTCATTCAAACAAGACAAGGATCATAGCTGCATGTTACTCCATTGTATAAAGCTGTTATCATTTATTTAACCAATTGCCTATTGTTGGACATTTAAATAATTTTCAATTTTCACTACTTTATGCTGAAATGAACATTCTTGTACATAAACTTTTATGTATATCTCTGATTATTTCCTTCAAATAAATTCCTAAAAGTAGAAGTTTTGTGTCAAAGAGCATGAATGTGTTTAAGGCTCCTGTTTTGGTACATATTATCAAATACCCTCTGGAAAGATATGACCTATTTACACTTCCATCAGGAATATACAAGGGTGTCTGGATTATACTTTAGGTTCAATTTTTAAAAAATGACCAGCCCAGTGCAATTGTGATTCTTCATGATTCTTTCCTAATAAAGAAGACACTGTAAATAAAACTAATTTTTAAAATTATTTAAAGTTTATTTATAACATGTAGTCATCTAAGCTTTCCCCTCAGTTTCTCTTCCTCTGCCCAAAGTCCCAGGAGCAGGCATGGTCGGCCTCTGTTCTCCTTAATCAGCACGCTGACATCCTATGTCTGTTGCTTTGCCTCTTCGGCGTGGCGAATGCCTGAGTGCCACAAACACCATTTCCCTGGGGTTGTCACCTGAGATTCTTCAGCTGTCTGCTCAGAGCAAGGCCCCGTGTATCAGAGTGAAAAGGCACGTCTTTATTCCTGTAGTTGGCTTGGCCAGCTGGCCGGCACCAATTCTTATGAATGACAGCCGGTTTGCTGTTCCATATTTCAACAGCCATAAGCCGGAATAGCACCTGTAGACTCTGGGAGTGAAACGCACTGGGAATGACATTAGAGAAAGCCTGCTCCTTATTTGGCTTGGACCTCCCACTGCCTCGGCAATGTGGATTTAAGAAAACTGTGCCAGCGCAGCATGGTGGCTCACGCCTGTAATCCCAGCACAGGCGTGCTGGGAGGCTGAGGCGGGTGGATCACGAGGTCAGGAGTTCGAGACCATCCTGGCTAATACGGTGAAACCCCGTCTCTACTAAATGTACAAAAAATTAGCCGGGTGTGGTGGTGGGCGCCTGTAGTCCCAGTTACATGGGAGGCTGAGGCAGGAGAATGGCGTGAACCCGGGAGGCGGAGCTTGCAGTGAGAGGAGATCGCACCACTACACCCCAGCCTGGGCGACAGAGCAAGATTCAGGATTTCCAATTAATTTTTGGTCCCTATATATGGTTTACTACAACAGCAGAAAAAGAAAGAGAAAGAGTGAGCTTTTGCATGTCAGTATTAAGTAAACATTGACACATTTAACACAGGGCCCTGCGCAGTCTGTTGAAGAAACTACAACAGGCCAGGAAGTGCCTGAAGAGTGTAGGAAGTTCTACCAAAATTTCTGGTTGTATGAATTTTAGGCAATGGATCAAGATATGGCAACAGTTAAAATAAAATAAAAAAACCCCCTAACTCTGTAATTTCTAATTCATTTAATGAACACTGTGGGGTCCAAAGTTGGTTGAAAATAGTTTTTGCAAATTTGAAGTTAAATTTCTAGCTCTGCAGGACTTACGTCAAAACACCCGCTATGGTCTGGGAAAGAATAAATCTAAGTGTGAAAGTTAACTCAAAAGTTATCTGTTCATCTACATAATTCATTAGGAAAGCGGCACATAGTAGAAGAAAAAAAAGCAACTTTCTGCAGAGTATTCATGAACATACTGCAGGAGTATAAGAACAGCAAAGCATGTAGGTTGTCCGGGGAAGAATGCTACTTTGAACCTTCTAATCCCAATGTATTGGTTGTTTAGTATGCTTTGAAGGGAACACTCCCTCCACCCAATGAAAATGTTGATGATTTTGAAAAATATGATGTGCACTGATAAAACATTATTCACTTTTAAAGTCCATGGTATTGAATAAAATGGATCTTTAATTTTGAGATTTTTATTATGCTCCATCAAGACACAGGAACTAAAACCAGTAGTATACTGGTCTATGTAACAGAATCACACATGGCTGAAGACAGAAAGTTGGCCTTAAAAAGTTGTCTGTCAGCATTCTCATAGAATATCCCAAGAATTATACCTGAGAGTCAAGGACTCCAAGCCTTAAACCTTAAAGGGACCCCGAGGCACTAGCTAACTTCTCCCTCACAGGGAAGCTGCCTTGGAGAAGTTGGTGTGCAAATTCAAGCTCGTAATAAAACACTTCTGGAAATGACTTGGTTGTGGCTGTGCTTTAGGCTCCTACCAGCATGGACAGCTCTTTGCTCACTGCACCTTCCCCCTACATTCTCTGCAACTTTTTGCTCTGAATTGAGTTAATGTCTGACAGTTTGGCACCCGTGAAAAGGTTGCTACTTTTGAATGGCAGCACACAATATTTTCGAGAACTAAAGTAAGAATAATTATCTGGGGAAACACCCAGGTTTTGCAAAGCCAAAACCCCTGCCCTTCTCCCTAACATTTTTATGGAGGTTCTCTTAACATTGCAGGACCTCATATGAATGCATGACTAAGTCTCCCGCCAGTACAGCAGCTTGGAAGCGCATTATCACAGCCAACAGATAATTCACCGTAGAACCAGAAGGAAATCAGTGACCTTGCCCACTGCGCTCTGGTCTCAGACTCATGCCTCTGTGTTCCTGGCCTCTGAATATGCTGTTGCCATCTTGCTAGCCTGATGTCTGAGCCAGGGGGATCATCCTAGACTCTTCATCTTCTGCCCGCCTCTCTTCATATCCAAGCTATGAGAGAATCAGGGCGTTTTACCTCCTCCACAGCACCCTACTTGGCATTTCATTGGTCCAGGCTGTCAACTTTCCCTTGGAGCTCTCTGCTACTCTCCTGGCTGGTTGTCCATTTTTCACTCTGGTTTCTCTCCAATACACCCTCTAGCCACCAGGTCCTGAGCCTGCCAGTACTCCCCCTCACACTCACACTCCAGCAGGGTAAGAATCCTATTCCTGGCCAGGTGTGGTGGCTCACCCCTGTAATCCCAGCACTTTGGGATGCTGAGGCACGTGGATCACCTGAGGTCAGGAGTTCGAGACCAGCCTGACCAATGTGGTGAAACCCCATCTCTACTAAAAATACAAAAATTAGCTGGGCGAGGTGGCGTGAGCCTGTAGTCCCAGCTACTGGGGAAGCTGAGACAGGAGAACTGCTTGAACCTGGGAGATGCAGTGAGTCAAGATTGCACCACTGCACTCCAGCCTGGATGACAGAGTGAGGCTCCATTTCAAAAAAAAAAAAAAAAAAAAAGAATCCTATTCCTTATCAGGGCACACTTCATGACCCACCTCTCCAGCCTCATCTGTTGAGGGCCACCATGCCAGCCCCCATGCTACCTCTGATCCTACCAGACTATTTGTATTTGGCTGAATGTGTCTTGCTCTTCCCTGTCTGTTTTCTCTGCCTCCAGTCCCCCTACCTTCTTTACCTGGCTAACTCCTTCTACTCATCCTTGAACTCTGAGCTCTAGTATCACACCCAGGAAGCCCTCCCTGCCATCACCGTGGCTGGTCACTTCCTCTCTGAATATCCAAAGCACCTTCTGCCTTTCCTCCACTAGCCTTCTCATTGCATGTGTCACAACCGCATGCCCATCAGTTTCTCTCCCCCTGGCTGAGGGTCCCTTGCCAGCCTTTGTCTTTGTATTCACTCGCCTCTTGCAGTGCCTATCATACAGTTAGGACCTAATGACTTAGTGATAGACAAATGATGGAAAATAGGTCTGTGATTAGCTGCTTCCTGCAACCTTGTTATATTCCTACCTGACCCTCCACAGGTCAACTCAGGACAACTTTTAAAATTTGATTTGGGAGAGAGGCGTCTGCATTTCCTGAGGCTCCTGTCTAAATCACAGTTCTGGCCATCCAGGGAAGGAAGGTATGCCTTCCTACTCAGCAGATGTGGCCTGAGTATACGTTGCTGTGTAAAGGAAGAAAACCAAGGAGTCACGGTAGAATCTGAATATATCTTTTAACTTTTTTTTGTTAATATTTTAAGATATGGCTACTACAGCTGATTGTTATCGATCTGTGTGTGCAGAGGTGGCCAGAAAGACTGATGTATGCCCAGCTGTTCATTTGATACCAGACACACACTTTAATCTGGGTCTGAAACCTCGATTTGTATGACCCATTGTGGCCTTTTAGGGCCAAGCTCTTGACATGAGAGTTACAGCAGGTTTCCTGCCTCCCCTCCAGCCATGTTCGGCTGCAGGAGTATGCTCGGTACGTTATCAAACATTTCTGGTCCTCTCCTGATGTCCCCGTTTATTTTCCAGCAACAACTGTCTCAGAATTGGCTTTTCCACCTTATCCATGTCATCTGATGACTAGCTTGTCTCTTCTCCAAATTCCCCCATACTAGTCACATCTTCCTCAAGGCTTTTCCTGGACCAAACTAAAGTTTCCTGAAGATCACCAGCCACTGACAAATACACCAAGTGATATCCCTGTTTCCAAAATATCAATCACACACTCAGAGAACCACTGAGCTGGAAGGGACCTCTGGGCATCGTGGCACCTGAACCTCTCTTGATGAGAATCTACAAGACATTTTGTTAGATGTTTGTCCATCCATCCATCTGTGAAAAATCACAGTGATTGGTTGAGAGACTGGTTCTAAAATGAACATCATGTACTTGGGAGACAGATGTCCAACAAATCACAGTCACCCAGAAAGAACCTTCTCGCCCATGTGATTTCTCCTCTGATCCCTGATGTTCAAACTGACATTTGAGGGGAAGACAGAAATGTGTCCAGATAAAACTCTCCAGCTGGATGGTACAGGGCACAGCAGTTATGACAGAAAGAGAAGAGCCGCAGCAGAAGAGCAGTCTGGTTACTCCCCCAGGGAAATAACATCCAGAGGGATGGGGGACTCCAATATACTGCCTTGAATATCAACACACTGAAGTATGCAGCAGAAACAGAATGAACCTGCTGGAACAGGCTGGTGTCTGTGGGGCTCACGTGGCAGGGAACTCCTGCTTCCTACCCCTCCACATCCACCCTGCCCTTGCCCCAGGTCCCGGCCTGACTCCTCACCTTGAACCAGCATCTCTCCCTTACAATTTTTCTAGCTGCTATTAGGCTGTAGTCCTGCTCTAGGTGTGGAAGACCAACTCTAGGTTCTGGCCATAAATTGTTTTAGCACCTAGGCAAATTGCTTTCTAGGTTATTAAAAGAACTGCAGATGTTAGAGGCTGTCTCTAGGATTGTTAGACAGCCTTGTTTTGTGCTTTCTTTACCTATTTTGATTTTTCTATAAGAAGTATGCATTATTTTAATATTTTTGGGAAAAGAAAAATGATTTAAGATAAAAATATTTTTTTGCATCTGTGGTTATGGAAACACTGTTAATATCGAGAATGAATAAATAATGGAATACTGGAATGAACCATGAAGAGAAGCAAGGCAATAGCCCACTTTCACACAGGGGGTAAAGGCGAACATGATATTGATTTCTTGCAAAGTTTTAGGACAAAAGATTAAACAGGATTTCTGAAAATATGTAAAACAAAGAGGCCACCTTTCCCATTATTCTGTACTGCTGTTAACTGATTATAGTAGGGGAATGCCACATATGTGATACTTCTCAACAACACGGTATTTGGCAAACTCTCTCATGACAACTTTTGGACAAAATGGAAAACAGTGCATAGAAGTCAAGAGTAGGTTCCTTGGAAGCTGGCTGAAAGTCTGGTCCTACTGGTACCCAGATTGGTGTCAATCTAGAAAGAGTTCTCTAACGGGGAGTGATAAGGCACTGTCACTGATGTAGATGAAGGCAGCAGATACAATGATACAAACCTGAAAAGATGAGCTAAATTCTCCCTGTGGAGTTTCCAAGATGCTGAAAGTTGAGCAGAAACTCAGGTCAAACTTAACAGAGGTAAATCTAGAATTCAGGTGAACAAGAAACCAGCTACACAAGTTCAGGATGGGAGGCAGGGAAGTGGGATAGATAGAATGTGGGCTTTGGAATCAGTCTGCTGGGCTGTAATCCCAGCACTTCGGGAAAATTACTTAACCTCACTCAGCCTCAGTGTAGGTGGGAGAATTAAAAGGGACTGATGGCACCATGTTTAGCACAGCGCCTGGCTCATGGGCACAGGACACGCTCAATAACTTTATAATTATTAAATGTGGCCAGACAAGAGTTCATTGTATACAGAACACCAAGGCGCTTCATTGCCCAAAGGAACAGTAAGAACTGACAAAGTGATGAGGCTGTAAAACACGTGAATTTGAACTTAAGCTGCAGATTCAGGAAAGAAACTGTACTACTATATTCTATACCCATCAGAAGCCATCTGGAATATTGTTCAGCTCAGGACACCACGTTCTGAAAGAGATACCAAGAGGCTGGAGTGTATCCAGAATGGTGTGACATGAGAGTGAGAAACAGCTGGACAACTAGAATCATTTAAGAAAGAAAAATGAGTACAGGATGGTCGTGACAACTCTCTTGAAATACTTGAGGAATTGTTATATAGAAAAGAGAGTCAAATTGCTCTGTTGTTCTAGAGGACAGCTTTCTTTTCTTTTCTTTTTCTTTTTTTTTGAGATGGAGTTTCACTCATGTTGCCCAGGCTGGAGTACAATGGCGCAATCTCGGCTCACTGCAACCTCCACCTCCCGGGTTCAAGTGATTCTCCTGCTTCAGCCTCCTGAGTAGCTGAGATTACAGGCACGCATCACCACACCTGGCAAATTTTTGTATTTTTTAGTAGAGATGGGGTTTCACCATGTTGGCCAGGATGGTCTTGAACTCCTGACCTCAGGTGATCTGCCTGCCTCAGCCTCCCAAAGTTCTGGGATTACAGGCATGAGCCGCTACACCCGGCCCTAGAGGACAGCTTTCTAAAAGTCTTCAGCCAAGTTTGTTTAACAAAAGGGAAAACTTTTCGACAGAATGGACCATGGAACAGGTTGCTTCATTTCCCACCACTGCAAGTGATCAAAGAGAGTCTGGAGGGGGCGTTAGGGGAATTGGAGAGGTTTTCACAGTTGTTCCCCTTCTTCCTCCTCCCTGCTCCAACAGCTACAGCCTCTACTGCTGGACCTTACTAGGCTTCCTTTCATCCCATTAATGATGATTAGATAGGACACAGAGTCCCCCAGTTCCTAACCTTCTCCACTAGAGCACAGAAGGCACATTCTCATGCACAGATGCATATTCATCCAGCAAGTATTCGCTGATGGCCCTCTACAGGTCAGGAAGTGTGCTACTTGACAGGGGCTAAAAAGATGAACAAAGTATATCCCCAGGGAGCACCTAGGCTAGTGAGAAACAGGCCCCTCAACAGATGCCTGTGAAACGGTGAGGCAAGTGCAGTGATAGAGATTAGCACGGGGGACTCTGGAATCACAAAAGAAGCTCAACTAACCCAGCCTGGCTGGGTCAAGGGGAGTCAGGGAGAGTTTTCTCCGGGAGTAGATCCTGGAAGCTGTGTGGGAATTGGTTAATGTGTTAGAGGAAGAGGGACAACATGAGCAAAGTAATGAAGGTAAAGAACAGCCCTGTGGACAAGCAGTTCTATATTGCTGGATTGTGAAGCATAGGGCATGAGACAGGAAGAAGTCAGGCTAGAGAGGTTGGATGGACCGAGAGCCCAGGGAGCCCAGTGTGGGTTTCTAGGAGCTTCTATGCCACATGCAGAAACTTGCATGGATGAAGGACTCTTGTTCGAGCTGCAGAATCCTAACTAGTCCCTGGCCTCTAGAAAATATTTGTGCAATTGTATGTTTCATTACCATGCATGTCCTCTGTTCCATGAGTGCAGGGCCTTGTCCATCTAATTCATCACTATATCCCCCGTGTCTAGCCCAGCGCCTGGGACACAATAGGTGACTAAAAAGGAAGAATGGGAACAGAAAGGATGCAGCTTCACAGGGTTTTTGTGAGGCTTCCTAAGGTGCTATATGTAGCATGCTTAGAGCACTTGGCCCTAGCATGCATGAATAAGGGACAGTGATTGTGATTATCATTCATTTGCATTTCTTTTTCTCCTGTCTTGTTGATTTTTCAAGCCCACTGCTTATAGTACCTTTGCTTTTGTGGCTGGCCCTGATTAATACATTTTGATGAGTAATAGTGTTTGCCAAATGATAACGGTCCCCAAAGAGGCCCCCAACCTACAGAGAGTTACAGAAATATTCAGCATCATAAACCAAAAAAGGATATTCAAAGGACAGAATCGAGGAACTGATTTCCTCAATGGGAATACAAAACTTATGTTTGCAGGCAGGCCTCCTCGAGAAAGTATGCAAGTGTCACATGAGGCTCCATCGCTACACTCATGGCCAAAACTTTAACCCCCGTGAACCCTGGATAAAAGGCAGGTAGAAATGGTTGAGAATAAACTGTTCTCTGTAGACCTCGTTGACCCTAACAACCATCTGACGGGGCTTTAATCTGGTGGGGTGTGGCCAGGCACAGCCCATGGAGGAAAGAAAGCCCCCCTTTCTTTCCTGAGGAGGGCTGGAGAGGGGGTGCGTGTGCATATTTCGTGTCTATGTGCCAAAGTTAGGCTTCCTGACATTGTTTCCTCTGGCTTCTCTTGGCACAGTGTCTTCCTGGTCTATGAAGGCCTGCAACTGGCTGATCTTGGTTAAAGGGAAACTGACCAGTGGTATTTGGTGGATACTGCTTGTCCTAAAGATTCAGGAGGAATAGAACTTTCTCCAGGAACCCAGGGACTTATCCAGGGATGACAATCTAACTTTTTAGGGTCTGATTGAAAGATCTGCATCCTTGTGGACAAGAACTTAACTCTACAGAGGAGATTCCTCCTGCCACAGGATTACACCTGGAAAGATTTTAACATTCTTTTCCTTTGTCAAGTCCCCAAAGGATACATTCCTGATAGGGAATCCTAGAGTTTATTCTCCCTTGAATGACTAAGGCCCTAGGCAAAGCTGAAGAGGAGTCTGGATTCTGTGAGAATGAACAAGGCAGCTGCTCGGAGTCGGCTGCTGAGGGGGCCATCTGTTTAAGCAACGAGAAGTACGGAGCTAAAGAGGCACACGGTATTCAAACATGTGAGTTCCCTGCACCAGGGCTTCTGGTCAGTTCTTCAATCAGGAGAGAAAATGATGCTTAGGTGTTAAAGGTTCAGGGGGAGCCGAAATGACTTCAATTGCCAAAATAAACAGAATTGCTTAATTAATCTAACTAAAAAATCCTGTTCAGCATTGGATTAAAAAAATCATGTTGATGCTGCCCCTGTTTATTTGGCTGAATCCTGGACTGAGAGGGTATATTTAGCCTCAGTGTGCTTGCAGGATTGCATCTTGCAGCTCAACAGGAAATATCTGGAGTCACAGCTAAAGATATCTCTGCATGTTCAGAAATTTACGAGCAGCTGTAAAAGTGGAGCTATGGTGGGCAGAGTGCTGGAACAGTCTCCCTTTCAAATGAGAGAGGCCGCTGAATTAAACACTTGAATATACCAAGTTCATGGCAGGCAGAGGGCACCTGACATGCTAAAAATAGCCAAAGTGGAAGTGCTTCTGTTGCTAAAATAATACTGAACTGGTATGCTCCTTTTCTCAACCCACAAGAAATGGGTGAAGGGGTAGAGGGTAGGCTCTGAGATTCCAAAAAGTGTGTCAGAAGCTATGCCAAGTGAAAGTCATTTCCTCATTTTGCCACTTTTCAAAAATAAATAGCTTTCTTAAGCTGAGCAAACTGAAGTAGCAGTAATCAATATATTATTTTTTAATAACACGAGACAGAAATGGTAGCAGCAAAAAGACACTGCATACCTGGATCTGTAGTCCTGCTGACAAGCAATCCTGCTGACGAGCAAACCTTTTCCATCATGGGCAAGACTCATTTATTTTTAAACATCCTTTTGCTAGACTCCCTTATCAGCAACTCCACGCCCTGCTCACCAATGCCCGGCTGGAAAGGTCCCTACTTACTCCTGTGCACATGCCTGGCAAGGCTGCTTGCTAAACAGCATGGACAAGGGGACGTCTGTGCCCCTGCATGTTGCCGGGCAGAGGAGGCTACGACCTTTTCCCGAATGGCCATTAGGTCCAAGAGCCACTGAACTTTCATTCTGTGACCGAGGACATTGTCTCATCTTTCCAAGTCTCACTTGCCCTTTTGCCTGATGTGGGGCTAATAGAGATTACCCTGGTGGCCTCCTGAAGTTGCTGTGCAGATCTAGTGAGCTAATGCATGCGAGAGCACTTTGTGACTCCCAAAAGCCTGAAACCTGATGGAGGATGTGGTTGCTGTTGTTATTGGGCATTCTACTGGAAACGCGGGGAAAGAACAGCAACATCTCCCGGTGATAAGGGAGTGCTGTGCACAGACATTGAGTGTGTTCTCTTTTGTGGGATGGTGCCATCTTCCACAGGTACAAGCACTGTCCACATCCCACTGAGAGCAGCAGGGGCCACAGGAAGTCCGCTTGCTTTCAATGAGCTTGGCATGGCTCACTGCCGGCATCGCGGCCACACTCCTGCTTCAGTGACTGCACCTACTCTGGGCAGCTCCCAATGCAGGGCTGGGCCTGGGTTCACGGGGAAGCAGGGGCTGAGACAGAGGTGAGCCCAGCCTCAGTGTGAATGGTTATGAAGTTATCACCAGTGCCTACCCTGGGACCAGTCCCCCAGGCTGGTCAGTACTCCTAGCTGGGAGGAGAGAGATGCCTACCTTATCTTAGGCAGCCCCACTAACAGCTGCCGTTTGGGCTGCCACTGACTGAAGGGATTATTATTTATTTTCTTTGGTTCTCATCTCCTTCTCATCTGCCTTACATGTTATATCTGGTAAAAAATGATAAGTTCACCATGATGGTCACTGTGGGGCACATGGACAAAAATATGTATGCACATTGTCTAAAACTGGAAGGGAATATTAAAAATGAAATTACTTGCTGTTTTAGGATGGTAGAATTAAGAATGCTTTCCTTGCTTCTTTTTTTGCACTGTCTAATGTTGTTAAGTAATCTTTAAAATAATTTAAAAAAGGAACTGCAATTAGGGTTTTAACATTTTGTAAAATGACATTGGTTACCCTGATTTTGGCTTTACTGGGCCTGAAAGTGCAAAGTTAAAGAAATATCACATAGGCTAAAGGATTCCAATGTAATAATCATATTTTCAGCCTCTGAAGTATTTTAAGGGTGGCCTTCTTCATTTCAAGGTTTTTTTGGAGAATGTAGTAAATGGCAAAGGACATGCAATGTTTAAAAGTTGGAAATCAAATCATAGCTTTTTTATTTGGAAAATGCTTAGAAGTCTACAATCTTTTCCACCAATGAAGAATGAAGTATTGGCCAGGTGTGGTGGCTCATGCCGGTAATCTCAGCACTTCGGGAGGCTGAGGCAGGAGGATCGCTCCAGGAGTTCGAGACCATCCTGGGCAACATAGCAAGATTTTGTCTGCACTAAAAATAAAAAAAATAAATAAGCCAAGTGTGGTGGTGCGTGCCTGTAGTCCCAGGTACTAGGTGGCTGAAGTGGGAGGATTGCTTGAGCCCAGGAGATCATGGCT
Organism: Homo sapiens; assembly: GCF_000001405.40. Taxonomy (NCBI): domain Eukaryota; kingdom Metazoa; phylum Chordata; class Mammalia; order Primates; family Hominidae; genus Homo; species Homo sapiens. Next base: position 139,765,926 of record NC_000004.12, read on the forward strand.
TCAGTGAGCTATGATCATACCACTGCATTCCAGCCTGGGCAATACAGTGAGACCCTCTCTCAAAATAAATAAATAAATAAATAAAAAGAATGAAGTGTCTATCGAGCACCTATGTGCTGAACATTGGGCAAGGTGTTGTGTATTTCTTCTTAGTTCCCCCTTTTCCCTGTTTCTCCTCCCACAAAGTGAGTCTCACTGGTTGTTTCGTAAGGCACTACTCAGTTAACTCCCTTCATGGTCTTTCTTTTTGGGGGGTGGGGGTGGGGGATGGAGTCTCACTCTGTCACCCAGGCTGGAGTGCAGTGGCATGATCTCGGCTTACTGCAGCCTCCGCCTCCTGGGTTCAAGCGATTCTCCTGCCTCAGCCTCCTGAGCAGCTGGGATTACAGGCGCCCACCACCATGCCCAGCTAATTTTCATATTTTTAGTAGAGACGGGGTTTCACCATGTTGGCCAGGCTGGTCTCAAACTACAGACCTCAGGTGATCCACCCACCTTGGCCTCCCAAAGTGCTGGGATTACAGACGTGAGCCACCGTGCCCAGTCACGAGTGATTTTTTTAAAGCTCTAGATGCCAAGGTAGTGTCAATGAGGGGAACTGCCAACAATTTCTGGTTCCTTCAATAAACAACCAGAAACCATGACAGAATAGGGCTTGGCACCTATGGTAACCGGCCACACCCAGCTGCTTTCTCTGGAGTACAGCAATAGAATGGACAACGGCTCAGATCTTCTCCTTCTTCTCCCGACAACTCCAAGTCCGCCATTTCCTTCTACCATGATTTAGAAATTATCCCCTCTATTTGATAAAGAGGTAAATTAAGTCAAGGGAAGGTAAAGGTTCTGGCATCTGGGCACTCGGCACATGAAGAGCAAAACTGAGAAAAGACCAAGGTTTGCCACTGCGCCATCTCCCTGCAGACCAGCTCTGCAGGCACGGCCATGGGGGCCAGTGAATGTCATGAGACGTTAAGTGCGAGGCTGAGCTAGTTGCCCTCTGTATTTTGGTACCCACACATGAAAAACTGGGGGTAACAGTATGTGTTCCTTCCCACCTCACAAAAATACCTTATCTACACATAACAAGTATACACGTGACTATTATTGTCCACTTTATTATTATGTCAATGTGATTACTCTGTAACCCAACTTATATTCCTTTGCCTCCCAAGGAAACAGACAAAATAAAACATGAGCACCACAACAACTTTCCAGCGGGTACAGGTAATTAATTCTAACCAAAAAAGTCCACATTGGGTCAGGCCTACCACTCAGCTATTCAGCTTGGCACGGAATCTCTTTTGGTGGCACCAAGGGACATGCTGACGGATGTGTTCGTTAGGAAAGCACAGTTGTCTATGTTGATGTCAACCTCAAATTGTGAGGGCCACATACCAAACCACTGAGTTTTTGCTAACATCTCGTCACAGATCTATCATCCATGAAATTGGTTTAAGCTGTCTTAAAAGCTATTTATAGTTCTGGTCTTACCACATCTTACATTAATGAAATTCCTTACGCTTATGAAACCAGCCATGTAAATGAGTGATGCTTCCTTTTTTCTTCTTCTTGAATTTGCCTCTTTCAAACTCCATAATGGTCCTTCCGACTTTGTCTTACTATACCAGGATTTGGTGAACATGTGTGTGATATATTACATTAATCACATACCTGGTGATTTTGGAGTCCCATTATAGCTCCTTTCAGTCTTTATGTATTCAGACAGAAGAATCCAAACTTTTAAATTTATTCTCACATAGTATTTCTTAAATGAAAGGTTATTAACTTTGGTCTGAGGACCCCAAGTTAGCCATAGATTAGCATGAAAGTGCATGCAAAACTGTGTGTGTGCACACATGCATTTCTCTGGAGTAAAGGGTTAGAGAGAATCTCAAAGGAGTCTATGACTCCAAAAAGGTTAAGAACCACCACCTTTGACCACTTGGTTCCTCCTTGAACCTTTTTTAGTTCTGGTTAGTTATTTCTTGAGATGTGATGGCCAGAATGGCATATTATATTCTAGATGAGGTTATGTCAAAATTCTGAACAAGTTTATTTTATTTTCTTTGTAATTTTTCACCAGATGATGTCTCCTATTTTGGTGGAATATCTTTGTTGGCCACTCATATGTCTTCTTTTGAAATGTGCCTGTTCATGTCCTTTGCCCACTTTTTAATGAGTTTTGTCTTGATGATTTAAGTTCCTTATAGATTTTGGATATTAGTCCTTTCATGGATGCATAAGTTTGTAAATATTTTCTTCCATTCAGTAGGTTGTCTCTTTACTCTGTTGATAGTTGTGTGTGTGTGTGTGTGTGTGTGTGTGTGTGTGTGTGTGTGTGTTGCTGTTCTTTAATTAGGTCCTAATTGATAATTTTTGTTTTTGTTGCACTTGCTTTTAAGGACTTAGAACTTTCTCAAATATATTTTTGATAGTCTTATGCCACAAGTTTAAGTTATTTGCTTAAATATCAGGTTCTTGTAAAAAATAACATCTGATAAGTATCTTGATTCTCAGAAACAAGTTGCTTTATAATTCCCAAGTCTTAGTATTTACTATTGCTCAGATTAATTTGGCCATATTACAGTATGGGCTCAAGCATAAAGATGTATTATATTTTGGCTTACAGTTGTAAATACCTCCTTATGAATCAATAGCAATGTAACACCAGATGTTTAAACTGTTCTACTAATGTTCAGGAAATAAAGCAAAACCAATGTGGATTCCTGCTGCTACTCTTAGTACTACGCTGATGTTGAGAAGGTAGCCTTGGTGGGCCAGGGCAGAGACCAGTCCTGCTGCAGCACCCCATGGTGCTGGCTGATGTATGGGGTCTGGGTAGACAGAAATCAAGGCCTGAAAGCTATCGTGGCTCTCTTGGACCAACAGGAATGCTGGGCATTCACTCTTCAACATCCTGCTTCCCCTCAGGTTAATTATATATTTTCCCCCCTTTTCTTTCAGGTGATAACATAGGATGTGACTGTTTAAATTCACCTGGCTTCGGTCAACATTGACAGAAGGTGTACATGACTCTACGGGAATGGGGAAATGGCAGCACCAGGGGCTGACTGAGCCCCAGTCCTGACTGTGACTGCTTTGGTAACAACAAGGTGTTTAGGAAGAACAGTCCCAGTCCTTTTCCAAAGGTCGCCTCCTGGTGTTTACTAAAGGAACTCTGAGTCTCAGCAGAAGCAGAAGTCCTACCATTAGCTTGCAGAACCCTTCAGGATGGGAAAGAAGACTTGGGCTTCAGTGACTCAGCCTGGAGCTGGGAACAGGCAGGCAGGGATACAGAGTGGGTGTTCTTCTCCTACAGGAGGAGAGATGCATCCCTCATGCCCAGAGAGGCTCTGGGGTCCCCGAATCCAGAGGTAGTAGAAGAAGAGTCAAAACACACTCTCCTGAGAACACATCTCAGGTGCATGGAACACAAGACACGCTGCTTTGATTAGGGTGCTCTCTTGTCCATTTTGTTCTATAATCCACAAGAGAAGACCATCTGCACAGCAGTGACATGCTCTAGTTGACCATGATGAGCCTTTCCTAGGGAAACTATTTTGAGTGGTATATCTTACAGGAGACTGCAAGGCTCAATAGTACAGTCACCAGGAAAATCTACATGTAAATATGACACTTATGAACCGGCAATAAAATATGGTGAGTCTAAAGACCTTCCATGTCAAAGTTCTTTTTCTTTTTTTTTTTTGACGGAGTTTCACTTTAGTTGCCCAGGCTGGAGTGCAGTGGTGTGATCTTGGCTCACCACAACCTCCGCCTCTTGGGTTCAAGCCATTCTCCTGCCTCAGCCTTCTGAGTAGCTGCAATTACAGGCATGTGCCACCACATCTGGCTAATTTTGTGTTTTTAGTAAAGATGGGGTTTCTCCATGTTGGTCAGGCTGGTCTTGAACTCCTGACCTCAGGTGATCCACCCGCCTTGGCCTCCCAAAGGGCTTGGATTACAGGCGTGAGCCATCGCGCCCAGCCTCTTTTTTTTTTTTTTTTTTTTAAAGACACAGTCTCCCTCTGTTGCCCAGTCCGGAGTGCAGTGGCACAATCAAGGTTCACTGCAGCCTCAAACTCCTGGGTTCAGGCGATCCTCCTACTTCAGCCTCCTGAGTAGCTGGGACCACAGGTGTATACTACCATGTCTCAGCTAGTTTTTTATTTTTTAATTTTATTTTTGTAGAGACAGGGCCTCACTATGTTGCCCAGGTTGGTCTCAATCTTCTGGGCTCCAGCGATCCTCCCGCCTTGGCCTCCCAAAGTACGGGCATTACAGGCATGAGCCACTGTGCCCAGCCAAGGCTCCTTGTCTGTGAGGAGGATTCAGAGACATCTTAGAAATTTTCATTACCTTTGCCTATGAATTAAGTATATAGTATCGGCAAAAAATATTTGGACACTTCTGGCTTAAATGGATGGAAGCTTTAAGAGTTCAACCGTTGTTCCCATGGACAGGGCAAAGGTAGGGGAAGGAAAACGGAAGTCTCTACTTTAGTTCTTCACTTATACTTTTTCTTTTAAAAAGACTATTCTGTTTGTGTCCCTGGCAACAAGCTCCTCCCAGGATCCTAAGGGAGTTGGTGGATAGGGAGGAGGAGATTGGTGGTGGCTGAGCTGAAGCAGGACAGAATAGGATACTGATGTCAGAGGGCGAGGCAGGCGCTCAGTTGGAAAGTTGCTCTTTGTTCCTAAAAATAAAAGTCTGACCCTGCTTTTTTGGGATCTTCCCTGGAATGAAGCCAGCCAACTGCTGATCTCTTTTTAGAATTAGCTCAGTAGCCCTCAGCCCAAAGGTGAACTCCAAAGACCCTCCAGATATTCTGGCCCCCAATAAAATGTTACACAGTAAAGTAAATGACATCAGAGAAAGTTTCTCTTGAAAGGATAGGATGGCCTGTATATTTGTAAAGCAAAATGTATCCAGCAGAAAGGATGAGTGGATAGGACTAGGGAGAGGAGGGGGATATTGAAGACAGAGAATACCAGGTTGGGAACGCTGCCCAGAGGTTGTGAAAGGATTAACAACTGGATGTGGCTGTGTGCTTTAGAAAATTCTCTAGGAGGACCAAGTGTGGCAAGGAACCTCAAAGACCCTCCATGAAGGATCCACACCACACCCTCCTTCTGGAGAGCTCTCTACAGTACTCGGAATCTTACGTTTTATCCATTCATGAAGTCTTTACCCAAAGTTACAGCTACAGTTTATAAAATGGCAGTGATGTATTACGCTGCACATCAAACGAGAAGCCCTTTTCCTTTAAAGAGGTTGTATTTTGGAGAGGGTTTTGGGCAGCCATTGTATAGACTGTACACTGTTCTGGGTCCAAGAACCAAAGCCATGTCTTAGAACTTTCCTAAGACTGAGCCTCATGTTATGGGCTGATCATCCTGTATATCTAAGGACCCTTTTTGCAGTGTCATTCCTAACTATTCCAGTGACCAGCCACCTTAAATGACTCAATGCATAAATAAAACATCAGGTAGTGAAGAAGTTCTTTCCTTCCCTGGAAGCGGGATAAGATTCTGTGGCCATGCACACAAAAGCTCCTATACTTTTCTCTCATTAGCAAATGCTGGGAAGAAATTCATTCAAACTTCAATCATTATTTTTTATGTAAGTATCTGGGACTACAGGATGTAAAATAAAGGGCAGAGTTCACTAGTTTATACACTGCTCCTCTAGAGTTTAGCTGGCGGAAATAATTTTCTGGTTGAGAAAACGGAAGATTGTAAAAGATTTCTCAGGAAACCCTTAGCGTATTTAACTGCAAATTCCCCAGCCTAGGACAGAGTTTCTTAATTAGGTAATCCAGAGGGACCACCTGTACCAGAATCAGCTACAGGTGCTTTGAAGATGTAGCTTTCGGGGGCCCATCCCAGATTTGGATCTCTGGGATGGGGCCCGAGTATCTTCAATTGGAACAAGCTCACCAGGTGATACACTGAAGTTTGGGAATCATTGCTATGTCTTGAAAGAAACATCCCACACCAGGTCACCTCTACTTAAAGTAAAAAAAAAAAAAAGTCCGGGCGCGGTGGCTCACGCCTGTAATCCCAGCACTTTGGGAGGCCGAGGTGGGCGGATCACGAGGTCAGCAGATCCAGACCATCCTGGCTAACACGGTGAAACCCCCGTCTCTACTAAAAATACAAAAAATTAGCTGGGCGCGGTGGCAGGTGCCTGTAGTTCCAGCTACTGGGGAAGCTGAGGCAGGAGAATGGCGTGAACCCGGGAGGCGCAGTTTGCAGTGAGCCGAGATCGCGCCACTGCACTCCAGCCTGGGTGACAGAGCGAGACTCCGTTCTCAAAAAAAAAAAAAAAAAAAAAAAAAAAGGTAAAAGGACCTACACTTCTTCAGGTGTAGCTCTTGCTTTCCTAGTTCACAGATATTTTTAAAGTTGTCTTTTTGTTTGTTAGTTTTTTTGAGACAGAATTTTGCTCTTGTTGCTTAGGCTGGAGTGCAGTGGCGCGATCTCGGCTCACTGCAACCTCCGCCTCCTGGGTTCAAGTAATTCTCCTGCCTCAGCCTCCCAAGTAGCTGGGATTACAGGTGCCCGCCACCACACTTGGCTAATTTTTCGTATTTTCAGTAGAGACACAGTTTCCCCATGTTGGCCAGGCTGGTCTCGAACTCCTGACCTCAGGTAATCCACCTGCCTCGGCCTCCCCAAGTGCAGGGATTACAGGTGTGAGCCACTGCGCCTGGCCAAAGTTATCTTAACATTATTGGCCCTCCATTAACTTGTATTATAGCAAGCATCAAGAGGATGAACTTCCCAGACGTAAAATGAGTCAGTCAATGTTCTGTCACTGGAGGTCTTCAAGCAGAGGCTGGAAAGCCACTTCTTAGGAATACCATAGGAAAGAATAAAGTATTGCTCACGCCTGTAATCCCAGCACTTTGGGAGGCCGAGGAGGGCAGATCACGAAGTCAGGAGTTCGAGACCAGCCTGGCCAAGATGGTGAAACCCCATCTCTACTTAAAAAAAAAAAAAAGAATAAAGTATCAGTAGAGGGCCCTAACCCTAAAATAATGTATCACATTTCCTCTAGCTCTATGATCATAGGATAATATTATAAGAAAATCAGCTTTAATATATCAAGTATTACATTTTAAAAAGTCTAAGCATATGCCCAGATTTTTTTGGTAGTTTTAAAAAGAAGCATGAAAGCCAATCTGTAAAACTGAAGTCCAGAAGCTGAGGATAGAACTATCAACAGGCTTCAGGATTCTTAGCCTTAATTCCAGCTCTGAAACGTATTGGCTCACCATACGCTCATGAAGACAAACAGAAAAAAGGCAGAAGAGTTCATCATCTTCACATTGCCCTACCCAGTCCCAAGCATCCTGTTATCTAATGGCACTGTGATGACTGCTAAGCCTTGTCACTCTTCGGAGTGGTGTTCATCAGATCAGAGACTTAAATCTCTCGCAATGCTTCAGGTTCTTCAACTGCAAAAGGGTATCACTAAATGCCCAGGGAAATACAATTTTCAAGAGGATAAATGCTTGACTGTGCTGGTTATTGGCACCTGTTTTCCATTTCCCTAGAGTTTCCTCTTCACTAGTCAAAAGTGTGCGTGTCCATGGATCTTTGCTACTACAGAAAAATAATTCCAACCCTAGGTAGTGCTAAGGATGGGGTAGCAGTGAGCACATTACCAAAAGGCTCAGCGTAAATGGGTACAGAAGATGAGCCTGTGCAAAACAAAATAAAAAAGGAGATTCTGAAGTTCCTCAATCAATTAAACTAACAATTCAGATAAACAGGAGAGTGAATCTGTGGAGTCTGAATTATCTGGCAACCTTTCCATGTATCATATTGACATAAAGATTGCCAAACCGCCCACTCTTCAATTCATGTTGTGTGGACTGTACTTAAACACCTCGATGGCTTTGGAACTCAGATTTGAGACAGGCACTTGAAGAAGATGACTGAGAAATGTTCAATTTGATGAAAAATTGCAAACAACCGGACCACTGTGAAACCATATGTATGGGTTGTTTCTAACTGGGTGCTTTACTTCTGAAACAGTTTTCAAGTTTGGGATCTAAAGCACATGGTCAGGAGTTCAAGCAAGCCATAGCAGGCCATCCTTTGCAGCAGGCCGTGTGAGCTTCATCTTTACAAACAAGGACAAGAGATGTGCCTGAGCCACAGAAAAGAGCAGCAGAGCACCAGGACTTGGCTCAGCTCCAAGTCAGAATGCTGAGCTCCAGAGCTGGGCTTTGGCTGTTCCTCTCACTGCAGGAGCAGAAATAATGGTCAAAATGTTCCTGACCTTGACTGTCTCATCTGAACAAATCCTCCTTGACAACTACTACACTTGGTAATTGTTTATTTAACTGGGCGATACTCTGTTACTGTCTCCTCCAAGTCTGTAAGCAACATGAGGGCAGGGATGACTTATGTCTATTTTGTTTACTGCTTTATCTGAAGTGGCCAGCACTGTGGCTGGCACGTAGTAGGAGTTCAATCCATATCTGCCAAAAGGATAAAGGAACAAATGAACCAATGAATGAATGAAGAGATAACAGACTCCAGAAGTAATTACAGCTGAATCCTATAGCCCACTTCTAAGAGTAGTAGCATTTTAGGAAGCCCTAGTATTTCAGCTTCAGAGATGGCTAAGTATAATTGTGTGAAGTCTGAAAAGGACTTAAACTCTGTCGCTCCATTAATGATCAAGACAGGAAGAGTCTTTAAGAAGAGAAAAAAATTGACGGAGGGGAGGATGGCAGAAGGAAAATCATGTTTAAGAACTAATAGAAGATTTATGATAGTAATTTTTAAATCTTAGACGTGAATTATTCTAAACCATGATAAAAGAATTTACTACAAATGGCAGTTGCAGAATGGCTTGAACTGCTATATGATATCTTATTGAATCTCCACACTGCAAAGTTGGTGGAAGTTAAGCTGTTTGTAACTTACTTTGGAGGAAAGAGAAATAAATGTGTATGTAAACGCTAATCAGGCCGATGATCTCTCTTTTGGTGCAATTTGATAGCTACACCTGGGATGGGGCCAAACTCTCTCCGGGGAAAGACTTCCTTTTAGAACACCAGCAATCCCCAGATCCATAATGGTGAATTACACGGGTCTGAGAATAAGAGGAAAAGTCACCATGACTAGAATGAAAGGATAATGCAAGGGTACTTGGGCTTCTCATGGCTGCATGGTATATGATTCTCTGGGTTTTATACTGCTCCTTCCTTAGCCCTCAGAACTCTTAATCCTATTTTCATTGCCCTAGGTAAACTGGGAAATATTTTCTCCTCCTTGACTGCAGTTACTCACACAATAAACAGGTAATAAACATTTTACTGCCCTAAGCAACCTCCTGCTAGGCAGGCAGTCAGAAGAGAAAAGGCTGTGCAAAATAACCCCCTACAGGATAAACTGTGGGGTACAAAGGATGAGAGTAACCCTTCAATAGAGCGCACCCTCTGTGGGTTCCAGGAGAGTGACTGGGAGCTGCTGGGACACATTAGCTGGCCCTTGCGGTCTAGATTCCTCTCTGCTTGAGGCTAGTAGGGAAGATTTGATTTCACCAAAAGGTAATTTAGTTGCCATTTCAAAGCTCTGTCTAGCTAAATTAAGGATGAGGAACGAAACTGGAGTTTACAATCTCCCAGGTTAAACCATGAGCTGTGGGCCCGGAAAGGAAAATAGGGGGCAGTTTGCAGCAGAGAGGAGTGGTTCGGGGGGCAGAATGATTCCGTTTGATTTCAGGTTTGCATTTTATTTTCCAAGGCATCCTTGTTTCATTGTTGTTGTTTCTATCTTTCCGGTATATCACGTCAAACTGTTGCTATCATCTGCTGACAGGGTGAAAAGCACGGTGGACATCCTTTGCCATCCTATTTTTCTTTCTGCTACACTCAGGGTTCCCTCAAAAGCCTTTTACCTTCAGCTTAGTTTAAAGCATTTTATGGTTCCGACTGCTTAGGAAATATTTCTAAGGTACAACTTGCAACTGTTAGGCTACTCTGCACCTTCCCCCAACTCAGGGAAATAGGGCAAAGCCAAATAATAATAAGATAAGCTCTGCTTCTACGGCTGCCATTTAACTTATTTATGGGAAATAAAAATCTTACATAAATATTTCCCACCAAATAGCATGCCAAATCAGAATGTATTAACCCAAGGCAAATGATAAATGCATCTGCACAGACAATCTTCCAATGCATGTAGGCTGAAAAAATGATTATTTTGTAAATCAACAGTTCTTTGATGTCAATTGCTGTTAATTTATGGTATTTTGCTCTAATTTTATTTTGGGATATTTATTTTTGTTGTATTTTGTTGCAGAGGTGTTGTGATGGTCTAGGAAGAGCCGTAACATGCTGATATGTCTAAATTAGAGAGAAATTTGAGATCTGATTATGTCTGAAATGGCTCCTGTCGTGATACAGTGCCCTGGAAACCTCCTACATTCCCTTTCTGCTTTCTCTGGAACCCTTCTTGGGAGGGTTAAGGAAGTGACTCTGCAGATTAGGTGATAAGTGATTAGAAAGCACTCCGAAGACCACACTGATAGATAAGTGAAAAATAACAAAGCTCCCGGCAGCTTTAGGGAAAAGTGCAGAGCTGCAGCCACTGGCCATTTTATCAGAGGCTCTTAGGTAGACTGAGGCTTTCCCTGAACAGTGTTTGGATGATCCCCACAAAAACAGGATGGAAACACACTCAAAGCAGATACGCGCAAAATGGTGCATTTAAACCCCAAAACAAAAGGCACCAAAACTGGATGGCAAAGCCTGGGCATAGACAGAAGCCAGGGGCAGAGGTCACAGGGCCAAGGATCAGCCAGATATGGCTTCCTGGGATGGCTTAGAAAAAGAGTGACATGTAAAGGCCAGGAAGCACTCTTTGTTTTACTGGCGTGACACTGTTATTTGACTTCTGTGTCCTACTTTGGCTCCAGCATCTACAAAATGGCATGTAAAAAACTTATAGGGGCACAGAGGGCAGCAATAGCCATAATTAAAGGGATGGAAGAAAGGTTCTCCAAAGCAAGATGAAAGGAATTGCATTGTTTATCCTGGAGGAAAAAAGGTTAAGGGGTGACAGTGACTGTATTCAAATATAGGAAGGGTTTTGGAGGGACACTCATCCACTCCTCTGCAGGGTTTGGGGGAGGAAGAACTGACAAAAAGCAACAGGTTTAAATGAAATGCTGATGTGGTACAGGGCCCTGGAAAAGCTGACGGTTCTTCAGACAGAAGGAAGAACTTATGGAAAGGCAGGGTAACCCAAAATATAGGCTGACTAACATGGATCTTAGACTTAATATGTCCAAAATAGAATTTCCGGTTCTTTGCTCCCCACTCCTGAAAACAATACCAACATCTACTGTGTTGGCCAAGTAAACATTTCAAGAAATCATTCACATTTCCTTCCCTCCTCTACCTGCTCCAAATCCAGTCCTTCAGCAGACCTTGCCACAAGAAGATCTGAATTTGATCAGTCTTCAGTCTCCACTGCCACTTCCCCAGTCCAAGCCATCATCATCACTTGCTTGGACCCAGCCAGGAGGAACCTTATATTCTCCTTCAATCCATTCTCCAGACACCTGCTTTAAAACATTTATATTTATTTATCTGAGACATGGTTTCTCTCTGTCGCCCAGGCTGGAGTGCAGCAGCATCATCATGGCTCACAGAAGCCCTGACTCCCTGGGTTCAAGCAATCCTCTTGCCTCAGCCACCCAAGTAACTGGGACTCCAGGCATGCACCATGGTGCCCAGCCCGGGTGCTTTTTAGAGCATAAATCAGACGATGTTACTTGCCTGCTTAACACTATTCAAAGACTTCCCATAATGCTTAAAACTCGCACTTTTGACCATGGTCTTCCAGGCTGTGCATCAGCTGGCTCCTGCCCTCTGCTGAACCCTTATCTTACCCACCCTTCTCTCCCTGCTGCTCTCTTGAGCCACATTGACCTTCTTGCTGTTCCTGAAAAGCCAGCTTTGCTCTCTTTGTGCCAGCTGCTCCCTTGGCTGGAACACTCTTGACCTAGCTCTTCCCTTGGCTGGCTCCTTTTGTCATTCTGTCTCAGCTCAAGTGTCACCTCCATGGGCCTTCTCTGGCTACTAGAAAGTGCACACTCTGAGAGTGAGAACTTTATCCACCTTGTTCATGACGGTATTCTCAAGCCTTGGACAGGCAACTGACACGCTGGGGTGATGCAATGAATATTGGTTGAATGAAAAAATAAAATGATGAATAAAAGAATACCGTGATAAAAGTAGGTTGTTACTTGCTATCCCAAGAGAGCTGGAGATGAGAAAAAGAAAGTGTTGTGCATGGTTTATACCACCATGGACTAGATGATATTTTGGACTTAGAGATTCACAGGGCTGTGCACTTTTGAAGTGAAGTGAGGGCCTTGCCTCCTCCATTGAGGTCCCAGAGAAGAGTAAAACCCAGTGGGGCATCATCCTTATCAGGGTCAGAGAATTTTAGGGGAGTTTCTCTGAGCAAGAGAAAAAGCACAGAGGGCTGACCTTAAGTCTCAGAGGGCAGCCACAGTGGAAGGAGAAAAAGATGGGGATTTAAGATCTGCTATCTCACTTGAAAACCATTGAGTTGGATCACCTGTCAGGATGAATTGAAGTTACTATTTTCCTTCTTCTTCATAAAGAATCGTTAGAGACTGGGTACCTCCCTTACTCTTCCTGAGGGCGAATCTCTAGCACTACCTCCATAACATTTATAAGGCCCTTGTGGTTCCACGTTCCCACAGAAAATGCTATGAGCTGGCCAGGCACAGTGGCTCATGCCTGTAATCCCAGCATTTTGGGAGGCCGAGGTGGGTGGATCACGAGGTCAAGAGACGGAGACCATCCTGGCCAACATGGTGAAACCCCGTCTCTACTAAAAATACAAAAATTAGCTGGGTGTGGTGGCAGGCACCTGTAGTCCCAGCTACTTGGGAGGCTGAGGCAGGAGAATCGCTTGAACCCAGGAGGTGGAGGTTGCAGTGAGCCGAGATGGCGCCACTGCATTCCAGCCTGGGTGACAGAGCGAGACTCCACCTCAAAAAAAAAAAAAAAAAGAAAAAGAAAATGCTGTGAGCTATTCTAAATCTGCCTTTACACAGCCTACTTTGATTCAGAATTGGACAAAAGAGGGTTGGAAGGACTCTTGGAATATATGACTGCAAGGTTTCTGTAGGCCGTGCACACATACAATGGCTGACCATTGCCCCAGCCAGTTAGCCAAGGCCTTTTGAGCAAGGTTGATGTAATCTATTTTATTTTTGCCCTAATTTCCCTAAAGAGCTGAGGAATAGTCTTTGGGGGGGCTCTATAAATGCTAATGATTGATTCACACACCTCACAGAAGGCATAACTCTGGTAGGTTTTTAGTTGGCTTTGCTGCTCTTCAGTTCAAAATCCCAAAGTGTTATCATCAGGTGGCTGGTGGAGTGGAAGATAATGGAAATAAATTTAGAAACTTAATTTAAAAATAATTTGTGAGCCCCATCACCCCAAAAGTCCTAGTGGTCACAATTTTAATTATGTCTTTCAGGTTTATAGCCCTGATTTTTTACATTTAAGATTGTTTCTAAAATGTTTGAGAATGGTCAGTAAAAATCTCCTCACATTTAGAAATACAAGTTACTATTTACTGCCCATATTAAAAAGTATTTCTTAGACTGCATCTGTATCCTGGGATCTGCCAGCAATACACATGACCATAGGATAGGAGGACAGACCGGAACACGGACTGGATTCTTTATAAATCAATAATCAGCGGAGGGGTGAGGGGCTGTCACTTTGGTGATTTCATTTTCAGCCACAGCTGGCCAGATTGCTTTTTGGAAAATAAAAGTCATGGCAAATTGAGCTTGACAATAACCAGGCTTGACTATGGAGGCCCTTTCTCCACCCTGCAATCAGAATGAGTGGAGGAGGGGAGGCCGACAGGGAAAGATGTTTCCCCGAATCTGTCACAGATCAGTCTTCGTTATGTTGTAGGGCGCAAGCCATATGCTGCTACTGTAAGTGCTGTTCTCTGTCAGCTTGCAGACTCTGCTCTGTTCCCTCGCCCCTAGGCCAGCAGATGCGCTGCCATTCCTGACTTCCAGTTCCTTATGAAGACCATGTAACCTAGAGCCATGCTGTCCGAGGCGGTACCCACTATTTACATTTAAATTTAATAAAATTAAAAATTCATTTCTGCAGGCGTGTCAGCCACTTTTCAAGTGTTCATAGCCACACTTGGCTAGTGGCTACTATATTGGGCTGTGCAGGTACAGAACATCTCTCCCATTCCAGAAAGTTCCATTGGACGGCTCTGACCCAGAAAACTCAATTGGTGCCAGGAGGCCCTTCCTTCTTTGTTCACAGATTCTGAGGTCTTTACCTTTGCGGTAAAGAAGAGAATTGGGTGTACTGAATTTGAGAATTCTCTGGGTGCCATGCATCTACCTAGAAAGCAGACACCACAAATACTGTCACTCAGGACACAGTTCAAACAACCTCAAGCCAAGGAGAGACTCTTAACCAACCTCAAATGTGCATGTGCTTATTCTGCCAAACTCCAGAAGACAGGTGGAATGCTTTACCTTGTATTTTCCCCCTTTTCATTGTTTCTCCTGAGTAATCCTTGAAAAAACTGCTTTTTATTGTCTACATGTGGCTGTGCATGGGTCGCCCATTTCTTTCTTTCTTTTCTTTTTTTTTTTTTTTTTTGGAGACAGAGTCTCGCTCTTGCTCTGTCACCCAGGCTAGAGTGCAGTGGCACCATCTCGGCTCACTGCAACCTCTGCCTCCTGGGTTCAAGTGATTATCATGTCTCAGCCTCCTGAGCAGCTGGGATTACAAGTGCGCGCCACCATAGCCAGCTAATTTTGTATTTTTAGCAGAGACGGGTTTTACAATGTTGGCCAGGCTGGTCTCAAACTCCTGGCCTCACGTGATCTGCTCGCCTTGGCTGCCCAAAGTGCTGGGATTACAGGTGTGAGCCACTGCACCTGACAAGTGTTGCATAGTTCTGACGGCAAAGAATTACACAGGCTCTGATAATTCCCCTTTGCTCATAGGAAACCATCAAAATCATCATTTTATCTTTGTTAGAATGCTCAGCACTCACATCCCTATGCCCAACTACTATAACTGGTTTCACTAGCTCCTTACCCAAAATGCATTACTCTCTGGATGTTGCTTGAATTGTGTATTATAAATTCTTAAATTTTTAATTTATTTACCACCGTCAAAGGTGTTGTACATCATCACTGAAAAATAGAGTTGCAGAGGAAAACCCAGAAACACTCTACAACATGAAGCAATATAACCCACCCACGTTTTCCTATTTGGATCATAATTTATGCTGCACAATTCAGTTGCCTCACTTTTGGGGCCTGAACAATGAAAGGGAAAGCCTTTTATATCTACAAATAGATATAAAGCCAGAGAGTTCTATAGTTTAAAAGGTCGAGGTATGCTGTTTAAATTTGGCAAACTTCATGATATTTAAAAGTTTGGTAAATCTCAAAATCCCAGTTCTATTACTAGATTGTTGTGGTAGGAGCTCTCTTCTAATGATCGCAGAGCATTTTCATATATATATATATATATATATAGTCTGTACAGCACACCCATTACGGCTATTTTCTCTACTAGCTTCATTTGTTCTCCTGCATTAGGCAGGATTAACTATTAATATTGTTCTAATTTCACAGGTGGGCAAAGAGGGGAGAATGTGGTAAAACACTCGGGCTTCACACAGGGCAGTGAAGTGTGGTTTTACTTTTAGGGCACTGAGCTCAAGCCAAGCTTGTTCCATGGCTGGGGCATGACACTGGTTTCAACACCAGCCATCTATTCATGGTGATGCTGTTACTCCTTAAAAACTTGAGAAAATATCTGGCACCCTAAGGTCAAGGTGGTTTACTAAAATGAACAGCATAAAATGCTAAAGATGAGAAAATCCCCATGTGCAACCACCCATCTGTGTTCTTTGATAGAATAATAATATGAGTGTCAGTTTGGTCCAACAGAGGCTGAATTGGACTGGATGGAAGGGTTGCTGGATACCACGGGGAACTGTTCCATGGAATGCAGCATTGAGGGAACTTGTTGAGGAGTGGAAGGGAGGGGACAAAGAGATCTGAGTAATAAATCTAGATTTATATGCCCATCCCGTAAATCATGACGAGTCAAATCAGTTTTTAAAAAAATCAGCCAAACATTTTTCAATACTTTCACTGACTTTTTATTATGATTTTTTTAGAGACAAGGTCTCACTTTGTTACTCAGTCTGGAGTGTAGTGGCACAATGATAGTTCACTGCAGCCTCAAACTTCTGCACTCAAGCAGTCTTCCTGCCTCAGCCTCTCGAGTAGCTTGGACTATAGGAGCTCACTACCATGCCCAACTAGTTTAAAATATTGTTTTGGTAAAGATGGGGGTCTCACTATGTTGCCCGGGCTGGTCTTAAACTTCTGGCCTCAACCAGTCCTCCCACCTCAGCCTCCCAAAGTGCTAGGATTACAGGTGTGAGCCACTGTGCTGGGACTGACTTTTTGATCAAGCTGGCATGGTGAAACTAATATTAACAGTTTACATGGACACAAAGATAAAAGTGTTAGCTGATATATATATGTAGAAAAGTGGCTTTCCCCACTTTAACAGGGCTCTTAGGAGGGCAATAGACATGCTAAATGGAGGTGGGCCTTCCTGGTGCCCCTTTTGGTTGTCCTGTAATGAATGGCAAAGTTCAGCCAAGGATCAACTGCAAACTGAGCTTCTTTACTGCCGAGGAGCTGGCCAGAGCTAGTGGTGTGCGCACCCAGAACCTGCAATGTCTATGGGTGAGGCTTCACTTAAGACAGGAGGCCTCTGATGTCAACCCCACAGCTCTGAGCTGCTGGAACATCTTTGGGGCTCAATTTGGGAATCACCTTTCACCTAAAAATATTTTTTCCCTCCATCTTTCAGATGGAGATTTGCAACATTCAAAGTAGAGCCTTACAATTGTATTTGCTGCCCTTTCCTATGCTCCAAATTTGGCTTTAGGCTGCCTATTTTCAGTGTTTGGGAACCTCAAAAAAGGAGCAATGCATAAAACTTCCAGCTGATAGGAATCCTTCCCCAGGGCTTGTCATTTAGCTGCAGCTCCAGCAGGCATTTTGAATGAAGGGGAAAAAAGGACATACAGCCTCGCTAAGTACAGGGGCCTTAAAGAAAACACGGTTCTTAAAGCCCTTTTGTCCTCTGTCTATCTGTAGCACAGGATAATGAAAATGGATACGTGTTGCCTGTTGTTCCTATGTAAATGCTACCTCGAGGACACAGTCTTCACCAGGCAGATGGCTAATTTCTTTGCTCTAACCTCATTTCTCCAGTATTCCGGTGTTCCTGTGACGTCCTGCTCCTGGAGTCAGGTCCTAATTGTTGTCAAGCGTTCAGAGACAAAAGTGGTGTCTACACATCATTCATGTGAAGGCTGTTACTGGCTATGAACTGTAGTTGTGGTGGCAGCAGCAGTGACTGCAGTGGCTGCAACACAAACCTTATGGCAGGTAGTACCTGCTGGTGTGGGGCTGCTCAGAACCTGCCTTTCTGCTTCCAAGTGTCAAGCTGAACATTTTCCTTTGTTATCGCTTCCAGCCCCTGGACTCCAACGTGCTGAAAGCCCTGTGTCTTTCTGTTGGGATCAATACCCGCTTCTTTAACTGTTCCTCTCTGGTTCAGACTGTCTCTCGGCATCATTCTGACCATGCAAATCTGGGGATGCCCAAGAGAGGGCTCATTTGTCTTGTCACAGATTTGGGGGGTGCTGGTTAACTTGTGGCCCCTTGGAAACCCCACTGCCACCGAGCAGTCAGGTAATCCTAATAGCCAGGACCCTCCCAGTCAGCGATTGGCCGTCTGATTGGATGCACATTCATCTTCAAGTTATGTTGTGTGACAGCCCGGGCTGCTGAACACCATTTTAACATGCAGATTGACTCCTCGGAGGCTCTTCATTACGCATTTAGCGGTCTGTTTTCAGACTAACCAGCATGTCAGAGAGGCCCGCTATCCTCTTTCCACCTGGGTGGAGGAAATAGCTCACTGACTGTGGGGGAGCCACAGATATTAAAATGCATATGTTTACCTTCCTGAGCATCCGCACACAACAGCTTTCTCTGATGCAAGAGAAGAAAAAAGAAGAAAGGACCCTTGGTTCTGAAATGCAAGGAAAATGGCTAGCAAAACAAGCGAGCCTTTGTTGATGAGAGCAGTCAACAAGGCCAGGCCCGCCTGATGCCGCCCAGCTGCCCGCAAGCCGACCTGGGAGCGTCCACACAAGCACTCCTCTTATCGACACACAGACCCTCTCTTTCTCTCTCACACAGAGCCTGAAGCATTTTAAGCAGAACACTTCCAATTTCCTGTTTCTAAAACCATCTTGCCTCTCCAGTGGCATTCCAAGCGATCCTGGCGAGGCACGGGATGAGGGAGAATGGTGTTGGTTTAGGTGGCTTCCACTGCAGGGCTCTGGGCTTACTTGCGAGGCTCCAGGCCCCTTCTTTACCCACCCCTCTTCTCTCCCTGCTGTGATTGACTTCCACTTGCTAAAAATACTTCCCTATGGCCTCTCGTTGTTCCTGCATGAGTGCTGATGTTTTCTTGTGCGCGTGTGTGGGTCGCCTTTCTCAAGAATCTCTTTCCATTCCTTAAAAAGAAACATTTGTATTGCTTTTAATACAATTCTCATCTCTTCCCACTTAGTCCCCCAATGTACTATTCTCTCCATTCTTCTGAAGGACCAATTAAACTGGAAGGGTACTCAGTTCTTTGGGCCTTTGCTATGCGCTACGCCTTGGCCAAGTCTGCAGCCCCTGCCCTCATCTCCGATCACTCTCTTGCTTCATTTCTTTGTTGTCACCAGAGAAAGATCCTGGAGAGGTTTAGAAGGCTAGCTTGGTTCTCACAAGTGGGAGCTAATGTGTGCACGTGGACATGGAGTGTGGAATGATAGACATTGGAGACGAGGAGGGGTGGGAGGGTGGAAAGAAGGTAGATGATGGGAAATCTCTGAATGGTACTATGTACATACCTTATTCGGGTGATGTATACACTAAAAGCCCAGATTTCATCATCACACAACATAGCTGTATAACAAAATTACACTTGTACCCCTTACATTTGTACAAAAGAAGAAGGCGGCTAGCTTGGACACAAACACTCATGAGGCCAGGGCCGATACCTGGATTCCTAACTGACAGACACCCAGCCACATGGCTCCTGGGTGCTCAATGTCTGAACCACAGCCTGCCCCTCAGCTTCTGGGTCCTCCCACACGGTGCCGGATCCTGATACCAAGACCGAGGACATGGATGGGGTTTTGCTGTTTACATGCTTAAAATATTAATAATCAGAGTTCACTTTCATAGGGCTCTGGGCAGAAAATAAAATGACAGCAGAGCTGTATTCCTAATTCCCCTGGAAGGGCTGTGAAGGAGGAATATAATGGTTCCCTATGCTTGCTCTGGGATCAGAGTGTTCTTGATGAGTGAATTGGGCAGTAAACACAGCTCTTTATTTTTGTACGGAATGTGGTGATCCCCACTGGCAGGAACAGGTTGCATGTGGTTGCTGGGCTGTTGCTTGGCTGGTGCTGCACTGCGGAGTATTGTTTGGAAAAATATCACCCAGCACGAACAATATGGCTCCCCAGCGCCTGGGGCACTGCATGGAGAGATCTGTCCCTTCATTCACATATCTCTGCACTAATTTTTTTTTTCCTGTGATAAAACAGATTTCCTGAATTTAAAATGCTACTGAGGGTTTTGGGTGGTGGAGCTATGCTGTGTTTTAAGAAGAGTCCTTGATTGGCAAGTGAGCAGGGGGCAGCTTGTGGTTTGGAAGCTTCTCATACACAGAGAAGGGGGCCTGGGAATTCTAATGACAATTTAATAGCGGCCTGCCACATGGTCTAGGGAAAGTAATTAAATCTTGAATTTTAAGTTCCCGATGGTAAAATGGGGGTGTTATGGACTGAATTGTGTCTCCCACCAAAATTCATATGTTGAAGTCCTAACCCCCAATATCTCAGAATGTGACTGTATTTGGAGACAGGGCCTTTAAAGAGGTAATTAAGTGAAGTCATTAGGGTAGGCACTAATCCGATATGGCTGGTGTTCATCTAAGAAGAGGAAATTTGGACACAGACATAGAAGGGTGACCATGTAAGACTGGAAGAATATGGCTGTCTGCAAACGAGGCAGAGGCCTTCAGAAGAAACCAACCTGGCCAACAGCTTCACCTCAGCCTTCCAGCCTCCAGAGCTGTGAGAAAATAAATGTCTGTTGTTTAAGTTACTCAGGCTGTGGGACTTTGTTATGGCAGCCCAAGCAGACTAAGACAAGGCGTATGAGTGCTAATGTGCTTTAAGGATGTGAGAAACCATGGAAAGGGGAAAAGTGGAGTCTCACGGTATTTGGGGGATTGATTTCAGGCATCATTTTAGCTGATATATGGCTTATGAAGAGTGGCCAGTAAATCTCAGCCCAGATGCTAATTTCACAGGGACTAGGTGGAAATTGGGTTGTTTTCTGTTGGCTAAATACCTGTAAAAGTGTGGTTGCTCTTTAGCTTCTTGTGCGTAAGGCAGAAGTGACATCTTGAACTGAGAAAATGCTGTGAAGGACCTATCTGGCCCTTCAAATAAATCTCTAGATTTTTGTTTGAGCCAATCAATCAGTTCTCCAAGGTGTCAGCTGGTAACAGACATATCTGTCAATACAACAGTACTGCCGTCACCGGGCAGGCTGTGTTCACAGCAGGAAGCATGGCTCAGTAGTTACTTATATTTGGGAAATGGATAACCCGGGATTATGGGTTTCAGGAGGTGAGGTTAAAGTGGGGTCAAGGGCCAGGTTAATGCTAGTACAGTTTCCACTGGAGAAAGACAGCACGATATATTGACTTTAGGGAAACATGTTTCTAGCCTTGCTCCCCACCCCTGCTTATTCCACCCGGGGACATCCCTTGTCAGAGCCTACACCAGACTGTGCCTCAGAGACACAGCCCTGCCAATTGCTGCAGTGGGAAATGCTGAATCATGAGAGTACAGGTGGAGGAAAAATAAATATTCTGTATGTAATAGAAAAATTGAACATGCCTCAGTTGGGTTTGCCACTGAGCCTTTTTGTTCAGCTTTCCCTTCCCGGCTGTGAGCAGCACTCTACTGAACCTTCCTCGTTCTGCAGCAGCGCTCCGTCCTGCGCCCCACAGGGGATTTCCTTACACTTCACTTACTCATTCTCAGCTGAACAGACATAAATGTTAATGTAGTTCTGTGCCCCTTAATCAAATACAGGTCCCCTCCTGGAACAGGGAGATCTACAACTACGGAACACTGGCTAAAGACCATCTTCTATCTTTGTTACATATTCTTTTTTGTTGAATTCACTAAGTGTTGCCTTTTTATACCATGGGACACTAGAACCAAGGAGGAAGTAGCCCTTTCTAAATTATTATTATTCCTGTTCTCTGTATCACACCTTCTTTTCCTTCTTCAAAAATGCCATTTTCCAAGTCAGCAAGCTTATATAAATCCCAAGTCTCACTACTTTTCTAAACAATTTTCAAGTCTCTTTTCTGGGATTTAATATCTCCTGTGATAACCCAAACTGGACACAGAATAGCACTAATGTTTTATATGTTATCTTAAATTTTCTGTATTATTTTTTATTTTAACCCCAAGCATCCTATTGGCTTTTTAAATTGCTGCTGCACACCAGACAGATATTTTCCCCAAGTTATCAACCATGACTCTTAAATTATTTTACTATGAGTTCAGAGCCTATCAGAGATTATGAGAAGTTTGGATTATTTTTCCCAAAGTGCATTACTTTACACTTAACCAAATTAAATTTCATCTGCTTTCACACTACCCAATCCCCTAGTTTGTTTAGCTTTGCCTGAAGTGTCTCATAGCAATCCTTAATTTTTTATTAACCATGTCAATTTGAAGCTTTGTACTTAACTCTCTACTTTAGGGCTTTTGCCATCTATTCTTGTTACACTTTTGGAAACCAGTGGGTTTTAAAAGGTGTAGAATGAAGCATTATTTGGTGAGATTCTATGCTAAGTGACATGTAAAAGATCCCAACAAGTTAATGAGGACAGTCCTGAAGATGAGGCACCAGAGTCCAATTCAACCTCAAGAAGCACCTTTATTTCTGTGCTGAGAATAAATGATCCTAAAATGTTTCCCATTTCTTTTCGATATTACATTGAAAACTCAGTGAGAAATCCTAGCAGACAGCTCATTTTCCTGTACAGGCACCTTCTATCCTGGCTTCTTTTCCAACCTGTGGTGGCAACAGGGGGCTTGTCAAATGGAGCCTTCCGCACTCCCTCCCATTTCTCTCTCTTCAAGGTGGCATTTCTTTTAATTGAATAGAAACTAGAATCAGTTAGTTTGCTAGATGTTTTTTCATGATTATTTCCTGATTTCTTATCTTAGATACCAAGAGAAAGATATGTCACATCCTGTCTCCAGTTCTTTTCTCCTCGCTGTCTCCAATCTCTTTCTCTATATATCCTGAAGAGAACCTCACATCTGACAGAATGAAATCCTCCCATTTTTAAAGTTACCAATAAGAGTGTGGCTAAAACTGCTAGGTGCCTACCATTGTCCCTATTTTTAGCTGGGCCTGTTGCTAGCAAGCTAAAAGACTATAATCTTTAACTTCTCTTGCAGATAGGGATGGCCAAGAAACTAAGTTTTGGTCTATGAGATACAGTGAAATTTTGAATAGCTTTTCTTAGAAATTTCCGTCAAAGAGGACATGCCTCCTTCTTTTGTTCCTAGAACAGAAGTTCTGCCTGGAATTCTTATGTGATGGCTGGAGCTCTAGAAGCCATTGATAGACCATGAGGGTCACAACCTAGGGATGGCAGAGTGGAGAGTGGGCTTGAGTTCTTGATGACTTTGTGGAGCTGCCAGAGTAGCCCTGGATCACTTTCTTTGTGAAAGAAAAATAAACTATGCTGTTTAAACCACTGTTGTGGGGAAGAAGAGGAGGAAAGAAGACCTTTGTTATTTGCAGCTGTATTTAATTTTTACTGATACAGAAAGACTTGACTTAGGTTTATTTCATATAACCAAGGCCTTTTAATGCTAGAGTAGCCTTAGAGATCATCAAATACAATCTTTTCAAATACAGGCCAATTCGTTGTATTTGCTGAACACCTATCACATGAAAGGCAGTAGACTAGGTGTCATAGGGTATACAAAATGCTACAAAATGTGGTTTTTCCCTTAAAGGAGATTTAATCACTAAGCTGATAATAACACAGGCAGAATGTGGCAAGCATCTTAAAAGAGGAACTCACAGTGTTCCACGGAAACACTGGGAGGATTAGAATTGATTAGGGGTTGGGGTGGGGTAGTCTGGACCTAAGAAGTCTTCACAAAGGGTGTTGGAGCTGAGTCTGGAAGAAGAGTAGTATTTCACAAGAGGGGTGGGTAGAGGGCAAGCAGAGTCTAGAAAGCAGAATCTAGAAAGAGGGATCCTCATGAGCGAAGCGGAGCACACAGCAGGTTGAGTCCGTGTGTAGGAGCTGCTAGCAGCCCAATGTGACTAGGCACGGGTGGATGTGAAGGCATGGCAGGGGGAAGGCCTGGGTGGGGACACTGCAGGGTTTTGAATGTCATGTAAGCAGTTTTAAAAATTATTAGTCTGTAAGTACTGAGGAGCCACTAAAGTCTTCTGACCAAAGAAGTGATATATAATTTTTTTTTTGACCATGTCTTGGAACAGAGAGAGAAAGTATTGAAGATTAAACAGAACAGTTAGAAAGTTAATTCAAAAGTTGTTTTTTGTTTGTTTGTTTTTGTTTTTCCAACCTCAACTATGGCAATGTTGGTGAATTCAGAAAGGAGAAGGGTGATGAAACAGGTGTGGAGGGACTTGGACATGGGGGTCGAAGGTGACTAAACTTGGGTGACTGAGAAGCTTGTGAACTTGTCAACTAGATTTTGAATATGCTGAGCCTGAGGTGCCAGTGTGAGAATCCCAGGAGAAGTCTAGCTGACTGTGGGAATGTAGGACATTCAGACCTTGTTGGGAAGCTCAAATGGAAAACTGCAATTATTCAGGCACTTTTAACTAACGACTCTCTCAGGACCCAGGACCAACAAATTTCTTTGAGGATGGTGTTCTCATCTCTGGGGCAGACGGCTTGGGAGAAACAGGTAGGGGTCACCGAGGAGGGAAAGGGCCACCCACCTAGGCTGTGAGATGTGTCAACTCCACCCTAGTGACATATATATATATATATATATATATATAAATAAATATATAAAATAAAATATATACCTATATATAATATATACCCTATATATATAATATATATACCTTGCCAAATTAAAAAAATTTCCTGAGTAATCTTTCTTTTTTTGCTTTATGTACAGAACAAACCACTTTTTTTCATTGTAGAAAACATACATAACATAGGTACTATTGTAACCATTTTTAAGGGTTCAATTCAGTGGCATTAGTATATTCACGATGTTGCGCAACATCACCGCTATCCATTTCAGGGAATTTTTCATCACTCCAAATAGAAACTGTATCCATTAACAATAACTTCCCATCACCTTTCCCCGCCTGCACCTGATAACCTCTATTCTACTTTGTCTTATGAATTTACCATTTCAGGTATCTTATATAGATGGAATTGTGTAATATTTGTTTTTTTGTGTGTGTCTGGCTTATTTCACTTAACATAATGTCTTCAAGGTTCATCCATGTTGTAGTACGTATCAGACATTCATTCTTTTTGAAGACTGAATAACATTCCATCGTATGTACATACCACATTTTGATTATCCACTCATCTATTGATGGACATTTGGATTGTTGCTACCTTTTGGCTATTGTGAATAATGCTGTACCTGAGTAACTTTATATTAAAATCACCTTAGCCAACCAGCTCTTGACTGAATTCCCACAGAAACATACAGAAACCTGAAAATTTTTATAGTGTCCTCTTTTTGTTCTGGGAGTTTTGCAGAAGAGATGATATCATTTAAAGAGACCAGATTAGCAACAAACAGAATTTTTGAATAGAAAACTAAACTGATATAAAATTAAGTTAGGCTTAAAGATAACTTAGATAGATATTTTGTTTAAATATCTTTTAAACTCTTAATATGTACTGAACTTTAAAAGTTTTATAATAATGGAAACTTACCCTTATATAAATCTTCAAAATATATGAGGTACATTCTCATCCATTATCCTTACATCATCTCATCCACCGCTGGGTATGGTGGCTTACGCCTGTAATCCCAGCACTTTGGGAGGCTGAGGCAGGTGGATCACTTGAGGTCAGGAGTTTGAGACCAGTCTGGACAACATGGCAAAAGCCCATCTCTACTAAAAATACAGAAATTAGCCAGGCATGGTGGCACGTGCCTGTAATCCCAGCTACTCTCGGGAGGCTGAAGTAGGGGAATTGCTTGAACTCAGGAGGTGGAGGTTGCAGTGAGTGAGCTGAGATCACGCCACTGCACTCCAGCCCAGGAGACAGAGTGAGACTCCATCTCAAAAAAAAAAAAAAAAAAAGGCACCCATTATCTAAATAAACTGTCACTGACTTATAAGGTTATAAATATATTTCCTCTAAAATATAATATAAAGAAGTTTCATAATACATGTAAGAATTCCCTTCAGTGCATTTATTTACCTTTTCAAGATAGTAGTCAAAGCAGCTTTACTCATAATACAGGGAAATGTCCCTCCTGAAAGTTAACCACTGAGCTATTTGGTCACAAAGCACATTATTCTAAAACCAGTATTATTCCAGAACCCTGAGCATATTTTACAGTATTTCCAGCCCATTGTATTCTAGCCAGTTGTTCTGTATCACATCCTTACCAACATAAGCTATTGTTTAGCAGCCAACTCCCCAGCATTGTTATTATAGATGAATGTGTTCCTTCCCAGAACAGCCCACTGCAGACAGGTGGACATGGTAATTACGGAGGCTCCATCTGTTAGTGGTGCTGGATATACTGGGATCTCTGTTTGAACTTAGATCCTTTGAGTATTTGGGCAGATGCATGTTGGAGGCTAGAGAAATATTAATGCAGACAGCGCTACATACATTTTTGTTGCATTGAACAAATCAATTTAACTCAATTAACATTTATTGAGTACTTGCTAAGACTCAGGCACTGTGTTGGATTCCAAGCATGCGATTCAGCTCATGGATATATGGAGAGAGCAGAATGAAAACATTTTTACTGTCACACAAAAGGTTTGAGACTCAAACTCATAGTAGATTAAATCTAAGAGATCTGAGAAGTCATCTACTCCACTTCCTCCTATAACAATGAGCAAACGATATCCTTTACAGATAGCATATTTAAAACAATATAGATGGTTTTGGAACAGAGATTTAAGCTGATGTCTTAATATCAACTTAGTTTAAAAATATTTAGGATAAAAATTTTGTTTGATATTAATTTATGATCCTCATAAGGATCTGAGTTACAAACATTCTATAATAATATATCTCACAATTAAACAAAGTGAATTAACCACCATGGCATAGCTATTCTGTTCTGGTCTGTATTTTCAGATATACAGCATTTAAAATGTTATATACTTGCTGCTTATAAGCTACCCAGACAGCAACAAAACAAATGGAATGTACAAAGTGTGGAACTAAGCCAAAAGCCCTTCTTTTTCTCTTTGTTACATGATTTTTCAAAGCTATTAATACTGTTAACATTGCACTGGATAGTAGAATTCTAGTTCTGGTAGAACTGGTTTTCTTTTCTTTCTTTCTTTTTTTTTTTTTTGAGACGGAGTCTTGCTCTGTCACCCAGGCTGGAGTGCAGTGGTGCAATCTCGGCTCACTGCAAGCTCCGCCTCCCGGGTTCACGCCATTCTCCTGCCTCAGCCTCCCAAGTAACTGGGACTATAGGCGCCCACCACCAGGCCAGGCTAATTTTTTTTGTATTTTTAGTAGAGACGGGGTTTCACCATGTTAGCCAGGATGGTCTTGATCTCCTGACCTTGTGATCCGCCCGCCTCGGCCTCCCAAAGTGCTGGGATTACAGGCGTGAGACACCGCGCCCGGCAGAACTGGTTTTCTTTAAGAATGCTGATGAGGATGGGTGGGCATTACCTCACTGGTAGAGCCATTCTTACTTATCCAAAGAAACGAAACACATTTATTCATAGTAGAGCTACCTACTGTGCTATGCTCTTGAGCCACACCTCCCTCCAGCCCCTCTACCTTAAATTTAGAGTTACAGGTTCATTGGAAAGAGCATCAACCCAACCTGCTTACATCAGAGACCTGAACACTCAGTGTGACTGTGCGAACTCCCCGTACAGGACATTTATTAATGCTAGTATGCACTTTCTCCCTCTTAGTAATAACATTCCAGAGTCCTCTTGGGGAGAAATCTCCATTGACTTTGTGGAACTGCAAGGCAAGGTGCCTAGTTCTCCAATCACCAAGATGTGCACACATGACCCATTGGCCAAGTGGACACTCTCTCCCAAATCTTCGAATCTCAAGCAGATGGATGCAAGGATGGAAAACAGCTGGAATCGACTCATTTCAGTGGTGGCATCTTAAAATCCTAAATACTAATTCCTGCCAAAAGAGCCCTAGAGTTTTCTTTATTCCTGTGGCTTTTCCAAGCCTGGCTCTGCATTGTTCTGAAATCTGTGGGCTAACTAACAGCTTTGCCTAGGTTCACCTGAGTTGATTTTCACTGCTTTCTATCAAAGAACCTAACTTACACACTATCTGAGTCCAGAAATACAGATCTTTAGCTCCAGAGGGTATTAAACACATTCTTCTGTAATTTATTCATGTTAGATCAGCAAACATCTATAGGTAGTTGTTTGAATATTCCAATGGTGTTCAATGGTGAGGCACAGCCCTAGGAGAATATTATTATGGTTGTACACTGAGAATACATTACTTTCTAATAAGGAAGGAAAAGAAAAAAAACGAACAGCACTGTACATCTTGGCTACTCACCTTTTAACAGTAGCCAGAACTCATTGTCAGGAAGTTCTCATGTACCTAAGGAACAGTCCTACATGGATATTCCATATTCATGGCTGTGATCCCCTGGCCTTGTTATGATCTTTAAGCAACTTATAAATCATTATCAAAAGAAGATTACACTGTACTTACTTCATTTTAATACAACATATTTTGCTTGAAAAATTATAATATTCATGTTCAGTATTCTAGTTACTTCAATAAGATGAACCAGAACACCATATTCTCTTAGAATCCCAGATAACAGACAAAGTCATCACACACTTCTGGTCAAAGAACAATGATCTATCTGGGAAGGCTCTTCTTCTCTCTATACAGCCCCAGGAAGGCCACATGTGGGAAGGTGAGGAGGGAGGCAGACATCTAGTCAGCTGATTCGATCAGTAAAATCAACCCAGGCCATCAGTGGGGTGCCTGGTGTCCCAGTAGGATCATCTTCACTCCCAATCTGACTGTGCACTGGATACCAGGTGCCTTACTGGCCTCACCCTGGTCCTGATCCTGCCTCTATATCAACTCCCAGGCTTTGCTTAAGCACACTGTTATTCCTAACTGCTTCCATCTCCACCTTAGCAATTCCTATGCTCTAAAATGTCAACTCCTATGACTTACTGAGGCAGCCTGCAAATTTGGGCTTTTACTTGGTCTGAAGAGCTCTTGTCCAGTTTTCAAAATGATTTCCTACTGGGAAAATGCCAATCTCTCTGCTCCCTGTGTTGTGGCTAAAATGTAGCTTGAGGTGGCAAATCTGTGTTCCACGCTGGAAGAGCACATCTGGTTTTGATTTTTGCAGATGACACTGCCAACAGTCTTTGCTCCTCTGTGGAGCTGGCCAAGATTGTTTCTGTCTTCGTACTGCTTAACAGACTAGGGTCAGGTGCCAAGAGGTTGCCTGTCCTGAAAGCTTCTTTTCTGAATGAAGGTAAGAATTGGTGGCAATGACACCTAGAAACTCCCAAATAGCTGAAGTTTTCGAGGAAAAAAAATCACTGTGCCTTACCAATATAGTTATCTCTGCTTAGACAGTGACTGAGACTGAAGTTATATTGCTTCTTCCCCAGGGATCAGAAAGGGCAGCCACAGAGTTAGGTGAGAAGGCACAGCTGAAGCGATGGAAGATTTACATCATATCTGTCAGCATGTCAATAACCCATCCTGAAATTCAGGAAAGGCTGAAAAACTGTCTAACTTGAAATTTCATTAATAATTGTAATAAAAAAAGACTAATTCGACAATAACCTAACATAATGTTGAATTTCACAGACATTTTATTGAAGAGGAACACAAGCAAGTAACTTTGGAAGTCCCTTAAAGTGTAGACTTCTGGCTGTTGATTTTTAAAAACAAAAGTATAAGGATGTCAACTAAATTTGAATTCAATTGAGTGGTTCATGCTTTATGTGCCATGCATATTATACACGAAACGTTTCTGAATGCATTTTAGTTGAGTGTTAAGGGTGAAATTAGAATGGTTTAATATTTGGAGGCAATTTCCTGTTAAATTGTCAAATTCATCTTATTATAGGAGCTTCTGGGGAATGTTTGAGGCACCACGGTTCTTGTGTTCTTTTATGGGAGTGGAAGACATTTTCAAAAAGTCACAATTTCTGGTAAGTAACGGACTCCATTCTTTTCTCCATAACACTGGCAGACATTCTTGGCATCAGCCTGACAAATCTCCCTACCACAGAGATGCAGTGTCTTGAAAGCTGCAAGCAGGAAACAAGCTTCTGTCTTTTTAGCGGACCTCCTGAATGAGGCTTCCAGCTGACCCCACTTGCAACATGCGGTAGTACCATATTGTTGTGGAGATGTAAAACCCTTCTGGAGGATCCTAAATTACTCTAGGAGAGGGTGGTGTGTAACTACGCATGTATGTGCACACAAATGCACATGTAAATACACACATTCTCTCTTTCTGTCTCTCACAGACAGACTTTCCCATTTACCCCACTATAAGTGTGACTGTATCTTCTTTAGCACAGGTATGTAATAATTGAGGGCATTTGGGTAGCACGTGGTAACCTTTTTTGAGGCTGGAAAACTAGTTTCTCTTGGGCAATGTGAGGTCAGGTTTCATCAGACATGGAAATGTGGGAGCTTCATGTTTTTTCTTCTAGAATGCCATTTCTGTAATTTTGTATAAACAAAGGATAAGATCTGTCTCTGACACTGGATCAGATTCGTTATGCTTTATAATCTCTGGCTTACAGATATGATGACTATTATGAGGCTTTAGGAACTGCTGATATCTACTAGGGCTTTATAGAGAGAAGAAACTTCGAAAAAAGAAGATATTTTACACTTCACATGTCTGACAAGGGTGTGTGGGGCCAATTTACAGCAGGGGCTTAATATATTTTTGATGAAAATTGCTGCAATGTGGCACACAGATTAAAGAGAAAATAGCTATTTTGTAATGACAGCAGTAGATTCTGAAATGAAGCCCAGCTGGTACAAAGATCCTACATGGATTTCAAGATACACTACCCTCTTCCCAGGCTTTACAACAGCATTTAAATGTCCTCCAGGCTAGAGTACCCTATCAGAGATTTCCATGGGTGTGAACCTTGTGGCTCCACCCTCAGAAGTAAGGGAATAATCTAGTGATTCGAATGTGTTGAAAAATCAACCAACCGATCAAGATGGATTTGGACAGACCATGGTTTAGCTTGCCCTACCAGAACCTAGAGCAAATACCTAATATGATATAATGAACCATGAGGTAGAGGCTAGTTCTACCCCTCTACACCAGCAATTGCAAAAAGGTTACAATATATATGCTTTAAAATGATCGCAAATCAAAAGAGAAATGATAGTCACCAAAGTCAAGCACAGTGACTGGAATACAGCAAGAATGAATGAATGAATGAATGATGACTACAACAAAGACCCAGTAGTTAGGTTTTCCAGATCTTATTTTGTATCTGAGCACTGGGCTTGGACACAGAGAGCCATAAGTAGGTTATTTAATTTCCCTTAAACTCAATTTCCTCATCTGTAAAATGGTCCTGGTAATTCACAGGATTGCTGTGAGGTCTAAAAGTGATGATGTCAACATGCCTGGCCAGAGCAGGTACTCCCCCTACATGACATTGCTTACTGAGGCTGCAGCCTTCAATTTGTTCTTACAATTGAACAAAATATTATGTATGTCATGTGAAACTTGTTTTACAGTTTATCTCAACCTAAGTTGGCATTATTTTAAAGTCATAAAAACATGATAAAAATACACATATACACATGCTGACATTTAACTAATAAGAGTCCAGTTATGGAGTGATCCTGACCATCTGAGCGAACATGTCAGCAGGGTCATGCTACATATAGGATGTGGGGTCAGAAAAGTAAGGTGAGAGGCCACAGTTAGGATCATGTACAAGCTAATAATGTCACATGGCTAAAGACACACATTCCCATGGACACTGGACAATGGGCTGAGTTTTTTTCAACAAATCAAAGGCATATACTACAAAGGAAAGAGTGTGTATGCTGTTCCAGAGTAAGAGGCTTAATCCAAACACCACATCCTTGGTGGAAGGGGGTGTTCTCCCATTCATAGCAAGGACACAGAGCAGCCAGGGCATCGCTGGCTGGCTGTGAGCACAGAGAGGCAGAGACCAGATTGAGGGGTAGTTCACTTTTTCAGAAATACATACTCTGTATATAGAGGTAAATTGATATGATGTTTGGTTGGAACTTGCTTTAAAGATACTTCAACAAGAGGAAAAAAGAATAAACAAAATAAATATGTCTATCCCCTGCACCCCCCAAAAAAGACTTGAAGATGTAACACCCAGTGCAATGGTTTGAATCCTAACCAACAATAAAAAGCATTTTTGATGCAATGTATTTATAGATGAAGCAATGACTATGAATTCTGATAACAGTGATAATGGCATTGTGATTACCTAAGAAAATATCCATATTTTAGAATTGTATATGTATATATAAAAAAGGAAGGGGTGAAGGGACCTGAAGTATAAGAGTTGCTTTAAAGCACTTAAGAAAAAAAGAAAGAAAGGAAGGAAAGAAAGGAGAGAGAGAGAAAGAAAGAAAGAAAGAAAGAAAGAAAGAAAGAAAGAAAGAAAGAAAGAAAGAAAGAAAAGGGATTAAGAAAGCATGGCAATACCTTGATAATTGAATTTGGGTGGCAGGTATACGGGAGTTCACAGAAGCAGTCCCTCAACCTTTCTTTTGTTGAAATGTTTTTCATAATACAATAAGAAAAAAATCACTTACGCTTTCTGAGCCTTGGTGCCAAGTACTTGGAATGAATGGTAACTATTAGGTTGAGCCATATGAAACTGCTATTTTTGTAGATCAAAAACAGTTGAATATCACCATCTTTAAATGGTCGAACTCAACCCAAACCAAAGACTCTCAAAATGCCTTTCATCTCTGACATTCTATCCATAATCCTAGACAGAGCTAAACTCTGCAAAAAGTTCAGTGTCCAAAGTTGTCAGGCAATACTCTGCAGGGACAGGTACCACACTGGCCCACCTTCAACAACAGCTTCTATGGTAACTGTATTGTCAAGTGCAACAGAAAGACAAGGTCATCACAAAGGCCATAGCTGTTGCCAGCCCTGATCACTGGTCATGATGTGCTCTCCCTATGCAATTTACCTGGGAATCTCCCTTATGCATGTGTCACATCATTCATAGTCTATGAGGTAAAACAGGTCAGGGCCAATTCCACAAAAACACCACTTCCTCCTAGTACAGATGGTAGAAACCCTCAGAGACTGACATTCTGCCAGTTTCTAAATTTAGTCCTAGCCTTACCTCCAAAATTAAACAAAATAGCAAATACTTTTGGTATTGTACTTCAGAATAGGGAAAGTTGTCCAATTTAGCAGGGATGTGTAAACATTTCCTTTCTCATCCTGATGTCCTACCAGGCCCTTTCATGGCCTTTTCCCATTAAATTTTGTAATTTTAAATATCTTATCTAATAAGTTTATTTATTTACCTGGGCAGATTAAATGCAGCTGAATTCCTTGGTCTGTAAGTGATTAGCGTAGGCAGTTAAAAGCAGCCTAAACTTATGGGCAAGGTTTTCAGTTTCTATCCCGAGCTTGCTTCTCTGTTCCATGGTTAATAAGAGCATTCCAACTCTAGCCAGCCTTATTGTAACCTCTGGTCCTCTATGTTCAAAGATTGGGTGAGAACATTGAAAAGCATGACTTTTATTGATGTAGGTGAGTACTGCCATTTTTTTGTGAAGTACTACACATAATTAAGCGACCAACTTCTAAAGCAAATCACTTTTATGAGTGATAACTGTTTCTATTTGTTTGGGATCAACCGTCCTTGGAGTGATTCTTGCAAAGAAAAATATCCTGACACTATACATCAACCTAATGCTATGAATTGGCTAATGATAAAGGTAGCTATTCTACTTTCAAGGTTGAAACGACTGAAATCAAAACATAACTAGACAAATGCTCACAGCTAAAGTGTGTACTGTGCATGTGTGTATTAAGGAAAAATAGATAGATACTTTAAACCCTGGGCAGTGGAAAGAAAACCCAAAAATCCAAGGAAGGCAGTTAACTAAATTCTCTTTCTGTCCTCATAAGACAGTACATTTTCAGGTTCATGTAAGGAAAAGTGAAATTGAAGCTTATAAATTAGAAATGGATGAGACTAAGGCAAGAGAAGGGAAGGAAGACAGGAAGGAGATGCATTCTTATCTTTCCCCCAAGGTCAAAGTGATGCACATTTTCTATTCTGTGGAAACTCAAGACTGGACTTTTGAATCAACCAATTCCCTCTGACATCAAGTGAGGAGGGCAAGGCACAGCTGTCAGTGATTTCAATTCCAGTCCTTTACAATTTCATTTTTGGAGGAGGGGCTCTCAGTAAACCCTGTGACTCCTATTTAAACAGAAGCAAATGCACTTTAGTATTTACCCTCTTAAGTTTCAGAACAAGTCAGGGAAAGAGGAGAAAAAAAGGAATATGAGACAAAATATTTATAATATCAGGAAAAAGCTTAAATCTTTGCATGAAACAAAACTGTACTGCAAGGGATTGTATTTATTCTTCCACAACACTAAAGAATATATAAATATATTATTAAATTTATGACAAACCATATTTTCATTTCAGTAAAAAGCAGAATCAGACTGTTTTTTTCAGACCTTAACAACTCATACTTAGAAAAAAATGTTACGTGCATCAACCGAAGTAAATATTCTTGAATGTTCCCTGGTAAACGTTGATGAATGCAGTGATTTAGGAGTGGTTAGAACAGGAAGAAGGCCATTTCTATGTCTAGATTGTTTAATGATTACCTGTCCCGTCTTCCTTAAGAAGGCAGAGAGTGTTGCACAGAAGTCTACTTGTGTGGTCTCAGCAAAGGCAAATTTATAAAGATTTTGCCTTTCCAGGACATAAACTCCTGTGTATAGGGGCTGTCTCAAATACCTGTGCACTTAGTAATTGACTTGATGATGAGAATAAATGAAGATGAAAAAGAGAAATTCATCACTTACTGAAAAGTATAAAGTTTCTGTTTTAAAAGTTTTACAGAGCAGAGAGAGATTTTCAAAAGAGGAGGAGAACAGAGAGCTGCACCTCTTCAGCTGCTGCTCAGACTTTAGCAACGAAGGAGGCCTCCGTCACTGGAAGATTGTACACGCAAGATAAAACAATCAGAAAGGCCTCCGATTTGTTTTCATTTGAAAACTCAAAGTCAGCTTTAATTTCTGAAAGAAATGAGAGATAATGACTCAAAATATGGCAGACTAGCTTTACAAACAGCCATTTGCCCAAAATGAATAATAATTTTAGATGATGAGTTGTAAACAACACTGATTTCATTTATTTTGCAACCAGTAATCCTGTTGAGGAGAGACAAGGCTGGCAAATTGTTTGAGCTATCCGTGATGTTTCTGGCCCTTATTTGCAAAGTTGGAGGAAATCCTGGCAGAGAGAACATAAAATGACATTGGGATGCTGATAATGAGCTCTATGCAGGTAGGGAGATTTGTCAGGGATCTGGCCTGGTGCATGTTGGGCTTCAGATGCCTGGATTGGACTGACAGATCCAGTTGGAATCTGCTTACTTCTTAGAAATAACCAGGCTTCTAAGAGTAGCTAGGAGCTCCCTATGGGATGTGCCAGTTTCAATGGCAAAAGCCACTTTTAGCACAGGGCTGTGACCATTCTTAAGATCTCCTCTTGAGAGGACACTGAGTTGCCTGACATGGCCCCCAAAAAGGGCTGCCAGATAAAATATAGAACACCCAGTTAAATGTGAATTTCAGATGAACAACTTATACTAACATACATATATACTAAAGAATTATTTGTTTTTCATCTGAAATTCAAATTTAACTGGGTTTCCTTTTTCTGTTTGTTTGTTTTCTAAAACTGCCAACCCTTTTCCTAAGACAAGGAAACTTCTGACAGGGCAGGATTCAGCTGCACCACCGCTGTGGGGAGGGATGAAACCTGCAGGCAGGAGGGGAGGGGAAGGGAGGAGCATAAAACATGGGCTGAGAAACAGTGGACTTTTTCCGTCAAAAGGAAAGCCATAATGTATATCCTAGTGAAGATGGCAAAACTGAGAAAAGATTTCAGATTTGGGTCAGCATCCAAGGGAGACCTAATTTGAAAAGAGCAGGAACAGGGTGTGTGTGGGTGTGTGTGTGTGTGTGTGTGTGTGTGTGTGTGTGTGTCTGTGTGTGTGTGTCTGTCTGTGTGGGCAGGCACATGTGTCTGTTCATGTTTGTGTCTTTGGAACTTACGGGTAGCAGTGGTGCTTAGGATCAGCAGCAGACAGAATGACTAAGGTGGGAAAGTTGTTAAATGAGAAGAACAGGTGACAAACAGGAGTACAGTCTTGTGAAGAGTTAATTCCTAAGTACAGGGCAGGCTGCTGTATAAGTCTAGGCTCCCCATGGGTGCCTGAGCTCCCCAGATGCCCAAGAGACCTGAGCAGAAAGGGGCCAGATGGACAGACAGACTGCCCACTTCAGAATGCGGCTGCACATGTGATTCAGGGGGTTGTAATTATTTCTCAATACCAAGGGTTCTCTTTGGCTATAGGGTTTCAACCCTACGGCTCGGATCGGCAACAGACTACTTCTAAATTCCAGAGTCTAGTGAAGGGGGAGAGCTCTAACTCTCCAGCTCCACTGGGGTCCAGTTTCTTACAGAATGGGGTAGCAGAGAGGAGGCTGGATAGCCTGAAGATATCCTATAACTGGGACAACTGGAATGGCGCTTGTTGGTTCTTAAGTTGGCTAGAACTGCCTCCTGGAAGATCATATACATCTTCCAACGTGCACCTCTCCCCGCAGTGTCTGGCTGCAGCAGGGTTAGGATCTATCACTGTGTTCCTTTCTCTCTTTCCTTGGCTTCCTATCCTTCCTATCCAGTTGCATCTGTTCACTGTTTTCCCATGAGCAACTCCTCCTTGCTTGCTGCCATGCCCGACTTCCTCTCATCACCTTACCTTTGGCTTACTGCTTTTCCCCTTGTTCACTCAATCTCTGAATACTTCTCTATATTTTCCTCTATCCTAAATATTGGAATAATAAAATTACAAAGATAACGAACAATCCCTATTTCTTAAAAAAAAAGAAATCAAAATGAGTACAGTTGTTTGTTGTAGGAGCAGGCTTCCCTGAGTGCCCCTGCAGTGGCACAGCCTTCCTGGTGAGGCTGCCTTGCAGCCTGTGAGAGATGGATGGATGGTAGAGTGGGGTCAAGTCTGGGCTGTGCTGACAGTTAAGTGTGGGCCTCCAGCCAGTTAACTTCCATTCCTTCATTTTAAAAATGAAGACAATCATTCCTTCTTAACAGGACTGTTGAGAGGATTAAATAAGATGTGTATTTACACATTAAATATATACTTAAAGTGCTTTGGAAACTGAGCAGCATGTTCCAAATGTAAGAGGTATTATTACCTAAAAGACAAAAATATCTTATACCTAATTTTACTCTATAGCAAACAGTGTTAAGTGATTACATATTATGGTGCTGAGAAACGGTATAACTATTTCTCTTTATAAATGTTACCCCCTCCAATATCCAGATTTGTGGCTCTTCCAACATGCTTAATAACAGGAAGTGGTGAACCCTCCATGAGGTTTTTGGACCAATTTAAAATGCAGTGACTGGGCACAGTGGCTCACACCTGTAGTCCTATGAGGCGGGAGAATTGCTTGAGCCTGAGAGGCAGAGGCTGCAGTGAGCCAAGATCATGTCACTGCATGCCAGTCTGGGCAACAGAGTGAGACCCTGTCTCAAAAAAGAATCATATATAAAATATAAAATGAAATGCAGTGCTGCTGGATAGAAGATTTAAAAGAATTTTTTAAAATCATAGTTTATCATAAACCTTCAAATGTTACAGATTACCATTTTTGGAAAAAAAGATTTTTATACAGCACAACAAAACAAAAACAGAACCCCTATTATGAAGTTGTAAGAGTTGCGTGTTCTTTTTCTTGGGCATAGGATCATAGAGAACTTCTGTCAGCAGGCGTTTGGGAGATGTGTAAGTTAATAACCATGTTTGCTAGGAAAACAGGAGAGAGGGCTAATTAGCACAGGGAGCCTGGCTCTGGTGAAGGATGACATGTTTGGTGTATGCAGGGTGGCAGCTGAAAGTTACTAATACTGCCACATACCCCCACTGTGCTTCTGTTACCCCAGTTCTCCCAGAGTCATGATGAAAATAATAACACCACACAGCACTTTACAGTCTATAAAGTGCCTGGCTATGTATGCATTACACACATCACCTCATTATATCCTCTTTTAAAGCCTGTAAGATCAGTTTTACTCCTGCAACTCAATTTCATAGAAGAGGAAACTGAGGTCAGAGTTGAAGATCTTGCCCAAGGTCACACAACTGTTGAGTCCAGAGCTAAATCTCAATGTGGGGTCTTGGTTCCAAATTCCACACTAGTTCAACACACCCAGCTCACACCATGCAGGCACACTGAGGATGCAGGGATCTGATATGATCTTCACATGTAGAGTGCAGAAAGGTATTACAGAAAAAGCTGGGGATCGGCAGACCCAACTTCCTGCCTTGGCTCTGCCCCTGAAGAGCTGTGTGCCCAAAGGTGTGTCTCCTCAGCACTTTGGGCCTCAGTCTTCTCATCTGATGAGTGAGAAGGTTGGAGTAGCTCAGTCATTCTCAGCTCTTTTTAGGGTCTTAAATAGTTGGCAACCACTTGAAATTCAGCTATAGACTCTTCCTTCAGAAAAATGCACACATGATACACACATACACAAGTGATCTCACTAAGGATTTTTTTTTTTTTTGAGACAGAATTTTGCTCTCATCACCCAGGCTGGAGTGCAATGGCGTGATCTTGACTCACTGCAACCTCCGCCTCCCGGGTTCAAGCGATTCTCCTGCCTCAGCCTCCAGAGTAGCTGAGATTACAGGTGCCCGCCACCATGCCTGGCTAATTTTTGTATTTTCAGTAGAGACGGGGTTTCACCATCTTGGCCAGGCTGGTCTCAAACTCCTGACCTCAAGTGATCTACCCACTTTGGCCTCCCAAAGTGCTGGGATTACAAGTGTGAGCCACAGCGCCAAGCCTCACTAAGAATTTTAATACATTCATGGATCCCAGTAAGACTAGATGGCTTGGGCTAGTTGATTTTTAAGGTCTGCTTATACTCTAAAATTCTATCATACATCCTCTTTCTGCAAGCATATTAATTTATATCTGCTTATAGTCTCATATGTATGTATACACTTAAGTAGTAGGACACTATTTACATTTGTAACAGAAACAATTTATGTTTTGGGAAATCAAAAGAAAAGTTTTACTGGGCTAAGGTCTGAAGTGTGGCTTTAGAAGTAGAGGATAGTGTGTCTAGAACAGTGCTGTTTAGTACTCACAAATAACAATTAATTTAAAAATGATGCTGGGCGCGATGGCTCACACCTGTAATCCCAGCACCTTGGGAGGCTGAGACAAGCAGATCACCTGAGGTCAGAAGTTCAAGACCAGCCTGGCCAACATGGCGAAAACCCATCTCTACTAAAAATACAAAAATTAGCCAGGTTAGGTGGCAGGGGCCTGTAATCCCAGCTATTCAGGAGGCTGAGGCAGGAGAATTGCTTGATTTGTAACCGGGAGGCGGAGGTTGCGGTGAGCCGAGATGTAGTCATTGCTCCCCAGCCTGGGCAACAAGAGCGAAAATCCGTCTCAAAACAACAACAACAACAAAAAGAATTTATTATAAGCATGAATTTCATTTGTCTCCTGTTTATGCAATGACTAAAAGTGGTATGTTATTAGGAATAGTCACTGATGGTGACACAGAAATAGAAGTTGGACATTTCTTGTCTGAGAAATAATACCTTAAAATGGGTTAATTTAATCCAATTAGTTTTCAGATAGAAATTATTTAATTACTAATGACTTCTGGCTTGTCAGGTTTTGCTGGGTTTTCTCATAGTCTAACCCCAATTTAGCTAATCAAGACCCTCTTTTTAAAAATGCCACTTTGCAATGATTTCAGAAACAGAAATAATTAAACACTTGAGTTACCCAAGAATAACCTTAATAAGAAATGAATAGAAACTACAAGAAGAAAATTAGAGAATCTTTAAAAAAGACTTGAGTGAATGGAGATATAGTTCTTATTCCTGAATGAAGAGACTGCATATTGTGAAGAAGTCAACTCTTCCCAGACCATTCTATAGATTTAATATAATTCAAATCAGCATTGCAGAGGGATTCATTTAGGAATTTAATAAATTTTTTATAGTTATTCTGGAAAAATAAACTGGGAGGAGAAGCTAAGGAAGCTAAAGAAGGCAATATGAGATGTTAGAACCTACTGTAAAACCAGAATAATGGAATACTATGCGAGCGGTGGAAAAACCAATAGTTCAATGCAAGAGAAATGATAGTCCAGAAGGAGATCTTAAGAATTCATTATCTGTTAAAAATATGGGGAAAGGAAAGATTATGAAATAGACAAGAATAAGGGGGGATATCTGAAGTTAGATTTGCACCTTGCAACTATACCAAAATACATTTCTGAAGAGCATATAATTAAATGTAAAAAATGAACTCCAAAAACATTTTTAAAAGTCAGTATTTCATGATTTTGGTATAAAGTCTTTCTAAGTATAAAATAATTAGAAGTTACAAGGGAAGAGGTTAATAGTTTTCATTGCATAAATTTTTAAACTGTACATTAAAAACCCTTAAAAATTAACAAGCAGATTAAAAGCTAGGACAAAATATTGGCATAAATGCAAATTTATAATATGTAAGTTTTTTAGAAAAAGAAATATATATCCTATTTTTGAAAAATGGGCAACAGACATGAATAGAGACAGTTTATGAATGAAAAATATAATTTAGCCAATAATTCTTAACAGATGTTCAGTCTCACTAATGATCATACAAATGCAAATTAAAAGAACAAAATATATTTTTTCACTATTATATTGGAAAAAAATTAAAATAACAATTCCTAAAGCTGGATAAGATGTGGTAAGGGAGCTCATTCAGTAGGCAAGCATAAATTGATAAGATCTTTCTGGAAACCAATTATACAACACACGTCAAGATCCTAGTTAATAACTTCCAACCCAGAAATTGCTCTTTTAAGAATCTACACTATGAAAACAGTCAGAAATTCCACTGAAGATAGATTTAAAAGGATGTTCGTAAACAACAAAAGGTAAACAACTAAAATGTTCAACAATAGGTGACAGATTAAATTTTAAATAATTTATGGGAAAATTATGCAGGCATTAAAAATCAGGTTTTATAAAGAATGTTAAATGACCAAAAACCTCAATAATATAGGTGAACAAAGTAGGATACAAAACCAAATGCTGTTGGATTTAATGCTGTCTAAATCAAGACATTATATTTGTCTCATATGCATAGAAATTAACTAGTATGCATCACTTCCAAATGATACAGAGAGATCATCTTGAATGGTAGGATTATGCATGATTTTAAAAACACATCAGGTGCATAGTTCTTTAAATTTCTAAAATAAACAGACTTTTTAGGCTTAAAATATTATGTAAAAAGGAATTTGTTAAAATTCACCACAATAATTTAAAGAGACAATATACGTTCAGTGGCAAACTAAATTAGCTGTGTCATCACCTGGCTTCTATTCCAGTTTCTGCCACTTGTTGGCTCTATGACCCTAAATAAGCCATTTATCGTTCTCTAAACTTTGGTTTCTTCAGCTTAAAAATAACAACTGACAAGACTTGCCATTCGGAAAGCTGCTTTGCAAACTGTAAAGTATCATATGCATATACGCTATTATTTTGTGTGTGTGTGTGTGTGTATGTCTGAGTTTAGAACTCCAACCTAAGTGGACCTTATAGATTAAAGCAAAAATCTACTAACCCATACCTGAAAGCCTCGATTCGGAATTACCTTAAACCCTGCACTTGTTTAGCCATATGCAGGAGCCATCTTTGGTTCAGTACACCTACACATGCCGGCCTGTTAACAACTGGCTTGGTAGCCAAGAGAGGAATGACAAATTACATCCAAGGCTATGCGTGGGGCAGATGGGAGAAAGATCAAACCAAGGATGGCCTGAGCTCAGACTCCATAGGATACCTCAAGGGAGCATACACGTACCCTAAAACAGTCCGTGCCTCAGTGGCAGAAGAGCCTTGTGGTGGAAAACACACTGCTTTTACACGTGAGCTACACTGGGAGGAACACAGTTCTTTGCCAACCCTTGTTTGCTCTCCTTTTGAAGTTAGATCACTGGTGTCAAATAAGTTGGGAAAGAAATAAAGAAGGTTGACTTTATTATTAGCTTGACAAAGCTAATAGCCCATACATGATACACTCCAATTGTTAGCTTGACAAAGCCTATAGCCCATACATGATACACTCCAAATTTGATATATTTTCTTATCAAACAAAACAAAATGACAGTGAATTTTAGCTTAGCAAGTTGCATGTTCAACAGCAGCACTGATTCATAGCCAGGGCTGTTCTATAATCAGGACTGAAGAGTGGAGTGGGGAAAGGTACACTCCTCCATTCATATTCGGCTCTTCCTTCCCTTCACTTTCTCTTCTCTATCCACGGGCACAATGCTGAGAACAGCTATAACTTGCAGTGTGTGGAGAGGGATGAGGCATTCATCTGTCAGACAAGCTATCCAATTTTTCTGACTTTTCCAGCTATTTTCATAACATAACAGTGAGCTCAACTTATCCATCATTCATTCATCCATCTATCCATTCATGTATTCATTCATCCATCCATTCATTCTTCAAACAACTGTGTGTGCCTGGGGGAGCCCCCCACCAACATCACTGGTGGCCTCAATATTTTCAATGAACACACATCAGCCTACAAGTGAAGGGTGTATATCACCGGCCTGTGGCCAACCGCTGCAGGCACCATACCACTTCTAAGTCCTGTTATTTGATTATCACCAGCTTTATTGGCCACAGAGGGGAAGGGATATTATAGCTTTGTGGCTTTTCAGAGTTCGGTCCTTAGTGAACTGCCAAGCCTCAGCAGCAACTCCCAGATCACAGGATGGGGGATTTTTATGACCACATCTCAGTTCTCACCAGAAAAGGCAAAAAGGAGGAAGCAGGTGACACATTATAGGATACACAGCAATGGATAAGCCTAACAAAGCCAGTCACTGCCATTCCCCCTCTTACCTTTGTGTTCTCTCCCTCCCACATTTCCTGTCAACTCTCCCAACATCCCCTCCCAAACTGTACTCAGAATAATTTACACGGCCTCAATCTCAAAGAGAAGGAAACATAAGCTGTTTATGATATTCCGTATTATGCTTTCGAAAAATATACATGGCTCACTGAGCTTACCCCAGTGTGAGCAACTCCTCTCAGCGATCCCTGAGACAAGGGGTGTGCGTGTGGGTGAATGTACACATGTGTGAGACCAGCTAGTGGCAGTGGCACAGGGTGTGTTTGTGAGTGTGCATGTGTGTGTGTGTTTATGAGAGAGAGAAAGAAAGAATGTCGGTGTGTGACTCCCCCACTCACTCTTTGGAGCCTGAGAGGCTCTCCTTTCTCAGAGCAATTACTACAAATGATTTATGTGACCAGTCAAAAGGGCCTGCCAGGGTTCTTATTTCATCTCCAGAAAAAGGAACTCTGCTGGAATGTTATCAGGGAGCTTGGGATTAAACTGACAGCTGCCTTTTGTTTTCCCTGTGAAAGAGCTTCTCCTTTGGACTGTGGCATTTGGTTTCTACACAGACAGCCAGAACTTAAGGTAGGCAAAGACTAGCTAGACAAGGGCCACAAGAGAAGGGAAACATTTTTAAATGGGGAAGGAGAGGTTTCTTTCTTTCCTTCCCTTCTGTATTTATCTTGAGAGGATGTGCTCTTAGCTGCTGATTTTAGGAGGCAGCCTAGCTTATGCGGGATTGGAATATTGTTTATTTTTTCACTGTACAGAAGCAGCCACAGCACCACACCTCTACCCTCTGTTACCCATGCTTATTTTGCTAGAGAGAAAACAAAGGCCCCTTCCAACGTAGCTTATGGAGATGTGACCCTGGTCCCCACCCTCTGCTAGATTGTGCACCGGCACACGTCAGTCACGGGGCCTGGGGCGGGAAACAAGGCAGGATGGGAAACAGTCCATCGTAAGTACAGGCAGGAAAACTCTGTGGACCCAAAACCACGGAAACCATATGTGTTCTCACCCTCTGAGACCCAAACTCTAACAGAGCATTGTTGTTTTCATAAATACTCAGCTGCAGGCTTGGCTGGCCATAACCCACCCCACATGTGAGCCCCCACCTTCCTGACTCCCACCTGGTTTGCTGTGTGAAGAAAGCACAGGGGTGGTCAGTTGTTGGGCTGATTAAAGAAATACACATTTATACCTGCACGTACACACACACACACACACACACACACACACACACGGATGCTCCAGTGACTGCATAATAAAGCTTTGTAGATGAATAATGGTAAATACAAATTGAGGAACCTCTCAAGGGATCAAGAGAAGAGTTTAGTAAAGAGAGGTTGTGGGTGGATAGTTATAAAGGGAAGAGAAATAAAGAAAGACATGGACTGTAAAATCATCTTTATAGTCTTATATTCAGA
The DNA here is from genome assembly GCF_000001405.40 of Homo sapiens. Lineage (NCBI taxonomy): Eukaryota > Metazoa > Chordata > Mammalia > Primates > Hominidae > Homo > Homo sapiens. The sequence goes on from NC_000004.12 coordinate 139,810,084, forward strand.
CATTCTAGCGAAAAATACATTTTTTTTGACTTGTGATTTCCAAATTTCATTTTTCCTAATGCTTTGCCAAGAGGTATCATGCAATATGTAAACCAAAATTGATTTTTTTTTTTTTTTTTTTTTTTTAGAGACAGGATCTGGCTCTGTCACCCAGGCTGGAGTGCAGTGGCCCCATCATAGCTCGCTGCAGCCTCAAACTCCTGGGCTCAAGTGATACTCTGGCCTCAGCCTCCTGAGTAGCTGGCACTATAGGCACACCACCACACCCAGCTAATTTTAAAATTTTTTTAGAGTCAGGGTCTAGCTATGTTGCCCAGGCTGATCTCAAATTTCTGGCCTCAAGTGATCCTCTCATCTCGGCCTCCCAAAGTGTTGGAATTACAGGCATGGGACATCATGCCTGGCCTAAAATTAATTTTTATCAATATATATCTGTACAGGTCTTCACAGCATATGATACTGTGGTGTGTTCAGAAATCAGAGCACAGAGGGATCTGTGAGTGATCACAGAAGGATCCCAGAGAAGGAAACTAACACTTATGGAGGGCACATTATGTGTCAGGTATATATCTTCTAAATATTTTCCCCTTTATTCTTCTCTACAACTCTATGTGGTAGGTTTTTTATTCTCACTTTATAGTTAGGGTTATAAAAATCAAGTGAATTTAAATAATTTGTTGCCTACTGTGGTAGACACCACTGGCTGCCTAGCTAATATTCCTTCTCTTCAGTAGAATCCTGATTGTACTTGAGGAGGGATTTTCCTGCCTCCCTTGCAGCTAGGGATGGCTGTGTAACACAGTTCCAGCCAATGAGATGTCTATAGAAGTATGCTGGGAATTTGTGACTGGCCCTGCCCTTTTCTTCTGTTGTTTTCTTCATTTTCCTCTGGCCTGGAGCACAGACGTAAGGCCAGCAGTGAAGATGTCATTCTGTGACCTTGAGATAACAAGCATGAGGATAAAAGCCATGCATTGGGTAGGAAGACAGAAGGAGATATGAAATAACTGACATTGTGCATCAGTTACATTTCCTCTCATCTGCCTGTGTCTGGCTTCTTATTACATGAGGAAAATGAAACTTTTTAAAACTTACGCCACTGTTATAGAGTGCTTCTAACATATAAACAAAGCAATCTGAACTGATACCCTATTACAGGGCAGAGCTGGAATTTGAACCTAAATTTAATTTACTAAGGGCCTCCATCATCCTGTGTTTCCAGAGTGCACACAGTCTAGAAAAGCCTTGGACAAGGGGGTGAGTGTGGGCTGGTCTCTTCAGCCCATGGCTTGAGTACTATTAGCTACTTAGGCTGCTCTGGAGTTACGGTCTGGATCTCAGGTCAGAATCCAGGGAATTGGTTGGTTCTGATCTGTGAATTTTAGACAACTTACTGGTGAACCAGGGAAACCTGACTTAGGTTTCCTGGGATAGTTCTAGAATCACATTGCATTTCTTAATTCTGAGGCAGACCCGTATTACTATGGCAGCTCCAAGTGGAAATATTCCAGAATGAAGGACTTGCCAAGTAACCTGACAATTTTATTTTGATGCACATAGATGGTAAAGGTATTTCTTAGACATAAAGGGTCAGATCATAGATTGCAGTTAAACATTGAGGACTGAATACATGTTTATCTCCATTTCTTTTCTACTTTACTTCTCACACTCCACAAAAATGACAAAAGACAGAATTTTCTGAAAAGCAAAACTCTACATATTAAGTGTCAGAGAGGAGACAAAAACATATATGAAGTGTTAACATAATTTTGGGAACTAGAAAGTGGATGAATGTGTGGTAACTAATTCAGTAGAGCAGGAAAAGCTGAAATTAAAACGTTCAGTGGGGGAAAGCCAAGGAGAAGTTAGCTAATGTATGTTAATAATCTTAAAGAGGTGCCAGGCATGGTGGCTCACACCTATAATCCTAACATTTTGGGAAGCTGAGGAGGGAGGATCACCAGGAGTTAGAGACCAGCCTGGCAACAGAGCTAGACCCTGTCTCTACAAAAAATTACAAAACTAGCTGGGTGTGGTGGCATGCACCTGTAGTCCTAGCTACTCAGAAGGCTGAGGCAAGAAGATCACTTGAGCCCAGGTCAAAGCTGTAGTGAGCTATGGTTGTGCTACTGCACTCTATCCACCAGAGCAAGACTCTGTCTCAAAAAAAAGAAAATCTTAAAGAGTCTAGGAATTGGAGGCACTAGGTACCTCTGATGATGAAGGTGCACATGGGGCTAAAACACAGTACGATTAGCTGAAATTCTGTATTAGAAGTCGTAGACCCTGAGACCTTCTCCCTCATCCCTCATTCCGTGCATAGTACATGGCCATCCTACTTTTCCCTCTCCACCCTAAAAGGGTTGGTGGTTTTACTCTTTGAAAAAGTAGAAACAGAGAGTTCTGGCACAAGGACACAAAGCGCAGTTGAAGTTGGGAGTGCTGTAATAGAAATGGGAATTAAGTGGAAATCTACAATTCAGTGGTCGGATAATCTTACCTCACTCCAAACCTGTCTGGCACTTGGCTTCAAGAACACTGGCAGCCACTGGCAGCCAGTCTTACAACTTCTAGACAGAAGCCCAGTAGACTCCTATCTAGGGAAATTAACCAGCCTATGAGGAATGACTAACAGATCTTGGATTCCCCACAGCTGGGTTTCAGGCCAATCACTGCCGCTTGAGAGTCCTTATGAAAACACAGGGCTCCAAGTTAGGCTGTTAGTATCTTACTCTTCACAATGAAGGTACAGGTAAAGATTGCCACACATTTAAGGAAAGCCTCTAATATAAAATGCAGACTCCGAATAAATAAATACAGAGAAGAGAGAAAGTAGAAAATAAAAGCAACAGAACATTTAAAAAATCTCTAATATATTCTCAGAAATGTAAAAAAAAAAAAAAAAGGGGAGAACCTATGAGTTAAGAATAGGATGGCATAAAAATAAACATTTAGAAAATTAAAATAAAACTCTTATAAATTAGAAATATAGTAATAGGAATAATATTAAAGGGTGGGAAGGTTAGGTTAAAAACATCTTTCAAAAATAGAACAAAAGTAAAAAATATGAAAAATAGAAAAGAAAAAGATAAGAAAATAGGGATTCAGTCCAAAAGGTACAAGATCCAAATAACAGGAGTTACAGAAACGAGAAGAAAAAATAGAGTAGAGAACATCATAAAATTATCAATGAAATCATAAAAGAAACTTTCACAGAACTGAAGGACATGAACTTTCAGGTTGAAAGGCCCAGAAAATTCCCTGAACAATGGGTGCAAAAAGGGCCACAGCAGGGAACACCACTGTGAAATTTCAGAAAGCTAAAAATAAAAGAGATCCTAAATGTTTCCAAAAGTGGGAATTAGAATGGCAGTGGACTTTTTGGTGGCAACCTTGGAAGCAAGAAGAAAATGCATGAAGCGCTTCAAAATTCCTCCTGAAAGTTATTTACAGCCTAGAATCCTCTATTTGGTCAGACATGTGAACAGAATAAAGCTATTTTCATACATGCAAGGCCCCAAATTTTACTTCTCATGTACCCTTTCTCAGGCAGTGATCAGAGAATACATTCCACTGAAATGGGGACTAAACCAAGCCAGAGAAGACTTGGAATCCATGAACTGGGTCCCCACAGGATCAAGGTGAAGCAAAGGCTCGGGGTGCCGGCTCTGCAGCCATCCAGACAGGGGCCAAAGGATGCAGGACTCCAGAAGGAAGGATCCCAGAAAGAAAAAGAAATGGATTGATTACCTGATGTTTGCAAATGTATTGAGAGAAGATTCACCCTTCTGATGAAGACTCTGTGAATGATTTCAGGACAGGACCACAAAAAACTGAGCAAGGAAATAAGGAAACAGAGCCAGTAACTGCAGAAAAAGCAAAAGTGGCAACAGAAATGTCATCAAAGCCCAACATGCAGCTAGCTACAGTACACAAACACAAACACACACACACACACACACACACACACACAGAATGATGATTTCACCAAAAGTTGTGATATATCAATAAGTAGGAAGATGGAAGAAGAGGAAGCGTATCTGAGAGGCAGAAAGAGAACTGTGGGTAGGTCTCCCTGTTCCATGGTAGAAAGTCGATAAGTAGTATCTAAAACATAATAATCAAGAGATAACTGCAGAAACACGTTATTTAGAAGTACAGATTCATACTAGAAGAAGTAGCTAAAAATTTGTAAAGCTTTGGAGAGCAGAAATCAGGATGGCGATGATGCTTCCTATCATATAAGGCTTATGCCTTACAGAACTCTGTGATCTCAAGTTATGTAACTACTAGCTGGCTAAAGATACTGACTAAAAAACAAAACAGCCAACTAGTTATCCCTGAACACCTAATCAGACTGAAGGTGACTCGAGTGTGTTTAATTCCCTCAGGCTTTGGAAGCCATCCCGAGAGGGTTTCCTGTCACGGGGGACGATTTCAAAACTCCCAGCACTGCTTCCCACAGATCTGTGCCCAAGCTTCTCTTGATTTGTGGCTGCTGTGTAGATATGAACGAACTGTAATGAACTGTGTGGTTCAGATACTTTTTGGTACAGCTACGATAGCTGAAAGGTGGGTAACACCCTCCCCCCACCACCAAGACTTGGTAGGCAATGCTGATAATGTAGTTTCTGGGGCACACAGTGGCTGGGAGTTTTCTGGGGACCTTCCAAATCCTACCTGCATCTGAGCTTTGTGACCCTCCCTTTGGATTCTTGCCAAAATAGTCCAGCAACTGCTCTTCCTTCCCACACCCAGTAAAGAGCGTAGGGCTGGAGGAACCTGGGCAACGGAAGACAAAGGGAATTTTCTACAGAGAGTTTTATATGCTATTTCCATGGCTGTGCTATAGAAATGAAAGAGTATCATTAGGGTTTAGAGTCTAATGAGGCAGCATTAGATAGGCCAAGGAAAAGTCACTCTATGTAAAATATAATTATCTGGAGAAGAAAAGTGAGTGTACTTGGATTTAGACCACATGAGAGCCAAAACCTAATTTTGATGAGAAACTAAAATTCTGGCTATGCAAAAGGCAGACTAGGAAGCTAGAAAGCCCGACTTATGAATAAAAGACAAATAGGTCTGTTCTGGAACTTGGTGTCCACTTAGTATCCATAACATGGATGGTTTGTAAATTCAGGAATAAGGGAAGGTAAGATCCTGAAGTGTACTGTGCTTGCTAAAAGAAACTGTTTTCAGGAATGAATCATTTCTCTTACAACAGGTAAATATGGCCTGCTGAATAATAATAGCCCACATTCATTCAGAGCTTATTATGTGCTAGGCACTTTAAAGTGCTTTATAAATACTAGCTTATTTAATCCTTAAAACAATTTTATGAGATATGGACTATGACATTTGCGTGAGAGGTAAAAGTTTCTATTTTATAAAAGAAAAGACACAAAGAAATTAAGTAATTTGCTCAAGATTACAGATAATAACTGGCAGAAAGGAATTCAAATCTGGGCTCCAAAAGCCCAGGTTCTTAATAGATCTATCTCCATCAATTATAAAATTAATACAATGATCAGTATGCAGAGGCCTAGGCAGAATAAGATATTCTGCATTCATGGTGCATTTTTTAAAGGTACTACTACTACTACTTTGTGTTTAGTATATACTTCAGATTCCAGTTCAGGTTTCCAGAACTCAACTGGGACAAAGTTAAAAGTTTTAGTTCAAAACTGAAGTTTCCTCTGAAGACGAGTTTCAGAAATCAGATCCTGGCTCCCTGCCTTGCCTACAATTCATCTTAGACCTCAGGAGATAAACACCAGCTTGAGCAGTAACACAGCAACAATACGGACGACGATGAGCATAATAAATAATACTTCTAACGCTTGAACCCTTGTGCTACCAGGAAAAAAAATAAAACACTCATTGTGTCGAATGGTAGAAATATCACATCTGTGCATATATTCACCCCAGCTCCAATATAATTCTAAGACTGCCAAGCTCTGAGACCTAGAAATGGTGAGTCAGTCAGGAGGGGAGGAAGAGAGGGGAGTGCGAAGATAAAAATAGAGATGTTGATTGCATTGTTACTAATTCAGTTTAGCTCCAACAGCCCAGCGTGGTGAGTCAACAGCAGTGACAAGACACAAAGAAGAAAGAAGCACCGTGCTCTGAGGGGCTGAGCGGAGGGGATGCAGACGGTCACATCAGTAACTTCATGCCAAAATGAAACCCGCAGCATCGAGGCTGTGGTGTGAGTTCAAAAACAAACAAGTGAAAGTGCCGAGGGATAAAATGGGCTGAAATCGATGAGCAGCAGTGCGGCCGACCCTCTGGTAAAAAGCTGCCTTTTGTAAGAATCCCCTGATTGTGGGGGATGGGGCCTGCAGATCGTGAGCTTAGAGGCCAACTTACACCATTCGAACAGAGTATTGTTTTCTCTGGGGTATAAGGCTTACTGTGATTCCAGACGTGTCGCCATGGCAGCGGTGGGGGAGGGAGAGAGGAAAGGAGGAACAGACGGGGGTCACCAAGGTCCTAATTCTCATGCAAGGGCCCCCACGGCTCAGCCCTGTCTCCCTGAGAAGTCCAGTGTTGTGCTGCATCTTCTTTCAAGACACCACTGATGTCAATCCAGTTCAATTTAATAGATCTCGAGTGCCTACTAAGTGTAGGTCTTTCACTTCTAATTAACATTAGCATCTGTTAAAATACCTAACCTCTGCTTGGTTCTAGAAAACTAAAAGGGAGAAAAAGACCTAGATTCCACGCTCTCAACATTTATCTTGTCCTATTCCCAGACTGTGTGGCTATACAGGTTAAAGATACATAGCCACACGGAGGGAATATAATGAATGGATGTATGTGAATGTGCTAGTCATTCCTAAATGCTAACTTTATATTACAATTAGAAAGAATGAGAGTCCTTTTGCATTCTTAGAGTCTACTGTGATGGTCTTCCTCCTTCTAGTTTGTCGCCTGTGTACAACACAGGCTAGGTGCTAGGCGACCCTTCTGAAACATACCTCTGCCATGATGTCACTCTGACTACCTTCAATGGTGATCCAACACCATTAGCTTGGAAATCAAGATCTGCCATAGCTGGTTCTGATCCTATCTACCAGTCTTCCTCTTCTGTTGTTCAAATGCTTCTATGTACTTAGAAGGGTGTAATAGGTAGAGTGAATGGATGGATGGATGGATGAATCATAAAACAGACAAACAAACATCAAAAAACTCACTTCCATCTCCATTTGTTGGCTCAGGGGTCACCATATCTCCCCTTCGAGAATAATTTTTTTTCCGTGGCTTTCATCCATGCAAATTCTGCCAGGGTCTAGGTTATACCTCAAAATCCATATGATCCAAATGAAACCCATGACCTCCACCTTCTGTATGTCAGTGACTGGGACCACTGTCGTCAATCTGGTTTCATAAGCCAGAAACCTAGGTTCCATCCCCATTTCCAAATATTGCCAAAGCCCTTTCACTGTCACCTCCTCCATATATATCACCTCCCTCTGTTTACATGTCCTATCCCTCCATTCAGTGATTTTTCAGATCAGAGGACTGAAGTCACCTCCAAATGAATCTCTTCACATCTACTCCCCTCCATCAGTTTTCTATGCCGGGTTAGGGGGATGCTTTAAAATGATCCTATCACACTCCTCCTTGAAACTCTTCAGTGACTTTCCACAGCTCTCAGGAGAGTGGGCAGAATCTTACCACCAACGCTGAAGCCATCTGACCAGTATGTCTTCCAGCTTTGCCCCACCCCACTTTCCTCTGGCTCTCTGCACTGGCCTCCTGGCAGCTCCACCTGCTCACTGTGTTCCTCCCAGCCTTGGGGACTCACTTACTGCTTCTTGTAGTTATGACTTCTTGTAGCTGGAATGCTCTGCCTCAGCACCATCCCCAGCTCATCTCATCTGCTGGTATAGTGGTTTTCAAACTTGAGGGTCTATCACAATTGCCTGGTGGGTTTGTTAAAATGCCACAATACTGGGCACCACTCCTGAGAATTTCTGATACTGTAGGCCTGAGGTGGGACCTGATCATTTACAATTCTAACAAGTCCCCAGGTGATGCTGATCCTGCTAGTCCTAGAACCACGCTTGGAGAATCACTGCCCCGGCTACCGTCTATTGGTTTTCCGGATCTCTGAGAAACCTTCCTTGACTGGCACCTCCCTCACTAGGCTAGCTTAGACATGCTCATGGCTGTCTACACATTTCCTTCACAGCACCTGTCCTCATCATGGGCTGTAATTATGTATCTGTGTGATTATTTCATTAATGTCTGTTTTTGTGGTTAAACTCCTGTGCCTGTGGTTAGGCAGCATCTCTGTTTTCTGTCCCCAGTGTTTACTAAGTACTTTGCCACATAGTGTGTGCTCATAAATATTTGCTAAAGCAGGACTAATCTCTTCCATGAGATTTTTTCTAACTAATTGAGGTCATATCACAATTCCTTCCTACTCATGACTATTTTACTTAGGAGAAGTCCATCCTCCTAAGAGCTGATACATTTTAGAGGTTCCCCAGGAATAGGAAAATCATCAAACACTACAGAATACCAATGAGAGTTGGAGAAAAATTGTCATTGTCAGAACGAAGGAAGTTGTTACAAAAGACACTAGTGCCTGCTATGAGGCCCACTTCCTTGTGTTGGGATGATCAAATGGGATATTATATGGAAAGAACTTAGTGTAATACCTAGAATGAAGCAAATACCCCAAAACATTCACTACTATTATGGATTACAGTAGCCTTTGCAACCTGGGTCTTGTAGTATCAGTTCAATTTCAAATATTCTGTCCCAAGGTCATATTTCTTCATATATTTTGTCTAGAAAATCTGGTTGTACATATGGCCTGTATCAAACATTTTAATATTCATACAGCATATTATACTTGACTAAATGCGGCAAACACTTATTAAGTGCCTATTGTATGAACTCATTTGGCTGGCATCAGAGGCGCACGCAAATGAATAATGATCCGATAGGGGAGAGAAACAAACAGCCAGCAAAAATGTAAGGCCGAATAAAATAAGCATGAAATGAAGGCAGGTATAAAACCTACAGGTATGGAAAAGGATGGATAATTTCTGGCTGAAGTGGTATTTGATTGGGCCTGGAGCGGGGAGAGTGATCTTGACAAGCAAAGAAAAGCAGCAGAGCATTTCAGGCCAGTCCAGGAGGAGGGAGCTTAATGGGCTGAGGTTCTGGCTCCCTGAAGTGTGTGGCTCACTCAAGAGAAAGAGAAAGAACAGTGTTCCTGCAGTGATGAGAGACATGGTGAGACAGAGAGGAAGCTGAAAGGTATTTGGAATCAGATTATATATAATCTTGAATATAATGCTAAGAGGCTAGTATTTTGTTCCATAGGTAGCATGGCTCCAATTGTATCCCCTGCATGAAGCTGCTTCGATATCTTATTTTTTTTCTCAGATTTGGCTTAGGGAAGAAGACAGGTGTGATGTCTACAATCATTTGATTGGCTAGATTTGCAAGGCTGGCCTTCAGCTCACTTTTAACTTCTTCTTGGGTATTTTTTTCCAATTGGACTATACTGCCACCCGATAAGTGGTCACACGTAGTTATCACTATTTTCTAAACGCCCAAGTGTTCTCAGAGATATGATTATGAAAACAAGATTAGCAAAAATAGCTAAGTATAAATTGGTAGCTTCTTAACAAATGCTTGACTCAGATTTCTCTCCAATCTAATCCTACCCAGATCTGAAGACTTTCTTTAACTGACCATGAGTGTTGATATTTTACACTTTATGACAAAAGTCCTTCCAGGACATACATGGTTCTCATTTATAGCTGTTTTCCCATGTGTTGAAGAACACACTAATTTTCTTCCGCTCTGATTCCCGTAGTATTAAGATAGTATTTTGATGACTTGGGCTTTCTCATTCAGGCAATGGTGCTGTACTCAGCACTCCAATACCCTACCTCTCTCTCCAATTTCCACCTGTAGTATAAAAAAGAAATTGCCTCCCTTATCCATATGACTGCCACTAGACAGGATGGTGGATATGAGACATCTTCCATGTTGGCTGTGCAAATCTCTAATGTGCCATTTCTCTGATCAGATAAAGGTTTGTCAATTGACCAACCTGTGTCAATATCATGGTAGTGAAGCAACTGTGACCCGAATGTCATAGATATCTCTGCTTTTCTCTGAAAGAGTCTGCTTTTAAAGAAATATGAAATTACAAAAACATCACCTTTTATCAGAATATAACTTCTGGTTAAATTCGTTTTAAGGTCAAGAAGAAAAATAAAGAGAAACATGAAGTATTTAATAGTTTCAAGGCTGATATTTAACTATCCTATCACTCATTTCACTGGGGACTTAGGCTGATGAAAGTGTTTCTTCAATTGCCAACATTTTCTCTAGGTTGTTTCCTAAAATCTTTAAGAAAGATTAGTTATGGAAACTAATCTTTAGTTTACGGGAATGAAGACTTATTCTTCATTTAGATTCAGACTTAGTTGTAGGAACAAATACTTATTCTTCATTTCACTAAACCAAAAATCCAACCTCAAGTTATTTACATTCTCACTTGTTGAAAATATTGGGATCGTATGTAGTTTTATATTCTATCTTTTTCACTTATTACAGCGTGGACATTTCCCTATGTTATCAAAAACTCTTCTAAAATACTTCAATAGCCATGAAATATTCTTTCAGTTGAATATACCATAATGTACTTAACCAGTTCTCTACTTTTGGTCATAAAGGTCTTTTTTTTTCCAATTTTTCACCACTATAGATAATGCTAGAGTAAACATCCTTATACATATATTTTTGATCACATCTCTAATTATGTTCTTAGGAAAACATTTCTTTAAGTAGAATCAGTAGGTCAAGGAGTAGGACCACCTTTGAGGAGCTCTCCACATACTGCTAAATTGTTCTATATCCATTTTTCATGTGTTCCATAGTAATTTCTCAAGTATCTGGTGACACAGTTTGAAATTTGCTATGAGAAAAACCATTGCCAAATTGATCGGAAGCAGTAACTTCTATTATCTAAGTAAATCTATTGTTATCACAATGGGATGGATTATTTTTCTGTCTGTATGGAGCCGATCACTAAGTTTCCATTCAAATTAATTAGATGAACTGTCTGTTACAAGGTTGTGAAACATATGTATTAGGCCAGGGGTCCCCAATCCCCGGATCATGGACTGCTACCAGTCCGTGGCCTGTTAGGAACCAGGTGGCACAGTAGGAGGTGAGTGGCGGGAGAGTGAGCATTACCCCCTAAGCTCCGCCTCCTGTCAGATCAGCAGTGGCATTAGATTCTCATAGCAGCACAAACCCTACTGTGAACTGTACATGTGAGGGATCTAGGTTGCATGCTCCTTATGAGAATCTAATGCCTAATGATCTGAGGTGGAAGAGCTTCATCCTGAAACCATCCCCCCGGCCGACCCCTGGTCTGTGGAAAAATTGTCGTCTAGGAAACTGGTCCCTGGTGCCAAAAAGGTTGGGGACCACTGTATTAGGCAGCAAGCTAACCTAAGTAAGCAAGGCCCTGCTGTGGGGCACACCTTTCTACCACACTCCACCTGAAGAACAGAAGAGGCTGAGAGCAGGAGAACACCAGGGAAGCTGGCCTAGGCTTCCTGGCCACTGGCCACTTCCAAGTTCAAAATCTGACTGTGGCATGGTAGCTGAGTAACTGATAACAACAAAATGTGCCAGGCCAATTTTTATCATTTACATAATGTGGACAATAGTGCCCATATTCAAAAGATGTGTGAGGGTTAAGTGAGATAAAATGCTTATCCCAGTACTATACTATTCACAACTATGTGAATTGTAGGCATCCAAGAACTACTTACTTTTTTAAATGATTATTTCCATGCTCACAACTGCCTATGGAGTTCAGTATTTGGAGAGCTGATAAAACCAGAAGCAAACCATCTATTTGGGACCAGTTTTTAAATTTTGCACAGCTTTCTTAGCTCTTTCTGTTGGTAAAGCAATTGGAAGTCAGGATAATCATCATCACCATCATCATCACCATTACTACCATCATGAGCATCAGGATCAACATTATCACCATCATCACAATCACCATCATCATCACCATCATGATCATCAGGATCAACATCATCACCATCACCATTATCATCATCAGGATCATCATTATCATTATCACCATCACCACCACCACCACCACCACCACCACCACCACCACCACCACCACCATCATCATCATCATTGCTATCATTGTGGCAAATATGGGAGTAGAGGCCATGGAGACAATGGCTCAGTGACTGGGCTGCTGCTGGGAGCTGTACCTCCTGTTCTGTGATTAATGCTGAGTTTCTGGGGTAAGTTCTGGGTATCAGGCCTCCTGAAATCCGCACTGTACCCCTCTGGGCAACAGGTTTGGTAGAGGAAGAATCAGGCCTCGTGCTTTTGAGTCTTAAGAGTCCCCTTATTGGCGCTAGACATACCAGCAGGGCTTTTATGCCAGGGTAAGTGTTCTCATACTTAAGAACAGCATCTGCTCCATCAGAATTGGAGCTTCCTTTGAATGCATTCCTTCCTTTGAGTGACCACAAACAAAAAGAAAGCAGCTGCAGAGGTACACACAAACATCAAGATGTTAGCAGGATGGCTGCCTGCACTGGGCAGAACAGGCTCACTTCAGGAATCAGCTCCACATCTCGAACCCTAATCAGGGAGGAAGACAGGAATCCCAATTTCAGTTCCAGTTAATGAATGGGAGAGAAGAATCAGAATTCTGTTTTCTTTTTCCACCAAATTGATGACATCGTTTTTACCATGCTACATGAAGCACAGCCCTGATTCTGAAGAGCAGAAGAAATAGTTTGCGTGGTATCTCTCCCTAAAGTGCTCCAAAACCAGGCAGGGGCCTGGGGGTATTTATCTTGATCCTTCCTATTCAGCTGAAATTGTAGAACACATGACAGGAGGAAAAAAACACATAGCTTTAAGATGAATGAAATAGACCAAATATATTGGACATTGTGTGGCTTTGTCTTTGGAATATCACTGAGTGTTAAATAACTCATACTGCTGGCTTCTTCCTTCTTAGAAAATCAGTAAATGATTCCTCATTATGCAAGTCAGTCAGATTTTATTATTACCTTAAGATTCTATGAATACGACCACTGTCAGGAATAGATAAGTTTCACACAGAAGGTTACGTGATGGACCACTGACAAAGGCAGAAAGAAACCCAGAACTCCAGCTGAGAACCCTGAACTGAATTGGGACTGCAGAGGCCAGCCCTCCACCTCAAAGGCAGGACCTACAACCATCCTTGCCCACCCTCCAACCCTGAGCTCTTTCATAAAGACACACATACAGAGTACCACTGGCTGTGGCAGCCAGGGCTGGAGCAACAAAGGCCATGAACTGTGACTGCTGCCTGTGTCACTTCTCTTGTGGGTCTGCAGCTTCTGTGTGTCTGCATGTGCGTGTTGGCATTCCTGGTCCTTGGTGTTTGCATGTGGGCTCTGCTCTGGGCAGGAGGCAGCAGAACAAGGGTGGAATTAAATTAGACACATCAGCAGCGTCTAAGCCTAGTGCCCTGGATCATCATTCCGCCTTCCCTCACCCCGCTCTGCTTTTTCTTTGTTCCATAGCACTTATAACTGTCTAACATACTATGTAATTTACACTCATTCATGATGCTTAATGTCTGCTAGAACGTAAGCTGCACAAGGGCAGAGTTCCTATTCTTTTTTATCCGCTCACAGATTTAAGTGCCTAGAGCAGTGGCTGGCACACAGCAGGCACTCTATAAATATTTGTTTAATAAATGAATGTTTATCAGCCATTCTAATTTAGATTCTAGTTAAGCAATTGATAGGTCTGCAGGCCAAGACCTGTTCACGTGTTTGAAATATTTACCCTCACCCCAACCCTTCAGGCTCAAAGCTGCTCCTGGTCTCTACGAAGCAGCTGGCTGTCCACAAAGCAATCACTACCACTTGGTAAAATTGAGGAGGAAGTAAAATATATACTGAAGCAGAAATTCTGGGGGTTCAGTAGCCTGGGTTGTTTTCTCTTAACATCTGATGACCATCGACACCCCACCCCCAGCTTGGAATTTATTTCAGAAGGAAATAAGCCAGGGTATGGTTCTGATCTATGATTCGAGAATATTCAAGGTTTTTGTTATACCTGCAAGTCGCTTATATTGCCACTAACTGCAATCAGAAAAGATCCTACCTTAAATGCCTTTCTATCCTCAGAATGCCGCACGCATTTGTTTTCAGTAAATGTTTGAGAATGATCTTGAAAGTGTGCAAGAGAACAGAGAATAAAAATAGAATCAAACCCAAGCTGGGCATCTCTCAGCGTCTCCCAGTTGCTGAGAGGTAATAATTAGGGTAACTATATAATTTTTCACCCAAGCCAGGACAACTGGCATAAACTGGGACTGTCTTGGGACGATTATACAGATGGCTCTCTTAGGTATAATCAACTTCCATCATATTAGAAGATGGGAAAGGACTAGCAAAGATTAGTGCCTCTGACATGTTAAAAGCTCTGTGGTTTGCATTCAAGGGTCACAGATGTTGATCAAAATATTCATATTGCCAATTTGCACTAATTTCAGTAGTTTGTAAGTATCAAGCAAGACTGTTCAATAAATGACCTAGCAAATTAATCTATTTTCCCCCATTAGTTTCTGACTTTTTAGCATGACAATATCAGACACCCTGTTAAAGAAAAGGCCCTTCAAGCTGTGTAACTGACGTGTTCGGATTCCTCCTTGGAGACGCATCTGTCTACTTACCACCCCCGCCCCAGCCCATATACCCCCTCCATCCCAACCAGGCCTCTATTTTTCAGTTCTTGCAGTACCATCAGAATAAGTAAAAAAGGACCCTGATTTTCCAGAGGGACCATGCAGTCTGAAAAGGTACGTCTTCAACATCATTAGCAGTTCATCTTCTAAAACCTCAGGGCAGCCCCTAGGCAGCCCCTCCTGCAGCACCCCGCCCCCTTCCACCGCCACCCCTCTCTTTTGGTGTCGGCTTATCAAATTAATGAAGCCTATCTAGACGGGAGGAAGTTGGGGTAGAAGACAGTGGCTTCAGAGCAATTCAATGCAAGCCCTTCCCTCTTAAAAAAAAGAATAATGGGAAAAAAATTAGAATTTCTTTCTCTTAGAATAGGAAGAGGAAAGGGAAACGGTATTGGGGGTGGGGTGAGGGGTGGCTGTGATTGTCTCCTAGTTCCCTGAAGGAGGAGATGTCTATTTACTTTCTCTGGCTGAACATTTGCATGTTAAAAAGGCACAGTGCCTTTGTGGGCAGGATTTATCAGGGCCACATTTTCTACTTGATAGAGCAGAGTGCTGGATAAGGACTCCAGGTAAAGGATAAAGCAACTTCCTACGACCTTCCCTCTCATCTTTTTATAAGATAGTCCCGTCTATCATGCAGAGAATCTGGGAGGCCAGATTCCGTGGCCATGTGTGTTTTTGCAGCACGTTGGTGGGTGGCAGGAGGCAGAGCCTACCCTCGGCCGCAGGCAGCCATGAGCTGGGTGGTAGCTTCCTCCTGCAAGGCACGGAGCACAGGCCAGTGCCATTAGAGCCTCCCCATTCCCCTGTATCCAGAGAGGCAATTTGCAGCGCGAGGTACAAAACACATCAACATCTCTCATCACGTCACTGACCTAAATATAGACAATGACTTCAAGGAAGAGAAGAAGGAAAAAAAAAAAAAAGTTGCACGTTCTTTTATACCTGCAAATGCTGCCGAGCTCTTCAAACAAGCACTGGCAATGAGGAACAATAGATAACCAGTCAGATGTGAAGGGAGAAGAGAGGAGGCATGGGTGTTCTGGGATGATTGCTGTGATAAGGCCATTATAGTTTCTCAGTGGAACATCAATCCTCATTTGTAACCCGGGGTCGGGATATCACTTTGGGAGCAGTTTCGTGTTTCTTGTCGGCTTTTCCATGGGAGCCCTGTGGGAGGAAGGGGGTATCTGTCGTGGATCTTCTGGCTAAGCTGGGCTGGCCTCTTCACTGGCTAGGATGGGTCTCTGATTCACAGAAGCTTTTTCCTTCGCACGTGAGAAGATTGTGCTCTCGGTGTCTTTGTTACTGAGCAGCCTCCCCTGGCATCCATTTGAGCCATCCTGACCCCGGGCCCCACCTCAGCATCCCAGGTCAATGTCCCTTCTACCCTGGAAAGCGGACATGGGCTGGCTCGCTTGTGTATGCCACAAGGAGTATCAGTGAAGGGTAGTTTTCCCTCACAGTGTGAATTCAGAGTTGGGTCAAGCCTTTTAAAGCTGTGTTCATAAGAGTGCTTACCTTCTTATTAACTTGGGGATTATTCACCTGCTGGGTGAACAGAAGGGCCATATTAGAAGCTTTTATGAACACGAATCGCATAACTAGGGACCTTGGGAAAGACACCTGAACAAAACATGGGTAGTATGGATAGACTGG
Source organism: Homo sapiens (assembly GCF_000001405.40). Lineage (NCBI taxonomy): Eukaryota > Metazoa > Chordata > Mammalia > Primates > Hominidae > Homo > Homo sapiens. The sequence goes on from NC_000004.12 coordinate 139,826,513, forward strand.
TGGCGTCAGCAATTAGGACACAATTGTGGACAATCAATTGCTGAGGAATTGTCACATGGCTCTCACATATTTCGAATGCTCTTCCTGTTCCCTCAGACAACTATCTGCATACGAACAGCCTGCGCAGAGGCTCCCTGAGTGTAACATAATTGCCTGCTAGGGAACCAGCAAGCCACTTCAGATTTAAGCTGTCCAGAACTCCATCATTTAGGCTGAGACACAAACCCATGCTCTTTTGTGTTAGCAAAACATCCACAAATGTGGTTTGTTGCTTCAGAGAACACAGACTCGACCCTTGCAGACACATACGGCACCATCACACAAAGATCCCTCTCCCTTTGGAAAAAGAATGGAAAATAATCAAAAGAACGCCACTCTCATACAAGATAGGGAAACTAAACGCGCCACTGCAAATGAAATAAAATAAGAAACAATGGAAGAATCACAACAAGAGTTGAGGACAAAAAGAAAGTAAGCCAGAAGTTCTAGGTAAAAATGAGTAACGACCATTCAGAAAAGGATCTGGCTAAAGCAGGGCTGTGAGTGCCCAAGGTTAATACAGAGTCTGATGTGCATGATAGGAGCGTCTTGGTGGCTTCCCTGGCACAGTGACCTCTGGCACTTACTGTTCTTCTGGAAAGTGAGGTGAAATCAGAACATAGAAAATAGGGAGGTGTATGTATTCAGAAATAAAGACACCCAAAGAGTGACAGAAAAAACGGCATTGGATTTCAAATACCAGTTTAAGACGACCACAACCAGAACAGGAATCTAGCTGCTCTATGATGTGTAATAGGAACAGTTCTCAGCAATGCCATTCACCAACAAAGACTGACTGCTGAGGGTTTCTGAAAAGGAGCTGTGGACTGGGTTAAGGTGAAGATGCTAAAAGATCCTGACACAGTAACAGGAATGTCTTTTTAGAACCTGTGCTTCTATTGCATTCCAGCTTCTCTATGCAGATTCCTGGAAACACAGTCTCTGGGATAGGTGAATGCAATTAAAAATTACAAAGGACTAGGGGGGAAAAAACAGAAAATAATTTGGTCAAGAAGAAATATGCCCAGAGTCAATTTTTTTCCAATCCAATATCTTTGTTAATTAAGCATTTTTCCAACCTATGATGAGAATACTAATAGTAATCTAATACTATACTACTCATTACTAATAAAACATATTTATGAAGTGGAAATATAATGTGCCTATTTCCAAAATGTGGTTATAAATGACTTACTCTAAGCCACGATTTAAAATGGTTTGAGAAATGAGTCTTTAATAAAGAATTGATGAGGATGATGACTGCTGATAATAATTCTATTTGGTAAGATGATGTGGTTTGCTATGGCAATTTGAGCTGAGGTGATTGCCTCAAAAATTACTGCAAGTAACTACTATAAGGAAATTTAATTGGTGATAAATACAGTGATGGTGTGTCAACTCTTGAAAAAGTGAGGCTGTAACTGAAGAATCCAGCATCATTTCGTCTTCTGATTATATTCATAGTCATTACGGTGCTGCCAAGATGTTATTTGTCTGACACACTTGCACATAGTAGGGATTTAAAAGGTGAGTGCATAGGCACCTATAATTAGTCCTCTATGTAGGTTCCTACATACAATTATAGTTAATCATAAACCCATTAACATTTAGAAAAAAAACAATTATAACATGGCTTAGGATGGAGCTGTAATAGCATTTGTGATAGTCAGTGACATGGATGCTCCACATGGTCAGAAAGCCTTGATGTTAGGACACCAGGATCTAGCCTGAGCTTCTTAAAAAGCATAAAACAAAGCAAAACAAAAAAATTCAAGTCAAACATGTCACCAAAGTTCACTTTTCTTTTTAATGGTATTACTACACTAATAGGACAGGGTGTTCTTGAGCAAAGCATTTGATAGAACTTCTTTGTCCATCCCTTTAGACAGAGAGAGCTAAGTGTCCTAGTGGACCTGTACAGATATCACATACACATTGAATCCTACTAAAAGACTAGGCATTGTCTGGATAGTGGAACTCCACGGAATAAACAAAGCCCTGAGCATCATGGAGTTGAAAGTCTAGAGACGCCAAGCAAATGAACAAATAGTTAAATACAACATAATAAATGATAAATGTTGCAATGACAGTGTGGAGTAGGCACTTCATGGAGACGAAGGTTGAAAATGGGCAAGAGAAGGCTTTGCAGAAGATGCACTTCTTTTTTTTTTTTTTTTTTTTAAAAACATAGTTTTATTGTAATGAATTACGGTCTTTACTCACAAAACAAAAATATACATGGAACATTGACTTCAAGGGTTGGTTAGGAAGTGGAAATCTGGTGGCCTCTCCCATTGTCATGGTCCTGACATAGGGCTAAGAATAGGTGATTCCACGCTTGAGCCCAGGAGGTGGAGGTTGTGGTGAGCCAAGATTGTGCCACTGAACTCCAGCCTGGGTGACAGAGTAAGACCCTGTTGAAAGAGGAAGGAAGGAAGGAAGGAAGGAAGGAAGGAAGGAAGGAAGGAAGGACGGACGGACGGACTAAGGGAGGGAGGGAGGAAGGAAAGAAGGAAGGAAGGAAGCAAGGAAGGAAGGAAGGGGAAAAGGAAAGAAAGGAAGAAAGAGAAAGGAAGGAAGGAGTAAGGGAGGGAGGAAGGAAAGAAGGAAGGAAGCACGGAAGGAAGTGGGAAAGGAAAGAAAGGAAGGAGGGAGGAAGGAAGGATGGAAGGAGAAAGGAAGGAAAGAAGGAAGGAAGGAAAAAGAAAGGAAGAAAGAAAGAAAAGAAAAAAGAAAAGGAAAGGAAAGAAAAGGTGATTCCTGAGTTAAACCTTAAAGGACTGAGGACTAGTAGAAGTTTTTAAGTCAGATCAAGTGTGGCCAAAGCATTCCAAGTAGAGAAATAACTGGTGTGAAGCCATGAAGAGCCTGTGTTTGAGGAACTGGCGTGGTAAATCGCAGCGGATGTTATGAGGAAGGGGAAGGAGATGAAGCCAGGAGGCAGATGAGGAAGCTGAACATACCAAGGGGTCTGGATTCCACTGTGCAGTGATGGGCAACTCCACAGTAATTCTGCTCCTATTTGCATTAGTGACTTGTATACTGGCAGAGTAAGCAGGAAGAATGACAATGACAAGAAAAATACAAATCTTACCAGTTCAGGAAAGTATTAATACCCAAATAGATTCACAAATGCTAACTGCTCTTGTGCTGTGCTAGGAAAATCTTGTCTGTATGTGGTTTATGTTATGTTATGTGAGGTTTATAATGGATTCAAGCACGTTTAGGCAGCAAACAAGTTTTGCTAATTTTTATTGAAGTCTGTATTGGTCAAATGACATTTGGAATTTTATACACAGATCTGGGAATATAACTTTTTAAAAAAATATCAGTTATTATCAGCATGTCAGAAAGAGGATAGCCTCTGTGACAATGGGTCAGATGGTCATGTTAACGTAACGAATAATGGAAGGAAGTGGCCATGTCTGAGCTGGGAAAGAGAAGCTAGAGAAATATGAAAGCTTTTGTTAGCTCTCTAGAGGTTGCCTATGAAAAAGGGGTAGATTTACTCCATGTCACAACGTAGGAACAAAGTGGAGGTTATATAGAGATAGATTTCAGCTGAGTGCAAGGAAGGACTTTCAAATCACTCCATATCCAAAAAATGAAACTGGATGACAGGCAAGGACTCCACGGCCATCTCATCAAAGAGTTTTGGAGGAGACTCCTGCTCTTGGCAAGAGGTTAAGTGGAGGACCTTGACAGTCCTTTCTCCCCAAAGATTCTCTAAAATGTCAGTACATCCTGGCTATATCAGATAACTGCAATTTCAAAATAATCAATGATCCTATACAATTTATATCTCTGGAAATCTAGTTCATATTAAAATAATCAATAAATACTTTTGCACGCTGTGCTATTTTTTTTTTTTTTTTTTTTTTGAGACGGAGTCTCGCTCCGTCACCCAGGCTGGAGTGCAGTGGTGCGATCTCGGCTCACTGCAAGCGCCGCCTCCCGGGTTCCCGCCATTCTCCTGCCTCAGCCTCCCAAGTAGCTGGGACTACAGGTGCCCGCCACCACGCCATGCTAATTTTTTATATTTTTAGTAGAGACGGGGTTTCACTGTGTTAGCCAGGATGATGTCGATCTCCTGACCTCGTGATCCGCCCGCCTCGGCCTCCCAAAGTGCTGGGATTACAGGCGTGAGCCACTGCGCCTGGCCTACACTGTGTTAATTTTTAAGGAGGATTAAAAAAAATAAGACACGATCCTATTATTTCTCCTTTCCTCAAGAAGGCATGCCAATGATCCCATGAACAATCACCGGCCTCTTACAAAATTGGGGAGTGATCCCAATTTGGCATTAATTAGGAAGCAGAAATCATTCAGACATAGTTATACTAGCAATGGAGGTTATAATGTACTTTGAGGATACAAAGGATTCCTTTGAGTTATGAAACCCAAACAAAAAAAGCAATATTGATAGAGTGCTTAGGGCATATTGGGTACTCCACATTCTGGCGATAAGGAGATCAGTAAAAAATGAGACATTTTCTCTCCCAAATTTGTATCAATGACACAATCATGGCCACCAAAACCCCTCAGAGAATAGAAGAGGTTTCAACTTTCTCATAATCAAGGGACAATCAATGAGGTCATGGTGAGGAGGTTTCCAATTACTTGTTGCTAAACCAGTATCAGTATCAATTTCATCCACCAGAGATCTATTTCCACCTATTATTTATCATAAAATCCTCAGGGTAAAAATTAACATTAGACTGCTGTTTTTAAACTTTTAATGATTTTTAAAAACCCAAATGAAGACCCTTGGATCTTTTTTGGGAAAAATAACACCTAAAATCTTAAAATAAAAAAATCTAAATTAAGAAAACATTTGAAGATTCACTGACACCAAGTGCCAAACTCAAACCCAAGATCCCAGTTAGAGACTTTAATATTAGACTCTCTTATTGCAGTTAGTTTTCCCATATGATAAATACAACACTGTCTGTTTATTGATAAAGGCCTAGCAAGATATTCTATCCCTGACCAAGAGGGTGTGGTCTTGCTGACTCTAGTGATCAAGCTGAGAACCAGAAGAGTATTTCTCACCTGACAAAGGAACCAAATATATGCACACACCGGAGCTTAACCTTAGACCCGAGCATGGGATCGCCTTCTCCTATGAGTACCCAAAGCCAAGATCCTGGGCGTGTGGCCAGGAGAAAAAAAATCAATTAAACCGAACATGATATCCTGAGGAACAAAGGCCAGCACTATTCCAGGGAGTTGATCCCTCTCACTCTTTTTTTTTTTTTTGAGACGGAGTCTTGCTCTGTCACCCAGGCCAGAGTGCAGTGGTGCGATCTCAGCTCACTGCAACCTCCGCCTCCCAGGTTCAAGCGATTCTCCTGCCTCAGCCTCCCAAGTAGTTGGGATTACAGGCACCCGCCACCACGCCCGGCTAATTTTTTTGTATTTTTAGTAGAGACGGGGTTTCACCATGTTAGCCAGGATGGTCTCGATCTCCTGACTTCGTGATCCACCCACCTCAGCCTCCCAAAGTGCTGGGATTACAGGCGTGAGCCATCATGCCCAGCCCCTTTTTTTTTTTTTTTTTTTTTTTTTTTTGAGACAGAGTCTTTCTCTGTTACTCAGGCTGGAGTGCGGTGGGGCCACCTTGGCTCCCTACAACCTCCACCTCCCGGGTTCAAGTGATTCTCATGCCTCAACCTGCCAAGTAGCTAAGATTACAGGCGTGTGCCACTACGCCCAGCTATTTTTTTTTTTATTTTTATTTTTAGTAGACAGGGTTTTGCGATGTTGCCTAGGCTGGTCTTGAAGTCCTGACCTCAGGTGATCCACCTGCCTCAGCCTCCCAAAGTGCTGGAATTACAAACGTGAGCCACCGCACCTGGCCCCTCCCATATTTTAATAAGGATTGTTTCCCTCAAATGTGCAGGAAGCTTGAGGGAGGAGTTGGGTGTATTTACCATCCGTACCACTCATTCCCCTAGGGTGGGAAGAGAAGCTATAAAAAGTGAAGCACCGTCCACCTTTATTCACTGTTTCTTCCCAACTTCGTTCTTCCCCTGCAGATGGACCTTGTGTTACCCACACTTTCCTCTGGGATTGACCCAACAACAGGAATTGTGCCTGGTGCCTACTTACTAAATCCTCAGCCTCAAAAGTAAGGATGTACAAAAGTCATTACTTAAAAAAAATTTTTTTAAGGTATGACCTTCATATTTAAAGTGAAATGTGCAGAAAGGCAGAGGTCCATACGAGCACATAATCTGTATAAACAAATGAACTCAATGGTTATTAGGCAGTCAGTTTAAGTATCTGATATTTGTCCACATCATCCGCAGTGATCAGCCTGGATTCTTCCTCTTAAATTTTAAATAATAACCTTGGAAGAAGGGAGACGCATCTCCTTTATTTCTAGTTAAGAAAAAACAACAGGCCAGAGAGCATAACAGTAATTTATGATTTTGCTGGTGTATTATCATCCACTAATAAGTGCAACTTGAAACTACCAATTATCTCATAAGAGGGGTATCACCTTTTCTGTTGTGAATGACTACATCGATAAACGGAGGTTCAGCTCCCTCACTCTTCGTCACGTCACCAGCAGCTTCTTAGCAGCAGAAGTGAGCCAACCAGGGAAGCAGAGGAAAAACAAAAACAGTCAACACACAAACACGCAAGTTAGCCCAGCCTCTGGCCCGGGAACCCAGAGAGGGGCTGGGGAAGACAGAGAAAGACAGGGGGAGGGGGCCGCGTGGAAGCGCCTAGAGCAGTCGGCAGGTCACACACACGCGGTGCTCGGCGGCAAACTCAGTTTACAAAGAGACATCTGTTCCATTACTCCAATGCATTGTGGCTAATTACATCCTGGCCCGTCTGTGAAATGACAGCCACTTATTCTCCAGTGAACCGTAAAATCTGTACATGTTCGATTTGGGGAGTGGGAGAGCAGAGGCGTGGAGGCTAGAGTGGGAGGAAGAAGGGGGGCAGCCAAGGGGAAAGAGAAAAGACAGGAGAAAACCGAGAAACAACACTTTCTGGCAAGATCATCACAACCCTAGTGGAAGGAATATGATGAGAAATACAGTGCTTCGACTCTGAGTTCGAGGCCCTAAGTTTACCATGCAAGAATTTATTCTCACAGCTGTTGCTTTTCCTTGTTATTCAAAGGCTGCAGTGCCAAGGGGTGGCCGCTTGAAGGTCTCCATCATCATTACGCAGGGGTTGTGGCTTGGGGATAGACCGACTTGCCCATTTGCTTCAGTCCCCAGGGGCTACTGATGGGATGGGGGTGGGGGCTCTCCACCAGCTCTTCAGAAGAATGAATCACAGTATCCCTTCTCACACGGGAACCTGAATTAGCAGAAAGCCTCTTTAATAGATTGTGCTTAGGCTGGGGGTGGGGCTTCCTGAAGAGTGGGAAGAAATTTGGGATCTTTAAGAGGAAAAACCAGTGAAAGAAGGGGAAAAATCAGGTTGGGGGCAGGGGGATGCTCCCCCTGCTTTCAGTTGACATTAAAACTTTATCCTAACAAAAACCCAAAATCACTTATGTAACTTTGTGACAGGCACAAGGGAAATAGAAATGGCAAATAGAGAACGCTGCCATTTTGAAATGAGACTTCAATCCAGCGTGGGTTTTAATAGGAAACTTATCTTCATTCCTACACAAAAGCTTTCTGCTAGAGGACTCACACACTTCTGTTGGAATCTATACTAGACACAACTGATGATATAGTGGTGTGCTACTGTGGTTAAACATTGATCTTTCTTCCTCTTGCAACAATACAATACTGTATTCTGTGGATCACAACTGTGGGCCTGAAAGATCTGGCAGCTCTCTGGAGGGAGGGGTTACCCAGTAGCTTTGCACCAGCCACTAGGCAGTTTAGTGGCGGTAGCACGTAGACTGGGCCACTTCTGTATGTGGCCTGGGGATCCCCGTGGCCGGCCAGCGCCCTCTGTAAGACAGCGCTTCTTGAAGGTGCGTTGCAGTCACTGGGAGCTGGCAAACGCAGATTCCAATTCAGTAGGTCTGGGCTAGGGCCTGAGCTTTGCATTTCTAACAAGTTCCAAAGTGATGCTGATGCTGATGGTTCCCTGGAGAATACCCTCCCTCACACACACCTGCCCAATCCTCATTAGGTTGGGCTAATGTGGGGAAAGGTTGGAATATAGCACAGTTCCTCCAACATGAAGCAGTGCATTTAATTGCTCTAGGAATTTTACTAATTTTGAGTCAAAATAATTTTAACAACTCTGTATCAACCACGGAGATGTCATAAAATTGATCAAAGGGTGACTACCCCTTTCTGGGAGAAGGGGGAGGGAGGGTTAAGTCTAGTTAGAGAGAGGGTATGAACCGTGAAATAGGCCCTGATTTTATGTTTACTCCAAGAAGTTAATTTTGATCACTGCAAAGGGAAAAGTAATCTTAAAAGAGTTCTGGACTTTCATTCATGTTGTACTAATATGTTTCCTGTTGGCTGAGGAAACAAGCAGCTCTGGCAAAAATCCCACTTATAGGGAGAGGGGAACAAGACAAGGGGGATCTCCCCACTTCTGATGTGTGTTCTTGCATAGTGTTTTGGATTTAACTAGAATGAACTAAAGTTTAACTAAAGTAAATGTTTTCACTAAGAGCAGGGGCTGAAGAGAGGTGACCCCTTCATCCCAGCTCAGGGATGGCCCTGTGTGTCAGCAGTGTGCATAAGCACGCTTGGTTGCATGCATGTTTATACTTCTGTCCCAAGTTGGTAGTGAATGAGTTTTAGTTTATGCCTCAGGGCGCCTGATATTATGCTACAAATTCTAAGTGTTCAATGAACACTGCTGACTGACTAAAGACATGTGAGCTCAGCTTTCATTTATTATTTGAGGCGTCCCGAGGCTGATTTTGTTTCAGTTCTTGTTATATTCCTTCCAGACTCTGAACCTATGGCTTTCTATGAACCAGAAAACAGACTAGTCCATAACTGAGGTTAAAAGTCCATTCTGGTGTGGGTCCTAATATACAGATACCCATGATAATACTATACAGACTGGAAAAATAGTTTTAAGGCTGAAAGGAGACTAGAGATGATCTAATTTGACTTCTCCAATTTATCAACGGGGACCTGCCCTATTTTTACTCGGTGGCCTATGGTCATTGAGGCTAAATGAGTAACTAGGTAGGGTGAGGTCTTTGACTTGAGAGTTTTTTCTGTTGCATCCTGCTGCATGTCCCCCAAAGTTTCATATAACTTTTCCAAAGAAGGCCTTAATTTTCTTCATACAATGACAGAAGAGTCAAATGTTATCTTCATGAAGGAACTGATTGTGGCTCAAAGGAAGTCAATTTAAACGCAAAGATGATGGGAAAAATTCCATCTATATAATGGAAAAGAGAATAACATTATAATTCAGGGAGCTGAGACTCAGGAATACATTTTGATGCTTACTCATGAAGGTGCCTGGTGAGGGGTCTGGGGACTGCACCACAGGGGGCCAATGGGACTGTGCAGGAGACAGCGGATGACACAGAACCTTATCAGGGAAGCCAGTAAAGGTGGTAGATCATGTGACCCTTGGCCCTCTAGGGCTGAAATGCCAGTAAGAAGATATTGAACCTCACCATTCTGTCTCTTCACTTTCACGGCAGTTTCTATAGATAAACTACATCATAAAGTGAACCAAAATAACAGACACATAAATAAACAGGTAAATTCACACAGGACCCCAAAGGTGTTATAGAGACCAGACACACATCTACATTTCAGCTCCTCAATCAATTTGTCTGTTTCACCCGCCTATCGTCTGCCAGCTCATCAGTAAATGAAAAAAGCTAGAAGGGGCAATTGGGAGAAAAGCATCAATGCCATAAAAATCACAGACCTCTGCAGTATAGGATTACTGGGGCAGGAGGTAGGGTGGTGACAGGAAATACCCTCAGAGGGTTGTTATGAGAACTATTTCCAATTCAAAACAACAATGATGATCCTCTTTATTCAATTATCAACTTCTGCTGTCTTAATGCCATGTTTTGGGGAGGTCAAATTACCAATTAAAAATGGCATACCACAGTTCCAGCAAGCCAGCCCCAGGAGGTTAGCCAAGTGCTGGAGCCCTCCTTTGATAGAATGGCGAGGGGCCTTTCTGGCTTCCTGGCTCTTGTGCCCTTCTCCAGAGATGTAGGAATGCTGGAGAGCCCGGGCCTATGTTGTTCTTGGTGGAATACAGCATCATTCACACTTACTAAGTTGCTACTGCTATTTGGCTATTTCTCTTAGACAGTATGAGAAACTTTCAGATCTTTAATTTGCTAAAGAATTACTACCTCTGGTCGGGTGCAGTGGCTGAAGCCTGTAATCCCAGCACTTTGGGAGGCCAAGGAGGGCAGATCACCTGAGGTTGGGAGTTTGAGACCAGCCTAACCAACATGGAGAAACCCCATCTCTACTAAAAATACAAAATTAGCCGGGCTTGGTGGTGCATGCCTGCAATCCCAGCTACTCAGGAGGCTGGGGCTGAAGAATCACTTGAACCTGGGAGGTGGATGTTGCTGTGAGCTGAGATCATGCCATTGCACTCCAGCCTGGGCAACAAGAATGAAACTCTGTCTCAAAAAAAAAAAAAAAAAGAAAAGAAAAGAAAAAAAAAGAATTACTAACTCCAATACTAAGCCCAACACCATCCCTATCAAAATCACTTTTCCTGGCCGGCGTGGTGGCTCACACCTGTAATCCCAGCACTTTGGGAGGCCGAGACGGGCGGATCACGAGGTCAGGAGATCGAGACCATCCTGGCTAACACGGTGAAACCCTGTCTTTACTAAAAATACAAAAAAAATTAGCTGGGCCTGGTGGTGGGCGCCTGTAGTCCCAGCTACTTGGGAGGCTGAGGCAGGAGAATGGCATGAACCCGGGAAGTGGACCTTGCAGTGAGCTGAGATCATGCCACTGCACTCTAGCCTGGGTGACACAGCAAGACTCCATCTCCAAAACCAAACAAACAAACACACAAACAAACAAAACAAAATCACTTTTACCGCAAGAGCACAGTTCAGCAATCAGATAAGGCAAAGAAAGGCACTTTCTCCTACATCACAGGAATATTTTATAATACTATTATAAGGATAGGCCAGGCACTGTGGCTCATGCCCGTAATCCCAGCACTGTGGGAGGCCGAGGCAGGCGGATCACCTGAGGTCAGGAGTTCAAGAGCAGACTGGCCAACATGGTGAAGCCCTGTCTCTACTAAAAATACAAAAATTAGCTGGGCATGGTGGCGCATGCCTGTAATCCCAGTTACTTGGGAGGCTGAGGTAGGAGAATTGCTTGAACCTGGGAGTTGGAGTTTGCAGTGAGCCGAGATCACGCCACTGCACTCCAGCCTGTGCTACAGAGTGAGACTCGGTCTCAAAAAAAGAAAAGAAAAAAATATATACATATATATTTATATGGATAATGAAAATCTTTTTGGCTGGGTAAATAAGAGTCATTCTGTACTGTCTGCTTAGATGGAAAGGCTTGAGCATAAGCTGGCTGGGAGATCTATTCATGTTAGATGAGGCTCCCAGCGAGAGCATGGGTACATCGGCCAAGCCTGGGTTGGGACATGTTTTCCCAGATCACCATTATAGGATGACACAAGGTAGCTGGAGGCCACCTTGTATGTGCTGTTCTAACAAGGCTCCCTCTGTTAATAAAGGAGATTTTCATTTGGTCCCAAGGCTACTCTTAATTGTGATATTAGCATGTAAGTGGATCTACAGTTAATTTTCGACCAGGCACTAGATTTTTAGCTTTATTTTGGGGTTTATTTCCTTGAAAATACTGCATTTCGGCAGTATTGCCCTATCTTACAGATGATTCCCTACCCTTGAGATATTCCCTCTGTCTCATATCATTTGGAGTCTAATTTTGGGGAGGAGCGTATCCATTAGATATTGCTCAATTCATCTTTTTCTTCACCCCTGAGCCTCCCTGCTTTGTTTAGTTTGAGGAAAGCAAGCCATTTTTTCTTAGAAAAAGGAATCTTAAGCTTAGTAAAATGCATTTCTGAGAACAAGAGATTCTGAAAGTGTTGCTGTTCAGGTCCCTGAATCAAAAATTTTTATTCCTGGTTCTTCTAAGATGCTTTTTCCATTCTTTCTCTGGTAAATTGGTTGCACTGTCCAAGTTTTCCATAGGAAAAATGGTGTTCTGCTATGTTTGGGACAAGATACTGTTCTGCATGTTCTATTTCCTTTCATCCTAGAATAGAAAAACTTTTATTATTATTATTGTTACTATAAAACACGCACTGCCACTTTCAAAGCATCCCCACAGAATCAAGATGTGGTGTCCTCCTCCCTTCCCTTGATTTGTAATGGTGAGGTTAACAATGGTGTTGTGGTTTGCTTGGCCCCTTGACATAGTGTCAGCAACATAGTTCTAAACAGATTTCTGAGATCTTCTCTTCTGACCCTTGGCTGAAGTCACTTGAAAACATTTACCCTAAAAAATTCAGGTGGGCTAAGTGCCAAGCCTTAGCCAAATCCTCAGTCAAGCTTAAATGTCTTAAGAGAGCTGACTGCTTGAAGCCAGGTGGCTTGCACATCTGCAAGTCTGATTCATGGACACCACTTGCCATCAAGAACGCGCTGGCATCATTCCTCATCAGAGCAGCCTGTGAGCCCCACACACGCCCCTCCCCACTCATCACAAGGAACAAGGTCTAGGTGAAAGATTCAGACAGCAGCACCGGATCCTCTGTTGGCATCAAAAGTCCATTGCTGTCCACCATGACATAAATCAGATCCTCCGGGAGCAAGGGGGTTGAGGGGCAAAAGTACTCTTGAAACACCACTACCAGAATGGGGGGCTAAGGATCAATTGCTTTTGCCATGTTACCCACACCTTCTCAAATACAAATCATCGTGAACTAGCTCATCTTCTGCTATACAGCACCCCATCCAAGTCCAACAGATTTTTTTTTTTTTTTTAATGGAGGGTTCTTTCGTTGGCATTCCTTTTCATCCTTCCCCAAGAGGAATCAACTTAGGGAGCAGATATGCAGCGTGTGTGTACACCCAGCATGTGTTTTCTTGTTCCCACCCTACATTGTTTGTTGAAATAAATATGGAAATAAGGCTGAGCAAGACAGCCAAGCCAGCCAAACTGAAATAAATTCATCACTCATGGGCTCTCAAGGGATGGAAACCGTGCATTTTTTTCTAAATGATTATTTCTGAAGCACTGAAGGAATGGCTATATCACTAATGAGGCCTGTACGCCATGACTGCTGATTATAAATGACCTGCAGAGAGACAAGGAGATAGTGGATATGAAGGGGAGATGGTGGCATGGAGGCGAGGGGAAGCAGCTGCTGTGGAGGCTGCAGCTGCTGGTGGCCAGCAGTGGGGATTACTATCCAAAAGCAACTCTCCCTGCTTTTCTGACCCAGCAGTAAGCCCTCAGAAGAGCATATAATTATTCTGTGTGAATTCAAGTGAGTGGAAAGGGGTCAAAAGCCCCCCAAAGATAGAAAAACGTCTTCTGTATAAGTCTGTATATCACCATGACCATCTCTGTCTTCCTGTGCATGGAAATTCTTGGCAGCATCCCAGGATCTGGAAAAGACCTGGATGGAGACTGCAATGACATATAAACCACACTAAGACACTACATGGTCCCCTGGCTTCTGGCCCCTGGGATCCTCCCTTCATAGCTACGTACTGGGCATACAGAAAAAGAAAGTGCAGATATAAGCAGCACAGTTCATAAGTGGGATGAGAGCTCTCCACAGAGCAGTTGGTAAATTCCAGGCCAGGTGGACAACACTGGACTTGCAAACTAGGTATCCTAATGCTTGGACTGATCAAGCCATGACTGATCTTAACAAAACTTCTCAGAGCTTCGTGATTCGGTGGTACTCTTACTTCACATGATGGGCTTTAGGGAAATGCCAAATACCTCCTGGCATGACCCAGCAAGAATCACCCAGACAGAAGCCCCGGTGCAGTGTGAGCAGCGGCTAGATGAAAAGGCCTGGCAAGGGGTATTCTCGACAAATGAAGGGATCCAGTTCCCAAGGGCAAGGGCAGGATAATGCGGTAGTTGCTTTTCAAAATGAGTGTATCATTGAACTTGAGAAAATGCACTAATTATCCTTACATCCTTATGAACAGGTGGAGGTGGGGAGGAGCTTTTGCAGCCTGTTGAACTAAGAAGCTGTGACAGGGCGTGAGATATGTCAGCAATGCTGGTGGTGCCAGAGGTTTCTGAAGGTAAGGAGGATGTTGCTCTCTCTGCCATGGTGGCCAGCGAGCCCTCACACAACATTATGAAAGGTCTCCAGAACCTTCTCAATTGCCGTGTGCATTGTCCTGCACATAGTTTCATGGACATAGAGTCACATGTGGCAAAAGTGAAGGCCTGGGCTCTGGCTCTTAATGCAACAAGCACTCTGGCTGCTCTAGGTTATCAGCAACTCATCTGGTCACAGTGATTGCAAAATGAACCAAGGATTCTGGGTGATCATCCTCCATATCCTAAATGACTAAAGGGATAACAACATAGAACCAAAAGATATGTGGCTTCCAGCATTATAAGGGAAGTATGGTCACCAAATTTATCAAGGCAATACTCATACATAGGGAGGCAAAAGGAGAAAGACATAAAGGACTAATTATAAAGGTTTACTTAGCTTACTTCCACATTTTAGCCTTGCTGCTGTGCAAGAAAAACACATGCATTTAACTCCCTCTCTGCAGACCTTTTGGGCAACGAAGAGCCACACATCAGCAAAAAGAAAAGCAACAAACAGCAGGCCCCAACATTCCCATTCTTCATCACTGGGGTGAATGCTATGTCCAGCTCTTTCTCTCTCATCTTCTTCATGTAGGGTCAAGGAACAAACAGGGGTTCTCAAATAATCAAACGAAGAAAAGATTTAAAAATCACCCATTTCAAGATGCAAGCGCCTTGCCTTGCTGCTTCCAACAGGAGAGCAGAGAGAATCCCACCAGATGCTGCTTCACTATCGGCGCTGACGCTTTCTAATGAATCTGACCCCTGGCTGCAGCTCTAAAAGGGTGCAGCAGTGTGTCAATGTAAACAGCTAAACCTAGTGTCACGTCAAGTGGTAACAAGGCCACTGCTGGTTTTTTACAAGCGCTGTGCACTTAGCAGATAAAAATGAGCATCCTATCGCTGGTCCCCACAAGTCACACTTATCAACAGTGAGAAGAAACAATGCTTTGTCTGATAGGTGTTGCTTGGTGCCAGTGACAGGAAGTTACATTTCTTACAGGCTGCCCATTAGCATAATGAAAAGGCAAGTAACAGCTGCATTAACAAAATCTTTTTACATGTGTCCACGGTGAGCAGCGCAGAGCTTCCTGATGTTCCCTCTAATAAAGAGAACTAATTACCCTCCACAGTGCCACCTGGGCTAGAGACAACCGATGTCAGGAAAGGGCTTTGACAAACACATTTATTTGTCCAGGACCAAGTCCAGGGCCAGCAACCCCCATTCTTCCTGGTATCAGAGTGGAGCCAGATGCACACAGGATCAATAAAAGGTCCAGAGTTCACTGCAGGCTGGGGGCAGTACCTGCAGACAAGGCATCCCCTGGGAAGACTAGGGCTTCCAGCCTCTGCAGGGGTGATGCTTTCAGAGCCCACACGGAGTACAGATCAACCTGGGCACTGTGACCTGATATTGGGTTGAAGTTCCCATCTGAAACAAGCTGAGAGGTTTGAGGATGCCAAACAAGGAGTTTAAAAGGGAAGGTTGTTTTATTCATGCGAACATACCTGCTTTTTAATAAAACAATGTTAAGCAGATAACTATTTGTTGACATTATTATCCCCTGATTTTACATACAAGGAAACTAATTATGGAATGGGTAAGTGACTGTATCACATATCTAAAAACAGAAAGAGAAGAGAACTCACGTTTACTGCATTCATGAGCATCTACTCATTATCTAGTTTAATTCTTCCCACAATCCTAGAAAGGAGGCATTTTTATTTTTATTTTTATTTGTTTTGAGACAGGATCTTGCTCTGCCACCCAGGCTGGAGTGCAGTGGTGCAATCTTGGCTCACTGCAACCTCCGCCTCCTGGTTCAAGTGATTCTCATGCCTCAGCCTCCCAAGTAGCTGGGATTATAGGTGTGTGCCACCACGCCCAGCTAATTTTTGTGTTTTTAGTAGAGATGAGGTTTCACCGTGTTGGTCAGGCTCGAACTCCTGGCCTCAAGTTATCCGCTTGCCTTTTTTTTTTTTTTTTTTTTTTTTTTTTTTTTTTGAGACAGAGTCTCACTCTGTTGCCCAGGCTGGAGTGCAGTGGCGCCATCTCGGCTCACTGTAACCTCCGCCTCCTGGTTCAAGTGATTCTCTTGCCTC
Source organism: Homo sapiens (assembly GCF_000001405.40). Lineage (NCBI taxonomy): Eukaryota > Metazoa > Chordata > Mammalia > Primates > Hominidae > Homo > Homo sapiens. The sequence goes on from NC_000004.12 coordinate 139,842,895, forward strand.
AGCCTCCCGAGTAGCTGGAATTATAGGTGTGTGCCACCATGCCTGGCTAAGTTTTGTATTTCTAGTAAAGTCGGGGGGTTTTCACCATGATGGCCAGGCTGGTCTTGAACCCCTGACTTCAGGTGATCCGCCTACCACAGCCTCCCAAAGTGCTGGGATTACAGTCCCCAGTCACCACGTCCAGCCAAGGCCAGTTCCTTTTGTTAGCTGCAGACGCTTTCTCCAACTTCTTTTCCCTCTAAAGAGAAGGTAAGACTAAACTGATAACTTATGGCATCTGTTCCTCCCAAAAGCTCTACGTGTACCCACCTGATAATGGGGCTTTGGCAATTACCTTACTGCTTCCAACCCAAGTCCTCAATCTACTATGGAGCTCAGCATGCGAAGAAAGGTGACGCCATCTATCTTTTGCCCAAAGCTGAGTACATACTAAGATGTGTCTACTCTCGGGTCCATGTGCTCAAATTTAGAAAACACACCAGAAAATAACTTGATATATCACAATTTTAGATTTACTACCTAGTCCCAATACAGGGAATTAGAATATTTCCAAAATCCTGAACTCAAATCCCAACTTACACTACTGACAGGTCTTAATTACCCATGTTTAAGGACAAGGCAAAAGTAAAACCCAAAACCTGATGAATTAACATTCATAATAAGTTAATCTAGCCCATATTTTCCCTTCTTAGTTCACCAACTGTTTTGCTAGAAAATTTATAGGATTACCTGTTCATAGATGTAGGTAATTATATACAGTTGGGGTTTCTCTAGAAATGACTCCTGAAGTATCTTAATTCGGAGTCTTCTAATGAAATTGCTACTATCTCCAGTTTAATAACCAAATTATTACTGTCCTGCTTGGTCTGATCACGTCCTAGTCTGGACCTCAGCTTCTGTTTCAAAAAATGAGCATTTCTTCACTTCCTGAGACCTCACTGTTTGGGTCTGATGAAGCAACTTCCCATGGACGGCATTGTAGCCATCGAGAGAAACCCCACTCACCAAAGGAGAAAGCTTGGCCCACAGGGCCCCTGGGAGGTGCCATTTTCATCTTCTATTGCACTGCGCTGACATTTTTAAATTATAATGACTCCATATCCCAAATGAGTCCTAAGAACATTCTGAATCAGCTAATTAATAAATCAATTGCTCTTCAGGATGGCATTTATCAAATTCACAACTAATATGTGAGGTGCGGGTAGAGTGGAAGTCTGCAGCTGCTACACCTCTGGCTCTGGTAGGACCCAGCTTGTTCCAAAACCTCTGTTGCACTCTGGCTGTAAGCGAAACACCTTCAAGTTTCTATGCATACTATTTGAGTCCATTGGGATACAATTTCATCATCAGAGACAACATCTTATGCAATAATGAGTAGTTGCCTAAAGAATGAAGAACAGGAGCATCCCTACTAATCAGACACTCAGTGTCCCATATGGTGATGGTAATTGAAACATCCTTCTGGTCACACTGTTGAACTAAGATTGAAATCAATTAGATGCCACTGTTTAGATGTTGGTGGCATTGTGCTGTCTTTTTCTTGGCACAGAGATGATGTGGGAGTTAACAATACCAAGCAAGGCATCCTACTTCACCAAGAGTGGACCACTGGTGAACTCTCAATCCCTTAAAACCTGATAATTTCTACAGGCTTCAGAATCACTGCCAACATCCTGAAAATCAGTTGTGACAATAAGGCTGTCAGAGCAGTGTGTACTGCTCTTAATCATCTACTTAGTGTCTCTTTCTTGGTCATAGACTGTACCTTCCTTACCACTGCAGCCACATGGCTCCTCTTCACATGCTGTTGTTGACAGTGTGGGTGGGATATAGGGATGGTGGGCAGCTGCCCAAATTTTCTGTTCATCAATAGTGGGATGACATAAAATGAGACCAGAAGACAAGACTGCAGAGAGCCTGGGGACAGGTTGAGTAAGAAGCAGAGAGCTGCTGTCCAGATGCCAGAGAGCTGAACAAAAGCCTGCCATTTGTTTAGTCCTATTCTGGCTCACACTATTCACCTTCCTTTCCTTTTGATATCATCAATATGGTTTTTCTCCTGGAAGAGACTTTCTATTTCTCTTTCTCTCTCTCTGTCTGTCTCTCTCTCTGTCTCTCTCTCTCTCTCTCCCTCTGCCCCAACACAGCATCCCTTTTGATGAGATAATGGGTGTTGACTTGCAGTCCAATACTTACTAAAGCCTGATGGCTCTACAAATTACTTAGACAGAATCTAATCCTGAGGGTAGGTATCAATGATAGGGTATGTGTGTGGGGAATCAGAAATGGCATGTTGTCCTACAGAGAGGTCACACCAAAGAAGTAAGAAGATGGGAAAGAAGAAGTGAGGGTGGTGACAGAGAGGGGGAACTAGACATGTGGCTGCATTAGACAGAGTACACAGAAGGGAGGCTCAATGTGGACATGGGAAAAGGTATATTCATTAAGAATGAAAATAGAAGAGGGCTTCTTTATTCAAGTTCTGGGTGTCTGAATCAGGTCAAACTGGCAGAGACACATAGGTAGAAATTGAAGTTAGAAAAATTAAATAAGTGCAAGGAAATCATATTTTGCTGTGTAAGTTCATTTCTAAACATACAGATGTCAGAGAGTTTTGATAAATGCTCATATTCTTTTCATGATTGTACTAAGATCTCACACGGTAAATGACATCAGGAGTTAGAATGGATTGAGATCAAGACAAAGCAGGAACCTACTTTGAATAAAATTTTACTCATCTCAGTATTTTTGGATGTTTCCTTTATCTGAACTAAAGCACTTCATATGATGTCATCTCTTATTTTCTCTTTTGTAGTCTCCTTTATAAATCTATGGTGAATGGTATAGAATAGTTTCATTGGTACCACAATCCCCTTATACCTGATATTATGATAATTCTGAAATACAAACTGAATAAATACATAGGTCATTTTCAAAATGATTTTTATTTGCTCAACAGATTGAATCTGTGCAGTAGTAAAATTACAGTTCGTTAAGTAAATCTTGAGTCAGAGTAAGGTTTAGCAGGGTAATGTTGATCTTTAACCCCTTCATCTAGAATATATTTTTAGGAGTGGGAGGAAATCCCAACATCTATATAAACAGAGAACTCAGAGTTTGAAATGCTCCAAGCAGACATAGTTATTTGTGACAGCTTGACAGTGACAAAAAATCCAGGAGCTGAAATGCTTTCTCCTCGGCTTATGAGTGGCTTTTTATGCAAATCTTGATAGATCATTTTATGCCTTAATTTTCCTACCTACAGATTGCCAGAAGCCTTGGTGACTAAACTATGGCTTATAAGAAGCTAGCACTGTACTTTATTTTTATTTTACTAGACAGACTCTATCACCAAACTACATATTTTTGTCTGTAAGAGGAAGAGTTTAAGAAAGAAACAACCTACTAATAATAGTTTAAATATTATTTTATATTTAAAGATGTATTTTATTTTATTTATTTTAATTTGTGAGACAGGGTCTCACTCTGTCACCCAGGCTGGAGTGCAGTGGCACAATCATAGCTTACTGCAGCCTCAACCTCCCTGGACTCAGGTGATCCTCCTACCTCAGCCTCCCAAGTAGCTGGGACTATAGGCGTGCACCACCACACCAGGATAAGTTTTGTATTTTTTGCAGAGACGGGGTTCTGCCATATTGCCCAGATTGGTCTCGAACTCCTGGGCTCAAGCAATCCACCCACCCTGGCCTCCCAAAGTGCAGGGATTACAGACGTGAGCCACCATGCCCAGACTAAAGATGTATTTTAAAATAGCCATTAGTTTATATGACTTTTGGTAGCAGACAGAGCTTTTCTTTACAGGCACAGTCTTTAAAATACAGCTCCATTAAAACATTTTTGCTTCTGGCCTTCTCCAGTATACTTCAAATACCTATTGCATGGCTTTATTAGGATATCCTTTAATTTAGAAAATCAAGGTGATTCATTGTAATCTTTTGGAGGAAAATTGTGTGTTTTCCCCAGTGAGGCCATGTCACAATTCTTTGATAGCACAAAGGTGGGGAAAACCCCAAAAGTGTAATGAGACTGGAGGGATCTGCTTCTTCCCACATCATTCAGTAAGATTTTCACAGTTCACACTTAGGATTTTCCGAATCTATGAGAAGACAGGCCAGAGACAGGGTAATGGGACTGAGTGCTGACTGATTTGCAAATGGTACAAATTTCACCACTTGACAAATCTCCCTCCCTCCATTCTTTCCTCTTTTCCTTTCTTCTTCCTTTCTCAGCTTTCTTCCCCCTCCCTCTTTCCTCCATTATTCACATTGTGTATCTATATTGTGTAAAAAACAAAACAAAACAAACAAACAAAAATATATATATGGTTCTTTTCTTCTGGGTTAGCCTAGACCCCAGTTTGTCCAGAATAGTGTGGGAAGTTGGGTGCAGAGGGCAGCATGGAGAGTACAAGATCACTCAGATTCAATCCGTTGAGCAAATCATAAAAATATTGTTCAAGGAGTCCTGCAAGAGTCACACGGAATCCCGCAGTGCTTGTTTTACACATGTTTCCATGCACACCTGATACTGTGTCTCTCCCTCAAACACTTGGGACCGCTCAGTTCATAGGGAGGTATCAGATAAACTGGAACACTGTTTTCTGGGCTTCCGTACAAAGCCTTTTAAATATGATTTAGAGAATTGGGAACTGATTAAGAAACAAAGTGCCATTGCTAGCACTAGGAAGCTGATTGCCCTGGTGAACAGGATCAATTAAGTACAGGAGGTAAAATCTTCAAAAATACTTTCTAGCTATGCCCTGTTGCTGATCACCAAATTCATGGTAATGGAAGAAAACATGCTTCACTTGATTATTGTGACAACTGAATACACTGCTGCTTCTATTGTTGTGAAAAGCTTGCTTGAAAAGGAAAGTTAATCTGGAGGGATGGATGACTGAGTGGCAAGCCTAGGTCACAAAGCACAGCTCTCTTCACCAGAAATCTACATGGGACTCAGGAAGAAACAGAATTCAGGCTATTTTGTTTGTTTATTTGTTTATTTGGTGGTATGTTTGATCTGGACAGGAGACTATTTTAGGGATCTCCAATCTCATCCATTTGATCTATTTTTCTTTTAAGCATGTGTGCTTAGGAAATTACATATTGTAAGCGACCCTGGGGTGTGCAATCTTATCTCTTTTAATACACTTTTCCATTCTGACAAGGAGCTTCAGTGGCTTGGAATAATCCTCTTCAATTGACAAAAGAAGCCCCCAATTTCTAAGTTTTTAAACCATTAGTGGCTGATCAGTTGCAACAAATATGCTGCCACTGCTGCTGCTGCACCTAATGATTGAATTTTAAATATTCATGATGGATGGATGTCTGTGTGTGTGCACAGAAATGACAGCATCGACGGCTGCTTCTCACCAGGGCACCGTTAAAGCTGAGGCAGAAGCTGCATATGTCAGATATTTTCTGGTTACATATTCCAGTCATTAACAAAATTATTCTCATATAGATCCAGAAGCATTAATGCGTGAGATATATGCATCTACAAACACAACAATGTTGAAATGAGCAGAGTCCTTCCCTCAAAAATAGCCCTTTAATGATTGAACAAAAAACAACATTGAACACACCAGCAATTCTGACAGTGGCTATTTTTGGGCACTGTGAATTTTGGTGATTTTAATTTTCTTATTTTTGCCAATCTGTACAAATTATTTTTCTAAGAAGACAAAAGTTCATGAAAAATCCCAAGCTAAGCAAAATAATATCATAATAAAATGTTGACCATTAAAAAATTCTTGAGAGATATGCACTTACGTCTTATATAAATAAACACAAAAGAAGAGAATAGAGTAAGTTTTGTCTAAGTTTTAGCTATGAAATAGGTGGGAAGTAAGATTGTTTTCCCTCTAAGACTAGAGAAAAGGCAAGTCAATTTCTAGAGGAAATTCAATACACAGGATATAGTGATCAGAAAAGGGACATGCTTTACGCTATGAAATTACACCAAATGTATTCTTTGGCCATGATTTTGGGCTCAGATTATAAACAATTAACACAGATTAGCTGAATTGAAAAATGCCCCCATTTTCAGCCTGCTAGAATGAGCCCCTACATCTTTTTGTTTCTTTCCCTTCTTGCTCAGCAATCTCTATGTCCCCTTTTCACTGCTCTCCTTTTCTGGCAATGTTCTTCCTGACATATATATTTAAACACTATTAGATCTTACTGTTTCTTGCACTGTGCATTAACATCATCTTTTTTCAAATGGATTCCTATTTAATAGTATATATGACTATCCTGATCATAGAAAAGGGGAAAAATAATGAACAAACATAGGTATTATAGAGAGCAAAACCAGACATACTTGAATTGCTGTGTAGGTGTGAATGCAAAGTTAGGTTTGTGATTCTATATTAGGATTCTAGGGGTTCTCTGGACCAGAGACTAAGTGGTTAAAAGGAAAACTGTATGAACTGCTTGGCTATGATTGGTCCCTAGGAACTTCCTGTAGAAAAGGATTAGAGCAAATAACTGAAAGGAGGGTCCAGACGCTGTGTCTACAAGAAACACGGGGCAGAGACAAATAAGACAAGATCTGACCTCAAAGCTGATAAACAGGTTAAACTGTGCTTCTGGGGTTGGCGCTCCCCAGTTAAGAGGTTATATCATGAGTTTGTTCACAGGAAGGAGGAATAGCAGGAATGGGTGATGATGAAGGTAAAAGGAGCCTCAGTAGGAAAGAAGAATTTTAAATGTTGAGTCTGAAAATTACTTGCACTGTAACAATATTGCACGTGATGGCAACAGAACCCTGAAGTACACAACAGTTAATCCAATGAGATCCACTGTAACTTAACCACTCAGATTTTAATTTGTCATGTTTGCTCTATCCTATCAAAATATCCTTTTATGGTTCATTTGTGGATCAGCATGCTTCCTTGTAATGTTACATAAAATTCTGAAAGGAGATTTTTCTGTAACTGTTAACATTTTAAATAATATTTGGTACATTTATAGGAGTTACAGAGAAAATGATCTTATGAAGAAACATGGCTTGATATGCTAACTATAAACAAATATACTCATGGACCTTTATACTATATAAAAAATGTGTTTCATGTCTTACATGAGATTTACAGACAAATAGCACTGGTATTGTCAACCAACTTTTCAGTTTGCTTAAAATTCTTACTTGCCTGACACTAAATTTTATTCAATTCAGTATATTTCCCCCCCTACACCCTATGTATTTGTAGCCAGTTGTCTTGTACCTGATATCACAATTAAAAAAAGAAAAGCAAGCAGTGTTTTATAAAATCTAAGTTTCTATATCATTTTGTGTAAAATAGATGTAAACATTTAAATAAAGCAAAACAACATCCTAAAGGATAGTTTCAAGTCACTATTACTGTCTCAGCACTCCTCGTTCATCCAGTTAATCTCACTCTGCATGACTAAGGTGACCATACATCCTGATCTGCCAGGACCTTCCTGGCTTACAGAAGTTGTCCTGGTGACCTCTTTGGTTAGTGCCCCTTTTCACTCTCAAAAGTGCCCTGGTTTGGATAATAAATTAGATGGTTTTGTCCAAGGCTATTAGCCCATGAGATAAGCTAGGTTGTTATCAACACCTAGCACTGGTATAAACCTCAACCTTATATATTCTTCTTTTTTTTTTTGAGACAGGGTCTCACTGTGGTGCCTATGCTGGAGTGCAGTGGCACAATCTCGGCTCACTGCAACCTCTGCTTTCCGGACTTAAACGACCCTCGATCCTCCCACCTCAGCCTCCCGAGTAGCTGGGACCACAGGTGCATACCACGAAGCCCGGCTAATTTTTTTGTGTTTGTGGTAAAGACGGGCGTTTCACCATGTTACTGAGGCTGGTCTCAAACTCCTGAGCTCAAGTGATTTACACACCTCAGCCTCCCAATGTATATTTTCTTTGCTTCCAAAATGATTGTTGAGAGTAAAGCTTTTGATGTACACATATACTTATGTTAAGACAGAAAGAGGATTATTTGCAAGATTAAAAAAAAAAAAAGAGAGAGAGAGCCCTCTACCAAAATGTAAGATATGGTTGACATTAGAAAATTACCCATATTTTAAGAGCCTCTTTCCAGAAAAGTGGGAAATTATGGTAATTTTACATGAACTATCTTTGGAGTTTTAGCATTCACTACTCTGGCAACTTGGGTTCTAGAACTTTAAGTATGCTCTCCTTTCAAATACTGTCCCTCCAGGCTCTCTGAAGGTACCAATGGTTTTATAATCTTACAGCCTTCTTTCTGGGGCTCTTAGAACTGACCAGAACTAGGAACTGAAGGCCAGCCTTTTCTTAAATATACAGCATGACAGTATGACCATCCAACTTCTTAAAGGTGTTGTTTATCTATGGTCTAGGTCAGCTACCGGTTTGCCCTGCATGTTTGACATCACAGATATAACACGCCACCTGGACTACTTCCTTCTTCAGGGCCTTTTAAGACTCTTCAGAGGAAGGCCAGCTCCTATTGGCTCTGCAAATCCACTTTACAGTGCCAGTGCCCAAGGCTGTAAGCCCTGGAGCTTGGAGAGAAATTTGGAAGAAAAGCAAGAGAAACAGCAACCAAATTGTCTTAGAATGTAGAATGTCTTTGGGTTGTTTTCTCTTTTCAAACAATGACAACCAACATACAGTTCATTATTTCCGTTTTCTAAACAGAGGACCATGTTCCTACTTGGCGATATGGGGCTAACATAAAGAATAAAAGTAAGATAGGCTGGTTGGGGGCATTGGCTCAGGCCTTTAAGTGGAAAATGGATTTTGTGTACATGGCTTTAGGACTACCCTTGAGATTACAAAGGAAATAGGAAAACATGGCTATGCTTGCAGACTGTAATCATCTTGGCGCATAGGTATATGTGCTCATATTAAAATAATGGCCACTTGTGAATGACTGATTGTTGGAGGAGTGTGAAGGGATGTTCCTGCCAGAAACTGACCTTAGAGATCTCTTGAGTGAATAGCTGAGGGATTGCTGATAGGAAACAGAGAAGTGAAAGCCGCTCTTCTAAGTTTGTACGTGGTCTCTCTCCAAAACAAACCAACGGGTTCTAAGACCCTGAGTACCTTAGGACTTGCTGCTAATTGAAATTTGAGCAGGACTGGCACCTTAGCAATCTTCACTCTGGCTCTATGTCACAGGCTAGAGTAAACATACAGAATAATACAGATGTATAGATTTACAAATTTGGAAGTACAAACTTTGGAATTATTGAACACTTGTTCTCAATTGCTAAAGATCCTTTAATCAAGCATATCCTCGCCAGGGTACTGAACAAAGCTGGATGAAAACTTTGCAGGGCATAGCAATTTTGGGGGTAAGTTTCTTGGTTCTTTATAACCTTTCTGCAAATCAACTTATGACCATGTCATGGTCACAGAGTAAAATGTAAAAGACATAGAAAGCACCATAGGTCCAAAGAAGTGTGAAACCTATTGTCGGTAACTTTCTGTATTTCCAAAGCTCACCAAAATTCAGAAGACTGTTTTTTTTTTTTTTTTTTTTTTTTTTTGAGACAGAGTCTCACTCTGTCACCCAGGCTAGAGTGCAGTGGTGAGATCTTGGCTCACTGCAACCTCTGCTTCCCGGGTTCAAGCGATTCTTCTGACTCAGCCTCCAGAGGAGCTGGGATTACAGGCACCTGCCATCATGTCTGGCTAATTTTTTTCGTAGTTTTGTAGAGACAGGGTTTCACCATGTTGGCCAGGCTGATCTCGAACTCCTGGCATCAAGTGATCCGCCCACCTCAGCCTCCCAAAGTGCTGGGATTACAGGTGTGCACCACCGTGCCTGGCCTGGACTGTGTGTTTTTAATTGCATGGTACTTTCTATGTTTCTAGACTGTTAGTAATCCATTCCAGGAACGTCACATTTGCCAAAATGCAGCATTCTGGTTATGTCTCTGCCTTTCTCACTGACTCAGCCATTGTGAAATGGAAAGAACACCTTAGGTTTGTCTCCTTGCTTTGTTTCCCTTTACCAGTTGGGCAATCTTGGGCAAGTCTTGTACTCTCTATGATGGGCCTCAGTTCTCTTATTTATTTTCTAATTGAAAAGAAGTAATGTATGTGAAAGTGATTTATAAATAGGAACACACAGTACACACTTTACTACTACCCTCTTGTGTTACAGACAAGACCTGACATTACAGAATGACTAGGTGACCAGAACCAGAAAGTGATTCAGTTACAGAACCACAGTCAGCCCTAGTATCCACACATTCCAGGGAACTCTACACTTCTCATTTCTGCTTCCCTTATACATACAGACTAAGGACAGGCTTCTAATCTGTATTCAAAGTTCATCCATTTCAAATGGTACCATTTAAAAAGTTGCTCCTTTCCTCAAGATAATAGTATCCGTTTCCCTTTTGAAAATGGTAAAAATCAAACTAAACTAACCCTGCTGGGGATGCTTGTATATATGTTCCAGGTAGGGAATAAATAATCCTTGTATTCTTGAATAAACAAAGAGACAGTAGGGCAGGTGGGGGGCCTGCAGGTGTATTTGCTGAGTTTGGTTGGGGGAGGGAAGCAGGAAGGAGGCTTTGAGGATTATGGAGATGGAGATGGCCTGGAGGTACCTAGGGGACATTCTTTAGAGGCTGGGTGATAAGAACACAAAAGCCTCTTCAGGAGGAGGCAAATGATCTCTGATCAACCCCAAGCTTTATCTCCCAGAGAAGCTGAAGAGAACAGCCAAGCTGATAATAACACCTCAGTGTTATTAGCACTTGCTGAGGACTTTAGGCACTGCAGTCAGAAAATCAGAGATGTTAATGGGGGAAGAAACTTCATTACCTTCCAAGGTTGGGGGAGTGGGAGTGGAGAGGGGTGTTTAAATACCAGCTCTGCTTTTTACCAGCTATGAGCAGCTATGAGACCTTGGATAAATTTTTTATTTTATTTTTATTTTTTTTTTGAGATGGGGTCTCGCTCTGTCTCCTAGGCTGGACTGCTGTGGCACGATCTCGGGTCACTGCAACCTCTGCCTCCTGGGTTCAAGCGATTCTCTTGCCTCAGCCTCCTGAGTAGCTGGGATTACAGGCATGCGCCATCATGCCCAGCTAATTTTTTTGTAATTTTGTAGAGACGGGGTTTCACCATGTTGGCCAGGCTGGTCTCGAACTCCTGGTCTCAGGTGATCCGCCCGCCTCGTCCTCTCAAAGTGCTGGGATTACAGGCATGAGCCACCGTGCCCGGCCACATTTTTTTTTATCCTTTCTATGCCTCAGTTTCTTCACCTGAAAAACTGAGGAATATAGCCTCACAGGTCATTTGAGAATTAAGTCTGATGTCTACAAAGCTTTCAGTTCAGTGCCTGGCATGTAGAAGTGTTCAAGAAATGTCAGTTGTTTTATTACCTATACAGCTTCCTCAGTTCTCAGTGAGAAAATGGAGGGCCAGAGAGGTGTAGTGACTTGCTTAAATCCACAAGGTTCAAATTAATGGCAAAATATGGGCTATAAACCTAATCTTGTGGCCACTATTACAGTCAATTTCCCCCCACATTCTATGCTAATTGTGATATCTAGTGTGCCCAGGGACAGGCATATATTGAGGGGACTGGATGTGCTCTCAGGGCCCTTCTAGGTCTACCATATCAGTGATGTTAAGTGACAGTATCATCCATAAAACCATCTTTCAGTGCTCTTTTTTAATGGTGAGGAACATTTTCTTGGATAGTCTCAAGCTGCAGATGTCCCACTCAATGCTGGTTTAGGCCTGGTGGCAACAGGGAGAGCACGACCACAGTCCCCAGTCCAGGAGACCTCTGTCCTAAGGGCAGTCTCACTCCGTGCCCAAGATCACTTACAGGGCTGAGTGCTAGTGCAGGAGGAAGGCCTGCTCTTTGTTGCAGAACACGGTGGTGGGGACTCAGGTCATCTGGTGGTCTCTCCAGCAGCATGGTATAGCTGTGAGACTCCACTGCAAGGATATCCTGCTGTGCTGATGGCCCCAGCCTGGTTGTGGAATCTGAGCCTTAGACTCCTCAGGTTCATTGGGACCATTCTCAACTCCCCGCCACAGCCTCCTTCTATTTCCTAAATCAGCCATGTGCTCTCACCCAGGAGAAAGGGAAATGAAGTTTGTTTAATCACTAATGTAGATCCACTTTCAATTCTAAATCAATGGATTTGAGCCTGGGGGTGGCTCTGCATCTTCGGCTCCATCTCTTACCACTAGAATTGAGCATGTTCAGACGTCTGCAGTTTCTAGGAGATTCATCAGAGGATGAATGGGGTATAGCTGGAGCAGGTGTTACATGTTAAGCAATTCTGTCCTCACTCTATTTGAATATGAACTTCATCCTATGCTACGTGCTGGTGTATAATAAATCTCAGGGTCTGACACATTTGGAGGTCTGAGGGAATGAAGCTGCAGTAAGATGAAAAGCATTTCATGCAAAGAGATGAAACAACGTCAGAATAAAAAGTTTATCAATGTATATATTAGAGAAAAGAAATTTGTCCAAGTGAAATGGCTTCAGGGATGTTTTACAGTTAAGGTATTTTAGAAAGACCTTTCTCTATTTTTCCTCTGTTTTTCAACACATGTATTAGATTTATCATCCTAGTGGCATATCTACATGCATTGCATAGTGTTCTTTGCTTCATATTTCCAAAGCATTTCAGTTTTTCAGGTTTAAAAATCACCGGAGAATTTATAAGGAGTGAAAAATATTCTGAAAAGGATGTTTGATTGTTGTAAAACCTCACATTTGTATTGCTTCCTTTACCTTATGAAGTGCTTTTATATACATTATCTCATCTTTATCATGGGCATCAAAGGTTTGCTATCATTTGGAGAGCATGTGCCTGGTCCAGGCCTGTGGAGACTACATTACAAACCCCTTCTTTTTAAGTTCTAATTTTCATATGGCAGCAAAAAATTTTATGAGTCCACAGGAAAACAGAATAAAGTTATTATGAGGAAACCACTCTATGCTTCCTAATAAAAATTCCGTATAAAAATTGTTCTATTCCAAATGTAGGCTCGGGAAAACTCCCAGTCACTCTTTAACACTGTTTGGATCCCACTCCTTCTGCTATACACGGACTCAGTCCCCTTTGTCTGGACCATCCCTCAGGACTCCAGATGGACCTGTGTTTACCAGGACTCTAGCTCATTCCACACTGCAGTGCAACTGTCTGTCTATCTCCACAAGAGACTAAAAGCTCCTGGAGAGCCATGCCAATGTCTTGTCTTTATCTCCCCTGTTCCTACCCAGCACAATGCAAGGCACTTGGTAGCTGTCCAGTATATGTGGAATAAATGGAGAGAAAGGCCCACTGGAAATGAGGATCTTATGCAAAGTGTATAGCATAAATGGGTGCCTGTTAGTGCAGTCAAAAAATATTCTTAAGCAATAAGATGAATTTAACTTGTCATTTACGAAGTCGAATTCAAATGGAGACAGAGGAGAGAACTCAGGAGAGGGATCCTCCTGTTGGAAAAAGGAGAACTACAAGGACCTGCAATGTAGAGACCTGGACGGACACAAGCAGCGACTGACTTTAACTCTCTCCTCTAGCATAAAGCAGTTTTCTGGATGGAGATATTGGGAAAGCAGAATGAGCAGGTAGCACTCAGAGAGTCAACTGTCAGTGATCACAAAGCAAATGGTTGTCTTCATCCTGATACGTTGTACTCAGGTAGTTAAAGGTTGAAGTAAAGTCTCTTGTCGAACTTCTGTGAAGTTGTAAAGTGCTGGAGTCAGAGCTGAAGCCACACATAAGCCCTGAAAAGCTTGTACCTTTAAGAAAATCGGCAATCTTTCACCTCTAAACTTTGTGATTCTGTGAAGAGTACAGGAGAATTATGGTGTCCCATTCTATGCACCAAAAGAAAGTACATCAACAAGTATAATCTTTGTTATTATTGAATAATTTGTAACTCTTAGGAGACTACAACTAATAACCCATATCTGTATGCTATTTTCTAACATTAACAGATGCTTAAGGCAACAATAAATCTAAATACACAAAGGGGAAAGCAAAACTGTCTATGTGGTTCTGAATTTTAATTGTAGGAGTAAAAAAATGAAGGAAATCCAAGAAAGAAAAAGTCACGAAAACAAAACATAAAAGAAGATAATTAATTAGCATAGGCATAATGAAGTTTTTGTAATTTTAAACAATAAATTCCACCCAAAGCAAATAGGAAATACAAATATCAGCGACATTAAACACCAACAAGAAAGAGGAGTGGGGAGCCAGCTTAACCTCTGCAACTGGTTTACTGCTGGCTGAGGCAGGAAGAGGTTTAAAAGAGATTAAGAAAGATAAACAGTAAGCTGTCTGTTGAGCCACTCTTTATTTGGCTGTGTGCACCCAGCCAAGCGGAAGGTCTGTTTTTGAGCTAGAGGGCTCAAATACATCCGACAAAGCCAAGAGACAGAGGATGAGAGGGCGCTTGCTCCAGAACATGATAGAGGTCCCCCACCCCACCCCCTTCAAACCTGAAAGGAAAGTTGCCACTGCCAGATTCTGATCTAGTGACTTTGGATTTTCTTCATTGGTGTATAATAAACCAACATATTGATAATAAGTTTTCTTACCTATTGTTTGGCTAAAATAGCTCTGTTGATTCTCAGAATCACAGAATTTCAGAGGTTAGACATTTAAGGTACCCAAGTCTCCCCATCAATTAATCAAGTAGCTATTTGGCCTATGACCACCTCCAGTGACAAGGACTTCATTTCCTCCTGAGGAGGTTGTTACCATCCTTGAGCAGCTCTGAATATTAGCAAAGTCTCCTTTAGATTGAGCCAAAATTTGTCTTTCTGAAATATCCACCTTTGGCCCCTAGATAGAAAATAAATCTAAGCCATCTACAATATGAGAACCTTTCAAATAATAGAAAATGCTATTATGTACTACTGGAGTCTTCCCTACTTCGGGCAAAACAGACCCAGTTCTTTTAACCTTCCATCATATGATTTTAAGTTTTCTCACCATTGTAGCTACTTTCCTCTGAAAATCCAATTTCTTTCTCTCTCTCAAGTGTGGCATTCAATGGACATATGCCACCTAGCGTGGTCTGACGAGTGCAGTCACAGTGGACCACCCCACCTTAATCTGGGTTACCATATAATTCCATCAGGCAACTGCAGACTGGAAAGAGTACTCGCTTCATTTACTGAGTATCTACAATGTGACAGGCGAGACAAGCACTTTAATGTGCTGATTTCAAACTGATTTCAAAACCTTATGTGTAAGTGCTACCATTATTCCTATTTTGCACCCAAGGGCACAAAGACACAGAGAGGTTAAGTAACTTGTCTAAAGTCACACAGTAATTGGTGTGCTTTACACTGATTCATTATGCACCTACTTTTGATTTGATAGATTTTGAAACTGTGAAGATCTTTTTAGATCTCCATTCCTTTCTTCAATGTACTGTATTCATTATTCCTCTCAGCCCTAGGTCATGTCCAATTTGATAAACATGCCCTTTATAATTTTATCCAAGTCATTCATAACAATTTTGACCAGAACAGAACTATGGCTGGGTAGCCTGATGATTCTTGGCTTTTTTTTTTTTTTTTTTTTGCAATGCCAATGGAAATTATTCCATTCAGTCAAACTATGAGACTCCACTTAAAAAATGAATTCATTGTACGTTCCTTGAATGCTAAGACCATGTCACATGCTTTTGTGCGTCCCACACAGCTAGTTAATACTCAGTAAAAATCACTGAAAGGAGTCCTGTGTTCTGAAGCACAAAGCCATGGAGTAGATTTGAGAGGGCGGCACTGCCTGAGGTCTTTGGGTTCCTCTCAAGCAGTGTCTCTGCTCCCGACCGCTCTGTGATCACCCGGGCAGCTCTTATTCACATGTGCCAGTCTATGGTTTCCGCATGTCACTAACCCTGCGAACACATCCAGGATACAATGCCTTCAACACTGGGAATCTCAGTGGACACTGAGAAATTTAGAATATGAACCACAGTTAAGACTGAAATTAATCATTACTGGATCTGAAGTCATCTACAATGAAGGGTTTCAAGATGAGCAGTATCTGTCTACTATGAACAAGACTGGAGTCTAGAAAACAGAGTAAAAACAGAAGTTTGAGGTATATCCCTCACCTCTGAGAATACCATCATGATTATGACTATACCAGCTCTCAGTGAATATCAAAAGGCAGCCCAAGTCATTAAAACCACACTCAAAAGCACCTCAGGATACCAGGAGTTGCTAATATAGTTAGTCAAATCATGTCCCAGGCATGCACTTCCAGGAAAAACATGAAAAACATCTCTGATTTTACCCTATGACACCAACATTAGCAGAGGTTCTACTACATTTTTTTTTTTTTTTTTGAGACAGGGTCTGGGTCTGTTGCCCAGGCTGGAGTGCAGTGGCATGATCACGGCTCACTGCAACCTCCACTTCCTGGGCTAAAGCAATCCTCCTGCCGGAGTAGCATAGGCCACTATGCCTGGCTAATTTTTTTTTTTTTTTTTCAGAGATGGGGTTTCACTATATTGCTCAGGCTGGTCTAGAACTTCTGGGCTCAAGCGACCCACCTGCCTCGACCTCCCAAAGTGCTGGGATTACAGGCGTGAGCCATCGTGCCCAGCCAAGTTCTACTATATTTTATGTAGAATACCTTGTATACTTCATATAGTATACCTATTACCATTGTGATAAAGAACACTGAAAATAGTGTTAACTTCAAAAATAATAACAAGCAGTATCTACTAAGTGCTAGGAACTGTGTTACTTGATTTATAGGCATTCTCTTATTTAATAGGCACAACAATTTTATGAGAAATATACTAAAATTATTCCCAATTTACAGATGAGTAATCTGAGACGTAAGGAGGTTAATTACCTTGCTTGTAATTAGCTGAGAACTAAAGCTTGAATCCTGCATTGTTAAACGCATCCTCTTAAATAATGTGTTAGCTCAGGTCTTCCAAAAAATCGACATCGAGAAGGTTTTAAACGTGTAAAGATTTTTTTTAGGGAAACCGTCTGTACGAGAGCAAACGAGAGCGGAGAGGCCTGAGCGCCACAGGGTGCAAGGCCGGAGTGACCGGACGAAGGCGTCGCGGGAGGGGCTAGAGGAGCAGCCACCGAGCCTCGAGTACCCGGGGGCAGGCGCGGGCCTCAGCGAGACGTGCTGCCGTTTCTATTGGAGAGACAAAATCTAAATGTTATCAGGAGGATTTTCATTTATCAGGAAAGCAACTCGAAAACCCACAGCCTGAGTTCCTGAAGCCCCTAGCTCCCTCCCAAGCCGCAGAGGCGTGGAAACGCCGTGGGGTCGGAGTCGCTTCCATGCGGATCCTGCGTTCACCAGCGCCCAAAAGAGGAGGCCTGCTTGGCTTCCCACCGCGCCCCAAAGAACGTTCTTCTGCAGATAGTCCCCTGGGTTCCCAGAAAGCCCTTGAGAGAGGGGCTTCTCTTGGCCATCTTCCAGAAAGTTCTCCATGAGGCATTTCCTGCGCCCTGGAGCCCATGGAAACAGGCAGGCAGTTGCGGGAGGGCATCCTCGCTGAACACGAGGCTGGGACACCAGTGGCTCTTCATCTTCCCTCTCTTATATTTTCTCTTGCCCCAGTCAAGCCAACCTTTGTTTTCCCACAAAATGAAGACAAATACGACAACCGTTTCCTTGATTTTGTTCAAACCTCAGGAAAGGCGGGCTTTGTCCACCGTCCTGCACCCACTTAGGCAGGGACTGGGCCAGGTGTGACGTCATCAATCTTCTGAGCTCTGGCTCCAGCTTAGGCTGTGCGCACACAATACGCATGCAAGGGCACTCAGTGGAGCCTTTGGATAAAGCTATGTATACATATACCTATGTATACATATACCTACAGTATGAGGTATTGTAGGTACTCAGTAAAAACACTGAGTTTGTTCTGTCCTGTTTGTGGTGGACGGATACTGCTCATTTTGAAACTCTTCATTATAGATGACTTTTGATCCGGTAATGATTAATTTCAGTCTTAACTGTGGTTCATTTTCTAAATTTCTCAGTGTCCATTTAGATCCCCAGTGTTGAGGTATTGTAGGTACTCAGTGTTTTTAAACTCAGGCAGTTTTATATACATAGATGTATATGATATATGTATATACAATACATGTATATACATAAAGATATATACATCTGTATATACTAAAAGATGAGACCTTCCTTTTCCCTGGCAGACCTGAAACCACAATGCGATCCATGCATCATTTTCCAGTCCTTGACTCTTGATCTTTCTGTAGTAGCCACCCTGAGACCTCGGGATCTCACTCCTGCCCAGCTGTCTTCATACCTCCTGGATCACTTCTTTCTTATTTCTCTTTCTCCCTGTTTTCTCTTTACTTGCCCTGTCTTTAAATGTTGGCATTCCCGAAGGCTCTATCCTCAACTCATTCTCTTCTCCCTGTATGATTTTATCCATCTCAGACATCCTTGGCCCCTGCTTCTTAATTTTTCTCTCTGCTCCTCCAAGCTTGCCTCACCATCTGAAATTCCACCTAGTCTACCCCAACATATCCTATCACTATTCTCTGTGTAAGGGTACTAAGATGTATGAATGTCTAACCAGCCGATGTGTGTGTGTGTGTGTGTGTGTGTGTGTGTGTAGTCTCACAGGCCTTACAACAATCAAGCAAAATAGGTATTAGAAATTCCACATTACAGATAAGGAAATCAAACTCACAGAGGTTTAGTTAATAGCCTGAAATGGAAAGTTGGCAAAGGTGGACCTTTATTTTGAACTGAGGTCTGTTGAAATTCAAGGGCAGCCTCTCCAACTCCTGTCGGGCTCTTGCACAGCTGCTTCTCCCACCTGCTGGTGGCTCCAGATACTCCCTGCTTGGTGTACCCTCAGTGGGCCTAGTTACCTTTTCCAGAAACGAATCTGATTATGTCTCTCCTTTTCTATAAGCCCCTGTTGATTACATTCCAGGATTAAGACCTTACGAGCTGGTTTGGCCAGTGGTTACCAAACTCATCTGCACACTGGAATCGCCTGGGGAGCCTTGAAAATTATCAATGCCGGCTGGGTGCAGTGGCTCATCCTATAATCCCAGCACTTTGGGAGGCTGAGGGGGGTGGACCACCTGAGGTCAGGAGTTCGAGACCAGCATGAGTAACATGGTGAAACCCTGTCTCTACTAAAAATACAAAAATTAGCTGGGCATGGTGGCAGGCACCTGTAATCCCAGCTACTTGGGATGCTGAGACAGGGGAATTGCTTGAACCTGGGAGACGGAGGTTGCAGTGAGCTGAGATCGTGCCATTGCACTCCAGCCTGGGCAACAAAAGCAAAACTCTTGTCTCAAAAACAAACAAACAAAAAAAACAAACTGATGCCTATGTCCCAGCCCCAGAGATTAAGAGTTCATTGGTCAGGGATGTGGCCTGTATTTTGACATTTTTTTAAAGACCCTAGGTTATTCTAGTGGGCAAACATGTTTGGAAACCACAGAGTTATCCACAGATGCCCCTCACATTCTGACTTTCTTATCTCTCCAGTAACTGCCTCCCCAACTCCAAACTGCGTTTGACCATCCAGCTCACTGTCTCGGAATTCCCTTTTTCTTGGACAAACTTCCACATCCTTTGATATTCAGCTCAAATATCTCTTCTGACCATTCATGTTGCCCTTTGTTTTTGTCACAGACCACTCATGCTATGCTGTAATCTTGCTGTTGACCCATTGGTCTCCCCAGACATGTGCTGGGTAAGAGTGGATACTCCTCCTCTTCACTATCTCTGTAGCTGCCACCCAGAACACAATGCATGGCAAAGAGGAGGTGCTCTGTAATGAACAAATGAATTAATAAGTCAATGAATACCCATATAAGAAGTGGAAAGGGCACTGGACTAGAATAGAACTAGAATAGGACTCTGGAGACCCAAATGTAGGTAGCAGTGTTGAGTGGAAAAGCTCGGAATATGGAGCAGTACAGGCTGGATTTGAACCTTGGCTCCAGTTATTAGCTATGGGACCCTTCTCAGGCTGTCAAAATACATCGAGTTTCACTTGCCTCTTCTACAAAATGGGAATAATAATAGAGATAACCCTGGCCAACATGGTGAAACCCTGTCTCTACTAAAAATACAAAAATTAGCTGGGCGTGGTGGCAGGTACCTGTAGTCCCAGCTACTCAGGAGGCTGAGGCAGGAAAGTCGCTTGAACCCAGGAGGCGGAGGATGCAGCGAGCCAAGGTTGCGCCACTGCACTCCAGCCTGGGTGACAGAGTGAGACTCTGTCTCCAAAAAAAAAAAAAAAAAAAATAGTAGTACCTTCATTACAGGGTTGCTGTGAAGGTGGGAGTTGATATATGTGAAATGCTTAGCATAATGTTTAACATTCAGGTGTTAAAAAATATGGTAAGTCTTATTCTTTGTTCATTTGTTTGTTGTGAGATTTCTGATTTCTGGCACATTACACACTTTTTCCTGTGCCCTTTTTTTTTTTTTTTTTTCCTTTTGAGACAGAGTTTTGCTCTTGTTGCCCAGGCTGGAGTGCAATGGTGTGATCTTGGCTCACGACAACCTGCACCTCCAGGGTTCAAGCAATTCTCCTGCCTCAGCCTCCTGAGTAGCTGGGATTACAGGCATGTGACATCATGCTTGGCAAATTTTGTATTTTTGGGAGAGACGGGGTTTCTCCATTTTGGTCAGGCTGGTCTCGAACTCCTGACCTTAGGTGATCCTCCCACAGTGCTGGGATTACAGGTGTGAGCCACCGTGCCCAGCTGCCTTTTCTTATTTATAAAATGAGCAGAGTAACATTGTTTCTTCCTCTCTCAAAAGGAAGATGAAAGTGGTGATTGCTCAAACACTCAGAACATAAAATGCTCTACAAATGTAACAAGTTACAATTAGTGTGCTATATTTGTGTTTACTTCCTAATTTCTGTACCTTCACTTTCTGTGGTAATACCAGAACATGGGTTTTTTTTTTTTTTTTTTTTTTTTGTACTAAAAACCCTTGACATGGGAGGGGAATATATCCAGAAACATTCTTGATGCCAAATTTGAACAAACTGCAAGAGCAGACAAGTTTCCCCACAAAACTCAACAAATTGTAACAAAATATTTCATTAGTGGGCACATCTTCAGGTCCATAATGATGTGACAAATACAGGACCAAAGAAACTTACAGAAGCTTGTAAAATAATATCTGCCATAAAATATAATTTTTCACCATAGGTGTCAATGACATCACTATTGTAGCAATTTCAGACATGAACTTAATAACATTTGTAAAAGGTAAATAGTGATGAAGAATAATAACAAATGATCATTTCATGAGAGCTACTTTGAGGTGGGTGACAGGCAGGGAAGCAGAGGCTGCAGGAAGATACAGACTCTGGGCCATGGTGTGGCTCATTCACAAACTTTCTGATGGGTGTGTTCCTTGCACAGGCTTCAAATTCACACTCCAGTATAATAATTAATTACTCATACTATGACTTACTTGTTGGCTTCACTTGTGATGAATAAAAATCTTTCATGGGCCAGGTGCGGCGGCTCACGCCTGTAATCCCAGCACTTTGGGAGGCCGAGGTGGGCAGATCACGAGGTCAAGAGATCAAGACCATCCTGGCCAACACGGTGAAACCTGTCTCTACTAAAAATACAAAAATTAGCTGGGTGTGGTGGTGTGTACCTGTAATTCCAGCTACTTGGGAGGCTGAGGCAGGAGAATTGCTTGAACCTGGGAGGCGGAGGTTGCAGTGAGCCAAGATCGCGTCACTGCCCTCCAGCCTGGCGACAGAGCGAGGCTCCGTCTCAAAAAAAAAAAAAAAAAAAAAAAAAGAAAAAGAAATCTTGAATGATAAATTCCTGATGACTAAAAGTCAACTATGTTCACTTACTCACTTCCTATAATTGCCATCAACATGTTTGGGAGCAAGAGGGACAATGTTACGCAGAATTATAGGACTCTCAAGGAATCTCAAATTCTCTGACTAGTAAGCTGATCAGAAAAAAAGTGAAATATGGATAAAAATACATTTAGGAAAATAGTAATGCAAACTTGCTTTTTTTTTTTTTTTTTTTTTTTTTTTTTTGCCACAAAGCTTTACTTGTTATGTTCTTCCCTCTTAAATCACTCAAACATTTTATTTATAAAACAAAGAATTTGTGAAATGGAGACAAATTATAATGTTGAAATATCATTAGAGTTTCCTTCAGTTCTACCAAGCATATTTGGGCAAAATTTAAAATATCCTTTCCTCTTTAATTCTGCAAATAGTGCAATTTCAAATACAGCAACTATCTTCTCTCTGTCTAGCTAAAAATTCAATGAAATACTTCACTTTATTTGTCTAAATAGTTATTCTTTTTCTCCTTGGAGAATCAAAATTAACCTTCAGTTGTGTTTTCTTTTAGGGGATACAATAAGGTGGAATGTTTCTTCTTGAATGGTTCAAGGGTCCAGTATCCATCATGAAAGAGGGGAAGGTGCAGAAATAAGATGGATCCAGGTGACCTTGGGGAGAAATCATTCCTAGTCCCTGCTTTTAGCTCCAAAACCATCCTTCTTTTGCCTTTCATATCCCTTGTCCCTGAATTACAGAGCCCTTTGACCTCTGTAAAAGGTTTTTTTTTTGTTTTTTTTTTTTTTCATTCTCTAACTAAACACAATAATAAATTAGGAGTCCCTATCTTTGTAGAAGTGGTCCAGGTTCTGGGCTTCTCCCTTCTTTTCATCAGCCTCTTTTTCCTCTTGTTTAACTCTTCCCAACTTATCCTCTTCCCCCCAAAATGAACTAGGCAGTCTTAATGACTCTGCCTTAATCTCCTCACCAAGTCTTTCTTCCTTTCTGCAGTTACGCCTTAGACATGCGCACTGAGGGGCTCCTGAGCTGGCCTCAGCCTTAGAGAGCCTGCTTGGGTCCTCCTCTGACCACATACATGTCTACCACCGCAAGTAGTCTGCAGAAGCAAGGCAAGAGCCTGTGTTCCCACCTCTAGACCATTCTTTGGATACCCGGAGCCCCAGATTCTCTGCTTAGAGAATTTCAAGTCTGTTTTCCCAGGTCCGTCTTCTGGAAGGTGGCCACACAGCTGTGTGCACCTCTAGGCCCAAAGAATGGCCAAGGGGCATGCAGGTGGACCTTGGAGGTATGGCCAGGAATGTCCCACAAATGTAGGAAGCTCCTGAGGTACAACACAGAGCCAGGGATGGAAAGGGAATTGGGTGGTCCAGGGAACCCAACCTGCAGAACCCCCAGGAGGCAGGGATTCTACATCAAACTGGCCTTCCCAGTGGCCACGAAGGTATACTTGTCAAGATCAGCTGATAGGACATATTGTACTTAATTGTTTGTTAGCTTGAAGTATAACAATTAAGGATGAGGCCTGTGGTACATCTGCACTCTTGCCTTGGGCTCCACAAATGTTAGGGAGGGACACGCTTGTCTCTCCTCACCCAGCGATTTTCCTGCAGATCTTCTCCAGTGCTAAATGCACATGGATTTAGGCAGTGAATACAGAACAAAGTTTGGACCTTCAGTGTGGCTGAGTGCCTATTCCTGGTAGCCAGGCCTTCTTTGCACCATCCCTCTGCCTCTTCAGACTCAGTCACCGACAGAAGGCAGTTAATTTGTAAACAAGGAAGATAAGCTGCTGTGTGTCCCCCAGAGAGGTTTTCACGGAGCTTGGGGGCTCCTGGGTCAGACCCCGCCCAAGATGGAATCTATTTGCGGCAGTAACCACAGACAGGTGACCTATTTTTTTCTTTATTGATTCTTCTCTCTTCCTCACTGTCTTGTTTCACCCCTCTTTTCTAAAGTATGTTTCAGACATAGAGGGAGAGGCTGTGATGGAAGTCAGCCAAGCGAAGACGAAGGGTGGGGGAGCAGTCGGCAATTCCAGTTTGACGCTAATGATTTGTGTACAATTCAAGGTCAGAGAATGATATGTGAGGCTTGTGCGCCCACCCACACAAGCATACACAATTTAGTACTTGATTATATCAGCATATAGCGCTAATACATCTCATGCTGCCTTGTTCACTTGCCTTTCCAATTAGAAAGAAACGCAGAGGGCAGGGACCACATGTTAAGCTTCTTTTGTTCCTCGCAGCACCCACCACCTTATTAGGCACATAATGGGCATTTGATAAATATGTTTTGTTAAAAGAGGCTTGCTTTAATGAAATAAAATGTGTTCTTGAAATGTGCTAAATAAAGTCAGTTTTTGTAAATGGAATCCGATTTTAATGATACTGGGAAAGTTGCAATGGGAATACTACAATAAATCCTTTTACAAAGCCAATAACCATTCCGTCTGGATTGTCATGTATTTTTTACCCTCTTGGACCTAAACCAGAAAATCTTAACCCAGGAATCATTGAATCCCCTGCAAATGTGTCCATGTTTGCTTTGGGAATGTGTATTTTTCTGGTGATATTGCTGTAGCTTTCATTGCATTCTCAAAGGGATGTGTTACTTCAAAAAGAAAAAAAAGTTAAAATCCATAGGCCTAGAGGGTGCCACAGAAATGAAGCTAAGGTTCTAGGAAAGTAATTTACCAGCTTTGGTAAGCAGAAAATGATAATCAGAGTTAACATTTGTTGAGCATCTGCTACATACCAAGCTCCTGACAGTCACCATATTTAATGTTGCCTGCAAGGTAGGCACTATCATCTCATTTGGCCAATGAGGAAACTGGAGAGGCTTGCCCCAGGCACATAGTTGTTAAACATCAAATGTGAGATCTGAACCAGAATCTGTTGATTCCAAATTTGGAAGTTTTCAATAAAATGGTTTCTGTTTCTCTGGTGCCCTACCTAAAATAATAATGATGACAATGAAAATAATAATTTAACTTTGAGAATATTATTATCACTATTTCACAGATGAGAAAACTGAAGTTAAGAAATATGTATGAAATTCAAGGATAGCTAATAACTTACTGAAGACCCTGCAGCTGGTAAGTGAAGGTCCATCCCCTGGCTGAGGCCACCGCCCCACACTGCCTTCACAGCCCCTGTGGGATGGCCTGGCTGCCCCGGGACTCTTAAACAAAAATCAGTGAACTGGGTCTTTGCTTCAGCATACCATAATTATTCTTCTGGAATTGAGTTCTCTTCCTTCACATTTCTCTAGAGAGAAGTCCAATCTGTCAAGCATTTATAAGGCACTTCTTTTGTACCTAGGGTTGTGTTAGGCACTGTGGGAAACAGGGAAACACATCTGTGGGTGTGAGTGTGTGTGTATGTATACATGTAAAACAGCCACACTTTTTAAACTAAAATCCTACATATTGTTTTAGACCATCTGATTACACTTAGGAGCTATTTAGGAAAATGGTGACTGTGCAATCAACTGTGCAAGTTGTATAAGAAACACTCCCTGTTCAATCTGCAAGGCATACTACCTACAAATTTAGCAGGAATTTAGAGACAGTACTGTTGATATTGGATATATATGGAAGTTTGGTCATAGGATCATTCAAGATTCATTTGACATTATGAATTCATTCCACTTAGCTACTCAGCTTGATACTACGAAAATAAATTAAAATGTGAAAGTGCTGTTAGCTCTTTGAAAGATCATAACATTGAAATTCAAGTTTAATATGTCACCTAAAAGGCAGTTTTACACGGAAGTTAAGCAAAGCCTGGGCCCTAAACTCAAAGGTCTCTGAGTTCAAATCTCTGCTCTGCCATTTACTAGATACGTGCTCTTAGAAAAAATTCACTTGATGTTTCTAGGCCGCGGTCTTCTCATATATAAATGGAGGTAATAATACCTTTATGACAAGCCTTGTGAAGATTAAATGAGGAAATGTGTGCAGAGTATGTGGAACAATGCTTGAAACATTGTCTTCACTTAAAAATTGTGGCATTTTGTCTTTATAACTTTGTGTCAAAAGAAATAGAATGTGAAAAAAAAATGAACTGGTAAAATTTCTCTCTAAAAATCAAAACAGGATAAAGGAGACAAATAAAATTCTCCTTCTCCACGAGTGATAGCAGTGGTATTAAAACACAATCCTTACAGTAAAAGCTCACAGGAAAAGAATTCTAAAATAAGTCTTTTCCTGTGCATAGGTTTATCCAAATTTCTTTCTCAATTTTATTTATTGCTGTTGACGTTTAATTGCTAAAATAATCTTAAGGGAGCCACAGAAATGGGTGGGGCACTCAAGAACTGTGCTATGGTCTTTCTGCATGTCAGCATTAGAACAGATTATTTCAATCCCATGTTTGTGTGGAAAGCATGCAAAGAGAAGATAGATTGACAAGCCTGATTGGTATGTTCCAATTCTTTTGCTTCCATAGCAATTTAGTATATGGAAGTCAAACTTCTTTAAAAATCCTAGTTTGCAGAAAAGAAAGGCTGAGTGCTGGCAGCAGAAGGTACATGATACTGGGGAACTCTACTCTTTACTCCAGTTGACAAGCAAGCAATTAGATCCATCGAGCTGCGGATCTATGTTCTCAAGGACCCAAGGAAGTCAGCTTTTGGAAGGCAATAAAATTTTTGTTTTTAATATGCAGTGTCCTTCAGTGAAAATGACAAGGAGGCTGAAGTAACTTTAGGATGCTGCAGACAAGAATTCTTTATCCAGAGATAAAGGTGAAAAGACCCAAGAAGCTGGATAAGAGCTAAATAAAAATGTCTTGCCAAAATGATGCTAGAAAGTACTAATTCTCAGACATTTGCAGAGTATTTCTCCATGATCAAAAGGCATGCAGACAAGAAATACACCAGCACCTATGTGCATGACCAACCAAATACCACCCCACCCCCGCGGCCAAACTCCAACAAAACACACGTAATATTCATTAAAAAAGAAACCTTTATCTGAAAGATGGGATGGAGGGAAGAGTGAGGGGGAAGAAATATAGAAAAGAATTGCAATTTGTTTTACCACCTATTACCTTCTAGGAGATAAAACGTTCTGAAGCTAACAGGCCACTGCCTTGGCAACAGTAGAAAAAAATATGAGATCAGAATGTTGGCTGTGATCTTGAGATGGCTTTCTTGTGCCCATTTCATTCGGTGAGTGTCAACATGTAGGCAAAATTGCATAAGGTTTAAGAGCTCAGGTTTGGATTCAAATAGGCTTTGCTTTGGTTCCTAGTTCTAGTGTTGACCATATGACCTTAAACAGACTACTTAACTTTACATGTCTGAATTTCAAGATCGTTTGAAGATTAAATGTTTCATGTCAAGGGCTTAGTACAGGTCTTGGCACATAAAGCGCTCCATGAATGGTCACTGTGAATATGTACCTTACTGTGGATCAGAGTTTCTCAGCTTCTGTACTATCGACATTTTGGGCTAGATAATGCTTTGTTGTGCAGAGACTGTCCTGTACATTGTAGGATATTTAGCAGCATCTCTGCTCTCTTACCCACTAGGTGCCAGTAGCAGCGTCAATTCCCCGTTCCCCTCACCCCACCCTACCCCTGGCCCCCAAGTTGTGACAACCAAAACTATCTCCAGATGTTGCCAAATGTCCAGTTGGTGATTGGGGAACAAAACATCTGAGGTTGAGAACCACTGCTTTAGATCAATCCAAGTTCTAGCAGATGAGAATAACTCCATTCTTCTTTTGATGTATTTATTAATATTTTTAAGCCTTGAAATGAAAAATTGCTTTTTAAGCATTAGAAAATGCATACTCTTCTTTTGAAAGCCTAGCAATAAATCCCATAACTATCAGGGTCTTCGTTTCCTCATCTTGAGCCTTATTTCAAGGCTCCCTCTGTTCTAAATTCTGACCTTGAAAACTCTATTCCTACCTCTTTCTTTTTTTGGACAGGGTCTCACTCTGTCGCCCAGGCTGGAGTTCAGTGGCGCAATCACAGCTAACTGTACCCTCGACCTCCTGGACTCAAGAGATCCTTCCACCTCAGCCTCCTAAGTAGCTGGGACCACACTTGACTAATTTTTGTATCTATATCTTTCATTTCACCAAAGATTTAAAACAATTTCTCACTATGAAGAAACTTATACAAGCAATATACATTCAACAGGAAAAATGAGGAAATTCAGATAAGCAAAAAAAGAAAGAAAGGAAAAGAAGTATCAGTTGTGTTTCCATTAGTTAGAACTACCTAGGGCTAACATGATGATGAGTGGGTTTTCAGATGTTTTTGGAATGCATGTTTGTGTGTACATACACAAATATACATGCAGTCACACAATACACACATTTTATTTCTTGTGTGCTTATCATTTTTTCATGGTATATCATTTTTTCATGGTCATTAGTTCTAGCTATCTCCAGACTTGATGCTAGACTATACATTTTTTCTCATGTATGACATTCCTCAAGAAGTGGTTCGACTCATATGTCTTTCTTTACCTACCACCTAGATAAGCCCCAAATTCACACTGTTACTCCTTTATTTCTCCACAGAAAAATAACTTTCATTACATGTACAAATGACAATTAAGCCAATTAGAGTAAACAACTTTTGGTCAATTCAGCTCTCACTTTGCCAGGAACCAATGGCCATCCTCAGTTTTTTTTAAGTATGGAGGTTTGGAAGTCAAATTTGACGCCTTTCTTCCTTTCCTGTCCCCACCCCTGCCCACAGTCACTTCCACAATCTCTTGCTTTTTCTTTGGACCTATTTCCAGGGTCACACGCAGTCAGGTCCTAATTATTTTGTTCCAGGTATGCTGTTTCCTAGCATCTCTCCTGCCAATCACTTTGATCGAGATAGTACTCTCCTCTTTTCAGAAACCTACAATGACTACCCATTGCTTCTTGTATCACAAGCTGAATCTCTCTAATGAGCTTTGAGGGGCTTCCACACTCCCCTGGGTCCTCCTCCCTGAGCTGTGTCTTCCTCAGGTTGCACTTTTTGTTCCTTATTAACCCTTCGCAACCCAGTTTCCCTACTCCCCTTTCTGATCAACAGTCCATTAAAAATAAGGTAAAACAATGCACAGTGCTGACGTCTTTTTAAAAAGAAGAAAACCCTAGGACACTAATACAATTATCCTTTTGCTTATGCTTCAGTTATCGGTTGTAACTACTTGTTACATTAATTGGGTGTATCTTTGTTACAGAGGATTAATAAATGTTTTATTTATTTATTTTAGTTTCAAAAACATGCCTTGAAATTTCACCAGATTGGGTGAAACGTGTTTACAATACTAGGAAGTGAACAGCAGGCACTAATTTTTTGTAGCAGTATTTCTCATCAAGGCACATGCATTTACCTAATCCAAAAGATGGCTAGCTTTCTCAGTTAAAAGGTATACAGAGAAATAACCCTTGCATTTGATCATTGTAACTTGGACAACATTTCACTCTATTGAATATAAACGGGAATCTGTATGCTGTTATTATTTTAAAAAAAATTTTTTAATCCAGCTTTTAGTAGAGGATAAACTTCTTAATGGCAAGGACCATGGCTTTTACTTCCTTTGTGAGGCTCACAATAATGGGAACACAGCTTCATGTGCAATTGGTCTTCAATAAATGTTGCTAGGTGATTCATATTTGAATGGGAAATGGAAAGAAAAGCCTGACGGACTTAAAGGATTTGTGTGCATGCATCTTGCTGTGAATAATACAAATGTGGAGAGAGATGACTAAGTGGACAGCATAGGGCATAGAGAGCTTTGGCCCCTGAAATACTCAGTAACAGGAAGTTACAGTGTGACTAACTGTAACCAGGTTGTGAAATGGAAAGCAGAGGAACTGGAGGATGTACTGGAAGAACTCAGGGGTGCACACAGAAGTGAACTGCAGCATCAAAGATGTAATGCCTTTCCGGGTGAGAACTTCAGAAGGAAGGACAGCACAGGGGACAAAGGAAGGGATAGAAATGATAAGTGTCTTAAAATGAAAAGGTGATGGAAAGAATTCTTAAGGCAGAAATAAAAATCCTATCAATAACAAGGTTGGGTTTAGAGTTAAAAAAATAATCACACGGCCGGGCACAGTGGTTCATGCCTGTAATCCCAGCACTTTGGGAGGCTGAGGTGGGTAGATCACCTAAGGTCAGGAGTTTGAGACCAGTCTGGCCAACATGGCAACACCCCGTCTATACTAAAAATATTAAAAAAATTAGCCGGGCATGGTGGTGGGCGCCTGTAATCCCAGCTACTCAGGAGACTGAGGCAGGAAGAATTGCTTGAACCCAGAAGGTAGACGTTGCAGTGAGCTGAGATTGTGCCACTGCACTCCAGCCTGGGAGACAGAGTGAGACTCCATCTCAAAAAATAAATAAATAAATAAATAAATAAATAATCACGCAGATATTTTGTTTCCTACTTTAAATAAAAGCAAGGCTTCACATTTGACCACAGAATGTTGTATTGCTTCTCTGCTATGTGGCACAGCTTTGATATCAGGTCCAGGACTGCTAAGTGAAAGAAAAGAAATTTCTGGTATGTTTGGAGCCTATGATTTCATCCCTCCTCTCACTCCAGCACATCTGATCTATGTATCCTCAAAAATGGAGCTGCTCACCTTTGCCAGCTCAGTTCTTCCCATCCTAAGCTTTCCTGAGCCAGTACCACTTAAGCATGTTATAAAATGCCAAAGCCATTCATGGTCATTATGGTGTCCACAAATATGTTCACAAATTCTTGACACTCCCTTCAGAAGGGAGAACCTAATCCCTCTCTCCTGGAGTGTGGCTGGACTTAAATTATTTTGCTTCTAATGAATGAAACAATGAAGAAACGAAGGTGTGTGATTTCGATAGTATGTCATGAAATGAACTGTGGCTTCCTCCTTGGTCTCTCTTGAAGCTGACTCAGGGGAAGCCAGCTGCCATGTCATGAGAAAACTTAAGCAGCCCTGTGGGGAGGTCCATGTGGTGAGGAACTGAGGCCTCCAGTCAGCAGCCATGGGAGGGAGCCACATATGAAGTAGAGTCTCCAGCCCCAGTCAAGCCTTCAGATGACTGCAGCCCACTTGACAGCTTCACGGTAGCCTTATGGAAGAGCCTGAGCCATAACCACCCAGCTAAGCTGCTCCTGCATTCCCTTGAAAACCATGTAAGATAATAAATGTTTGTTGTTTGAAGTGGCTATGTTTTGAGCATAAGTTGTTACACAGCAATAGATAACTAATATGGTAATCTTTCCAATAGAGCTCTTCTTTACTTTGGAGTTAAGTTTTTAAGTTTTATTAAAAGGTCTTTTCATTATTTTGGAATATGTGTTTACCTGCATTTAATATGTAAATGGATCAGATGTTATAAAATGTTCAGGTAAATTAAATCCCACCTTCTTTTTTAGCTTCTGATTTTAACAAAGAGAAATGATTTTTCTCATCTACTGAGGTACCAGAAACAATGAGGGTACTGTAAGGCCTCAAAGAGTCTAACAGACCTCTAGAGTTAGGAGTGGGGAGTGGCTAGATTATGTCTTGAGATGTTTTCCTCATTTAAAATCATTTAACATAAACAAAAAAGATGGCATTTTAATATTGTACTTTAAAATATGAAAAATAAATAGTTTTTATTTTAAATAGAGGTAAATTATGCAGGAGGAACAATCTTGTCAGAGCCAAGATTGATTTTTTTTAAAAAAATCACCAGTGAAACTTGCTAACAGTTGGCTTTTAAAAGAGAACAGTAATACACTTTTACCATTTTGTTTACAGTCCCTGTCTATAAAATTTTCACATATATATGATAATATATTTCTTCCAGAATCTTTCTATCTTTGTATGCACAATGCCTAGACACCACAGGCACATAAAATATGTTGAATGAATGAATGAATGAATGAAACTGGCTTAAAGGAAAACTGAAGAAACTTACACTCTCCTAGAGGATTAAAAAAGTACAAATCACACGATATGATTAATGTTTTTAATTTTAAAAACACAGTACATCCTATGGGTCTGATACTATTTTAAATGCTTAACGTAAACTAATACACAGAGTCATCCTAATATCTCTATTGATTATCATCCCCTATCTTTCCTTTTTTTTTTTTTTTTGAGATGGAGTCTTGCCCTGTCGCCCAGGCTGGAGTGCAGTGGCGCGATCTCAGCTCACTGCAAGCTCCTCCTCCTGGGTTCACGCCATTCTCCTGCCACAGCCTCCCGAGTAGCTGGAATTACAGGCGTCTGCCACCACGCCCGGCTAATTTTTTGTATTTTTAGTAAAGATGGGGTTTCACCATGTTAGCCAGGATGGTCTCAATCTCCTGACCTCGTGATCTGCCCACCTCGGCCTCCCAAAGTGCTGGGATTACAGGCGTGAGCCATCATGCCCAGCTGATCATCCCCATCTTCTAGATGAAAACCTAAAGTACAAACAGGTTATATAACCCGCCCAAGGTCCTGCAAGTTCTGAAGTGGTAAAGTCAGGATTTGAAGATCTGTTGTGGCTTCAGAGCTGACTCCCGACCTCTACACTCTGCCACCCTCCCTACGAAGGCAGCTCCTTATATGATCCTACCTGATGTCATACCTAGGCAGTTCTCAAGTCAGGAGAAGGTGGAAGTGGTGGGAGCGCTGCAAAAACGGAGAGAACTGTGACTGCTTTGCAGTGTTTTGGGGAATTGTGTTTATTCACCAGTTTCTCTCACTAGACCGCCAATTTAACACTCTGCCAACTGTCCAATTATTCATGTTCACGTGGAGCTAAGTGGGTTCTTCTCCAGCTGCACACCTTTCTTTCTCAACATAATTAATGAGGCTCATCAAAACCCTAGAAAACAAGCCCAGCGCACCAGCCACTCTCATTGACATGTTAATAGGGGGTCAGGTGCTCCTGACCTCACAGCAGGATGTTTATATGGCCCCAGGGCTGCTCACAAATGTTATATGTTGACTACAGGGTGTCATGAATAAGGGCGTTCCTTTCCCAGTAAGCAGCTGCACTACACACAAATGGCCATGGAAATCTCTGAAGGCAGTGAGCCACACAGATCAGGTGAATTCTAACAGCATGGGCACAAAGCCGGCTGGGTTGGCTTATCCAGAGCCTGGCCAGGCGGAGGGCACTGGAAAGCACTAATTCATTCCATCCAGTGTAGGATTACATAGTTTTTAAAAGGCAATGTAAAGAGTAAGAGACTCACAAACAGCAAAAAAAAAAAAAAAAAAAAAAAAAAAATCACCTCTGGTCTTGCCTATTACTTTTCTGATCACAGAACTGATTTTTGGTGTTTTTCTAACTCGCGCTGTTCAACACAGTAGCCACTAGCCACATGTGGCTGTTGAACACTTGAAATGTGGCTGGTCCGAATTGGGCTGTGCTATAAGCATAACAGGCACATCAGATTTCAAACACTTGGTATGAAAAAAAAAGTATGTAAAATATGCCATTAGTAATCTTTATATTGATTACATGTTAACATAATCATATTTTAAATATACTGGGTTAAATAAAAATATATTAAGATGAATGTCACCAGCTGCTTTTTACCTTTTGCAACATGGCCAATAGAAATTTAAAAATCACATAGTTTGCACTGGTGGCTTGCATTCTATTTTGATTGGACAGTGCTGCTCTAGAGTTTGGAAACTCTAAACCTGTCACTGCTTTGAGAGGGATGCAAGGGGCAAGTGTGTTTCCAAGTCTTGTCTCTGGACTTTTTCTGCCACACTAATGAAACTCTTACCAATGGGTGATATTGAAACTAACACTATCTACCAGGAAGGCTGCAATACACTCAGATGTGAATCGCCTCCTGTTCCAGGGCCTTCAATCACCCTTCTATTCGCAGGCTTTGAAGTACAGGCTCTGACTGGCCCCAGCAAGAGCACACTTTGGCACTCTGTGGCACATGTAACTCATTCTTATTGCACTGATCTAAAACCTAGCTCTCACTCACAGTGGCTTTTAGGGAATGATCATGTGGACCCAGGCTGCCACCGATGGCTGTGCAGTTTGTGCCTGGCACAACAGTGTCCAGCAGAGGGTACACAAGGGGTTGCCATCACACCTGGGGTGCCTGCAGGCTGGGGCTGCAGTTTATCGGCTCAGAGGCGTTGCCTGAAGTGGACTGCACTCTACACCCAAGGCAATCTTTTTTCTTGCACCCCTGACTAACTTCCACATGGCACTGAAAGTACTCCTGGCCTAGCAAGCCCATTAAAACATCCTTTGTATGAATTGGCCAGAGCCCAGTGCAGAAAAGCAGGCCATATAAATTCCCAAACATCTCAGATCTAAGAAGAGCATTTAGAGAATGCAGATATGTTTATAAAACCTCCTGTAGGAAATCATGATATTAATAAATGGGAGTTATTAGTTTGGATATAATTTGGGGTCACTATTTACTGCTGACTAAATAAAACATATAGGTAAATTGCATAATCTCATGTGTCATATTAACTAATCATGACAATGTATTGGAAATCTAACTAACATGAAAGATATTTTGATTCTCTATGTACTAGATCCGCTGCAAACCATTTGTTGTCATAAAGAGGATGAATTCTAGAGAATCTTGCCCAGGAACCAAAATATAATAGAGTATCTTTGTATAGGAAAGCAGCATTTCCCCCCACCCCCCGAAGAGTATTATAACCTCTAGAAGAGCCCAGAGTTGTATGAATAGTTAATGAACGATGACATAATATACTTTAAAGCTTGGAACTGTTTAAAGTGTGCTCCAAAAGACTATCTTTAGAAAGGACTCTCTTCAAATAATTGCTAAGATATGATGAAGTAAATCTTTATAATAAAAATATTAAGCAAAAGGAACATATGATAGTCTGTTATTACTCTAAGAAAAACAACCACTTTCATAGTGATATGAATTTACTAAAAAATAAACACCTAAAAACAAAAAGCCCAACCATAAAGCACAGAGTAGCTATTTGTGGCTCAATGCTGCGAAAACTTTTTAAAAAATAGCCATGAGCTTGCTTCACACCTTTTGCAGAGTGTGGGACAAGTAGTACCTCAGAAAACTGGAAATATAAAACAGAAGAATAAGATAAATAATAGCAAAGTAAATTACGTGTTTAAATTGCTTTTAAATATACTGTAAATAAGATTTGATTATTTACATGTATACATGTGATCATCTTTCAGAAACTATTATACCATCCCAATATTTAATCTTATGATCATAAATATTTGATTCATTTCCTTTTATCTTGTCATTTATTCAAGCACCAAGTTCTGTTACTTCTTCCCTCTAAATGCCACTATGGCCATTGTTCTCTTAAATTTTAACTGCTGTGTCCAGATAGACATTCTTACTGTCTCACACTCAAAATAGTAGAAAGTCCTCTAAATGTTCTCCCATTCAAATTTTGCCTCGCTATTCCGCACCGGAACCCTTCCCTCCAGCCTGGCTATAATCTAAGTTGGCCACGGAAGGAATAATGCTTTGCCGCCAGCAGGATGCCTTTCTACCCACCCTCTATCCCGCCAACTCCTACTCATTCTTGGTCTATCTCGAAGCTCAGTTGCCCTCTGGAGGCTGCTCTTGTCTTCTCCAGGCTGCACTGACCCTTGCTGTTCTCCCTGCCCTGAATCCTGAATGTAAAATTTAGTAAGGTAGCACTGACTACTCGCTCCCTTGTATCGCCCTTATCTCCCTGACCAGACTGCACATTGCTGGACACTCTAGGTTACACTGTTTTGGTATCTTGCTTTGGTCCATAATATCATGACTTTGAGGAGTGAATATACACAGGGAGGATATGATTGGCCATTTTACAATTTTCTACACCTGTGTCGAACCCTTAGGCTAGTAGGCTCCTCTTGGGAAAAAATAAAGCTGGGCCTACTCTCTTACCTGTGAGTGCACTGGGTAGGGGCCTAGGGTGTAGCAGAATGCACCTTGAAAGGAAGGGAATCTAAGAGTCTGGAAATGGAATGAAGTTGGGCATCCGGCTGAGGCAACATCTCCCTGAAGCTCAGGAGCACCTGGGAAAGTTGCTTGTCTGCCATCCTTGATGTGATTGAGCATCAGAACACGGAACACAGGGTTGTGGCTGACCTCTGTGCCTGAGAGCAGTCTTGCTCTGAGGAGAACAGCCCGAAAGAGGCCCTACATAAGCCTTGTGTCGCCTTTAATGTGTGTAGTATCCATTCCTTTGCGGTCTGTCTTTCTATAGATCTTAAGGAAAGCAGCCTGGCACTATAAGACTGTGCCCTTAAATCCTGAGACAGAAAAATGAATAACAAACCCTCTCTTGGAGGAAAAATCCCACTCTTCACCACATTGGGACTGGGGAGAAGGGACCACTGGAGGATAGACTACTTTGTCCTATTCAGAGAATCAACAGGACAATAACTGCCATATTTAAACATATACAAATATTTAGCAATGAAATAAACACAGGCTGCTTGAACTGCAGTCTCAGTGTTATGTTGCTTTTTGTTTGTTTGTTTTGCGCCCAGCCCGCAGTGTTATCTTATGTACTATTTCTCCATTTGAAAATGGTAGTGGTGGCCGGGTGCAGTGGCTCACGCTTGTAATTCCAGCAATCTGGGAAGCTGAGGCAGATGAGTCACTTGAGGTCAGGAGTTCGAGACCAGCCTGGCCAACATGGTGAAACCCCATGTCTACTAAAAATACAAAAATTAGTGGGGCATCATGGTGTATGCCTTTAATCTCAGCTACTCAGGAGGATGAGGCTCAAGAATCGCTTGAGCCCAGGAGGCAGAGGTTGCAGTGAGCCAAGATTGTGCCACTGCACTCCAGCCTGGGTGACAAAGTGAGGCTCTGACTGAAAAAAAAAAAAAAAGAAAAGAAAAGAAAAGAAAAAAGAGAAAGAAAATGGTGGTGGTGGTAGTGGTTGGGAGAAAATGGTCGTGGTGGTGATAGTGGTTGGGAGATGTGGGCGGGGGGGTGGGGATGTTCATTAAAATGCACATTCCCAGGCCTCATCCCAGATCTACAGATTCTGGGCCTTTGGCAGTGGAATCTGATTGATTACCTGCATCTTGAATGCTTTCCCCAGGTGATTCTTAGGCCCATAAATGTTTCAGAACCACTGTTCGATGGGTTATCAGCTCTCTCAGCAAACAAGAATATTCTCATCCCCTAAAACCTTTAAGGAGTATTTTCATAGGAGTGCAATTAAAACCTCTTTCGGGCTGGGTGTGGTGGCTCACGCCTGTAATCCCAGCACTTTGGGAGGCTGAGGTGGGTGGATTGCCTGAGCTTAGGAGTTTGTGACCAGCCTGGGCAACACAGTGAAACCCCATCTCTACTAAAATACAAAAAATTGGCTGGGCGTGGCGGCCTGTGCCTGTAGTCCCAGCTACTCAAGAGGCTGAGGCAGGAGAATTGCTTGAACCCAGAAGACAGAGGTTGCAGTGAGCCCAGATCGTGCCACTGCACTCCAGCCTGGGTGACAGAGTGAGACTCCATCTCAAAATTGAAAAAAAAAAAACAAACAAAAAACCTCTTTCTTCTAGAAAGCTCATTCCTTTCCTAAAATGTTTCCTTTTCTGCTGCTTTCTCTTAGCCTCATATTTCTAAAACTCTGACAGAATATCAGTTTCCAAAATATGCCAGGATGTACACGGAAATGAGGTATTTTACCCATCAGCAGGGGCACTGCACTTAAGATCTGGATTTTGGGGCCCTTCTGCTTGCTGGTTTCCCCTCAGCAGGGAAGGCCTGGATTCAGTCAGTGAGGAGTGTTCTGTCCATATTCCACCTTGCCCCTGAGTGGCCAGGTACTACTGGCTTAGTCAGAGTCATGAACCTAAACTGTTTTCATAGTCCTTGAAGTAAGTCAGTATTTCAAGATTCTGAAAACTACTCAATAGTTATAATCACAAAATCTTCTTCCAAAATAGCATGATGATCATGTTGACACTGTTGTCTTTTTCAATACATGTATTTGACATGTGTAAATTTTGTGTTAAGAGAGCACTTTTGGTTTTGTGAAACCCACTCTATTGGAGCCAAAAGTGTTAGAAACAATAATGTGAATTCTGCTGTAAAATTATAAATTTCAATTTGGACAATATTCGATATTCAACAGAAAAGTGTTGAAAATCACTGAAGGAGCCTCTGGTAGAATGAACACCCACATTAATCTTGGCTTCCTCCGATGCTCCAGTACAATCACAATACAGGAATAAAAATGACATAAATATTTAAGAACAAAGAAGATGGGAGATGGCAATAGGAATTGAGGGGTGTCAACAAAATTTTGGGAGATGAAAATCAGCTGGCTGAGTGGTAAACGACTTAGCAGCTTAGAGAAAGCTGAATCTAATCCTGCAGTAGAAGAAGCCAAAAATCAAGCAAGATGATTCAAGCTAAACAACGCTGTGAAGACTTAGGAACCAGAGGCACCTCTGAATGCCAGGGTAGATGGGAGTGCAAAAAGGAAAACTGGCTGCAATCCTGTATAATTAAGAATCGGACCAGATACCCTCCCTCAGACAAGAAGAAGGCGGGTGGATTACTCTGCAGAGATGAAACCACAGGACTCTGGAATCCTGGATCCCAGGCCTAGCCAGAGTGGGTTGAGGAGCCATATGAAAACAGGGAGATTAAGTGAAAGTCTACATAGAACTTAGTAAGACACGCCCCTCAGCATCACCACCATTTCTTACCTCCCTACCCTTATTCAGCTCCAGAAAGCCAGCATCCAAGTTTACAACCCTCAGCCATGAGATGGAAGTCTTTCCTGTCTAGCTTAAGGGAAAACAATCTACAAACATTGACCCAGTGAAATGGGCAGGTTCTAGGCGAATCACCCTATAACAAAGCACCACACTTTACAAGCCCCATCTAAGCACACAGAGCAACTAATTAGCTTTATTTTGCCTCTCTCTTAAACAGATATTTGAGAAAAGCTTCTTTTATGAAAGAAAGAAAAACAAGCATATGAAAAAATATGCTTAGGAGAAACAGACAAAGCAGGAAGCACAGGAAAGCTTAATTGTATTTATTTATTTATTGAAACGGAGTCTCACTCTGTTGCCCAGACTGCAGTGCAGTGGTGCGATCTCCGCTCACTGCAACCTCTGCCTCCTGGGTTCAAGTGATTCTCCTGCCTCAGCCTCTGAGTAGCTGGGACAACAGGCATGCATCACCACGCTCGGCTAAGTTTTGCATTTTTAGTAGAGACGGGGTTTCACCATATTGGCCAGGATGGTCTCAACTCAAGTGATCCGCCCGCCTCAGCCTCCCAAAGTGCTGGGATTACAGGTGTGAGAGCCACTGCTCCAGGCCTGGAAAGCTTCATTTTAAAATGATAATTAATAGCCTTGGATTGAAAAGGATAAATTAGAGTATAGAAAGAGCCTATGGAAATTAAAAATGTGATAAAATGAAATATTTAATAATTGGGTTGGAAGATGAAGGAAATCTCAGAGCATAGAGCAAAAGGACAAAGACATGAAAAATAGAAAAGATATGAAAATCAGAGTACAATCCAGAAGGTTTAATACATAATAAACAGAAGTTTCAGAAAGTTAAAAAAGGAGAAAAAAGAAGAGAGAAATTACCAAAGAAATAATCTAAGAACATATCCAAGATCTTAAGGACACACAATTCCAGATTTTTTTTTTAAAAAGTGCATAGTACTAGATACAGTGAATGAAAAAGAGCTGCAATAAGGTGTATCATCATGAAATTTCAGGGTAAAGAATATTAGAAAAGTTATCAGAGTGAAAAAAAAACAGGTTACACACATAGGGTGGGGAATCCAAATGGCCCTGGACTTAATAGTAGGGAAGTCAGAGGACCATGAAGAAATGCCTTTAAAATTCTAATTAAATGTGTTT
Source organism: Homo sapiens (assembly GCF_000001405.40). Classification (NCBI taxonomy): domain Eukaryota; kingdom Metazoa; phylum Chordata; class Mammalia; order Primates; family Hominidae; genus Homo; species Homo sapiens. The sequence continues at coordinate 139,882,548 of NC_000004.12, forward strand.
TCTAAACTGTAACTCTATAGGCTGGGCACAGTGGCTCACGTCTGTAATCCCAGCACTTTGGGAGGCCGAGGCAGGTGGATCATCTGAGGTCAGGAGTTTGAGACCATCCTGGCCAATATGGTGAAATTCTATCTCTACTAAAAATACAAAAATTAGCTGGGTGTGGTGGCACGCACCTGTAATCCCAGCTACTCAGGAGCCTGAGGCAGGAGAATCACTTGAATCTGGGAGGCAGAGGTGGCAGTGAGCCAAGATCGAGCCACTGCACTCCAGCCTGGGCGATGGAGCGAGACTCTGTCTTAAAAACACAAACAAATAAACAAACAACAACAACAACAACAAAACCTATAATTCTACATCAGGTAAACTATTAATCAAATGTAAGGATAAAGACAGTCTCAAAAATTGGTTCCATAGGAACAATCTCCCATTTACCCTTTTGTAAGAAACTATGAGGACTTCCACCAATTTGAGGGAATAATTCAAGAAAGAGGTGGGATCGAGAAAACAGACGACGCAACACAGAACGGTGGTGAAACGTTCCAAGAATGATGGTGAAGGGTGATTGCAAGACTTCCGTTAAGCAGCAGACCAAGAAAACTGCAGGACAGAAGTGGACAGAACCAACAGGGCAGAGAACTTCAGGAGAGAAGGAAAGACGGAGGGAGGGAGAGAGGGAAAAGAAAAGGAAACATGAGAAAAACTATATTATCTGATGTGCTTGATCATATTGAATGTTTTACATGGTCAGAAAAGTTTAAGGATGGATCAAAAGTAGGTACAGAGACAATACATGCCCCTCACCCTGCCCAAAAGGGCAATCATAAATTCCAAGGAAAACAAAAAGCTATACAAGTAAGGAAACAAAATCATAGTATACTACATGGCTAAACTGTGAGGCACTATGCAAAAATTAGTCTTTTAAACATGGGCTACTTTTTAAAATCATGATTTGTAATATAGCTAGTTACACTGAGAGGATGGGGAAGAGAAAGAGAGAGACTGTGTGTGGGGGGGTTGTGTATGTTTGTCAGGAGGTAGTATAAGTAGCTGCACCCCCCATCTTCTGTAGAATTGAGTAACTGAAAACTTGAGAAATGCAATTTATGGAGATAAATGAGAAGACAACATGGAAGTGGCTGCCTTTGGCAAGCAGAAATTAAGAGTGGCGTGGGTGAGGCAGGAGACTACTGTTTCTCATCAAAATCCCCCTAGCAGTATTTGACTTTCTGAGCTGTGCATGTGTATTACTTGGATAAGGTAAATAATATATACATCAAGGAAACTGAAAAAAGGGGTTCCAGGTTCTTAAAGTTTTTTTTTTTTTAAATAATTGCTTGTCTTTTTTTTTTTTTTTTTTTTTGAGAGTTTTGCTCTTGTTGCCCAGGCTGGAGTGCAATGGGCAGTCACTGAAACCCCTGCCTCCCAGGTTCAAGTGATTCTCCTGCCTCAGACTCCCAATTAGCTGGGATTACAGGCACCTGCCACCACTCCCATATAATTTTTTTGTATTTTTAGTAGAGATGGGGTTTCACCATGTTGGTCAGGCTGCTCTCGAACTCCTGACCTCAGGTGATCCACCCGACTCGGCCTCCTAAAGTGCTGGGATTACAGGCGTGAGCCACGGCGCCTGGCTGCTTAAAGTTAAGGAAAATGTATCTTCCAAGAGATTTCCATGATGGCTATGAATTTTGCAGCTCTGTTCTTTCTCTGGAGATTTTATGACTAAAAAGCTTATAATAATATACCACACAGGGCATTCCACAAATTCTGGTAAAATAAAATTGAAAGTGAAAAACATTCTGTAAAATATGAGCACATATACTCATTATGATGCACACAGCCACATGTAGAAAACATACGTGTAAAGAATAAAGTAGCAGAGTCACCTATGATGTATCTAGTCCTAAGACTGCAAGTATGAAAAATTAACACCACATTTTGGAAATGATTCCCTTTCTGCTCTTCCCCACAGGAGTTATTCTTGGGCTCTGGGCTGGCCTGTGACCGTCCTTGACCAGCAAGTGGTCTCTGCTTTTGGTTTACTTCTTTCATAGTTGCTCCATTGTTTTTTGTTTGTCAGACACAGGGATTGTGGTTGCCTTCCCAGCAATCTCACTGTTGTTCCGCTGGTTCAAGATAATCACCTCCTATCAAAGGATTCATTCTAGACTTGCCTTTTCAGCTTTTCTATTTGATCTCAAAAGCGGCTCTGTGTTATTTGTGCTAATGCTTTCTCCATTGGAGCTGATAATCAACTGTAATCATATTTTTGACCCAAACTTTGATGATCACCATCAAATGATTTATTGAATATCCTTATGTTTAAGACACAGTGCTAGGCACTATGCAAAAATCAGCTAAAGTGTGTGTGTAAGAGAGAAGAGAGAGAGATCCTGCCCTTGAGAAACAACAGGATTAGGACGGAAAAAAACCAGATGTGACCATAGTAAGTTCTATTTCATAACAAAAACACATATTTTAAAAATTGGAGAACATGTAGTGTATATTTCAAATAGTTACAAGTGAGGACTTGAAACGTTCCCATCACATAGAAATAATAAATACTCAGGCCGGGTGCGGTGGCTCACGCCTGTAATCCCAGCACTATGGGAAGCCAAGGCAGGAAGATCGCTTCAGTTCAGTGGTTGGACACTAGACTGGGCAACATAGTGAGACCTTGTCTCTACTGAAAATTAAAAAAAAAAAATTAGCCAGGTATGGTGGCACATGCCTGTAGTCCCAGCTGCTTGGGGTATGAGGTGGGAAGATGGCTTGAGTCCAGGAATTCAAAGCTGCAGTGAGCTATGATAGTGCCACTACACTCCAGTCTGGGCAACAAAGTGAGACTCTTTCTCAAAAAAAGAAAGAAAGAAAGAATAAATACAGTGATGGATGCCCTAAATACCCTGACTTGATCATTACATATTCTATGCCTGTAACAAAATATCACATGTACCCCATAAATATGTGTAAATATTATGTATTAATGTTTAAAAAGTGAAGCTGGTAAGAAGAAAATTAGAGACAATCTGGGAGGTTTAGTCCATGATGAATAGAAGTTCCAGAAGGTTTTAAAACAAAAAAAAAAGTAGGCCGGGCGCCGTGGCTCACACCTGTAATCCCAGTAATTTGGGAGGCTGAGGCGGGCGGATCACGAGGTCAGGAGATCGAGACCATCCTGGCTAACACGGTGAAACCCTGTCTCTACTAAACATACAAAAAAAAAAAAAAAATTAGCCAGGCGTGCCGGCAGGCGCCTGTAGTCCCAGCTACTCGGGAGGCTGAGGCAGGAGAATGGCGTGAACCCGGGAGGTGGAGTTTGCAGTGAGCAGAGATCGCGCCACTGCACTCCAGCCTGGGCGACAGGGCAAGACTCCGTCTCAAAAAAAAAAAAAAAAAAAAAAAAAGAAAGAGAAAAAAAGTAAAGGGAATAAAGAAATAATATAAGAACAAAGAAATAATATAAGAACATATCTCAGAGAAGATTCAAAAACTTTTAATGGTAAAAAATGTTATTGCTACTTTCACTGTCACTAATTTAGCTAAAATTTTCTAGGAATGAGAACATGGTAAAGGGATTAGGAGACAGAATGGAAAAGAAACTGAGTGTGGGAGGCAGGTTTTAGGACTACTCACTAAAGCAGGGATTCACAACTAATATATGTCAATGAATAGCAAATAATGATATTGTCTCAATCCAACTGGCAAATCAATTCAACTAAGAATTTTTTTAAAAAAAGAATTAACGAAGGGTAAACTTTTTTAAGTAGGGAGTTTCCCTTCCTTAAAAAAGTATTTTCCCAGAGGGTAGAATTAATACACATGTATGATAGAAAGTTTAGAAAATTCAGTTAAATATAAAGAGGAAAACAATAATCACTCATAATTTTTCCAGCCAGAAATAAATATCATTCCTAACATTTTAGGAATTCAGTATTTAGAATTCCTAAAATAACATTTTAGTTATTCAGTATTTTTCTACACATATTAAAAGTCACAATTTGGATTGTAACATATAATTGTTTTATGATCTATTTTATTCATATTATGAGCATTTCCATATGATTAGTCATTCATTTATATCATGAATGTCATGTACGTATTTATTTTTCCAAAATACTTATTTTTGGATCAAAGTTTTCACTATCATAAGTAACACCATGAGCATAATCTTTGTTCAACCATCTGATCAAAAAGAATAATATGTAAATTCTGAGAAATGCAATTACTAGATAAAACACATTCAAAATTTTGAAATATCTTTTGTTTCTATTTTTGTTTCCCTGTTTTTTGAAATATACAGGAAGTAAGCGCATTCCTATTCATTTCTGAGATGGCATTTTATACAAATGTTCCAAATAAGTAAACATCTGTAAAAGACAATTTTCTTGAAATAAACGTGCCTAAAAGGCTTTGCTGCTGAAGTCATTCATTAAAACGAAATGTTGATCATGGTCATTGTGATCAACAAAGAATAAAGTGAGTTTTCACTAGCAATAGCAGAAAACGAAACTGAACTAAACCTATGTATAATTATATTTTATATCGTACCTGTAATTCGTGCTCGTATTTGTGGAATGTACCCGCATATAATGTAATGAACTATTCTGAGAACTATGTAAATACTGCTTCACAATCAGATAAAAACAAGAAATAAATGATATGTTTGCAGAAAGACATTCACATGTTTATATATGTATTTTGAAGCTCGTTTCAAACAGTGGTGAGTTAATATTTCATTAAAAAGCACGCTTTTACCTGATGAGATTTTGTGAGGTTAAGAAGTGATTATTCTAATGAGGACTCACAAAAGAACATTCTGTCCACACTGAAAATACTTCGTGAGACGAGAGAAGAGAGGAGGAGCACACAGATTTAATCCAGAAAAACATCACTTTGCTTCTTCAGCTGACTGAGCTCTTTCAAAACATGACCTCTGCAGCTACCAGCTTCAGTGACACATAGTTAGGCAGGCATAAGGACCTCAAAGAAGTACCCTTAAAACTCATGTTCCCGCAAAGACAGGAACTTGTCCCAAGTTGGCACATTTTGAAAGACATTTAGTGGGGGTGAGGATAGGTGCATCATTGCACTCACATGTCTGCAGAGCCTGTGAACTGGAATTAATTATTCATCTTTGGTCTGGCTTGAAGGAAATACTCTACTGTAGCTAGTGTAAGAACAGCGAATGTAGAAGCACAATTTGTATTAACAACAGACCATTCTGACAGCTTGTGATCTCATAAACCTTCTGACACGCCTGGGCTACTACAAACATTCATGTATATTGCCTATATTTCTGCCTGCTTCAGAACTTAATCTGGAGTATATAAAATGCTGTTATCTCCCCAATGGTATATATTCTTAATGAAACTAAGATAATATATAGAAGTTCACATTTCAATGATATTTTTCTAGTAGCTACTGATTGCAGTCAATGTAAACCAAGTTATACTTTTATTTATCCAGACGGAATCTTTAGAGCCGGCTGGCATGTGCAGACAAGAAGCCACTGTGAGGTTTGGGGGTTGTAAGGCTGAGGACAAGAATGAAGCCACAGAGCTCAGGCCTGTCTCTGCAGGCCAGCACCACCTCCAGCCCTGCAGCTCCATCAAGCTTGGGGTTTCGGGGGTGGGGTGGGGCACTCCAGGAGCTACAAGATGCAAATAACCAAGTGAGGCAAGATCTGCCTGCGTTATTTCCCAGTGCTTCTAAAGTACTCAACTGTGGACACCTACCCAAGCACTAGTTAGAACCTGTTTAGACATGAGGGCCTCTAAAGCAAAGACTTTTCTGCAAATTCTCCAAGTAAAATGACCATGTCTGCATCCTGGAAGAATTGAGGCACAGCACAGCAACTGGCAGTAAGATGATCTCTCTTGAATTCATCCATGTAGGGCAGGGGGAGTCGCTTTAATGGGCATTTCCCCACTCTCTCCTTCAGGGTAGAACAAATGTTATATTAAAGGAGCTTTGGCTGTTTGCCACTGGTCAGGATGAAGAGACTGAAAAGCTTGTCAATGACTATTCACTTCCCGACTGGTTGCTGCTCATTTTTTACCATGCATACCAAGAGCCCAACCTCCCATGAAGGAGGACAGTGGGAAAGTAGAGACTTTAATACAGCACTAAGATATATTCACCATCACATTTTCCTGAAATAGAGCTGATTGTATCAGAGAGGTTTCATTGCACTCCCAAGTAAGAAGACTGAACCAGCTTCTAACTGTTGCTAGTCTAGCAGCAAGTGTTTAAACATTATAAGGTCCTACAAAAATCTACCCTCCACTTCACTTTGAAAATCCAGAAAGCTCTCCTATATTTGAATATCAACAAGCCAAATTTCCCATTATTCATAATTCAGTAGGACAGCTGAAGGCTGCTCAGGGCCTTATAAAACTGTTGTAGACAGCCCTGAATGTCCCCTGCTTCCCACCACCCAGAGCCTGGGATCATGCAAGCTGGGAGAGAAGCTACAGAGGTAGTGCCGTGTTTGGTGGAGTGACCTCTGCAGCCTCCCTCCCTCAGAGTGAGAATTTTATGTAATTCTTATCTGCAGTTGGGAATAAAAGAAGTTTGATTCCTAGACACTGAAATACACGAAAGTTTATCATGCCACCCTTTTCCATTTCTTAGGAGAAATGGAAAAAGAACACTCCAAACCTGGCCACTACCTGAGGATGTGTAAAGAGGTTTTCTGCAGGCAATTAGACCCCACTACAGTGGAAGCTTGTAGAACATCACACATCGACAGTCTGAAATGCACCACAAGAACTGCTCGAAGAGTGTGTCACTTTCACACTTACCTGACCGTGGGATGGAAGTGCAGCGTAAGCCATGGGCTGATTCATCACTCCTTTCTGCTTCATGAGAAGCAGGCGTTTCTGGTCTTCGCTCAGGTGTGCCCTGGGGGCCTGGAGCTGTGGAGGTGGCGGCTGCTGCTGCTGCTGCTGCTGCTGTTGCTGTTGCTGCTGCTGTTGCTGCTGCTGGATATACGGCATCAAGGGGTTTTTGTTGGGGTTGGCCACTGGTGGTGTCATCCTCTGACTCAGGTCTGCATTGAAGTGGGTCAGGGGTTTAGTGTTGCCATAAGTCAGAATATTGTGCTGTTTGTTTAAGGAGTTTGTACCCAAGTTATTTGGCTGCTGATTGATCATATTCATGTGATTCTGAGGGAGGTAGTTATTCATTGTTGTCTTCTGCAGGTTGTTTGCCATTGGAGGCACTATAGGGTTTTGGTTGTTAAAGGCTTGGGGGTACATCATTGGGCTATTTGGTTTTTCTGCAGTAAAAGCTGCTCCATATGGACTAGAGGGAGGTCCTAAGGGAGACCAATTTGAAGTCTGATTTGAGTGCTGTTGCTGCTGCTGCTGCTGCTGCTGCTGCTGCTGCTGCTGCTGCTGCTGCTGCTGCTGCTGTTGCTGTTGCTGTTTCTGCTGCATGAGTTTGGCCCTTTGTTGCTGCTGTGCAGCCATCTGTTTGAGCTGTTCTGCTGGAGACATGTCAGAGCTGGGCACAGCCACAGGCCCTGACGCTGAACCGGCCACTGTCACTGCTGCCGGATTCAGGAGATAACCATTTCCAGGCCGAGGTGGAGCTTGGCCTGGAGTGTGGGCTTGGTTTGGAGTTTGAGGGGACTGGACAGCACAGTTTGCTGGTGAGCTTGCAGGGTTTGGAGCTGCGGGAGTGCTGGCAACAGAAGGTAAACTAGTGGCCGTGGAGACAGTAGAAAAGGGAGGACCAGAAGAAGAAGGCCTCGCCTGGGGAGATCCCATGGAGACATGTGCGAAGGGAGAGTGAGAGGGGTCGCTCTTCACGCTCGCACTCTCCTGGGAGAGAGGGGTCTCAGTTGCTGGCTGCGAGAATTCTGGCTCCTTCTTCTCTTCAAAGTCTTCGTTGAACAGGTCCTGTATGTCATCCTCAGGAACCGTGTTGGCCAATTCATCTATTAATTCTTGCCACTCCTGATCATTCAGATTAATGTCTGAGAACAGCTTGTTCTGATTTGAAAGAGATGTTTCTGATGTGTCTATGCAAGTAGGGTCATCGAGAGGTTCTTGTTTGAGGTCTTTGCTCTGCAAGATGGTGAAGCTATCCTCCAGGTCACTGCAACCGTTGACAGGAAGTTTAATCTCAGGGAGCCTACCATTCTTACTTAGATCTTCTAGAAGCCCAGGAGTGTGAGTTCCACTGTTCTGCAAGGGCAAAGAAGGTTTCAGGTCAAGTTGGTGAAGAGGAGAAGCTGAAGGCAGTGGCATGTTACTGGGCAAATTGTTGATGGCTTCCATCCCCGCAGAAATGTCCTTTCGAATTCGTTTGCTAGTCGGAGAAAAATTCCCATCACAAGCACCATTCTGCTGGTCTCCATTAAGTGGTGATCGAGCTCCTTCCAACTTCCTTTTCACAGTCTCTTGTAGCTGGAAAAGAAACAGGAAAGAGGATGACTAAACCTCCAAGTCATATTTTACTCTTTAAGGATTGAGATGTGCATTGCGATGAACTAACTTTTAAGTGGTTTACGACACACAGGAAAGAAGTCATACTTATAATTTCAAAATCAGGCAACGCTGCAATTCAAATTGTATGGGAAAAGGTTTTATCTAAAAGCAGAGCTCACAGGGCTAAGAGATAGAAAACAAACAAAAGATTGAAGGGTGGGAAACAAAAGAAAAGAGATAGTTAATAAGGGCAATACTCTCAGCAAGGAAGAATAATCTGTTATTATTTTCTTTCTTTTTTTGTTTTTGAGATGGAGTCTTGCTCTGTTGCCCAGGCTGGAGTGCAGTGGTGCTATCTTGGTTCACTGAGACCTTCACCTCCCAGGTTCAAGCGATTCTGCTGCCTCAGCCTCCAGAGTAGCTAGGATACAGGCACGCGTCACCATGCCTGGCTAATTTTTGTATTTTTTGTAGAGATGGGGTTTCACCCTGTTGGCTAGGCTGATCTGGAACTCCTGGCCTCAAGTGATCAGCCTGCCTCAGCCTTCCTAAGTGCTGGGATTACAAGTGTGAGCCACCATGAATGCTAGACATGAGACTTGGACCAAAATGTAACATACTTGAAAACGATGTTAATACCTATCCCAAATTCTTGCCACAACTTAAATGAGAACATCAAGGAATTAAATCAACATTTAAAAAAAATGCTAAAATAAAAACTTCTAAGAATATGGAATTTAACACATGTACTAAATAGCATAGAATTGAAAGTTAATGTTTAATGCAATCCCAAACTTACTTTAAGTTCTTATGTGACCTCACCTTTCAGAACCTTTTGATAGGCTCACTCTTTTCTAAAAGCACGTTTCCACCGGTTTCCACAACATCACACTCTTCTCAATTTCCTCCTTTCTCCCTTTACCAGCTCTTTCTCAATCTCTTATGTAGTCTTTCTTTTTCCTAAACGATGGGATTCTTCAATGTTTTGTCTTAAGCTTTTTTTCTCCTTCTGCTCACTCTACATTCTTTCTTAGACAACTTCATCGATTACAACAGCTTCAACTATCTTCTCTAGGCTGACGGCCCCAAAAGATGCTCATCTTCCCAGGCTCACAAAACTGGGCTGGGTACATTGTTTTGGGGTCGTCAGCCTAGAGAAGATAGTTGAAGCAGGCTCATTGGATTAGTGCTCAGCTCCACTAAATCCAATGTTCTCCTGCTGGATATTTCATGGACATCTAAAACTCAACATGTCTCAACACTGAGCTTATTATCCTTTGTTACCCAAACCAGATCCTCATCACTGTTCCCCATCTCAGTATCTATCCATTTATTCAAGTCAGATACTTGAGCATTTTTCTTGAAACCTCCCACGTCAGCAATCACCAAGTCCTATGGATTCCACCTCCAAAATATAACTAATATGCCCCCTCATCTCCTTCCTCCCTTACTGTTACTGTCCTTGGCCAGGATACCATTATCTCTTACTAGATTGTTGCAGCCATCTTCTAACTCGTCTTTTACGCTTTGCCTCCATTCATTTGCTCTTTAGTCTATTTTTTTATTTACTGTTTTGTGTTCCCTGAATCTACTCCTTATAATGCCACATTTTCCAAAAAAAAAAAAAAAAAATAGACTGCCTTTCTTGTGTATAACTCTGCAATGATTTCCACTGTCTTTAGGTTAAAGTCCAAATCGGGGCCGGGAGCGGTGGCTCACGCGGTCAGGAGATTGAGACCACCCTGGCAAACACGGTGAAACCCCATCTGTGCTTAAAAAAAAAATTCAAAAAATTAGCCGGGCGTGGTGGCGGGCGCCTTTAGTCCCAGCTACTTGAGAGGCTGAGGCAGGAGAATGGCATGAACCCGGGAGGTGGAGCTTGCAGTGAGCCGAGATCGTGCCACTGCACTCCAGCCTGGGTGATAGAGCGAGACTCCGTCTCAAAAAAAAAAAAAAAAAAAAGTCCAAACTGACTCTTGCCAAAAACCACCTGGCTCCTGCTCATCTTTCCAGGCTCACCTTTTTGCCTCTCTATTCAGCATCTCCTCCCCTCTTCTCCCTTACCCTACATTTTCCATAAACTCTCTTGAGACTTATAGTTCCTTAAAGGTGCTGATACTCCGGTTTCTCTTCAGAGCCTAGAATTCTTTCACCTTTACGGTGCTAAGCTTCCTTCTGCCTCTAGGGCATTGTCCATGTTGTTTTGTTTTCTTGGAACGTCCTCCTGCTCCCTCTCCTCTTCCCCTGGGTAATAGCTGCTTATTTTTCAGGTTAGATCTTAGATTTCACTTACTCTAGGAAATCTTCTCTTATACTCTTCTCCACCCTAGTTATATGTTAGGTGCCTTCCTTGACCAACTATACTAGGTTGGATGTCCTGAAATAGGTCTTTCCAAGCAGTCTGTACTTCACTACCATAGCTTTTTCACACTTTGGGGCAGCTGCTTAAGTGTCTGTTTGGTGAGTTCCAAGAAGGTAGGAACCGTGGCTGACGTGCTTACTGTGTAAGCACCACAGGCCTGCACCCAGTCCTCAGGTTCATGGCAGGGGTTAATAAACAATTGCAAATGGAATGAATCATTCTATTGTCTAATTCACAGGGCTAAGAGAAGAGTTTGAATCTGAGCAGGAGGCAGCCCCATTGACCATAAGGAATGCCTGATTCCAGCCTCTACATTCCTGGTTTTGGGAGTGATAGATCTCTTACCCTAAAGAGTGTTATCCACTTAACTGGACTCATTTTAAAAGTCCAGTTATGAAGTCTTGCTAACTCTATGGATTTATCAATTATAAACCTAACTCATCTGTGTGCTGCTTTCCTTTCTGTCAGAAAGGGCCAGTGCATGTGGCCGTGGTGAAAGAGCTTGGCATAGAATAGCTACTGGGGAGATGCTTGCTGAGTGACAGAGGGGCAACTGGGAGGGGTTAGAAGGGTTTCAGTGACTTTACATAGTTGCAGGCAGAAGACAGAATGACAGGGTAGGAGAGAAAAGGCTTAGTGGTCTTTCCACTCGGGTACTCTCTTATTCTTGGCAAGGTGCCGTGTATTACAGAACCAATGCAAGAGAGGGGGAGGATTCCCTCTGCCCCTGACACCTGAACACTCACATGTGAAACTGCCAGGCCTCTAGAGGAGCACCATGGATAATAAAACTAATGTGCAGATGCGGTAAAGTTCACAAAGTGTCATTTTACTGCTAGGTGCTTTTTCATAAGTAGATGATTATATTTGAAAAGTATGGCCAGGCACAGTAGCTCACGCCTGTAATCCCAGCACTTTGGGAGGCTGAGGTGGGCAGATCGCGAGGTCAAGAGATTGAGACCATCCTGGCCAACACGGTGAAACCCCGTCTCTACTAAAAATACAAAATTTTGCTGGGGTGGTGGCACACACCTGTATAGTCCCAGCTACTCAGGAGACTGAGGCAGGAGAATCACTTGAACCTGGGAGGCAGGGGCTACAGTGAGCTGAGATCGTGCCACTGCACTCTAGCCTGCTGACAGAGCAAGACTCCATCTTAAAAAAGAAAGAAAGAAAGAAAGAAAGAAAGAAAGAAAGAAAGAAAGAAAGAAAGAAAAGTAAACAGAGTAGAAAGGGCCCTTGAGTAAAAGTCCAGTCTAACCCTTGTTCCTAAATCTTATATTTTTACAACATCAAACACAGCCCATAGTCATTTGATAGAGACCCTCGAACTGCTGAACACAAGGCCCTAACGGGAACATGTTAGAATTTGACGGAAAAAAAAATACTGGCTCAACTCATTGTATTACACAGAAACTGCTAGAAAATGATATTATTTATTGGACAAGGCAAGATACCATGGTTTTGATCAGAAGTATGGAAGATACTTGAACATAGCTCCAAACATAGCAGCAAGATCAAATATCACAGCTTTAGGACTTAAAGGAAATGAAGGTTAGGGCTTTTGGCACCTCCTGGAGTGATGTTAACCTTCAAAACATAAGCATTTGTCTTAACAATGAACTGACTCGATTTTAGAAAGTCCAAGTCCATGACTCTGTTCCAGGTCATGCAATGAATGGAGCAGGACAGAGAAGGAAACGAAGCTGGTCCATTTGTTTCTCTGTAAAATGGTGGTGGCCAAGACCATACAGTCAGGCAGTTCTGGCTGGAAACCCAAGTTTCACCTCTTACGGCTGAGTGAGCAGCTGGGTGAGGCAGTACAGTGAGAATTAGAGAAACAGGAGCACTGGCTCTGGAGTTAGAAAGCTTGAGTTCAAATCCAACATCACCTACCTAGGAGCTAATACATATCAATATTGTCTGGTTCTTAAGAAATGTTGGCTATGATACCTTCCATTAGAATATAAGTTACATGAAGGCAGGGGTTCTTCCATTTTGTTTCCAGTAGCTCAGAATAGACAATAAATACATGTTGAATAAATGAATCCTGGAAAACTTATTTAACCTCTCCTAAGCCTTGGTTTCCTTACCTGCAAAGTGGGTCAATAATATCTAGCTCACAGAGTTACCGTGAGTCTGAGGTTAAATGAAATAATGTAGGGAGCACTTAGCCTCACACCTGATACCAGTAAACACCCACTAAGTCTTAGCTTTACCATTTTCAAAATTCAGTGATACAAATAGTTACAACTGCAACTGAGAAGGAATGCTTACTGGATCTTCAAAACACAAATAGGTAGGGTATTTCTGTTCTCTAGCCAGCAAAACCCTAATGTTTTCTAAGCATCTGATGTAGCTTTTTTAATATGAACAACAAAAATCAAATTTGCAATTCAAGTCCAAGTGCTAATGCATTCATGTCCTAGATTGTAGAACAGCAGAGGCTAGATCGTTGAGGTTCGAATCAAATACATTTTCAGCATGCCACCTGATTGGAGCCTCCGAGTGTTCCCTTTCCTCCAGGGCCTAAAGTTCTCCACTGCATGCCCCTTTAACCCAAATCTTGATTTATATATTTCATGTATCTGCATTTTGGAATATAAGAAAGACATTATCGAAGATGCTGTGCTATAATTTTTATGTTTTGTTTTGTTATGTCCAAAATAGCAGAGCAATCTTAGCATCCCTTCTGTCTGCCTCATCATCCTTTGCTATATGGAAAGGTGGTCTGGGAGTCTAATTCTCTTTATGTTCCTCATGGGAGACAGAGGGAGGCGGAGAGGGAGACACAGAGCCAGCTATGTGGCTGAGAAGGCTGATTCACAAGCTCCCTGCTCAGAGAACATGGGAATGCCTGGCTGCGCACAGGGAAATGTCCCTGTGACTTTCCTCTCCTCAAGACTCAGGGCAGAGTCTCATCCCAAATAGCCTTATCTTAGGAAGTCCCTGGCCCTTCTGCCTCGCAAAGCCCGAAGCCTCTTAGTATGACTGCACCCTCGTGGAAGAATCACAGAAACTCTTTCCTGAGCATCAGCCTCCTTGCTCTTGTATTACTATTATTACATATAAATGTTTTCTCCCATTAGGTGAAGCTGTGGTGCCAGGAGCTGAAGTATGCTGTTCATCCAATGCCTATGACAATATGGGCTGCTATCATGTGTCAATTACTCTGAAGGAAACAATTCATCTTCCATAATGGCTCCAGCGCAAGTCCCTCATTTAGTGTGGCTTGATGGCTTGTTTCTGTGAAACTGGTGTGTGTGTGTGTGTGTGTGTGTGGTATGTGGTGTGTGTGTGTGAGAGAGAGAGAGAAAGACAGACAGTGAAACTGAGAGGCAGAGAGAGACAGAATGGGGAGTGGGAGGGTTGTGCATTATGTCCAAACCAGTAGTAATAAGAATAGCTGTGCCTTTGGAATTACAAAGAACTTTCACACAGAATCATATTTTATCCTCACCACAAACCTGTGGGGAAGGCTATGTGCTGGCTGGATGGTTCTACAGGGAAAGGGGCAGTGTTTTGGAGAGGGTGTGGTGGGCGAGGGTGCATGACACCCACAGCAAGGAGGAGCATGGCTAAGATTACCAGGCCTCTGCTGACACGGGGGCCCCCAATCCTAGCAGATTCTTGAGGTGTTCCATGGGCCAGAGTGTCCATGACAAAGAGGTCTTTTATTCCATTAGACTTTTAGCAGTGCTGGCAAGTCAGATAAACTCTTACTGTCCTGTCCCTGATTTTGCACGAAGTTGGGCAGGATCACAGAGCTTGGGAATAAAGATAGTGATGCTACTATTAATAATGAAGATTCTAAGATGGAAGACATCCAATTTCTAATGTCCAACTCTAGTAAACCACCATATTCCTTCTCTCCTGCTCCCAATGATTCTAAAAGATAGGTTTTATTACAATCATCTTGCAGAGGCATCGTGGGTTAAGCAGTGTGTCTGAAATTACAGAACTCAGGGGGCTGGGCAGAAGATGGCTAAACCCAGATTCAAATTCAAACTCAGGTCTGACTCCTCCATAAGCCACACTGCACCCTCATCCAGGACTGGACGAAGCACAGTCATGCCCTCATCAAAGGCATGGGGTTCTGATGCCACCTGTGATATGCTTTCTCAGATTGTGCTTTCGGGGATCTTCCTTGGTTCCAGCATTTCCCCACCAACCATACCCAATTAAACCTCAAGAACTATCCATTCTATGAATTTTAGTCTCATCTTCCGCCCACAATGCCACTACCCCATTCAGAGTCTCAATATGTCTCTCATGAATTTCTGTAGCAGCTCCTGACCAGCCTCAGTCTCGCCACCTCCAACCCATTCTCTGCATCGTGGCTGTGGTTTTCTCCATACATTGTGAATCTGATCATGCCCGTTCTTCACTTTAAGCTTTTCTAAAGCTGTCCACCATCTTCAGCATCATTCAGGTCTGGCACACAGGCCTTCTGACTGGATCCTCATCCCAGCTAAACTCTCCAGGCTTAGCCATTACCTCTCATCTTCCCCGACTTACCCCGCAACCCCACTCAACTCCAAACTTTCAGCTATGCTTAATTATTTGCAGTTCCCAGGACATACCACATTTGTTTTCTCTCTTTCTGAGCCTTTGCATATTTTACACTTAACCAACTTCTTCACCTGACCAATTCTATGTGTCCTTTACAATTCAGTTTAGACATTACCTACTCCACAGTCTCTCTTGACAGCCATTTCCTACAACTCCTGATGTTGGTTAAGAGACCCTCCATGACATTCTAATTCATATCACACTATAACTATTTTCCTTCATGGATGAATGAATGAATGCTAAAAAGAGCTCTCAAATAACCACAATGAGTTAGTGTAATTGATCCCCAAAGCAGGCTCTTGAAAATGTTGGACTGCATAGTGTTCTCAGAATAAACGTATAATTTCTGTTGGTTAGTTTAAAATACTGAAAATGGACTATCTCCTTAATATTTTTGAGGACTCTAAGGGTCCAGGGAATCCCTGATGAGAACCACTAGAGAACATACGAAGTGATTTGTGGAAAAGAAAACTGAAACTGAAATCCAGAGACTTTAAGCGACATTACCATGGTCACATGTTTTCACATGAATGTAAACCCCAAACGCTGCTTATTTTCAGACTTGAATTTTAAATTTCCATACAAAGGCTTCAAGTGGTTCTCACCCACTATAGCAGCCTCTTCAACCAAAAGTGTGAGTGAGCTTCCTTCACCAGCTGGTAGAGACACAAGTCTTTCCCAAGGCTTGAAGATAAGAGAGTCTTAGCTTGCAGATGCTATAACTAGTTTAGAGGCTCAAAGAGAACATTTTGGTCATTTTGATCTGTTCTGGTCAAACTAGAAGATGATTCACTGGAATCAATTATCACATGCTTATTCTCTTTCCATTCTACCAGCAGGTAATAAGCCTATGAACACATGGATGAATTTGACCTGCTTATGTAATGAATGACCCAGAATACTCATGTGCTAGATATTTTAATGAGTAGAATAGGAAGAGTGCGCAAAACATTTCCAGAACTGTCTTCTAGATTTAAGTGCCCTTAGAAAGGATCTTGAGCGTTATTTAGAGGTTTGATTTTCTTTAGTAATTTTCCAACTTTAATGTAACTAGTGACCTGAGAACCTGTTAAAAATGCAGATTTCTTGATCCCACCTTCATAGTTTCTAATTAAGTAGCCCAGATTGGGACACAAGGTGGGGGCACAGGTATCTAAAGAAACTGAATAAAAACCTGATTCTTCCGGGGCTGTTGGCCTAGGATTCCCCAGGTTTTAGAAATTCTGATCTAGATTAATAATTCTGTTGGATTCTGACACTGTGAGGTTGGTGGTGTGATTTTTTTAAGTATGCATACACATACAAATCCAATGTCACTACAAAATGTTCCTGAGTTGATTGGTGATACTCTGGGGGCTCTCATAAACAGAACTAAGAAACAGTGCTCTAGATGGGGCTTTTTGAAACCTTAGAGGATTCTGAATTCTGCAGAAGCTTGCTGGATTTCTAGAATATTTTTCATAAAAATGTGTATTTTTAAAAACATTTTAGGTTTCTCTGAGCACAGTAATATCCCTGACCATTTCCCCCTCCACATTATATATTTCCCTTCACTTTCATTCAGTGAACTGAGGGGTGCTCTGTGTCTGCGTGTCGGGCTCTGCGCCAGGTGCCAAAGGCTCAACTCACTCCCCAGAGCAAAGTCTATGCCAAAAAGTGACCACATGCCACACATATGTTGAAAAAAGTTGGATACATTTGTTTTAGAGAGATCTATGTGCAGGGCAGACTAACAGGAAAAGAAAAAGAAAAATCTTATTACAACTCCCGAAGCCTCCCTTGGTAATCTTATAGACTCCTAACATTACTTAGACAGAAAACAACTTTACTCTCTATGAGTAAATGAATTTGAATTTTAAAATTATGTATATAATCTGTATATATCACATATAATATTGCCATAAGAGCCAAGTGTTTAAAACCTCTGCTTTCGACCATCCCAGAATGCGGCTTCCCTGTACCTGTTCAGTGGGAAATGCTGGATCTCTGGAGGGGGTGTCAGCCGTAAGCAGTTAAAAATCTCCATTCTGAAATCCTCCAGGAAGAAAAGGATCCTCTTTAAAGGGGCCTCACCCTCTTAGTGGGCATCTGAAATAATAGCTGCAGAGTCCCAAGGGACTACGGGGGCACCGCGGAGCCCCCAGCCCAGGGGACAGAACCACTCAAAACATTTTAAGGTACTTTGAGGTTATTTTTAGAAATGACCATGATCTTTTTTCTTTCTGCTATGGTTCACATTTAAAACTCTATTCCCAAAAAGTCTTGGAAGTACATAAGGCTGATGGTGCCTCTTTTCAATGTTTGGAACATGAGCACCCATCCAATTCCAGCTGTAAGTGCTAAAGCAACATCCTGATTTAATGACTCTTTAAAAATATTTTAAATCTTTTTTGGGGGTGTGGCTGAATCTTTAGGTATGTTTTTATCCTTTAATTATGCTTAAACATGTAATAAGTACCAACTGAATGCACAACAACATATTGGGAATGGATCGTAAAACATCAGGAGCAGTGGCAGCTGAAGTCCTCCACATTTAGAAACTCTAAGTTCCAAGATCCCCTCAAATCTCCAAATTTCCAAATACATAAATGTTTTTACAGGCTCCTGGCTTTCTCCCAGTGGAATGAATAAATTATATTTTCATCACAAGTCACAGGAATCCTGTGTAGTCTCTGTATCCGAAGTTATAAAGTTTTTCACAAACTCTATACGTGCAGTTTAAACTGGTGTTAACAAAATTATCAACTACTCATTAAAAGCAAGACTGTTATCTTTGCAAATGCTAAGGCCATATGATTTTCAAATCTCACGTAGTTTTCAGTAGAATGCTCTAAACTTCTAAGTTTTTATCACAGAAGTTGACTCACTGCTTACTAAATGTTTCAATATATTATTGTCATACAATATTCTAATTGACTGAGAGCTAACCAGCCAGGCATTGAGCTAAGTGCTTTACATATCTTACCTCGATTAACCCTCACAATAACTTAAAGGACAGGAATGGGTTCAGAGAGGACAGGTAGTTTGTCCTAGGGCACACAGCACAGCCCTACTCAGTTATGCCTGCCTCTCAAATCTATGCTCTCACCTACTCTGCTATTTTGCATCTGATGACTTCTGTCCCAATCAAACTGCAGCAAACCTGCTTAGAAATTCTGGGAAAGTGTTTTAGACACCTGTGTCATGACGCTCTAAAGGGGATGTGTTCATGTCTTTGAGTCAGATCTGGCTGATTCACAGAAAAGCCTTGTGCTTCCTCTACAAGGAAAGATGTCACTCTGCAAATTTAGCATGTGTTTGAGAAGTGATGATGGCTGCAGCCCTGAAAACTTCAGAAGAGAGCAAATGTGTGCATCCCAGCGGTAGCTTCCTTCACTCAGTAGCTTTCTGTAGGAAAAAGCTCCACTGAGACTGGTAGTTGCCATCAGCATTCCACAATCTGAACCCTGTACTGCTCTGTTGTTTCATATACATAAATACACACACATATAACATTACATTTATTTTTAAGGACAAGAAACAATATCCTTAGGAATATCTCCTGATAATCTCCCACTAGAAGTCATGAATACATTTTCTATTCAAACATGCTTGTATACATGACCTTGCCTTACAATCTGAAATTCCTAATGGGATTTTATTTAGAGCTGTAAAGAAATGCCGGTAAAGGAGGTTGGTGAGGAAGAAGGGAAGGCTTTCCTCCCCATAAGGGAGGAGGATGGCAAATGAAAAGATCAGATCTTATCTGCATCATTCACAGCTGGAGACTTACACCAACAACACAGACCAAAGAATAGGCATGTTAGAACTAAGCGTGAGGTTTCGATTTGTTTATTTTCTGGAAGGAGGGAGGCGGGAAGGAGCAATATTTCAGGGAGGCTGAGTATTTTTCTCTCCCTTGGGGAGGATTCAACAATCTTTTTATTTCATTGTTTACTTAAAATGTCCTTTCTTTTCAATAAGGAATTCTCATTTTTGTTTTCAGCCCTTCCAAAAGACTGTTTTCCTCAACAGCACTGAAGTCGTGCACCAGCCTAGCAGGATGCGAACAGCCAGGGTGCCCAGACCTGAGACTGCTTTTGAATAAAATCCCATCACATGTTTATCTCCCTTTGGAAAACAAAAGTATTGAAATAAGATCTCTTACTCGATAAAAAGCCTCGTGTTTCCCTCAAAGAGGCCAGACACTGCTCTTTCTTGTGAGATGCAGTTTGCATAAAGCAGTACTCCCAGGCAGCTAAGAGCTACCCTCCTGGAAGAGAATTTCCAGTTTCTCTCATTCTCTCCTTCTCTCCTTCCCCTGGACACACACGCAGGCGCGCACGCACACGCACACACACGCACACACACACGCACACACACACACACGTCTCAATGAGCGAGCAAACAGGACATAATTCTTATTTCTAGACAGCATCTGACTCCCAGGCCTCCATCCTCCATTTCACAACAGATTTTTACTCCAAACCTGAGGGGGCTTAGGGACTTGCCTTCATTGACCAATTACGGAACTGTCATTATTTGCATGTCTTTTGAGTAACTTTGTTAATAAACAGAAACCAAGGCAGGAGGAGAGAATTTTTCTCTCCGGGATGAATCCCCCATGGATGAAGAAGATACCCACAGACAGACAGGCACGTTCTCACATACAGGCAAACATGGAAGTCATTTGAGCCGCTCTGAAAATTTTCAGCCAGGCGGAGGTACACACCACACATTCAGCCCGTAAACAGCAGAGCTCTGGAGCCTGGCGGCAGAGCTTTCATCTGTGGGGCAAAGCGGCTCGGCTTCATCCCACCAGCTGAAATTCATTTTTCAAAAGAAATTAGACCAAGGTACTGTTGTTATAGCAACAGTCAGAGTCATTTACACAGCCTCTTCCGCACAACCTCACTGACTTCTGTGGGCAGCGATTTCAATTATGTACAGGGAGTGACCAAGGCTGAGCCCGGGTGGACCCTTTAGTGCCCCTTTAAGACGTGGCAGCCTAAAACCTCTGTGTCCAATCTGAAGCTAAAAGACAACAAGACTTCATCGTGATCCACAGACCTCTTCCAGTCCTGAAAGTCCAATGAGCAGTGAAGACAGGAAGAAAACCTTCCGATCCAATGTTTTCATCTCCTGGGTAGGAACTGGACATGTGACCATTGAATTTCCTGGGTTAACCAAGTACTGGCCATTTCAGAACAGGAATTTCCAGTGAAGACAGTAATGTTCACAATGAATTCTTTAAAAAATTTTTATTTTTAGAAATGGCGTCTTGTTCTGTCACCCAGGCCTTGGCTCAAGCGATCCTCCCACCTAAGCCTCTCAAAGTGCTGAGATTAGAGATTTAAACCACTGTGTCCAGCTTCAGCAATGAATTCTGCAGTAATTTCATAACATCAGTCTTCCAGGACTTTATTCTTGGGGCTGTAGAATTCCCAATATAATAGCCTACTCCAACCTCTGAAAACAACAAACTACAAAATGCTCCTTTCTTGACAAAAATGTACCCTTATTACAGAATCTTTACGGCTAATAACCTTCTGGACGGCAATGTAGCAGTCTACGTCCAGTCTAGGGATACACAAAGGTGGTAAATACCTATGAAGCCAGTGCTCATGACTAATGATCAGAGACTGAATTCTGTGTCCACTTCATACGTTGAAGTCCTAACTCCCAGTATCTCAGAATGTGACTACATTTAGAGCAGAGTCTTTACAGAGGTTAAGTTAAAATGAGGTGATTAGAGTGGGCGCCAATGTGATATGACTGGTGTTCTTATAAGAAGATAACCATCTACCAGCAAAGGGGAGATGCCAATCTTAGTCTGTTTGTGCTGCTATAACAAAATACCTGAGACTGGGTAATTTATACATAAATGTATTTGTTCACAGTTCCAGAGGCTGGAAAGTCCAAGATCAAGGCACTCACAATGTCAGTGTTGGTGAACGGCCATTACTCATTAGACGGCACCATCTAGGTATCCTCACATGGCAGAAGGGACAGAAAGGCAAAAGGGAACACTGTGTCCTCCCATGGTGAAAACACAGAAGAGCAAAGGGAAAGGCCTAAGCTAGTTCCTTCCAGCCCTTTGGGAGGCAATAATCCATTCATGGGGGTGATGTCATCATGACTTCATCACTTCCCTAAAGGCCCCATCCTCTTACTACCACAGCAGAGATTATGTTTCAACACATGAATTCTGGAGGACTAACATTCAGACCATTGCAAGGCCTCAGAAGAAACCATCCCATCACCTTGACTTTGGACTTCTAGCCTCCTTATGAGGGAATAAATTGCTCTTGTTGAAGCCACCCAGTGTGTGGTACTGGCAACTCTAGCAAACTAATGAAACTGATAATTTGGTTCGAACATGTCTCTGTCCTCTCAGTGTCTTAGATGGGTTTGGCTCTCAATTGATATTTTAAAGGAATATTTTGCACAAATTTGCTCATGCTTAGATTTAACTAACTGAACATCTACTGGGTGCTGGGTTCTGTATCAGCAAGTAGGGACACGCTACTGAACAAAAGCCAATCTCTTTCCTTCAGAATGGAGAGGAAAGAAATGCAGATGGGCAAAGACAGTGTCGTTTGCAGTAGGCATAGGCGACCACGCTGTGGGAGCACAAAGCACCACATGCCACTCAGTCCAGATGAAGTAAGGCTTCCTGCTGGGGCTGACACACAACCCGAGAACTTAAGCATTCATAGTGAGGTGAAGACAGCCCAGGCAGAGAGAGCACCACCTTGGGTCAGAGGAGAAGGAAGCATGGTTTTAAGTGAAAACTTGCTTAATGACAAAGATTCATTCTAAGAAATGTGTTAAGTGATTTCATCATTGTGTGAACATCATATTCACACAAGCCTAATATCCTATTACACACCTGGGGTCTATTGCTGCTAGGCTACAAACCTGTACAGCATGTTACTGTACTGAATACTATAGGCAACTGTAACACAATGGTAATTGGTTGTGTATCTAACCATATCTAAACACAGAAAAGGTACAGTAAAAACATGAAAAATGTGGCGTTACAATCTTGTGGAACCACCATCATATATGTGGCCTGTCGTTGACTGAAATGTCATTATGTAGCACCTGACTGTGGTTGTATCTGGCTTGAGCCAGAGTGTAGGGCAGAAGTGTGGAGAAACAAGCTTGCAGAAGAAAGAGCTGTATAGACCTGTGTACCATGGTAAGAAGCTTGGACTTTATCCAGAAGGTTTCAGGAGACACTGGAGGAAAAATGGTCACTTCTAGTGCTAACTTCTGATTTTGTAATGATAAAGATCAGTTATAGGGCTGGGCGCAGTGGCTCACGCCTATAATCCCAGCACTTTGGGAGGCTGAAGTGGGTGGATCATGAGGTCAGGAGATCGAGACCATCCTGGCTAACACGGTGAAACCTGTCTCTACTAAAAATACAAAAAAATTAGCTGGGTGTGGTGGTGGGCATCTGTAGTCCCAGCTACTCAGGAGGCTGAAGCAGAAGAATGGCATGAACCCGGGAGGCAGAGCTTGCTGTGAGCCGAGATCATGCCATTGCACTCCAGCCCGGGCGGCAGAGCAAGACTCTGTCTCAAAAAAAAAAAAAAAAATCAGTTAAATCAGTTATAGCTGGTTACAAAAGGTAAAATATTCGAAGTGATCTGTATTAGTTTTCTAGGGCTGCCATAACAAAATACCACAGACTGGGTGGCTCAAACAACATACATTAATTTTCTTACAGTTCTGGAGGCTGGAAGTCCAAGATCAAGGTATCTGCAGGGTTGGTTTCTCCTGTGCCTCTCTTCTTGGCTTACAGGCAGCCAGTTTCTCACTGTGTCCTTGAACAGTCTTCCCTCTGTCAGCACTCATTCCTGGCATCTTCCTGTGGTCCAAATTTCCTCTTCTTATATAGATAATAGTCATCTTCAGTTAGGGCCTACCCTAATGCCCTCATTTTAACTTAAAATGACCCTATCTCCAAATACTGTCACATTTTGAGAAACTGGGGAGTAGGACTTCAGCAAATGAATCTGAGAGGACACAACTCAGCCCATTACATGATCCAATATCATTCTTGCATGGCTGGTTAAGCAAACAGACAATGCCATCCTTAACGTACATATCAATACAGCTCAGACTTGGTCTTGAGGCAAGTAACTCAACAACTGCTATTGGTTCAGAGTTTAACAATATGTATACTCCTATTTTTATTAATGTATTTACTTATTTTGAGATGGGGGGCGGGTCTCACTATGTTGCCCAGGTTGGCCTCAAACTTCCTGGCTCAAGTGATCCTTCTGCCTCAGCTTCTTAAGTAGCTAAGTAGCTGAGACTATGGGTGCATACCACCTGCCCAGCATGTATATATTTTCAAAAGTGTTTGTCTCCCAAATTCAGAAGAAACTTCACATTCACTCCTTAACTATTAGCAAAGAAGTATAGTCAGAGATGACTCTAAGCAAAACCTCAGAGGAGGCAAAAGTTAGCCTGCCATGACTTTAGGAGGCTCTGAATAGTAAGTGTTTGTTCCCTGCAGCTTAGTAAATGTCACTTTACGATGATTTTCCATAATCCACTTGACTGCAGAGAGATGTACAGTGGGAAAATCGAGGCATAGAGACCAGGGCCATAATGTAACTCAGAGGAAGAACAAGGAATGATGGTTAGGATTCTTGCGCCAGCCCAGTGCCTCATGCGATAAATCACTTTGCCTAAAACAGGTTCAGAGTTTGTCAACTTTCTGTTCAAATTGTGGTGCATTGTAAACGTACTGTAAAACTGTAGAGTAAAAAGTATGTATTTCAATGGTTTTATCTTTCTTACCTAGCCATCCACATATTATTTATGCAGTTTCCATTATAATGCTACAGTTAAGTTTGCATAATATTTTCTGTAACTACCTACTTTTGCATGGTTATAGCTCTCTAAAACTCCCCTGGGACAGAGTTTTTTCACCTTGGTCTCAGTTCAGAAGCAATTTTTTTTTTTGTAATAACAATTGATGACTTTAGAGATATTTTTGAAGTCATGTGAATGTGAAAGAAAGGAAGATTTTTACTGCATTGAATATTTTGTTACCTTTTGTCTAAACACCACACATCAAAAAGAGCTGAACAGAAAGGTATCAAGCAAGGCAGTGTAATAGATTTCACTGAAGACTGACCACACTGCCAGATTTGACTACATGAGGTTTGCATTCACATGCTTATCAGTATTTAAAAATACCCTGAGTGTACACAACAGAAAATGTCAGGAACTTGAAAAGCAAAAATATGCATGTGGTGTTTTCCAGATTTCAGCAAAGCACAGTAACTAAAGAAACTTAATTATGTGATCAGGCAGCAGTTACTTAACCTTTCCAGACCTCTGTTTCCTCAATTATAAAATGAGAGGGTTGGACTACATGATCTCCAAGGTTTGTTCCAGCTCTAAGAGTCCCTATTTGGACTCTGGATACAAATCAATAACTTACTTTCAAAGTCACCCTGGAAGGCACTCTTAACTCTGAACTTGGCAGGTAGTTACCAAATAAGATCCTTATTTTACATCAGAGAACAAGAATTCATTACATTCTTCTGCCAAGGTTTCTTGACTTTGGTAAACATGAAAGAAAAATTACACTTGAATCCTAATCACAATTATCTTTTATAAAAATGCCAGAAAACCAAGTGTTTAAATTACATGACTCATTCAAAAGAATTTGTGACTTTTTGATGGCCCATTGGGTGTCAGGTGTTGAGCTGAGTGCAGAGGATGCAAAAGATGCACAAGTCTCCTGATTTCAAAGGAATTTGTAGGCTGTTGCATGTTTTAATTTTCCTCCTGTCTATTGGAAAATGCTCCCCTTCATGCATAACACTTGTCTGACACAGACAACAATGTTGTATCCCATTCTGGCAACCACAACTTGGCTAACTTATACAACTGTGCACTATTCTTCTTCACCGTGAATGATTTTGAGTAAACGGCCTTAAGTGACATCAAGGGTCTGAACGTGTCAGTTTGGGTAACTAGATACTGGACCAGGTTACATATAGAAGCCGTCTACCTTTTCTGGGTGTCCACATTGCATGTATTACCTAGAATAAGCAGATGGATGGTGGACCTATTGTAAGCTTAGAGTGAGGGGCTCTGGGACCTAGAATCACGTCTCTCATGGCCAAGCTGTATCCTCTCTGGAACTCAGTTAACTATGCTCTGCTGCCATTTTTGCCCTGGACAAAATCTCTGAAGTCCCCTATAGATCTAACAGCCCAGAATTGTATAATCTGTCTAGGTTTACTTGTGTATAGTTGGAAGATGAACAAACTGACATTTTAGATTTCCTTTCAACTTTATGTAAACCATATGTTTACATATTCTCTTCTAAAATATGTAACTAATTCCTGATTTTGAAAATAGTAAGTTTGTCTATCACTATTTCTGTATACTGTGTAGTAAAACCTGATTAATCCAATTCCTGCTAATTTTGCATTTAGCTGTAACTTGGCTAAGGGCCAATTGAATATTTATCCTTATGTACAATAAAAGCTTACTGTGTAAAAGAATAGGTATAATAAAGGTTATAAGGGGAATGTTTAACCTACTTAATATAGAAATGAGTCTCAAAAACTCAAGAACTCAAATTTAAATAAGCAATTGATACATGTATTATGAATTCTTCTCAGATATTTAAGTAGTTCCCCAAGGATGTTTATTTACTAACAGCTCACTAGTCTAGTTTGAATTACTGTTGTTACTTTTAAATATATCACAAGCAGTATATATTTACTACCATACTTCAATTCACATTCTTCTCAATTCAGGCAGCTGTTTGCCCAAATTAGTTTAAATTAGGGAAAGTCTATTGTATTCATAAACTTCATGTAAACAGCAGAAATGATGACTATAAAATTTGTCTTAGGTTTGTTGGAACTCTGAGCTTAACTTCTATCTGAGATTCGCAGAGAATGAACATGGAATGATTAATGGCCATTACTGATTTCTTGCAGCTGTAACTTAACAGAATATGTATACTCTAATACAGTACCCATGGTAATTATCTCATTACTATGAAGTGTCACAGAAATACATTATGCGAAGTACGCCCTGAATCACATTTAGCAATTTCTTTTTATGTTTTAAACCTGCAAGCTTAGTGTTGTCTAGTAGTTAGAGGTTTGCGTGGAGGTCTGGGGCTTAGCATAGGACTCCTGCACTCGAACTGGAGTTCCTTGGCAGAAGCAGAACCAGTTTCGTGACTCTGATCACTCTGTTAAACTTTTCTGTACCTCAATTCCTAATTTGAAAATAGGCATATTCACATCTGACCCCTACTATACCTCATGGAAAGGATTAGTCAGATTATGTCTATAAAACAGTTGGCCACCATGAGGAAAAGCATTAAGGAAATTACTCAGCCCTCTGCAGTGGTGACTTCTCTAACTGCATGAATATTTAACGAACAGGTATACATAATACTTGACACGTCTATGGAGCTTTTGATGCAAGTATCTCAACATCGCTGAAAGAAATACATACCAACAATTATCAAAGACCTGGGAAGCATCAACTCACCACTCAGAGAGGGCAGACATAGAACAGCTTAGTTTTTAACATCATACTGTTCAAGACCAGTGGTATAGCCAAATACAGTTATCCCACAAACCCAAAGATAAGGCCTTAAACCAGGTGCGGTGGCCCGCACCTGTAATCCCAGCACTTGAGGAGGCCGCGGTAGGTGGAGGTCAGGGGTTCAAGACCAGCCTGGCCAATATGGTGAAACCCCATTTCTACTAAAAATACAAAAATTAGCTGGGCATGGTGGTATGTGCCTATAATCCCAGCTACTCAGGAGGCTGAGGCAGGAGAATCGCTTGAACCTGGGAAGTGGAGGTTGTGGTGAGCCGAGATCACCCCACTGCATTCCAGCCTGGGCCACAGAGTGCGATGCCGTCTCAAAAAAAAAAAAAAAAAAAAAAGATAAGGCCGTAGAAATGAGGCATCCAGCCATACACATGAGTCTGCCTGAACAATATATAAGCACAGAAGTTCCCTAAGAAAGTAAATGCATAGTTGGAAATGAGTCCTGTTAATTAAATGAGAGGAGTCAGCAAAGAGATAAAAAAAAACAGTATTGGTGAGAGATCAACATAAAACATCATCAAGAAAGTAGGACAAAACAAAGAAGAATAATTTGTGGTCAAATTTGTAGTGTCAGTTGCAGCTCTGAAATGAGAACTAAGAGACCACTAGGTTAGTAACCAAGTAATTCACTGAGAATCTGAGCGAGGGTTCCTCTATGACACTCAGCAGCCTCAACATCACCTGGGAACTTGTTAGAAATCCAAATTATCGGCCAGTCCCCAGGCTTTCTGAATCAGAAACTCTGAGGGTGGGGCCCAGCACACTGTGGTTTAATAAACCCTCCAGATGACTGTGATGAGTAGAATCCTTGCACAAGAACTGTGTTGTTTGTCCAACATTGCTGAGAGGATGCACTGTGCGATACTTCAGTCACTAGCTGCATGTGGCTACTGAATACTTGATATGTGGCTAGTGCTACTGAGGTACTGGCTTTTAAATTAAATTCAAATTTATTTAAATACTGAGGTATTTATTTTTAAATAAATTCAAAGTAGCTACATGCAACTAGTGGCTATTATATTGGACAGCACAGTTGTAGAATAGTACTGTAAATGAATGCCAGTTTTTGGTCAGGGAACTGAGGCAAATGGAGATATTAGGAACAAGAATGGAGATATTAGGTGTGACTCTTCTATATAAGAAATCTTGTTGCAAGAAGGAAAAAAGGCATCATAGGTTGTATGTCATGAGGTGAAGTTAAAGGCTTTTTCAGGAGAAGTAAGTTCTGAGTGGGTGTGAAGGAGAAGGGAAGTCAGGAAGCAGGACCTATTGACACTAAGGAAGGAAGGACAAGTGAAAATGTGTGTTGGAAAGTCCGAGAAGTATAATACAGGCATACAGATATATATAATTGTGGTTAAAATATTAGTAAAAGAAAATTTACCATCTTAGCCATTTCTAAGTGTACAGTTCGGTGGCATTAAGTACATTCACACTGTTGTACAACCATCTCTCCACCATCCACCTCCAGAAATCTTCATCTTGCAATACTGAAACTCTGTGTTCATGAAACAACTCCTCATCCTCTCCATTCCCCGGACTCTGGCAACCACCACTCTACTTTCTGTCTCTATGAATTTAACTACTCTACGTACCTCACATAAGTGGAATCATACGATATTTATCTCTTAATGACTGGAATATTTCATTTAGCATCATGTCCTCAAGTTTTGCCTGCATTGCAGCATGTCAGAATTTCCTTTTTTTTTTTTGCGATGGAGTCTTGCTCTGTTGCCCAGGCTGCAGTGCAGTGGCGTAATCTCAGCTCATTGCAACCTCCGCCTCCCAGGTTCAAGCAATTCTCCTGCCTCAGCCTCCTGAGTGGCTGGGACTACAGGCGCACACCACCACACCCAGCTAATTTTTTGTATTTTAGTAGAGACAGGATTTCACTGTGTTGCCCAGGCTGGTTGTGAACTCCTGAGCTCAGGCAATCTGCCCACTTCGGTCTCCCAAAGTGCTGGAATTACAGGCGTGAGCCACTGCGCCCAGCCCAGAATTTCCTTTTTAAGGCGGAAAAATATTTCATGGTATATTGCTATGGTCTAAATGGTTGTCTCCTTGCTGAAATTCACATGTTGAAATCCTAACCCCCAAGGTGAGGGTATTAATATTAGGTAGGAGGTGCAGCCTTTGGAAGGTGATTAAGTCATGGCAGTGGATCCTTCATGAAAGGTAGTGCCCTTATAAGAGGCCCCAGAGATCCCCCTCACTCTTTCCATCATGTGAAGACATCGGAAGAAGACAGTTGTCTATGATCCAGGAAGCAGGCCCTCTCCAGACAAGAATGTGCTGGCACCTTGATCTTGGATTTCCCAGCCCCCAGAACTGTAAGAAATAAGTTTCTGTTATTTATAAGCCATGTAGTATTTGGTATTCTGTTACAGCAGCCTGGAAAGACTAAAACATATGTACATACCACACTTGGTTTATCCATTCATTCATTGCCTCCACATTTTGGCTATTGTGAATAATGCTAGTAATGCATGTGGGTATACAAATATCTCTTGTAGACCCTGTTTCAGTTCTGGTGGCTAAATATCCAGAAGCAGAATATTGGATCTTATGGTAATTCTGTTTTTAATTTTTTTTGAGAAACTGACATACTGTTTTCCATAGTGGCTGCATCATTTTACATTCCCATAGAGGTGCTTGTTTTTGAGACAATGAGGAAGGGCATATCAATGCCATCAGAAGAGTGATTAAAAAACAAATGTGGGGGAGAGATTTGTTGAGATGGAATGGGGAGAGGTGGAGACAAAGAAGTTTGGCTCTAATAGTCTTTCTTTTCTCAATGACCTTGACACAAGGTTATCATCTCCAAGGAAGAACACTGCTAAGGAGGAAAAAATAAAGGTTGAGGAGAGAAGTAAATGAAGGTTTCGTACAGCTAGTCCGTTACAGGAAAACAGGTAACATTCTGAGCTCTGAAGCAGAAGTCTAGGCACTGTTGTGGGTTAAATTGCGTCCTCCCCAGCAAAATGATATATTGAAGTCCTAAACTTCAGTACCTCAGAATGTGACTTCATTTGGAAATAGGATCTTTGCAGATGAAATTCATTAAGATGAGGTCATACTGGAGTAGAACAGGCAAAACCCAACACAGCTGGTATCATCTTATAAGACGACAGCCATGTGAAAACACGAAGACATACAGGGAGAGTGCCGTTTGACGGCGGAGGCAGAGACTGGAGTTACGCAGCTGCAAGCTAAGGAATGCCAAAGACTGCTGACAAACTTCTGGAAACCAAGAAGAGTTAAGGAAGGATTCTCTGCAGAGTCTCAGAGGAAGCACGGCCCTGCTCACCCTGCTGACACCTTGATTTTTACCTTCGAGCATCCAGGACTGTGAGACAATCCATTTCTAGTGTATTAAGCCACCTAGTCTGTGGTATTTGTTATGGCAGCCCTAGGAACTAATATAGCCACAGGGCATGAATCTGCAGTAGGACAAGGTCATCCTATGCCAAGGCCAAAATGAGTATTTCCAAATTACTGTGCATCCCACCTGTGAGCAATATGCTTCCTGACACACAGTGATAATGTAGGTAATAAGTCAATGTAATACATATTTTGAATCACAGTCCTTACTAAAGGGTTTTCTTTCTGTCTTTTCCAGGCATAAATGAGGCATGCATATGAACACACTAAATTGTATGCTTCTAAGAACCAAGAGGGGAGAAAAAAAATCTCAGTATCCTGGGGCAGAAATATGTGGAGTAGATGTGTACAAGTAATGCCTTAGTGCTGTCATCATCTGGAAGTTCTGGATTTTATTTCACCTAATTTGTCCCCTAATTTTTTTTTATGGATTATAATCCTAAGTATGGCTCTTACTTCACCTGTAAAAGTCAAAGACATATCTAATTTTTAAAATTTCTAAATCTGTCTGCTTTTTCCTTTTTCTGACTTTGGTCTTTGTCCTAAGTGCCAATGATTTTTGGATAAAAAATCCAATTATTTTCCTACTTTTACACTTGAGTTTCATGGGGGAAAAGTCAGCATTAATGGTCTGGTGATGAGTGCGAACAGATGAAGCCATCTAAGAAAAAGCTGTCGGTTATGTACTCCTGGGTGACTCTCTCAGAAGCAGACGTTCAATGGCTGTGAGAGCAAAAGAACCAAGGGGCTGTGGGGGTGTCAGCGCTGCACTGATTTCAGTGCAAGACAAGGGTTTAGGTCCCGCATAACATCTTAACAGAAGACTACGGCGGGCGCCCCTTGGAAGGGTAGCTCAGCTATTGCTGATATGGAAGCAGTGTGGATTATTTGGTTAGGCAGAATAACCTTGAACATCTGCCAAGTCAAAACACAAGTCATAAAAACAAACACAAAGCTTTCCCTGGCTGCCCACTTGCTCTCTGCCTTTAAAATATTTCTTGCTTTTGTTAAAATTCACCTTCATCCTAGTAAAAGAGGAGGAAAAGAGTTGTGAACTGCAATTGTAAAGAAAAAACATCCAGTGATAACTACATTAAAATTTTTTTTTTACAAGAAAGTATCCAGTAACAAATTGTTTCCCTCCTCCCTTCCTTCCACAGCTCCTCGTATATATATTTTTAAAAGCATTTAGACTTTGGCTTTTTATGAAAGGCATACAGTAAAAGTATCACAGTTCCAAAATTCCAAAGCAATTTCACAATCATAATGAAATGAGGGAGGAAATGGTTTTGTGAAGGTCTTAAAAACAATCACCCCACGTTGCTATGTGAAGCATCTTTATACATTATAAAGGGCTCGGCAAAAATTAGTTCATTCATTCAACAGGCACTCATCGAGCATCATTTATACACTAGGACCTATGTAAGAAGCTAGGGATGAATAAGACACAGTCTGCCTGGTAGAGCTCACAACAGAGGGAGACAGTTATTATTATTATTGATTATAATGTGGCTAGGCTTCTCCTGCCCTATTCCTACCTCCAGCCCCCAGGAACCTTGATTTTAATTCACAAAGCGCCATATTGTGGGGAGGAAAAAAAAAGAAAATGACCACAGTAAATCCTGTAAAGGTGGCAGGTCTCTCCAGAAATAGAGCTAGACTGTGAGCTTAGACCTCCTTTAAACTAATGGCAAGGAAAGAAAAGAACACAGCAACATGCCTAACCCAGATGTACCAAACCCGACCACAACAAACAGCTAGAACTAAATGAGAGAAATTCAACGTTAATTGGGAGAGAAAATGATGGAGAGGACAAAAATCAATTAAAAAGGAAGATGAAACCAACTGGAATAAAGTTAAACACATCTTTCCCTCCTTGTCTTTTTCCCCAGAATTGCCCCAGAGTGTCACCTGAAGAAAGACGTTACCTTCAGCTCCACTGGAGACTTTGAGGTTTCACAGACAAAGGGAGCCAAGTCTGGAGTGGATAACCCAATTTCCACATGTTTTGGTTTTAATTCAGATGAGCCAACTTGAATATCAAAAGTCAGGTTTTTTTTTCTCTGATGTGATTTTATGCCTGCTTAAAACCAGTGGCTAAGGAGAAAGGGCATATACAATGAATCTAAAATCATTCAATTACCTTAAGTCAACCGGGAGGCTTATATTTACTGAAAATAGGCATTCAACTCCCATATTACAAAGACATGCAAATGACTCCCATGTTGCAAAATATTCTGGATAGTTTATTACTGCTCTCTGTTGTTGGAGGAGCAAGGAAAAAGGCTTGAGAGGCTGATCAGGAAAATACTACATTTGTCAGTTGGCAACAGCAGCAGGTTAACACAGCCTCTTGAATTAACAGCTCACAGGAAGAGAAAAAAACCAACTCCTCTTTGGAAGCAGATTCATGCTGCAAAATTATCCAAGTTAATTTCCTTCAGTTAATTATGTCAGTTTCCTTATTAGCAAAGGGAGATGACCAAGTCTAGTCTCTATCTAACGACTCAGAATGATGAGGTTAGCTGGCCCCATCTCTATGTTTAAACCTAACGTTCAGACAGAGCCTCATAGAACCTCATGGGCAGAACTTGCCCTAACCAGTATTTAGTTCTGCTCTTAGTACTGTTTAACCAAGGATTCTCTCAGAAATGTCCGTGTAGGCTACGATTGAGATCTACTAATGGCTAAGTTACCACACTGCTTCATCTCAGAAACCTGTGTGTATGAATCCAAGGTACGAAAGCATCCAGTATCCCTTGTAAGTCTGGTGGCTAAGCAGCATTGGCGGGGGGGCGGGGATCCTCTGAACCCACTATAACATGGCACCTTATATGGAGTGGGGGTTCACAGTGAACATGCCCTGACCTCCTCGTTATCTTAAGCAAAATTTTGGGGTGATGAGGGGTAGGGATGGGGACAGGAATTCCTCCGGAATCACTCTGGAATCCGGGTCCAAGCCAGAGTAACCCTGCTAACACAGACGAACCAAATTTACTGCTACTCAGACTGGCCCCAACCATTTATGCACTCCTCAACGTTATCAGCAAACAGCAAGCTTTTCTTGTGTGTGCATCCATTAAATACCAGGCAAATTCAAGATCTTTTCTCTTAATTCCCACATCAACCACGCAAGGTAGGTTAATAAACATCATTTACACAAATGAGGAAACTGGGGCTCAGGGAGATTAAACAAATTGCCCAAGGTCACACAGCTAGTGTGAGATTTGAATTCCAAAGCCTGTGCTTCTCTGTTACAAGCCTCACCACTTGTGAATAAAATGTGTTTCTCATTTCCAAACTATTCCACAGCCTGGCTCCTGAGATAGGAAAAAAAGGAAGGCATCCTCAGAACTGCTTTCTCCCCTCCATGATTGGCTGGCATATAAGAAGTTACTCTCTGAAACTGGATCTCCTATGAGGGCTGTTGTTCTTTCAGCCGTTCTCAGAACATTTCTGCTACTGAGTTACTGAGTTATAACTATACATTGGCCACTAACCCAATGCCAGCCTGATCCTGAAGAGAATGGTGTTGGTGACAGCAGGCCACCTGTGTGGGGTCATGGTAATGGCTAATCCTACTGGTGACCACTTTCCAGGGATATCACTACTGAAGCGCCGATATAAGGACACATTTCCCAGGAAACCAATCCTGCTCGTAAGCATGTATGCTGTGCTCCAGGTGGCCATGGCCTCAGCACTTAAAAGTCGAGAGGGCCACCAACCATGGTTCTATTGCAAGAGTTGTAAAAATTTGCACTCGGCAGCCACTGCCTTCACCCAGGTCTTTCTATTTTTCTTTATTAATAGCTTTACGTTTCCTCTTATTCATAAGATAAGGCTAATATTGCCTAGTTCAGAAAAGGGTTGTAGGGGTTAAATAAGGTACATAAGCAAATGTATCCACCAATGGTACTTGAAGACTTTTTGTAACTTTCCTCTCCCATTAACAATTTTATAGTGACTTGCAGGGATTTTCAAGTGGGCGTTCTTTAACCTCCCGTACAATACCATAATAAAATATAGAGATAATGCAGATATACATTTCTTAGATGACAGAACAAGGGTTCTGTGACATTGATAATGCTGAATTTTTAAACTGGAGGTTTACATAAAAATGGATTTCCAGAGTTCTGAGAATGCTAGAAAACTGTATGCAGAATTTTGTGGGTATGTGTCTTTTTCAGGAAAGAAGGTCCAAAGCTTTTCTCAGATTCTCAGTGCGGCCCATGACTCTCCAAAAGTTCAAGAACCACTCTCCTGTAGGTTAGCAGTAGCAAGATTTGCTGGGCCTAGCTGTAAAGTCTTGCATTTAAGGCAGGAAAACCTGTCTCATAAGCAGTTTTGTTTTCCTTGAAGTTTGAAGCCGTGTGCTCTTGAAATTCTAGGTTGCATTAAATGTATGTATGTTCTCTGAGTCCAGGGAGACATAGTTATGCTCTGAACTGATGCCATCCAATAAGGTTGGCTTCCATTCTGAAATGATCACTCTCATCAGGTGGCAGGGCAGCAAGAGGGTAGTACCAGGGGAAAGAAGGCCCCAGAAACCATGTCAAGTGAAAAGGAGGCGAGGAAGCTGAGGATATTTTGCTAGAGAAAGAGGAGAGTTGAGGAGGGGGAATGCCACAGCTCCTCTTGAAAAGGTAATGGTTTGCTATGTAGGAAGAGAATTAGATTTGATCTATGTAGCTCCAGAACATGGAACTAAGATCAATGGATGCAAGTAATGGGGAGAAAGAATTCAGCCTCTATATAAGGAGAAACTTTTAAAAAACGATTAGAGAGATTCAAAATAGAAAGGGCTGCCTTGTGAGGCTAATGAGCTTCCTGTCCCTTGAAGTTTTCATACCAAGGCTGCATGTTCATCTGTCAGGGATTTGCAAAGGGGATTCTTTATTGGGTGGAAAGTAGGAGAAAATGACCTCTATGATTCCTTCTAATTCCATGATCCGTCTATTAAGGTTTTATATCTCTTATTAAAATTTATAGTCAAAGACCCATAGACATCTTCCTTTACTTTACAGAATAGATACTTGAGGCGAGTCCCTTTATAAAGGGAATAATCAGACTTTCTCTTTAAGTTTTGATTTTTATGTATTTTGTTTTCTCAGAATGGGTCACACCTATGTTCGGACGCTGTGTCTGTGTGGCCAGCACACACACCTTCCATCTGTCACCTTTTCTGAGTCTCCCCTGCCTGCTCCCTGCCTGGACTCTTGCGCTATTGTTCCACTAGCCGTTTTTCCCATCTTACCCTTTCCAGTCTACTCTCCACCAGCATCCAGAGTCACTGTTGAAAAACATTCTTCAGAGTATGTCTTTCTGCCTCAAATCCTTATATAGACTCCCATTTCTCTGAAAGTCAAACTTGCCTAAGAGGCGCTGGATGGTCTGGTGTCTCCCAGCTCCTTCATACCCTTCTCCCCTTCACCACCACACTCCAGGTGGCCGCGCTGGCCTCTCCGAGGGCTCTTCCCCTCCTCTGCATCTGCACCGGTGCTTCTCTCCACGTGGAACACGCTTATCCCAGCTCCTTGCTGGGCTTATTGTCATCCTTCAGATTTCAGCTCACATCTCTCCCCAGAAAGGCTGTTCTGACCACCCTGGCTCAGTCAGCTGCACCTCCCACTTGTACTTTATCGTGTCCTTCTGTTTTGTCTTTTTCACACCACTGATCACAATTTATAATCATTTTGTTTCTTCCTTTTTCCTTGGTATTGTCTTCTCCCATTTGAGTGTAAGCTCCTTGCAGACAAGCACCTAGTCTGTGTTGCTCACTAATGTGTCTGTCTCCAGTGTCTAGCAGAGATAAGCGCACGACTGGTGGTCAGTACGTATCTTTGGAATGAAAGAATAAGTGATTACATGAACATTTCTGTCCGGCATAGTAGGTGGGCTCTGGAGCTGAGTGTGACCTCACTCCTTAGAATGTAAACAGGAATCGTTTCTTAATGCTCCCTCTGTTTACCTAGCAGAGTACCGCGCATACCTCAGGCCTGCAAGAGAAATTTGGATTGACCCCCAAGAAGCACACAAATGTAATTTAAAGCCAAATATTAGAGAAAAAACATCTTTTTCACTGGAGAAAGACATTATCCATGTCTCTTAGTTTCCTATATGCACAGTGGGGTTAAATCCTAAAGAGAAATACTACAGGTCCCCAAATCTAGGATAGTGTGTCTTTTTTCCTCTGAGGGCTCTCAGAAAAAATATTCTGGCAGTGAGGAACAAGAGATGCTGGAATGAGTTACTGAGGAGGTGGTAGAATCTCCTTTTCTGGAGATCTTTAAAAATAGAACAGCCATCTGGGATGATTTAGATATGGTCTTCATTGAAGAAGGGGGAGGAAGGGGGATGAAGGATCTCTCTAAGTCCCATCTCATCCTTGATTTTCTGATATTTCACTTTAAAGTTTTATTCATGGCAAATGCCTTAAAGGAGCTAGGATTCACTTTTTCTTTTTATCTCAAAGTTAAATCCCATTTTATTTTGAACTGTAATTCTGCTGAATCACTATCCTTCTCTCTTCAAATGGGCAATTTGGATGTCATAACTTTTTTATGTAGAAAGTTTGGATGGAACTTAACTTTCCTTCTTTCTTTCTTAGAAAGGAAAGCAAAGAGATGTAAGATGGACAAGTTCAGAGGTTGGGAATGACAGGCAGAAGTGAGAATCTCTGCGTGGATTCTGCTCCTGCCACTGAGAAGGACTGAGGGAGGCGAACAGCACATGGAAAAACAGGCCAAGACTTCATGGAATGTGGAACATCCCACAACAGGGACCTGGTGCAGCTGAACACAGGAGTTCAGCCCTAGAGGTCTAGTTTACTATTTATAACTATTGAGTCTTCATTTTTGTTTGTTCATTTGTTTTCATGGGATTAAGCTTGGTAAAGTCATGTAAACGACAAGAGGCAGACTTTTCTTCTATTTGGCTAGGAAATTACAGCAGTTCAGCTGTTTCCTCTCTTTGTTCTTATGACTCTTGCTTGATTTATTAAAGTTGCAGAGTCAAAAGAATAATAGATTTTAATACACATCAGGCTGAATCTTACTATTTTTGCTATAGAGGCCATGCTGTAAAAAAGCCTTGTTAAATTTGTTTCTCAGCACTATTTGTATGCCATAACTGTTTTTCTAACCTAAATAAACTTGGTTGCGATTATCAAATACATTTTATTTTTAAATGTTCATTACAAGCACTGTTGTTCATAACAAACTAATGACTAATGACTCTAGTTATTTTTTTTCCAAAGGGAACACAGATTTCAATGACATTCACTTTTTTTGCCTTTCTGTAAGTTAATGAATAATCCATATTTTAATGGAATATTGTGTTAAGTCAGAACAAAGTGTGACCAGAAAGGTCTTCACAAAACATGCTTGCAAACTGTGGCCCTGTCACTTTATATGATATTAACCAAGGACACGTGCTTCTTCATTTGCTTACTGAGCCCAGGACTGGCTGTGTATCCACACCAGCAACACTTCTGTGGATGTGTGCAGGTGTGTCTGTGCACTGGTGCTAGAAGTGGAAGCCAAATGCCAAAATCCACAGAAAGAACATTCTAAGGTAGAAATAAGAACTCCCCAAAACAAAAAGGCAGAAAAAGAATATTCTCAAAGAACTTTACTATGAATTACATTAAGGGGCCTTTATAATACAACATGCACACACTGTTGTGTTTTGGTACATCCTGTTACATAACTGTTCACTAAAGTGGCCATCAACCACCTTTCATTAATGGAGGGCACACAGTTGTCCAGGGCAGACGGAGACATCTGATCCTTAATAGAGCAGAATTAAGTGTCTGCAGGGAGGCTGTAATTTCTACAGAGCATGGCTCCAACTTTTCCTCCCAGGAGGCCCCAGTCCCGGCACTGGAGTCCGCAGGATGACTGTCTGGGGTGAGTGACCTGCAGGAGCCCAGCTGGGGCCAGGGCTGCACACAGGGGGATTTAATCTCTGGGATAAAGACTGGTTTGGGCTCAGCTAGGTCAGATCTGGAGAATAGGCCCTTGCACACCACCTTCTCTCTGCTTTAGAATCTTCCCTTTGCTCCACTCACACCAACATGGGCAGGTGGGATCAGCTGAAAACGCAGTCTCACCAAATCCCACTGGCTGAATCCTGCTTTCTTCTGCTCTCTTTCCTCCTCATTTTTCCCCCTCTCCTGTCCACCTTACTTGCTCTGGTACACTCCAGGAGCCTCCAGGAGCCCTGGACAAACTCAGTGGGCCAGTGGCACATTCTCTGGGAAATCGAGGTCTGAATCTGGAGCTAGCCTATCTACTGCCCCTGACACGAACTCCCAACTCACATCCAGACTCCAAGTGGCTTGTGCTTAACTTCCACGATTTTCCTTTCCAGCTTCTGGTCAGTTTCCTTCCCTCTCTATGGCTGGCTGGCACACGTGAAATCTGGTCACTTTGTTATTTACAAACTATAGTTTTCAGTCTCATACCCTCTCCTGAGCTGCTCACTATCGCTCCTGTGGGGTTTTCTCACAGCCTTCTTTCACAAATTCAACACCACCATTCCCTCAGTGCAAAACAAGCATAGAGAGCTTGCTGGGGCTTGCAGAAAGAGGGAGGGGGGCTGCTGCTTCCCAAAGCCCTTCCTCTGGCACTGCCAACGTTAACGCCGATCTGTGGGGAGACTGCAATTCTAACATAATGAGATATTAATGAGCTCTGCACATGTCCCTAGCCACAACACTTCTCTCTCCCCCTCACCACAAACCCCCTTCAGCAAATCTAAAGAGAATCAGCTCCTCCTCTGACACTACAATTCCTCCACTTTCCCTGGAGCCTGCCCTCTCCCACTGCAGCACCTGGGTTGCCCGCTCACCTTAAGCTGCCAGCACTACAGAGCACCAAATGGGCTGGCACTGCCTTGTTTCCTGGCCTAACGGATGCTTGTTTAAACACTGGAGCTGTTTGCATTGCTGCGGCTCACTGCATGTTAAACACAGTCCTCTGAAACCCTATGCCAATCCAATAAAGGTATCAGCAGTTCAGTGTGGGGAGGCAATTACTATATGGTCCCAAGTGTGCCTTCTAAGCTCTAGGAAGGAAAATTTGATCGAACAACTAAAAGGAAAATCTGATTCGGCTCAGCATCACGTGGAGGACACAAGGCTTAACTGCAGCCAGGTCTGTGGAGGGCAGAGGGAAATCAATCCAGGAGCTAGGGAGAGCAAGTGCACATTGTTAAGAGGGCTTTAAGCCAGCCTGTTAGTAATACTGTCTCCTGCGTTTGGAAAGACACCCGCCTGTCCTCCCCCTTCTGCTCCCTTCAGCTTGCTTGCTTTTTAATTCCAAGGGGTATACTTATTTATTTGCTAATGACAAACTACCATCCTTCTTAACACCCTCCACCTTCTCACTCACCTTTAATTCCTTAAGCACTCATATTTAAAAAATGGCTTTTCTTGTGCAAGATCATTACCATATCAAAGGCGATGGAGAGAGACAGCAAAAATGATAGAGGGATAACATACAGGCAGAGAGAAGAAGGCAGGCCTGCTTCAGAGAGAACGGTGGGTCCCTAACCTCAAGCTAATGATACCAGTCGATAATGCAATGGATTGGTTTTCTGCCTTAGCTAAGTCTGAAAAATCAGGGGAATTAGACATACGATTTACATTTATTTCTCACCCAAGAAGCAGAAGTTAGAAAAGTGAATCATTCCCTCTGTTTTTAAGTTCTGGATATGAAAAGATATGGAGCCTAGGGTTTCTTTTACTTCTCCTTCTTTTTCATTTCAAAATCAGCTCCAAAATGGCCCATCTTTCCCAAGGAAGAGTG
Organism: Homo sapiens; assembly: GCF_000001405.40. Taxonomy (NCBI): domain Eukaryota; kingdom Metazoa; phylum Chordata; class Mammalia; order Primates; family Hominidae; genus Homo; species Homo sapiens. The sequence goes on from NC_000004.12 coordinate 139,922,714, forward strand.
AGAAAGCAGCAATGTATGTGTCTGGCAACACAGAGAAATGCTACCCACAATGCTCACGTGGTGCCATCCATTCACCAGGAATTTTGCCAAATCCTTGTCTATTTCCTGAGGTTCCTGGCACAGGAGACACAGCCAAGATGGAGCAGAGGGCTGCTGTCAGCATTGGCCAGCAGTAGTGCCTATCTAATGGGTGTAAGGATAGAGCTGTTCCTTCAAAGGGTTTGAGGACAGAGTGCTTGCAGGGGTGCCGGGTAGATCTGAAATCTCACGGGATCCCCTGCACCCCAGTGCTCAGAAGGGGAGGGAGCTCTGCTCATGATAGGGTGCCAGAGGGATACGTAACACACTGAAAAGTATTCACTATAAAAGCACATTGACAGGGTCTCTAGACTAGCACATTTTGAGAGTCCCTGGAACAGTAGAGGGTCTGGCCTTGTACCCTAGACTTGACTTTGTATTTCTTACTGCACCAGCTTTAGAAAAACTCCAGCTCCCCACACCCCGGGATCCAGACGGTGGAAGCTCCACCAAGCAAACAGCAAGGCTTTACCAGCCCCACCCTGCAGTAGGGCACCACACTCTGCCCCCTTCCCTCTGTTACTGACTGGGAACAGTCATGAGAGCTTGTAGAGGACTGTCATCTTCAATGCCCATAACTGTTGACATCAGGTGAGGCATTATGATTTTACATATATTATACATACACAATATGTTTGGTTCTTGTGTTCTCCTTAGTTTCCTGACTTAACATTCATGGAACAGCCTCATTATCTCAGGCCTGGAAATATGGATAAGTGCATTATAAACCCCTTCTGAAAATTGATAAATGCCTTGCTCGTCTTGTATATTGGGAAGCAAAGTGTTCTACTTAAGTTTTGTATGTACATATTTTAAGGGGTAGTCTTTGTGTGTGTGTGTGTGTGTGTGTACACCTTTTAATAAAAATGTAAAAACAATTTTTAAAGACTTTAAACCTCTGTGATCAAAAGCTTTCTAAAAATATTTGGATGTTTCCCTGCTTTATTAGAAGGTAGATAATTAACTTTTTTTGATAACTCATAGGGTCATAAGTTACTGACCTTATTGTTGGTTACAGATCTGCTGTTTGTCTAGGGGAAAAAAGCTAGTTACTTGATTACTGGCTACCCTTATTATGAAGGAAGAGAACGTTGCAAAAGATGATAGACCAATACATTTATGAGACTCCCTATGACCCTGTTTTGATAGTACCTTGCTATATCTCCAGACTGTAAAGTCTGTAGGAATGTTAGATCTGTTCCTCAGTAAGACATGAACTCACTCCCATCTCCACTCAGCAGAAACATTTTAATTTCTTTTCTCTTCCTAGTGTTTGACATATCACCACAGAATAAAAAAAGTGATACCAACGCCAAACTTCTTCAACCTATTACTCTCTTTTCCTCTCCCCAGACATAGAAACTCACAAAATCCCTGTGCTTCTATAATGTCATTCTAATCCAGAGATAGTGGCTGAATTGTAATAAAATCACAGAAGGAAATTCTATTCCAGTGATGGAGAAATGTGGTAAAAGATACTATTTTGTTAACAGCGATTCTGAGATGATCAGAGTAGAGGCAATCACAAATGGACAGGGTATTCTTCTTTTAATTGCTTTTTTGTGTGTACATTAAGAAGGTATTTTACCCTCAAATATATAAAGAACTATCTCTGAAATCTTTACCTTTCATATTATTTACATAAAACTTTTCCTCCCTTTTTCTAATTTGTAACACACGAAATGTTTTCTCCATGTTATTCTGTTATCTTGAATTATGTTATCCTGGATCAAGAAATAGCATTCTATCCTTCTCACCAACATGAAACAGAAGTCATATCCTATTGTACAATTGTTAAATGATTACTAAAATCATTGGAGTCAGGTATACTAAAGTGTACTTTCATCATCTGGCAGATTATATTGAATAACAAGCCAGAGGTTCCATTACTTCACTCCCAACTACTACTTCTCTCAAAGAGGGGTGGGTTTGCACTTTGATATCCTACTTGCACACAGATGTAAAAATCTTTGTTCCCCTTAGGAAACTAGCATCTTATTATTCATCTACTACCTTCTCTGGGAAGAGCTTCCTTGATCTCATTTCAGTATTCATTTAGCTCATTACTTCCTGAGGATCAAAAATTACTAGAATGCTTCATGAGAAATAAAACCTGAGATTCCCAAATCTGCATTACTGATGATGGAAAAACCCAAATTAACAACGGAAGGAACTCCGGTTCGGTGACCTTTCGCTAAACTTTTTTTTTTCAGTGTTTAGTAACACAGAGGCCTAATCAGCAAAACATGATTTCAGCTTCCTTTAGAAAAATGAGACCTTTAGAGCAAAAAGTGAGTTGAGCACAAACTAAATTTTGGACCCCTAAGCAAAACATTTAGAGAGGTTCCTTTTTCATTAACCATCCCGAGAAATGACCTCAATCTGCAATGTGCAAGGGGTGGGAGAGAGGATTAGTGAGTCCCTGTACTCTTTTTGTTTGTTTGTTTGTTTGTTTTGAGATGGAGTCTCACTCTGTCGTGCAGGCTTGAGTGCAGTGGTGCAATCTCATCTCACTGCAACCTTTGCCTCCTGGATTCAACCGTTTCTCCTGCCTCAGCCTCCTGAGTAGCTGAGATTACAGGCGCCCGCTACCACACCCAGCTAATTTTTGTATTTTTAGTAGAGATGGGGTTTCGTCATGTTGGCCAGGCTAGTCTCGAACTCCTGACCTCAGGCAATCCACCTGCCTTGGCCTCCCAAAGTGCTGGGATTACAGGCATGAGCCACTGGATCCGGCCCCAGTCCCTGTACTCTTGATAAGATAAAGTGGCCAAAAAAAACAAGGTGTTGTCCAAAAACTGAGAGTATAAAAATAAGGATGAGAGAATGATAGGAACTGGGGCTAGTGTGCCACCTTCACCCTCACCATTGATGACATCTAATTTCAGGTAGTCACAATTGCCTTTCTTTGGAAAGGGTGCCTGTCTGGTTAAGATCAAGTTGACAAGTGCTTTATTATAGTCTCTCTACTCTTCTGTACGTTTGAACATTTCTAAAATAAAAAGTTTTTTATAAAAAGTATGTTGACTGGTTCACTAGAAAAGAAGAATGCATAGAAGGCAAAGGAAGTGAAGGGTGTCAGTCCATTCACCTTGGGACTGAAAATCGTGAGCAATCTGCCAAGTCACAATGCAAGAAGAAAGAGGAGGACGGAGAAATGCCAGATGCAAGGAGGGCAGCCCACGGTCCTGCTCAAAGAACTTTTTAGGGTGATGGGAAGGTCCAGAAAAAGGAGGACATGCTGCTGGCTGCATCTTGCCCTCAACAGAGGATTCAGACAGAGCTGTATCAGCTTCAAAAACCAAACACCCATATACCGAGAAGGCATATGCTCTGTTTATTTGACCTGAAGGAAAAAGGATTTTGCTCACGCTGTCAGACCCATATATCTACAAACAAGTGGAAACAATAGATGTAAGGCATGGAAAGAAGTCATGTATAGAAAGAATAAAAAGAATATTTGACTGCTTGACTTTCTTTAAAGGTAGTTTAGATCCTTTTTGGTTAAAGAAATGCCTACTATAGGGCCAGGCGCAGTGGCTCATGCCTGTAATCCTAACACTTTGGGAGGCCGAGGCGGGCGGATCACCTGAGGTCAGGAGATCAAGACCATTCTGGCTAACAGGGTGAAACCCTCTCTCTACTAAAAATACAAAAAATTAGCTGGGCATGGTGGCGGGAGCCTGTAGTCCCAGCTACTCGGGAGGCTGTGGCAGGAGAATTGCTTCAACCTGGGAGGCGGAGCTTGCAGTGAGCCGAGATCGCACCACTGCACTCCAGCCTGGGAGATAAAGCGAGACTCCGTCTCAAAACAAAACAAACAAACAAACAAAAAAGAAATGCCTACTATATTAATGACAATTTATGTAATTAATTAAAGCCTCTAATTTTTTTAAACTTTAAACTTTTTTGACTTACAGAAAAGTTGCAGAGTACAAAGCTTGTATTCTTCACACCACTTCCCTCAAGGTTAACCATATGCTTACATAACCATAGCATAATTATCCTCATACAATACTATTAATTAAACTACAGGCCTCATTAGAACTTCACCATCTTTTCCACCACTGTCATTTTCTGTTTCAGAATCCTATTCCGGATGATCCCATATTGCATTTAGTTGTTACTTCTCCATAGAGAAGTATTGCCTTCCAGGCCATAACAATTCCTCAGTCTTTCCTTGCCTTTCTTGGCCTTGACACTTTTGAGGAGAACTGATGAAAATGATTTTGTAGAATGTCCTTCAGTTTGTGTGTGTTTAATGAGTTTTTTTCTTTTTTCTTTTTTTTTTTTTTGTACTTTTTGTACTTTTCGTAGAGACAGGGTTTCACTGTGTCACCCAGGTTGGTCTCGAACTCCTGACTTCAAGTGATCCACCCACCTTGGCCTCCCAAAGTGCTGGGGTTACAGGCGTGAGCCACCATACCTGGCTTGTTTAATGGACTGGAATGAGGTTACGTATTTTTAGCAAGAATAGTATAAAAATGATGTTGTGTCCTTCTTCGTACATCATATAAAGGGGTTCATGATGTCAATATGTCTTATTATATGATATTTCACTTGATCACTTGCTTAGGGTGGTTTATGCTGGTTTTTTCACTGTAAAGTTACTTAATTTTTCCCTTGGTAGCAAATAAGCATTTTAAGTGAGATATGCTGAGACTACGCAAATTCCGTTTCTCCTCAAATCGTTGCCCACTAATTTTAGCACCAATCTGTGAATCTTGTCTATAACAGTTATTTCCCCAATGGTGGTTCTGTTTTCCACTTTCCTTTTATATGTATTCTTTGGAATTCTACTTAAGAAAGAGTTGTCCCTTCTCTCCTATGTATTCTTAAAATTATTTATTTATATAACTATGGACTTCTGGCTATTACGTTATTCTGTGGGTGAAAATCCAATGCTATCATTTTTTATCTTGCTGCTCAAATTCCTCTGTCTTTGGCCATGGGAACACATTTATGCGGACTCCTATGTCCTTTTGACAAGCCCATGTCTTTTTTCTGTGCCTTTCCTTATTTATTGGCACTTTAAGATGTTTCAGGTTTATTTTGTGTTTGCCCTGCCTGAACTCTGGAATCAACTGCTTGCTAGGGTGGCTTAGTTCCTTTTATTGGACAATGACATTTAGAAACAAGATACAGGTGCTGAGTGAGCTTATTGCTACTGGGCTGTTGCTTTTAGGCCTTATCAACAGACAGCGCTCAGTAATATACGTGTGTATGCTAACCCATTTATATACATACAGCTATATTTCTGCATCTGTCTATCTGTGTGTCTGTGTGTGTGTATATATGTACATTTAAAAACATGAGTTACTGCTAGCCTGATTCCAATCCAACATCACAGGGTTCATGCTGGCCTTCTCCTTTCTGTATCCATAACTGTTTCTCCATCAATGCGATACCTCTACTACCCTCCTTTAACTTAGAAGATAGTTACATTTCATAATAAGCTCTAAACTCATTCATGGATTGATTTGGAAATGGATTTATTCATTTAGAAAATATTAATTTGGCATGTACCACGCTGAAGGCCGTGGGCTCTGGAGTAGAACTCTGGGTGGATTACAAAGAAATCTTAGGCCCTGCCCTCAGGTAGTTTATGGGCTACAAGAAAACATATTAAAAGAATACAGAGAGTAAGGACTGTTTGGAGAAACAACTAAATTGCTCTGGGAGTGTAGAGGAAGGAGAAATGCACTCCCATTGAAAAAATAATGAAAGGCTTCATGGAGAAGCTGTGGATCTGTAAGGATGGGGAGGATATGGATCTGTAAAGATTAGGGGAAAGCACTCAAGGAAATGGGAATAGCTTGAGTAAAAGCACAAAAAGGAACAGAAGTAAGGCAAGGCATGTCAAGGAAACAGAAAAGCTGTGTGTCTGGGTGGGAAATGGGTCCTGTGAGGGAAGCACGTGGGGACAGCTGGGTCCCGGAGCTCCATGAACTGCTGGCTGCAGTGGAATGTGGCCTTGTCTGGTGGGCCGTTGAGAGCCCCTGCAAGTTTGTGAGTAGAGAAGTGACCTGTCAGGAGTGACACAGTGGAACTCAGAATGGAGGGGGATTTGGCGGACAGAGAAGATCTTTGGAGGAGATAAATATTTGGAAGCTACTGAAATAGTTTAGAATATCAGACAGGGTCTGAATTAGGGCAAGGGCAACAGCTGTGAAGAGGAAGGGAAGTATATGAGCATAATCAATTTTGACAACAAATTTGATAAGAGCAAGAAAAGAGTCAAAGGTAACTTCAGGATTTCAAAAGGAGATATTAAAAACCAAAGCTAGAAACTAGGAGATAAGCAAGACGGTGGGAAAGTGTTCAATAGCCCCCCAAATGCAGAGTTGAGATAGATCGCTTCCCTGTGACTATTTCAGTGCTCTGTTGTGAGTGGACAAAAAAGGAGGGAAAAATTAGACTTTATATCAAACAGTGCTGTTACTTTTTAGCAGCACTGGAAGTCTCTAGCAGAGGAGAAAACTACACTAAAAAGCAAAATGAAATTTCTAGATGGCAATGAAATTGAATTTATCTGTGGTTGCGGTTAGCCATTGGCATTGATAATCACCACACAGCGGTATTTTCTTTGAAGGTAGATAGTTAGCACTCTCTAAACTAGAAATTGCCCCCATTTTATCCATTATGACTCCGAGGCTTTTACAACAGAGCCATATAACTTCAGTCACCAGGGAGTTTTAGAACACTGAAGTTAGAATGGAACCATCACCGCTACTCTATTAATGTTGTATCACTATTCAGATGCAGTTTATTGCAGGGAACAGCTTAAACTCAAATATACTAGCATCTATACAATCATGACAACACTTATTAGTTGGTACATAACGTATGGGCAGAGGCTGTGCTTGCCGGAGACTATCTGTCTTTCAGGCTCAAGAAGCAATGGCGAGTCAGCTGCTGTCGTGCCACAGTCTCTGTTTATTATGTTCTTATTATCTTTCTTATTATGAAAGGAAAGAGCTAAATGTGTTCATGTGTTTGCAGGATGATAGACAACTTAACCATGTCATAGGGCAACAGGAAGGACAGAAGTGGAGGGAAAAAGAGCAAGCAACTTTTCTTCTATTCGATTGGGAAGGAGTTTGGAACTGCAGACCCGTCAGCTATAAGGAAGTCTGGTGTGAATGCCCAGCCTTGCCCCAGAGGGGAATGGGTCCTCACTGAGTACTCCTGCATCCACCTGCTTTCCCATCTCCCCGTTTGTACAGGTGAGTGACTTCAAGCCTTATTTTAGACAAAGTGTCTCTCCTGCCCCAAAGGCTCTCACAGAACAAAGCTGCTACAACGGTTCCTAAAACAGACACAATTCCCACAGAATTATAGATAATTTTCATTTCAGAAAAGAAGATAAAGACATTATTTAATTATCCTCTTTGGGATATGAAAGTACCACGTGGAAGATGGAGGCCAACTATTTCTTCTTCAGGAGAGTCAAAAGAACCACATTGAAGAAGAGGTTCACAACAGATGCTAAAAAATCTAAGGGTGCTCATGGCCTGAATACGTTTCCAGGCAGAGTTTGTGAGCAGAGTTCACAAAGGTGCGGATGAAGACCGTTCGCTGGGCTTCACTAGTACAAAGACAGGCTGACAGTGCAAAGACGAAGAGGAACGGTCCCAGCCATCAGGGAACTCAGCAGCTTGGAAGATACTAAACAGCCACTCCTCCAGGATGTAAGTTCCCTCATTACAAAGCTGCCATATTAAGAAACATCTTTATAAATTAAAGGAAGCAGGGTTGGCAGGATTGAAGGGTCAATGCAAGCACTGAAACACAGTAGCAAGGAATAGGTAGAGGCAGAAACTGTGACGTGGTAATCATCTTCTACCCACATGTGCTGTCCCCATACCTCCCATGACACACTCTCCCCTCAGTCACCACTTTCCCTGGTCTCTATGCTCTCAGGTACCCTCTTCGTAGTCCCTTTTTCTTATGTTTAAATGAGGAGTAACGTGACACTAGACATCTGTACTTATTTACTAGTTTCATGTTAGTATGTTGGTTACTTCAGTTCTTATGTTACCAACTGATTTCATGATTTTTTTTTTAAGCTTCTAGTTAGGAAATTGAAGGCTCCGTCATTGCTATAGGCATTTCAAGCTCGGCCAGTAGGCTCTGTATATTGACAGAGATGAGAAAGACTGCTATAGGTACATTTTTCGTTCTCTAAAAAAAAGGGGTAACAGATGTGGGGGAGAAGAATTAGAAGCAATGCAGAGTCTGTGTTTTCTTCTTTCTCCTAAGGTTATGGCTCGTGTCCCAAGTTGTTGGGAAGGAACCTCTGGTTGCAGCAGGACTGACTGTACAATTTGTGAGCCCAGTGTGAAATGAAAATGCAGGGCCCCTTGATCAAAAATTATAAAAAAATCTCAAGACAGCGCCAGCAGAGCATTAAAACAAGCCCCAAGTCCCAGGCGCCACACAGCCTCGCTCTTCTGCAGTTCAGCTCTTCCTTTTACGTTCCTCTTCTGGCTACCTCATTTATCCTTCCGTAAACCTTCACTGATGAGAGATGTGGTAACCCAAGCAAGTCTATCGTTCTTGCAACTAAAATGAACCAGCACACTTAGGACACGACAGGGTTCCTGCTGTCATTTCTTCCTCTTACCTTGTACCGTCTAAAAATTGCAGGGATGTATTAAAATGCTTTCTACTCCATGTTATTTTAGGTAATATTTAATTAGGTTTTTATGCTTTAATACGATGTCTGATGTTCTGGATCGTATCCTCTAATTTTTTCTACTATAATAAAGTTCCTGACACTAGTTTAGGATGGACTGCATCCTCTTCATCAGAAGCCTTTGTCTTCCTTCTGCCTAAACTTCTGCCCCAGGCTCAACAATCCTCCTGTGCAGTCTCCTTCCGTAATCTCCCCTTCTGCAGAATAAAAAGAACTTTGTAAAAGTACTTTAGAAATAAGCCTGGCTCGGTGGCTCACGCCTGTAATCCCACCACTTTGGGAGGCCCAGACGGGCGGGTCACCTGAGGTCAGGAGTTCAAGACCAGCCTGACGAACATGGTGAAACGCCGTCTCTACTAAAAAAAAAAAAAATACAAAAATTAGTTGGGCATGATGGCTGGCACCTGTAATCCCAGCTACTCGGGAGGCTGAGGGAGGAGAATTGCTTGAACCTGGGAGGCGGAGGTTGCAGTGAGCCGAGATGGTGCCACTGCACTCCAGCCTGGGCGATAAGAACAAAACTCTGTCTCAAAAAAAAAAGTACTTTAGAAATAATTTTTTGATTTGCTTACTACTTTGAATAGTATTTTTGCCTGCCTTTCTTTGCCCAAATTTTTGTAAGAAAAAACATCATGCAAATAAAAGGTACTCAATTCTTATTTTTCACAACAGGGACAGTAACTTTCTCCTCAGATTTTCATTGCTTACTTTTTACATTAGTTCCTCGATGGTTTATAAGCTTTTGTTTTTGTTATCTTGATTTTTTTTTTGATATCTTGGAATTTTTTTATGTCACCTAATTTGAACTAACTGGAATGGAAGGATGTAATCATGTGGGGAAAAACATAAAATACTTTCAAAGAAACTAAGTTTCATTGATCTCAAGATTATGCAGTACCTCAAACTAAGGTTAACAAAGTGTTGCTTCGTTAACAGGGACTTGGAGTCAGTTAAGTGCTTTAATAAGTAGATAAGGCTTATTTGCAATTAGCATATTGATTGTTTACATATAAATGAGTGCTTCCAAAGTGCTTGAGGGGAGCAGGAAAACAGCTTGTTAAGAGTTTTAAATGCCCCCCTTACAGATCATTTATCTCTATACTAATAGACACTATCTTTGAACCAAGTCTTTGCTAGTCCAAGGAGATATCAACCAAAAAGCTAAAATCACCACACATTTCAAATAAGTATAATTAATTAATGATCTTTATTTTGGGGAAAATGTTACCAAAAGTCCCTTCAGAGTGGGTTCACCTGATGGACAAACAATTGAAAAGACAATCAGATCCAGAACTAGTTTCACGCCAGCCATGGTGATCTCTCGTATCTCCATTTTAAGGAAAACGACCAAATTCCACAAGTTTTGTTCACAGCTGACTGAACCAGGTAGAAGGACCCAACCCAAGGAAAACCCGTGGTCTCTGTATGACACAGATTGGCTTGAAAAATGAGCTTGGTCTGTCAGCTTCTGACCCTCACAAGTTTATCTGGAAACACAGGGAAACATAGTTAGCCGTGGCAGCAGAACCTAAAAGCGACACAGCAGACAGACAGGCCAAGGGAGGGGTTGAGTCACATTCGAAAGCCAAGAAACTAAGAAATTCCTATGAGGAGACAGAGATGTGGAGAGAAAGAAAGAAAGAGAAAAGAAGGAAGCAAGGAAGGAAGGAGGGAAAGAGTGGGGAAGGAAGGAAGAAAAGAAAGGGACACACGCATAGCCACACATGTAAGACAGATGATAGATGGAACCTGTGCCCCTTGGAGGGAGTGGTTTGTCCCTATATTTTCCCTGGTTGGCTCTTCCTACTCAGGGCCCGCCCATGAGCATCCTTAGAGCCAACCTCTTTGTCCTTTGAGGTAAACTGGGGCGCTGTTGTTCCTTACTCTGTAACTTGCTGTCAAGAGACGAAAACACCCCAAACCATCTTCCAAATAGGAGCAAGGGGTGGGGACAGGGCAGGATGGGGAGACATCCAACACGTAATGCATTTTACACGGAAAAGCCTCCTTCTCATGCACGTGAATTTGCTTAAATATTTCCAAATTTTCACCAAGACAGCACCACAAAAAGGTCTTTTTCTGGGCTTCTCAAGGCCTACATCCTGGGAGTGAGTAAAGCTGGTGGGGCGGCTACGCTGTTTGGGCCTGATGCCAGCAACATGGTGGAGTCTGTCACACTCCTTTGATGTTCACAGTCAGGACAGCTTCTGCCTGCTAAATATTAATCCAATTTGGCCAATCAAACTTCAGGTGTAGTAAATGATTACAGTAACAGGCAGCTTGTAACCCAGAGAACCCTTCCGCTTCCTGAGGTCAGCCTGGGGCTTTGTTTGAAAACCAGGAGTAGCACAGCAGGGAAGAGGCGTCCCAAAGGAAGAGGGATGGGGTGGGGGTGTGTGTGAACGAGTGTGTGTCTGAGTGCATGGGATTATGAGTGTGACTGTTATATGTGAATATGTGTGAATGTGTATATCTGTGAGTGTATGTGATTATGAATGTGTGACTATATGTGAATGAGTATGTGAGTGTATATGAATGTGTGTGGGACTGTGTGACACTAAGTGTGTGAATTTGTGTGCCAATGTGTGAATATATGAATGTGTGAATGAGTGTGTGTCTATGTGTGTGAATACGTGTATGTGTGAATGTCATGTGTGAATGTGTTTATGAATATTTGTGAGTGCATGTCTGAGTGTGTGTGAATGTGTGTGTCTGTGTGTGATGTATGTATTTATGAATATGTGAATGTATAACTATGCATGTGTGAATGTGTGTAAGAGTGTGTGGGACTATGGGTGTGTGTGCGACTATGGGTGTGTGTGCGTGTGAGTGAACATGAATGTGCATATTTGTGAGTGTTGAGGAGGGAGGGAAAAGGAGAAAAATAAAAGGGAAATAAGAGGGTGTGTGAAAATGTGGCAATTCTCTTCTCAACTGGAAATACAGATTAACATGTGCAAAAAACAACCCTGACCCGAGTTTTCAGCTGTGCATGCGGCGGTGATGTCACTCTCCATTAATCAGGAAGCAGATGCTCCTGGCTGCCTTCTCTCCATCACCCCCTCAGAAAGAGGGTGAGGGCGTCCACGGGGCTCTTCGGCTTTCTTATTTCTACCCCCATCGAAAGGCAAATATGAACCATGTGGCTGTCTCCACCCCTGACTTTAAAAGCATGTGTAGTTAAGGGACTTCAGCTTTTCCTAAAGAGTATTCCTCAAGGGAGTAAGGAAAAAACCAAACTCAACCACTAAAGTGTTCTTCCCTAAATGTCAAAGAAATCTGGTGGGTTGCTGATGTTGTTTTTCTAAACCTCTTTGCCCTAACAACACTTTGTAACATACATGGAGTGCAAGATTCTCTTTTTGCAGAGAGAAAATAAACCCTAAGGCATAGAGTAATTTTCTGCTTGTTGAATCTTGTGCCTGGTTTGTTTCAACAAAGCCAGGTTTCCTTAGCATCACCTGGCCTAATCTACAGAACAGGCACTTCCATGAGAGTGTAACCATGTTTAGCAAAAGGTATCAGTTTGCCAGCTACTTAATGTCTTGGGCAACGTACGGCTGCCAATATCCACTCAATTAGAAGGTATTAATCATGCATTTTACTGCTCTCCCCCTACTGCCTATCACCCCCCTTCCTCAGCAAGGCACAGAACACAGCCGACTTCTCATGTAATTCAGCCTTCCAGGCAGATGCAGTTACATGGCAACCATCAAGACACCTCTTTTTTTTTTTTTTTTCGGACTGATATTCTATTAATCCTTACAAGTTTATTAGTTCTGACTCATAACAATCCATCAGCCATAAGTGCAATAAATGATGCTTGGAAATTAATACCCACGTTTCAGCAGAGAAGGTTTTATATATTGAATTATCTTTAAAGTTATAAATAAATAACATACGTGAAATAGATTTAAGCAATAAAAATATATTCTGCAAACAATACCCAGTAAGCTTAATATTCACCAAGCTGAAGTTACTTGGGCAGTATCTTAATAAGCCCTCAACTCCCTGCCCTCCTTCTCTTCCCTGGTAAAATCATAAATCCATCACATCAAATATTGGGGTTCTTTCTTGGAGGAAAAATAGGGCTTCCTTTATCTAACACTTATTCTCAGTGTTTCAAGTGTTTCAGCTTTCCTAGGGTTTTTTTGTTTTTTTTTTTTGGTTTGGTTTTTGCTTGTTGTGGGGTTTTAGTTTTTAAATTTTTCATAATTTATTTTTGTGCTTTCTGCTAATTTTTTCCAGCTTCTTTAAAGCATAATTGGCATATAAAAATTGTATACATTTAAGGTGCACAACATGATGTTTTGATATATGTATACATGGCAAAATAATTATCACAAGCTAATTAACATATCCATCACCTCACATAGTTACCATTTATTTTCTATGTGTTGAGAACTATTAATGTCTACTCTCTCAGCAATTTCAAGTATACAATACAGTATTACTGACTGTAGTTACCATATTGTACATTATATCCCTGGAACTTATCTATCCAGCATAACTGAAACTTTGTACCCTTCGACCAACATCTCCTCATTTTCCCCGCCTCCCAGCCTCAGATAACCATCATTCTACTCTATCGGAGTTAGATTCCACATATAAATGATATCATGCAGTATCTGTCTTTCTCTGCTTGGCTTATTACATTTAGCATAATGTCCTCCTGCTTCCCCCATGTTGTCACAAATTGCAGGATTTCCTTCTCTTTAGAGGTTGAATAATATTCCATTGTTTATATGTGTGTATAAACACACAGCCACATACACACACCACATTTTTAAATTCATTCATCAGTCGATGGATACTTAAGCTGATTTCATATCTTGGCTATTGTGAATAATGCTGCAGTTAACACAGGAGTGCAAACATCTTTTTGACATACACATTTCCTTTAGATACATATCCGGAAGCAAAGTGGGATTGCTGGATCACATGGTAGTTCTCTTTTTAATGTTTTGAGGGACCTCTATACTGTTCTTCATAATAGCTGTACCAATTTACATGCTCACCAATATTGTTCTAAAATAATTCAGAAATTTTCTGAGATATCTTCTTTTTTGTGTGTGCACACACTTGTAGTTCCACCTACTTGGAAGGCCGAGGCAGGAGGATCACTTGAGGCCAGGAGTTCAAGGCTGCAATGTGCTATGATCATACCTGTGAATAGCCATTGCACTCCAGCCTGGGTAACATGGTGAGACCCTGTCTCTAAAAAACAACAAAAGTTGAAAAAAATACCTGAGATATCTTTGTTTGCCCTTACCTCCTCCTCTTTATCTTTTCCCCCAACTCCTCAACAAAGCCACTTAAATAGCGTTTAAAAAGTGACCCCCCTGAAAGAAAGTCCTATTTAAATCGTGGCTTCAGTAGAGCTTTTCAAGAACCAAGGCCATTAGAAATTCATCTTGCTCAAGGGAGGCAAGAGGCTGAATTCAGGAGCCAGGAGTTTATTTTGCTATATAATGAAAACAAGGGAGAGTCAAGTTTCTACCCAGTGTCAAACAACTCTATCACATTCCCATCAAAATAAGTCAGAAAACATCTGCTAATTTTTACTTTTGTTTTTCAAAAAAGAGAGGGCTCATAGTGCTATTTGCTAACCTGTCTTTCTTGCTAGCCAAATTTTCTAAAAGATACACTCAAATTAAAAGTTTTATAGTGATACTTTTCTTTCAGTAATGAATTAAATCTGTATAATTTTATTGAATGTTGCCCCTCATGGAAATGTGATTATTGCATTGTTGTTACCTATAATGAAATCCTTTACTCTTAACCTCTTTCATAGATTCAATGCACAACAACAAAACACCACAAGATTTCATATTATTGATGACATAAAGTGAATTAAGAGTTAGTGGCAAAAGTCTGGTCTAGACAATGATCTAGCAAAGGAGTTTTTTTTTTTTTTGAGATGGAGTCTTGCTCTGTCACCCAGGATAGTGTGGTGGTGCAATCTCAGCTCACTGCAACCTCCGCCTCCCAGGTTCAAGGGATTCTCTTGCCTCAGACTCCCGAGTAGCTGGGATTACAGGCATCTACCACCACACTTGGCTAATTTTTGTATTTTTTGGTAGAGATGGGGTTTTACCATGTTGGCTAGGCTGGTCTTGAACTCCTGGCCTCGAGTGATCTGCCCGCCTCAGCCTCCCAAAGTGCTGGGAATACAGGTATGAGCCACTGCGCCTGGCCAGCAAAGGGTATTTATTACTTACCCTCAGAGGCAACAAATGCAGAAACTCCACTTTTGGCTGTCCCTTCTCTAGTTCTGGTGGCCCTTCTCTAATGTGTCTCTTCTTCTTAGGCTTGTCTGCACACAGATGTGCTTTCTGCTTATGAATTTAGGAGAACTACATCCATAAATTACATCACACCTTTCCTGCCTACATGCAATTTTCCTAGACTTCAAAATTTTACAAACCAGAGAGATCAAGATGCACAGGCTTCCACTCGATGTCCCTTGCTGTATTCTGAGGCTAAAAAGACTAACACTGATTTAGTGGCTGTCTGCAAGGTAAAAGCATTGCTTTGATCCATATACCCAGTGCTCCTACTTTCCCTGCCTCCCATGCCAGTGTGTATATATTTACATCCCTACTAAGTCTGGGCACCAAGGGCTATGAGTGGCCCCCAAGGCAGAAAGATTTTAAAATATAAGCAATGACATATTCTGAAATTACAATAGCAAACATTTTGAACTGCTCTCAGTTCTTGGGTAGATGATCAATACTAAGGACTGGGAGAAAGGAAACAGCAATGCTAAGCCCTGGGCCTCAAGCGCACAGAGTATCCTACAAGTCGGGGAGACCCTACCGACCATCTAGCCTGACTCCATCCGTTTACAGAAAAGGACACTAAGATCCAGAGTCATGAAGTGATTGGCTCAAGGTCACAAAGCCAGTATGAGGCAGGCTAAGGCCAGAACCTGGGCCTACTATCAGTTAGTAAGGCTTTTTACACTCATTCAAGCCACCTCTAGATCAGACAATCAGAAAACACAATGACATTCTAATACCCATACGATGTCAGCACATAACATATCATAATAGTGCCTGGGTGATGAGATCTGATAGGCTTGTGGGAGTAGAGTGATGGTGGTTATGAAAGAGGATGAACTCTTTTAATAGCCTGCTGCATTCTGAAAAAATGGCACACCTTCATTTTGCCTCAAGGGTTACATAATGGATCAAGATAAAACTCTAAATTTAAAAAAATGGATAATTCAAGTCAATGGAGGCCACTTTTTCCCTGATAAAGGTGTTTTAAAGATATGGATATTATATGTATTGTAATTAAAATAACGAGACTAATTTTTATGTTCAACGAACAGTACGCATAGTGCCTACCCAGTGCACAATCACCTTTGAATATACACAAACCCAATTAATGCAACGTGTGGTAATCTATAGTCTTTCCCAGATGCAATTCTGCTAATAACTTTTTATAACTCTTAATGCATATATGTCTAAAGACAGCTCAGTGACCAGTCATCCTTCCCCGCTCTGCGCACTGTGAAGACTGGCTTTTCATTTAAGTCTGCGGTCTACAAACAGCTTTATTTCTTTCCTTTCGGGAACACATGATACCTCTATTTGAGAAGACCTATAGCTGTTATCACTGACTCTGCAGTTCTTCATTCTCTACATCTCATCTGAGGCTACCTCTTTAATGATTGTATGTGCTTCTTCCTTTCACACTGCGACAGACCTTGAGGTTCCCATACCTCTTGTATAAATTATTATTGCAAAAACCTTTTAATTATTCTCACTTCTCCTCATTCTTGACAGAGGCATCAGAATTATCATTCTAGAGTCCAACTCTAGATGTCATTAAGTTGCTCAGAAATCTTCCATGGCTCCCCATGGCTAATAGAGTCTAAAAGTCTCTGGTTTACTGCCTGAGGCCCAATCTTCTGGGCACTCCTTGGATTCCCACCATGTCTCTTTCTGCCTACTGATCTCAGTGTCTAGAATGCCCTTTTCGCCCATTCTCATCCCCCACCTCCCCTGGTCAGCTCTCTCTATTCTCCAAATCCAAGCTCAAAACCCTATTCTCAACAAGGGGGTCTTTGCTGTTAAAATTTAATCTCTTGTCTCCTGTCCTTCCATAGCACCTTGTTAATATCTCCAATGATAGCTCCCAATACATTGTTATTTGTGACTTTTTTCCATTCAACTATACATTCCGTGAGGGCCGGGATACCTCCTCTGTCTCTGAACAAGGCATAGTACAGTGTTTTGTGCACAGTAGGTTCTCAACAGGCACTTGCTTTTTTTTTTTTTTTTTTGAGATGGAGTCTCGCACTATCATCCAGGCTGGAGTGCAGTGGCGCGATCTCGGCTCACTGCAACCTCCGCCTCCTCGATTCAAGCGATTCTCCTGCCTCAGGCTCCTGAATAGCTGGGATTACAGGCGCCCGCCACCACACCCAGCTAATTTTTTGTATTTTTAGTAGAGACGGTGTTTCACCATGTTGGCCAGGCTGGTCTCGAACTCCTGACCTTGTGATTCGTCCACCTCGGCCTCCCAAAGTGCTGTGATTACAGGAATGAGCCACCGCGTCCAGCCCAATAGACACTTGTTGAAACCAGTTTTGTACCTCTACATGCCAAATAATTTGTCAGTGCCCTAATTTTCCAGCTGCCATAGCTCTTTCACATTGTTTCAAATTGTTTTTTAGGTGTATCCTTACAGTCTTCCTTTCTTCTCCTCTCCACTACCCTCACCACCAATACTGCTTTGTGGTTGCTTCAGTTAACTCACTAGGAACAGTATTTATATTTATTATACACTTGTATTGGGGAAGCTTGTTTTCTCTACGTGTATCCTACCCAATCTATGTCATATCTGCACACTATGTAAAGATTTAATAGGGCACCTAAAGATTGATTGGAATCTGAACTCACTTCCTGGTTATGTGACTTTCAACAAGGTGTTTAATTGCTTTGAGTCTTGGTTTCCTCTCCAGTAGAAAGGGATAATAATTCCTCAATTCTGTTATGACTACTTTGGCAATAATATGAGAAAGTCAGCTGGCACAGAGAAGGCATTCAATAAACAGTATGTGGTACCTTTTAGACCAGGCCAAAGAAAGCTGAGAAAGGAAGCAAGTTGTTCCCAAAATCTGTGTTAGCTGCTTCACGAATGAGCCCCGATACTCATGTTCAAAACCAGACCCCTTTCTTGGGACCCCACTTGGCTTCTCCATAGCACACTGAATTCCTGAATAATTTGATGTGGATGCCATTACTTATCCCTCTTCACATACACAACATGATGCAATAACTGGCACATACCACCCTTCACTCTAAGAGCAGACTGCAACTCACACTGCATTTTTCCATGTCCCAGCACATGGAGACATAATACCAGGGAATTGCTGTTGATTAAGATTCACTTGTGTAACTTAGGAGTTGGTTCAATTTTCAGACTTTGTTATTAATGATATTGTCCTATAATCTATGTTAAATATAGATCACAAGTGATGCTGATGAATGGGTTGGATCTCTCATTTGTGTTCGTTCAATTTACAATCATAAATTAAAATGTTCAAATGTTCTTCACCCTACAATGTAGATTTGGTCTAGGGTTTCAATATGATGAGTTAGTACTGTTAGTTTTCATAAAAACATGCTGCTTTTTAAAACTTGTTTTCTCTTTTTAGATTTAGCTGTACATTATTGGCAACACATACTGCCCAGATTATGGAATTTGGTAATAAATTATGTTTTTACTATCTTTGAAAATTCTTTTCAGGGTGGAAGACTTTCTAGCCTTAGTTATATGTGTTTAATCTTGGTTTTCTTACGGTATTATGCAAATTCTGCAAAATGATCCATGGACTCATCCACTGATGTGTATCAATGTAAGTTTCTGAAACAAAGTCATCAACATGCAGAGACAGGTTAATGCTTTAGTTACATAGCTTTCAAGAGTACTTATGTTTATTAAGAAGTTGTCTTCCTAAGGGTCATGTTGTAGCCTAATTCTGGTACGCAAAACTAGGATACCAAGTTAATAACCCTAATGTGTTGTTGTTGTTGTTGTTGGTGGTGGTGGTGGTGGTGGTGGTATTGGTAGTGGATTTTTTCAGGGTTGGGGGAGAATTCTGGGGACAGTAAGAATGATAGTAATGACTAGACATCAACTAAAATGTACATGTATGTGTGCAAGCATATGTTGAGTACATGTGTGTGTTTAGGGGGTTGATACATGCTAAACCTTGTTAGGAGCAAGACAGTGATGATCAGCTTTGCGCCCGATGGTCTAATATGCTCTTATATTTCAGCAGGATTACACATAACTGAAGGAATTACACAATCTTCTCTTACTTCACATTAGAAACCTTTAATACCAAGCCGGTCACGATGGCTCACACCTATAATCCCAACCTTTTGGGAGGCTGAGGTGGATGGATCACCAGAGGTCAGGAGTTCAAGACCAGCCTGGGCAACATGGTGAAACCCCGTCCCTACTAAAAATAAAAAACATTAGCTGGGCATGGTGGCAGGCGCCTGTGATCCCAGCTACTCCAGAGGCTGAGGCAGGAGAGTCACTTGAACCGGGAGGCGGAGGTTGCAGTGAGCAAAGATCGTGCCACTATACTCCAGCCTAGGCAATAAGAGCAAAACTCCATCAAAAAGAAAGAAAGAAGGAAGGACGGAGGGAGGGAGGGAAGGCAGGCAGGCAGGCAGGCAGGCAGGCAGGCAGGCAGGAAGGAAGACATCCTTTAATACCAGAACAAAGAGCCATAATATCAAGAAGAACACAACCCAGAAGATTTTATTACATTAATAGCCCAGCTAAGAGATTTAGGAGTCCATGCCCACTTACAGCGTCATGTCATTAAGGCTGATGAACACAGGGTAGACAGACGCCTTGCTATTTTCTATCCTATGCCCTGCTACAAACATGTGGCCTGGAACCACTTTGTGATTACTGCAGTAAGTTCTCTGTGATTAATGTGGACATAACACTGTCCAGAGGAACTGGAGCAGACACATCTTATCTGAGAGCCACTGCCCTATGACATGGCCATGAGGTCACTCGGCCCCCTTTGTTTTAGGCTGTATATTACTTAAATCAGTCATCAGAAAGATGATTTAAATCAACCTTCAAGAAGATATAATTTCATTACTTTTTTTTTTTTTGCCAAACTATGTCCCTATTGTCTATACTCCTAATATTAATTATAACCAACTCAGATTTATAGTTTTTCTATGATTAGGTATATTTCTTATGTGTAAACTATATAGAAACACATGTTGGAACAGTTACATTAGAAAACTGAATCGTGATTTGGTCCTTTTATTCCCCAAAGCTAAATAAAGCAGATATCTGTGAAATCACACAGAGACAAACCATTTTCAGGTTGACAGGTTAATTTGGGCAACATTTTCTGCTCTGTTCTATTAGAACAGCTATCATAACTCAAAACAACTGATATTACATTTTTGCAGGATAAAATGTTTATAGAGATATATTTGTATTTTGAATGTTTTTGTTCAACAAAAGCCATATAATTTTAAACAAAAATGTACGATCAAAATTTATTTCATTTATATATGTGAAATGGGGGTGCTGACAAAAATTTAAAGAATGTTTCACCTAAAATAAAAAGATTCCTCCAAAATAAAAAACTTAAAATATAGGATTGTTTTGAATAGCGCCTCCCCCTTCTAATCATTTCAGTTTGAAGAAGAGAATGCTGCTTCTCTTACAGAAGAGATGAAGTTCATAATCCTTACAGCATACAGATGTAAAACAAGATATTGGTGAAGACAGCCACGATTGACAGGAAAAGAACAAAGAGGGCCCACAGTTGTTGGTGCCTGGAGACAGACTTGAGAGGGGTCACAAGTGGCCAGAGGCTGGAAAAATAAAATGTCTACGATTTGAAAATAGAGAAAAGAAGTAGAGAAGAAACAAACAGAGTACTAGAGAAGAATAAGAAGCCCATGTAATTGGAGCCATAGGGTGGGAGGTGGGTTATGGGGGATGGGCACACATGAGGTTGGTTTAGGCTTAAGAAGATAAGCTTACTGCAGCATTCCTGGAATTCTAGAGAATGGCCAGCTCTGGATCCAAGTGATTGCATTCATAATCATGTTTGGCTAAAATGCAAATAGAAAGAACCAGGATGAAGAGTTTGCTTCTTAACCTGGATGTGTATCAACTTGAAT
Organism: Homo sapiens; assembly: GCF_000001405.40. NCBI lineage: Eukaryota > Metazoa > Chordata > Mammalia > Primates > Hominidae > Homo > Homo sapiens. The sequence goes on from NC_000004.12 coordinate 139,943,678, forward strand.
TCAATGCCTACACTGAATGTACATGGATTTACCTGTTTGGAATATGTACAATGGAGATCCTCTTGCAGTAGCAGATTTTGTATGCTAAATACCACCTTTCTGATAACACGATCTGTTGATTATCCACTATAAAACATCTGGAATACAATATGGTAACTTAAGGTTGGGTTGTGGGCCTAAAGACAACTTTTTTTTTTTTTTTTTTTTTTTTGAGACGGAATCTTGTTCTGTCGCCCAGGCTGGAGTGCAGCGGTGCAATCTCAGCTCACTGCAACCTCCGCCTCCCGGGTTCAAGCGATTCTCCTGCCTCAGCCTCCCAGGTAGCTGGGACTACAGGCGTGCGCCACCACACCCGACTAATATTTTGTAATTTTAGTAGAGAGGGGATTTCACCATGTTCGCTGGGATGGTCTCGATCTGCTGACCTAGTGATCCACCTGCCTCGGCCTCCCAAAGTGCTGGGATTATAGGCATAAGCCACCGTGCCCGGCCTAAAGACAACATTTTTTTTTTTATTATACTTTAAGTTTTAAGGTACATGTGCACATTGTGCAGGTTAGTTACATATGTATACATGTGCCATGCTGGTGCGCTGCACCCACTAACTCGTCATCTAGCATTAGGTATATCTCCCAATGCTATCCCTCCCCCTTCCCCCCATCCCACCACAGTCCCCAGAGTGTGATATTCCCCTTCCTGTGTCCATGTGATCTCATTGTTCAATTCCCACCTATGAGTGAGAATATGCAGTGTTTGGTTTTTTGTTCTTGCGATAGTTTACTGAGAATGATGATTTCCAATTTCATCCATGTCCCTACAAAGGACATGAACTCATCATTTTTTATGGCTGCATAGTATTCCATGGTGTATATGTGCCACATTTTCTTAATCCAGAATCTACAATGAACTCAAACAAATTTACAAGAAAAAAACAAACAACCCCATCAAAAAGTGGGCAAAGGACATGAACAGACACTTCTCAAAAGAAGACATTTATGCAGCCAAAAAACACATGAAAAAATGCTCATCATCACTGGCCATCAGAGAAATGCAAATCAAAACCACAATGAGATACCATCTCACACCAGTTAGAATGGCAATCATTAAAAAGTCAGGAAACAACAGGTGCTGGAGAGGATGTGGAGAAATAGGAACACTTTTACACTGTTGGTGGGACTGTAAACTAGTTCAACCATTGTGGAAGTCAGTGTGGCGATTCCTCAGGGATCTAGAACTGGAAATACCATTTGACCCAGCCATCCCATTACTGGGTATATACCCAAATGACTATAAATCATGCTGCTATAAAGACACATGCACACGTATGTTTATTGCGGCATTATTCACAATAGCAAAGAGTTGGAACCAACCCAAATGTCCAACAATGAAAGACAACATTTTAAAAAGGAAAATTCCACCCCCTAACCCTCCAAGGCAGTTTCCAGGAAGTTCTGATATAAGGTCTGTTGACTCTCCCAGCCTTCCTTTTCTCCTTATTTACTTGGGCTATTAAGTAAAAATGAGCTTCTCTTCTTTTTTAAATAATAGGTTCTCAATTAAGACTGAATTATTCCAAAGCAAACAACTCTTCCTATTTCTGCAGATTCTTTGAATTATCATTTTATGTGCTTCTGATGAATTCAGATGTTTAAATGACTTCCAGCAACACACTGATATGACTGTCTAAAACTTTAAGAAACATTTTTTATTTTTATTTTTTTAAAAAAGATTTATCCTTATACCTGGAAGTTTCATATTTGGTATTAGGGAATGATTACTGCTGGATGCCAATACCTCTTTTCAAATAGCCAAACATTTATACTTAATATGAAAACCAAACCACAGACAAGCTGCCAGCATATTCCACAACACTGTATTCTTTCAGCTATAAAGTCAAAGGTTTAATTGCATGAAAATATTCAAATATTAATAAATCATGTTAACTTTAAACTAGGTTCACAAACTTTGTTTCACTGATTTTAAGCAGCCTGATATAGGATAGATATTTAATAAATTTGTCCAATGTGTATTTTTCCCATGAATAATAAAACCAAATTAAAATTTTATTTAAATTGTTGAAATGCTTAATTCCTCCAGATCATGATTTTGCCAATGCAGTTTCATCTACCTTTCCTTGTACATCATACGAAGGCATTTATTCAGGCAGTGGTTTTTAATAAGCCATTGTAGGAAACAAACAAAAAAAGGTGGAAGGTGTTGCCTGGGAACTAATAGCTGTAATAAGGAGCCAGTGGATTGCTCCTTAATAAGTGTATGCACTGCACACCTTCTCAGTCCTGATTAACTACATTCTATTTTAGCACCAGACATCTAATGAGAAAATGTTAAGTTTCCCCAAATGGTATGATGGTAGAATCAGAATGGAAAATACCAACAAACCTTGTGAACGCTATCGCCCCAAAATGTGAGCTTGTAAAAGAATTCATCTTAGTTCCACCTTGATTTCTTTTGCATTAATCATTCAAGATATGTAACATTGGAAAACTTACTGTGTGCAAGGTGTGATGAAATCTTATATTCAGAAGCTAAAGATAAAGATAATATATGCATCAGTTTCATAATAGCCGTTTTTGAAGGTGAGATGAAGTTTATTAATTATTTCCACAAACCATCTAGGGTGATTCTCTCAGATTCAGGGAATGTGGGCTTGAGCAAATTTTCATGGTTGATATGAAGGACTTACAGCTAGAACCAAATACTGTTCAGTCTGTATAACGAGCCTGACAATGTGAATAATCTCAGTGCAATAATTTTTTTTTTGTTAAGCACACAGGTATGTACAAACGCACAAAGGTAACTCCTGAATAGTCAATAAATAACTATACCAAACGTATAACTGCTAATTATGGGAATAATATAATGAATAATTACAGATTTTTTTCTAAATGCAAGTTTTCATGCCAGAAAAAAATTTTATCTCCAGAAGAATAATTTGTGCATTGCTTAAACAAAAATCAAAGTGAAATCCTTCCAAACAGCCCAGGTGACATCCTTGGTTTTATTCATGTAAATAATGATTATAAAATATAAAAGCTAAAACAGCTGAATAAAACATCCTTCCTGGCCTCAGGGAGGTCATCAGTTCATTGAGGGTCAAGAAATACTACACTTCTAAAACTACCTTATATCAACCCTTGATGTTTCAAAAGGAAAACAAAAATAGCACCCAAATTTCTCCAGGCAGAGTAAGCCACACACACACACACACACACACACACACACACACACTCTCTCTCTCTCTCTCTCTCTCTCTCTTTAGAAAAGCAAAGTTTGCAACATGCTATAATTAAGCTCACATCCTGACAGTAAAAACACAAAGTTTTATTCTAAATATAGAGGAAGAATCTCCACATTGCACAACCTTTCCAATTGTTGTTTTTTAACATTAGTCATTGATGTCAGTGTGTCCTTTGCATAAAAAAGTCCCTTTCTGAAAATACACATACAGTAGACATGAAAATTGTACTGCTTTCAATTTTTATTTAGGGTGGAGATTTTCTTAAAATCTTCGGTAGATTTTATCCTTGCCTTGTCCTTCCTGTAAGTCTAAATCACTATTTAAATGGCATTTTCCTTCTTGCTCTTAAAATAGCGAAGTGGTATTTGCTAAATGGACATGGATAGCTATTCACAGCCCAATTCCTAAGTCTTAGTCTTCTACACAGGCTGCCCTGATCGCCTCCAGAGATGAAACTTGTCCATGGAAGAGAAGCTATACACACATCTCTGCCACCAGGAACCTGGGAAAGTCTGGTTTCATGTAACACTAACAATGCTGCTACAAAAATTACAATTTTCTAGCATGGTGGATTGGACTCTGTCCTATTTATTAAAAGAACTGTAGACCTGAGGGCAGCTCAATCCACACCTTGCAAAGCACCCACATGTCCCTAGCAGAAAGGAGGGCTGATTTTAATTTATGGGGCTTAATTAACCTTTTAATTTAGGGGTTAGTGGTAAAGTGTATCTAGAATCTAGCTACCTGCTGTGATCCTGGAGCAAGTTAATCTCTCTATGCCTCAGTTTCGACAGCAGGATTCCGTCTCAAAAATCAAAACAAAACAAAACAATAACTAGTATTATTCTCAATTAGGATTTCTAGAACACTAAAAGCTACCACTTGCTGGGCATGGTGACTCACTCCTGTAATCCCAGCACTTTGGGATGCTGGGGTGGGCGGATCACCTGAGGTTGGGAGTTTGAGACCAGCCTGACCAACATGGAGAAACCCCGTCTCTACTAAAAATACAAAATTAGCCAGGTGTGGGGGCGCATGCCTGTAATCTCAGCTACTCGGGAGGCTGAGGCAGGAGAATCGCTTGAACCTGGGAGGGTAGGTTGCAGTGGGCCAAGATCACGCCATTGCACGCCAGTCTGGGCAACAAGAGCGAGACTCCATCTCAAAATAAATAAATAAATAAATAAATAAATAAATAAATAATAAAAACTACCACTCTACACTAAAAAGTCAAACGTGGAAATATACAAAACAAAAGTCTATGTGGAAAAACCCAACAATTTACAAAGGTAAATTAGATTTACAGGAAGCAAACACACTCCTGAGCACTTTTGCTTTATCCAAATACTTCATTTCACTGTTAAGAACAGTTGATGGGCCTTTAGGGAAAATATTTCAGCTTTCAAATAACTGCTTTGAAAAGGACTAAAAACTATATTTAACTGCCTCTTGGGCAATTAGACCATGGCCATTGCCACATCTGCTATTTTCTCATCAGGAAACTGCTTCCAAGACATTTAACATTCATAGGTGTATTAGCTCATTATTAATACTCTGGAAATTCTCCATGACACTATTAACTACAGTGCAGAATTTGATGTAAGGAGGCTCCATCTTGGTTTCAATTCATGTAAGAGGATTATGAACCGAATTCCCTAAAGGATGACACTAGAAATGGTCTCAAACATGGACTGAATTATAGCAAAGCTCCAAAGTGTAATCTATTTCTAAAAACTTGTCTTCAATCATCTCAACCCTTTTCTCATACTTTATCTCTATCTCTTCATATTATCCATCAGTAATTGTTAAAATAGCAAACACTTACATGACACTATGTATGGACACGTATATTAATACAATTAAACCTCACAAGATCCCTGTAAGGTAGAAACTATCATCCCCATTGTACGTGTGAGAAAACCGAGGCACAGGTAAGAGAGGTAATACACTAGTAGTGCCAGAGTTGGGATGTGAACACAGGCAGTCTCACTCCAGGGGTAAGCTCTTCCCTATGGCCATGCAGCCTCTACGCCTTATTGACATGCTTCTAAAATACAAAAGTGGTAGTAGAAATTTTTTTTTTCTTTTTTTGTTTTTTGAGACAGAGTCTTGCTCTGTTGCCAGGCTGGAGTGCAGTGGCGCGATCTCGGCTCACTGCAACCTCCGCCTCCTGGGTTCAAGAAATTCCCCTGCCTCAGCCTCCCTAGTAGCTGGGACTACAGGCACGCGGCACGACACCCAGCTAATTTTTTTGTATTTTCCTAGAGATGGGGTTTCACCATGTTGTCCAGGATGGTCTTGGTATCTTGACCTCGTGATCCGCCTGCCTTGGCCTCCCAAAGTGCTGGGATTACAGGCGTGAGCCACCACACCCGGCCAGTAGTAGAAATTAATTAGTCTCAGACTCTTATCATAAGATAGAAGCGGTATCAGGAATTGAACTCCCACTCTTTCAGTGCTCTGTGATAGCCCATGTACTATTCTTCTGACACCAAGATAAAAAAGACTATTTCCAATGAATGCCCATTAGATCAGAGATTATGCCACGTACAATCTGTCACAAAAAACCAGGAAGCATGTCACTGAAACAGTCTGGCTTGTAACATAACTTTTATTCTAAAGAAATACCCATCATTTGATACTATGGAAATCTGAATATTATGTTGTACTTTTAATTTACAAACACAAATTTAATTGACATGAAATTTATCAAGATATGAAACCTAAAAATATCAATGTTGTCTTAAATTCCTTTTGACAAGATTGTTAACTGCTTGACATTTTCATGCCTTTACTTTCCTTGAATTCCTCATGTGATGGTTCATTTTAGTTGTTAACTTGACTGGGCTATGATGTCCAGTTGTTTGGTCAAATACCAATATAGATGTTGCTAGGAAGGCTAGTTTTAGATGTGATTAACGTTGAAATTAGTAGACTCTGGGTAAAGCAGATTACTCTCTATAATGTAGGTGGGCCTCATCCAGTGAGTTGAACACCTGAAGAGCAAAGACAGGTTTCCCAAAGAAGCAGCATTCTGCCTTCGGACTGCAACACAGAAAACCTGCCTATGCTTCCAGCCTGCAGATTTTGGACTCAAGACTGCAATATTAACGATTTTTTTTTGGAGACAGTCTTGATCTGTTGCCCAGGCTGGAGTGCAGTGGTGTGATCTCAGCTCACTGCAACCTCCGCCTCCCAGGTTCAAGCAATTCTCCTGCCTCAGCTTCCTGAGTAGCTGGGATTACAGATGCACACCACCATGCCCGGCTAATTTTTTGTATTTTTAGTAGAGACGGGGTTTCACCATGCTGGCCAGGCTGGTCTCAAACTCCTGACCTCGTGATCTGCCTGCCTTGGTCTCCCAAAGTGCTGGGATTACAGGCATGAGCCACCATGCCTGGCCAATATTAACTCTTAACTTGAATTTCTAGCCTGGTAGTCTGGTCTACAGATTTTGGACTTGCCAGCCCCCACAGTCAAATAAGCCAGTTCTTTAAAATGAATTCTCTCTTTATCCTCTATTTGTTCTGTCTCTAGAGGACTCTGATTAATACAACCAGCACCTCCCTCCTATCACCTTTTTCACAGGAGACCCTCAGTAGAGAGTCCTGTAGATCAAGCCTCCATCCTGATTGCCCATTGTAGTTCTTATAAGAAAAGATAAAGTTGGCCACTTTCCATTACAGCACACAAACTAGCAACCTTTCTGGAACTGGGTAACACATTCTCCCGGGTTTGACTGTGGTAGATTCTAAACCACACGCCTTCTGTGAATAGTTGTGGTTTGACAAGCTACAAAGACATACAGCCTGGTCTGTGTAAGTCCCCAAGTAGGGGCCCCAGAGACTTGCGGCCACCCTGCTAAGAGTCCTCCAGCCAAGCTCTGCCCAAGGGAACAGCACCACCCACACCATCAAAGCTTTGCCTGCAGCTCTGGGCCAGCCTGAAGGGCTTGAAGAGGCCATCGGGTTACTAAATGGCATTTTGGTCACCTTTTCTTTCCTCCCAAGATCGTGAAGAACAACCTCATTGCCCTAATGACTCCCAACTTCTGTCTGCACGTGGGTTTGATTGTTACAATCACATTTTGCTTACTGCCAATCTCCCATTTCAGCTGTTCAAATTCTAGGAAACCAATATTTATTTCCTTAACAAAAGATCTCAACAAGCCAAGCCTCCTTCTCTCTCTCCCTCCCTCTTTCTTTCTCCCCATCCTACCCAAACCACAAAGCCCTGTTCTTTGTAAAGGGCCTGTGCTGGGAGCTAGAAATGTGTCACACCAAGAACATCCACCATTGCCCAAAGCTGTTTTCCTTGTGGCTTCTTCAGTAGCAGCCACGCTGCCTTCAGTGTTGACAGTCAGCAATTTTGAATGTGCTGACATGGAGAACAGTGACCACAGAGTCAATGCACACCAGCAAGGAAGAGAAAACAAATGCGGAAATGGAAAGGTGATGCTGGGCCTCTGTCTTTCCCTGCTTCTGGAGGCCCACCAGTGAGGTCACAGGTTGGCCTGTGGAGGCCTGGAGGGCAGGGAGCACAGGCAGCCTCACCTCTTTCTGCTGTTTCCCTGCCATCACAACTTGGTCCCCGCATTTCTATTTTGGGGGCTGACGCATGCAGAGCTGTGGAGGAGGGAGCCATTCCCTCTACCACCTTAGGTCCCTCTCCTTGCAGCTGGCTCCTACCAAGAGGAGAGAGGAAAGGGTCAGCTGTGGCTTCTCGGCAGCTCTGTGAACTGCTCTCTCCAACACTGAACTCAACAAATGTTCTTTACATTGCTAATTTGTTTTTGTTCTTTTTTTTTTTTTGTCTCCAGTAGCAGGAAAGTTTGGTAAGCAAAAAAAGATCCCAGAAAATTTCTGGGTAGCAAGTCTAGTATTAAGGGGGGCCAAGGGGTGAAGAAGGATGGAGCCATTAAATTAAAGCTTACGAAGGGCTATTAGGCTGCGTGCAGTGGCTCACACCTGTAATCCTAACACTTTGGGAGGCTGAAGCGGGCAGATCACTTGAGGTCAGGAGTTTGAGACCAGCCTGGCCGCCATGGTGAAACCCTGTCTCTACTAAAAATACAAAAAATTAGCCGTGTGTAGCGGCGGGTGCCTGTGATCCCAGCTACTTCAGAGGCTGAGGCAGGAGAATCGCTTGAACCCAGGAGGCAGAGGCTGCAGTGAGCCGAGATCGTGCCATTGCACTCCAGCCTAAGGGACAAAAGCGAAACTCCATCTCAAAAGACAAACAAACAAAAAGAAGGGCCATTATAATATCACTATAATGCTTTATAGGCAGACTGTGAGTTGGGGATTCTGGAATCCCTCTTTTCTTGGCTCTATCTGGGTTAGATAATAGGGAAGTTATTTAGTTCGAGGTGGTTCAATGTATGAAGTGATCAGGTAGGCAGGGGGTCTCTCTGTCCAGAGATATGCAGTGGGGCAGTTCTGGGACCTGGGGTTACACATGAGCAGGGACAAAAGCTGAACTTAATGTTTGGCCTCCTGCGTAAAATAGTGCTTCTCAAACTCTGCAGTTTATAGACCACACCTGGGGTGTAAAAATCCCTACCAACCTCGGACTGTCCTCACATGTGCCAAGAGGAAAACAAAATCCCATCCACTGCAGTTAAAAAAAAACAAAACCAAGTACATTTGGGGGGAATAAAAATTGCAGCAGAAATGGCTAGTGGCCCACCAAAGATGTCTGCACCCTTTCAGCTGTGTAAATTTGATGCTGGTGAGTGGCTGCCCAGCCAAGGACTGCATTTCCCACCTCCTCTTGCTCTAGAAGGGGATATATGACTTAGTTCTTGACAAAAGACTGTGGACAGAAATGATGTGTGCCATTTCTAGGCTTGGCCCATAAAAACCTGGCTTGGCACATTAAAGTCAGGACTCCCCCAAATCCCCTAGGCTATCTCTTTTCTCACCAACCAGCTGGAAGCAAAAGATTCCAAGATCCGTGGAGGAGCTACAAGGTGGAAGGAGCTCGCTGCCTGTCCAAAAAATGCCTGGATTTGGACTGTTGGATGACAGAGAAAAAAACTCATATTTGAGGTCACTGGGGATTTCAGGGTTTCTCTATCACAAAAGTTATTTTAACTGCACAAAATCACTAAGTGATGTCAGAGGGAAATTATTAATTAGGCACAATGACATAGATGTTAAACGTGGTATGCTATTATTTGGGTTTTTAAAAAAGAATGTGCCTACATATACACTTCTATATGCTTGAGACGTCTCTGGAAGAAAACGCTAGAAAATAGTAACAGTGGGTGCCTTTGGGGAAGGAAACTAGGAGACAGGAAGAAAGGGGTAGAAAAGAGATTTATCTCTCACCGTATTTTGTTTTTAGCCTTTTGAATTTGTATCGTAGGCATATGTTAACCGCTCAAAAGTTACATTTAATGAAACAACTTTGTGCGGTGGCTCATGCCTATAATCCTAACAATTTGAGAGGCTGAGGCGGGTGGATCACTTGAGGTCAGGAGTTTCAGACCAGACTGGCCAACATGGTGAAACTCCATCTCTACTAAAAATACAAAAATTAGCACGGCATGGTGGCAGGTGCCTGTAATCCCAGCTACTCAGGAGGCTGAGGCAGGAGAATTGCTGAACCTGGGAGGCTACAGTGAGCTGAGATGGCGCCAATGTACTCCAGCCTGGGTGATAGAGCGAGACTCCGTCTCATAAAAAAGAAAACAAAACACAAGTTCTAAAAGAATCCAGTTTTTAGATCAGCAGGAGAATGCTTATGCACACTACTACTAGTCCCCAGGGCCTTTTTCGAAACCAGTGGTACAAAGTGTTGACATTTAAAAATACATAAAAGTGTACTTTCTTTGAAAACTCAAGGGAGGGGTAGCAGTAGCTGCTATTCCTATACTGCATCTGAATTCTTGGGGTTAACTTTCTCATGCTCTTAGAGACTCTCCTTTCATTCCAACGGCGACAGGAGGCTGATAGCAGAGAGGAGTCAGGGGTTGCTTCTTCTATTAGATCAATTTATTCCTAAATGTAGGTACCACAAGTCAACCACACACCTTCATAAAAAGGATTCTTGGGCATCTTTCCTGAAAATTCTAATTCAGTAGTTCTGAGGTGGAGCTCAGGAAACCAAATTGTTCACAAGTGTCAGTTGACTCTTGTGCTCAGGCACACTTGAGAAACCCTGTTCTCATTTGTCCATGTGTCCTCCCTGCCACCTTGGATAAGTTGCTTCACTTTCATATTTTATATCCTTAGAATACAGACAATGAGATTTACGACCTAGGAAACTCAAACGTGTCTGCTGAGACTAGGTGATGCCTGTGAAAATGGCTGAACCCCCTGCAAAATGACATTATATACAAGTGCCAATTATGATTATAATTACTATTGTTAGCTTGTGCTTTGGGGATTGCTATTTTGTGTTTTAAAATTCACTTTATCAAAAATACTTCATTTTAAAAAGAAAAGGTGGGATAGAAAACATGTCTGTGTTTCCGTGGAACACCTTTGTCAGAATTTCTGCTGTGTTGCTAGGTGTTTAGCAGGGAGTCCGCATCAGTGGGTCTTCCACCCATGACAAGTACAGCTGCTTCCAGAATGCACGGAGTGGGGAATAAGCCATAAGGGAAGCCCTGCATTAAGGTGAGTCCAGAGGCTGGAGCCAAGGCAGCTCAAACACAAGGAAATCCAGGCAGCAACTGGTCTATGGCAGACTGCTTTATGGAACGGGGGTGGATGCAAGAGATTCACTTTGCGTAAGAAGTGTCTTTATTTTTGTTTTTTTGAGATGGGGTCTCACTACATTGCCCAGGCTGGTCTCAAACTACTAGGCTCGAGGAATCCTCCCTTCTCAGCCTTTCGAGTATCTGGGATTACAGGCACATGTCATTACCCAAATACTCTGATGTGATCATAACGTAGTTTATGCATGTAACCAAATAGTACCTGTATACCATAAATATATACAAAAATAATGTATCGATAAAAATTTTTAAAAATTAAAGAATAACAATGATAATAATAAAAGAAGCGATAATGATAATAATAATGGGAAAGAAAGCTAACATCTACCATTTTTTTAAAAGCAGGAGAAATGTCTTAAGGAGTCTTAGGCTGGCCCTGGACAGTTCTATTTTCTGCTCAGCTTGCAGGTCTAGTCTTTATCTCTGAATATTCTAAGATCTTTGGGACTAAAAGGCCATCCAACCCCAACCCCTCAATGTTACTCAGAGTCCCTGATTGCAAATTTTTTCTACATCAATTATCCAAAAATAGAGAAAAGGGAAACTAAATAGATGCTTATTCCCTGGGAAATAAACTGAGTGGATAATAAAACTTTAGGTTGATTTGCTAAATTTTTAAAATATCTTAGGAGCAAACCTGATGTTTTCTAAGGAAAACTTTACTTTTTTTTTTAATCTAAAAGTTTCTCTGTACAACAGATTAGGGAGAGAAGGGATAGAGGTATTCAATTTAAATCCTAAGTTTTCCAGTCATCTTTTGGAAGAAACCCCAAATTTTAAAAGGTCAGGTCCAAAAAGGATAAGGTGAACATGATCTACTGTGATTACAATTGTTTCTTTCTTCTTTTTAACAACTGACTCATGTATCAAGTGCTACTTACATTTGTTTTCTCTTTTTTCATCATTCTCAAAAAAATGAAATGCTCTGGCTGCAATTTTATTATGAAATGTGCTTAATTCCAAATGGGTCCCATGCATTACACAGTCTCTTTAAATGGACCACCTAAAAGCCTGTGATGGGGATTTCTGGAGCTCATGGTAGCTGGTTCTCCTCCTTTTCTGAGCATGTGGGAAGACTTGCTAGGCTCTCAGGTAGTTAACTGGGAGTCATGTTACTAGTCTGGCCAATAGCCCATGAGAAAGAGCTGCTGTGAGTTCTCTGTATTCCCTTACCAGGCTGCACCAAACATGGAGGTCACATAACATAGTGGAGCTTCTGTCAGCCTGGGCCCCTGAGTGCCTAGGTGGAGCACAGCCTCCCCACTCTTCCCCTACGAACGTGAATTGGAAATATAGAGGGAATATTTGGCTGTACTTAAGCCAGTGAAATCAAGAAGGGAGCTAGAGGAGGGTAGATTTGTTACTGTGGCACAACCTTACCTTTTCTAATGCAAAGCAACTGGTTTGAAATCTCTGAATTCTACTCAGAATACTGGACTTGCTACTTATATAATTGGTAGACAAGTCACTTAATCTTTCTGAGCTTCAGGTTTTTTGACTGTAAAATGGGAACAATAATTTCTGGCATGTCTACCATTCACGGATATGAGAGGATCAAATGAGTTTTTCTGGAAGTGTTTTGAAATCTGTAAGTCAACTCTAGATGTAAAATACTAGCATTATTGCTGTGGATGTAGCTGGAGAAAAGGGGCTAAATTTCACTGCTTCTTTGGGGTCAGTTATTAGAATTCATTGCTTCATCGTTCTTAAAAAGTCGAGCAATACATTTCAGTGATAGATAAGGATCATGTAAAATCAAATTCTGATACCACTTGGAGAATAATTTGTAATCTTTAAAATGTCAGGGCTAGCTGAATGATTTCAGAAGCCTCACTTCCAACAAGCAAACTCAACTATTTGCCTTTGGCATAAAAAGAAAGGAAAAATAGAGTCCCCGAATGAAAGGTTTGGCACAAAGCCCTTTATTCCTCCCACAGCCTGTCAGAGTGGGAGAGGGAGGAAGGAACAGAGAGATTGGGCATTCCAGACTCCACCCCTGCACAAAGCGATGGGGAGCGATATACATTCAGGAGAGGTCGTACCAATCTATTCTTGTGTTTCTTTCACAGAGAAAACAGATTTCTCCACACAGGAAAGGAGAAATAGCAGAAATGGCCTCCACACAGATCTAGAAGTAGGGCAAGGGCTTGTGTTCCCTGCTGTCCCTGACAAAAGGTCGAGACACTCTGCTTCGAACCCAGGAGAAGGGCTTCCTGACCCTTAGAACAGATGACACCAATCCACACACACTGATTTGCTAGCAGTCCATTTTCACCCAGCTGCTTAGCTTGCTAGATATTAATAGTTGGCTTTTTTTGCACACTTACTAAATGTCAAGAAGTGACATTTTATATCTCAAGGAACTGATGCATAGCAAGGCTGAGCAACTTGTCCAACGTCACACAGCTGGAATATGGCAGAAACAGGAGTTAGGCCCAGTCTACTTTCAGATGCTGTGGTCTTAACCACTCCATTTCTAAGGAAGAAACAGAAAACGGAAGGAAAATGGGAGCAATTCTGTCACCTGCTAGATACCTTGCAATGGGCTTTAGCCACATTAACTCTCTTAATCCTGATATCTGTTCTAACATGATTGGCATTCTTACTCCATTTTACAGGTGACGAAGCAGAGGCTCAGAGAGGTTGATTAACTTGCCCAAAGTCACAAAGCCAAAATGCAGCAAGTTAGGAATCAAATCCAACCAGGCTCTGCTAGACTAAAGTGTGAAAGTTTGTGGCTGAAAATAAGCATGAGTTTGGGGAAGAAAACAAAATGTATTAAGAAGGCAGAGGAAACAAAGACCATGGGACGTATTTAGAAGCTGGTACCTCTGGTTCCTGAGAAAAACAACCCATCTAAATACAGGATAATGCCTGTTGGTAGAGTTCCCTTTATCACAGAGCCTTAGTGTTTACAGTGTTAGAAAGATGGTGAATCCAGTGTTTGGACCAAAGAATGACAGTCCTGCACATCAAGCAAATCTTTTTATACCCAACAAACGGAGAGTTACTATGAAAGTAGCCAACTGCTTTTTCTTTGGCTGTCTTTACATCTTCTCACTCTAAATTATTATGATCATTTACTTCCCCATTTCCAAAACTTATGAAGCACCAAATAATTATTAGTTGTTTTGTTGTTATTTTGCATCATTTGCTAGTCCACAGCTAAAATGTTCCCCCAACCTTAAGCTAGATAGGAGCAATGCAATTATGACACAGGAGCAAAAGAAGCTCATTAACATATCCGTGACTGACACAGAAGATCATTAATTAGGCATTCTGAGCATAAGTATATATGTATAAATTAGCATCTATTCACCATTTAAACTGTAAGAGATTTTTCATATCTGAATATTAACTATGTTGGAAAATTACTAAGTTTTCCTGAGTGAATTCCACAAACAATACCCATCCTTGATAACAAAAATAAAATGAAGATAAGGGATTCTATGAGCTGACCCAGACACAGTAGAGTCTAAGGACGTTATCACTCTTTATTTATGAATGTCTTCATTTATCCATTTCCTCTTTTTTGTGTTTCTGGCTACCCTCCTTGCTGGGTGTTTCATGTGGACCATCTTATATGGAGAATGTTTAGATGAGGTACTCCTGCTGACATTCCAGAGATGCTGTACCTCTCTCTGAATTCTGTCATCATTCATTCATTTATTCTTTCAATAAATATTTATTGAGTGTAACCTATGTTCAAAAGACAGTGTGGAGGATACCTACATGAATATGGCAGAGTTTCTATTCTCAAGAATTCATAGTCTAGCAGGAAAGATGAGACAGATAGTGCACTCATAAAGCTAAAAGGTTCGGTGTACAGTTACAATTGCCAGAGCCCAAACCCTACTCAGAAGAGGAATAGACTTCTGCCAGGGGGAAGACTGGGAAATGCTCCATGAGAGAGGTGGCATTGAAGCAGGACATTAGTGATCCTAGAAGAAGCAGATCTGGCAAATTTGGGGCATGTCAAGAGAGTCACTTATGCAAGAAACCAGAGCCAGATTGATGCCTATCTTCACGTTCAGGTCTTGAATTTTGTGCTACGTCTGTGGTCCATAGAACTCCACCCCCATTTTGTTTTAATGAGTCTGAAGTACTTATCCGTTTTCAGGCCTTCAGAAAACTACTAATATCAGGACCAAAATGATAATAATACTCTATTGTCCTTCACACATAGGACAATGATACTAATTACTTCGTAGAGCTTGTGCTTGCATTGTTATTCTTGCAATAGTATTGGACTCATGCCAGCACATCCATTGTTCTTTGTTGATTTTTCTTGCTACCAGTGGCATACTTTTGTAAAATGGCTATCCTGGGTGAGGGATGGGATTTGCAGTTCTGAGACCATTTTTTCTAGGTGGGGCTCACTAGTCTGTGTTGAGACTGAATCAAGGAGCGTGGTCTTTTGGGCATCAGATTATAACTACCTGCTCTCACCAACCACATTAGTTTAACTGATATGTCTTTTCTGGAGAAAGAACTAAAGCATTTTATTGAAATCTCCTAGATGAAGAAAGGCAGTTAACTGAGTAGCTTGTAAGTGGGGTAAAATCTCAGAGCTCTCACAGTTCTTGACATCTACCTGTAAAAACCAGGTAGCCCATAGATCAGTGCGTTCAAGGAACAGGCATGGAGTGTGGACCTTTCCTAACCGTCTTGATTCTGCATCCATGGAATTCAGACTATGGGGGCTTTCAGGCAGAAATCCTTATTCCAAGGCTTCCATAGCACTTTAGTTCTTAAAATGCCTTGGAAATGTTTCAAGACATATCTGCTTCATACTGGGTACTGCTCTATGGCAGAAAAGAAAGCTGCTTTCAAGGTGAGATTTCAGGTGTGCTCATGGAATTAAAAAACAAACAAACAAACAAAAACTGGCCAGCAGCAGTTTTAATGAGCATGTGAGCCTTTTCCGCCTCAGCGAGTGGCAGGTATTGAAGTTTCCGGGGCACTCTGGGTCCTGAAGGAAGTGAACAGCTTACCTATAATGGACTAATCTGGGAAAACATTGACGGTATTGAGGAAAGAACTATCTGGGATCATGACTGCTGATTTCTTCCATGCTGCTAGTGAAATATAAATGTATCTTTTGTTTGAGGGGCAGATTTATGTATAACAAGTATAAATATTCCATTTTTCTAATGCAAGTAGAACTTTTTAAGGTCATTAGTACCCATGATTAAAAGGGTAAGGAAATTCTTGACTTTTAGATCATTACAGGAGATAACAATGAATTCATTAATTAAAAAACTATTCACTAGGATCATGTTCTATACCCTACCCTGTGCCTGGCATGTCATAGACACAGACAAATTGAAAAGCAGAGACTATCATTTAGCTGGAGAGAACCACAGAGATCCAAGTACATGCTTGTCCTAGAAATTCAGAGGAAAGGAAAGCTCGTGATGGTTTGAGGTCATTCCAGAAACCCTACATTGGGGGAGGAAGGTATGGAGCTGGGTTTTACAGAAAATGAGGGAGTTACATGATCTTCATGACAAAGGACATAGCTTGAATCTTGGAAGTACACAGAGAATAAGAATCTTGCTTGGATCATCTCAATAGAAAATTCTCGAATTTCATTGTGTCAAAGAAGGAATATGAACATTCTGTCCTGTGCACTCTGCTGAAATGTGTCTGTTTTAAAAGATAATTGGCTTCAGCATTGCATTTGCCCCTTCTCCCTCACTACCTTTTAAAATTGGACAAAGCTCTTCCCATGGTGGTCTTCAGAGAAAAACAGAATCCTGGATTTTATGCTGGAGCTCCTCTGCTATACCAAGGGTAGGTTGGTAAAGCTTCACAGAAAGAGATGTTCTGAGCCCAACCTATGGAGACACGTTCCAATTTAGGCTGTGGGATGAAAATTACAGGGCAGCCACAGAGGCAAGTTTAAAATTAGGACAAACTTCTCTTTGGGTCTCTTAAGCCTCAAAGAGTTAGTAGATGAGGCAAAGGAAAATGGGGGAAAAATTAACAGCAGGAACTTGAAAAGCAAAATCCCCAGACTTCTGTTCCTTCCCAGGGTCCTCCTGACATCCTTAGCTTTTCTGCACATCTGAAAATCGGCAGAAAGAGCGGAGTCCCACAGCTGCTTCCTAGAAGCCACTGCTTAACTTTGGACCTGTGAGGAAAACCTGGTGGCAAATAGGTCAAGATAATCCTGGCTAAGAAAGAAGGAAGAGAAAAAAAAAATGAGGCAAATGTTCTTTAGCCCAAGTCCTTTTCCTCAAGTCTCTGTCAACAGTAACCCAGGTGACTTGAGTTCAAAAGGAGCCACAGGTGTCAGTCAGCCTCAAGTCAAGACCCAGGAGATAGCTCTGTTGGGTGCATGGAGCCTTCTCAGATGTGCTTACGTCACTGGTTCCAGTCTGGCAAAAGATCTGGGTTTGCAGGTAACGACCACCTCTCGACTGCACTACCAGCTAAGAAGCACTAGCCATCCTCCCTGAAGAGGTGGCCTCTCTGGGGAAACAACATGGGGGCTCTAAGCTGTGTTTTCTTCTTGCCTCTGCAATTTTGCCTGTTTCTCAAAGCTACTAAAAACATCACCTGCAGTTATCTTCTTTTGAGATTATTTTGACTGGATGCTTTTGTTTGTTAAGAGTTTGAACTCCTTCGAGGAATTCAATGATTACTAAATAGAGAACAAATTATTCCTACTTTTCCACAGAAAGAGGTGTTTTCACCTGAACACCAGATGTTTTCAAAAAGCTCAAGGGTATACACACTCAACTACCAACAAATACGTTCCATTAGATTATCCTGGAGTCGAAACAGAATGGGGGAGGACCCAGTCAATTCCATCATCCTGGCAAGGTCCCACAATGAGCCTGTTGTGGGCCCCCCTTTTTGGAAGTCATTTGTTAGGTTCACTTCCTGGGGACAGACTGTTTTAGATGTGCCTGGATTTCTAGTTCCGCATTCCTATGAGCCAGAAAGTAGAATACAATAAAATGTAGAAGAATGGCTGTTTTCACGTGTGACTTCCTTACTGATGATCTGAAGAGTATTTACAAAGTTTGTTAAAGGAAATGCCCATATTTGGTTATGTCACTCTTTGGAAAAAAGTTTTCAATAAACAGGAAGTAAAATGAGTCTCCAAATAAAGTATAAGTACATTCCTAACCTAATGCATCATGAGAACTAAGACACAAAGCCGGGCACGGTGGCTCACACTTGTAATCCCAGCACTTTGGGAGGTTGAGGCAGGTGGATCACTTGGGCTCAGGAGTTCAAGACCAGCCTGGGAAACATGGCAAAACTCTGTCTCTATAAAAAAATACAAAAAATTAGGTGGGCATGGTGGCATGTGCCTGTGGTCCCAGCTACTTGAGAGGCTGGAGGCTCAGGTGGGAGGATTGCTTGAGCCCAGGAGGTCAAGGCTGCAGTGAGCCAAGATCATGCCACCGCATTCCAGCCTGGGCAACAGGGTGAGATCCTGTTTTTGTTTTTTTTTTTTAAAGTTAGACACTTTAGAGGGTTATGGCTTATCTAAAGTGGTGATGTTAAACCTATAACTTTCTCTGTCCAGAGAGTTAATAAATCAACTCATCATATCAGTGGGCCTTTCTCAATAGGTGTTGCCGTTTAGCCTACAAAACTCACTTTGTCAGAGCTATTTCAGCTCAAGTTAGAGCATAACTAGTTAGACAACTTGATCTCATTGAAATATTTGGTGCCTGCTGATATGTTCAAACAAATTCACCAGATCTTGATTATGTTCTGGCAATTAAAGCTATTAAGTCAGTAGATAGACAGCAGGTTATTTCATTGCTGGTAGAAAAAGCCAGCTTTCTTTTCTCCCCTTTTTATGTGACAGCACTGTAATTAGCCTTAATCAAATACTATTTGTGTTAGGTGCTGTAACTTTGCTTTCTTAGCCAGGAAACTCTGCCAATCTAGGAAAAGTAGAAATACAACTTCGGTCAAAAAGCAAGAAAGATAGGGATAGGGTATTTGAGAACTCTCTGTGCTATCTTTGCAACTTCTCTGTAAATCTAAAACTGTTCTAAAATTAAAACTTTAATTTTTAAAAACCAAGAAAAAGAGAGGAAGAGAGGAATGAGAGAGAGAGGCTGTTGAAAGTGAGGCTTCAACTGTAGCAGCATAACATGTAAAAGCAAGCTTTTAGAAGTAGTCAATTCATTTAGAAAATATGGTTCCTCTGGAAATTCCAGGTTAACCCTCTTGTTACATGGGGGAATGCCTTGGTGCTTCTTTTTTTTACCACTGCAAATAAGTATGTAATGGAGACTACAGCCAGGTAAAGGGAACGGCAATAATCATGAATAAAACTGATTTTTTTTTTAACCATTCATCCAAACTTCTAGTTTATTTTTCCGTGTTTTAAACCCACCATTTCTTTTAACATCCCTGGAAGAAAGAGCTCTTCAGATCGTTTTGGGAATGAAGTTAGTGAAGAGGTGAGGCAGGGTTTCTCAAACTTTAATGTGCATACAAGTTGGGTGCAGTGGATCATCCCTGTAGTCCCAGCTATTCAGGAGGCTAAGGCAGGAGGATAGCCTGAGGCCAGGAGTTCAAGACTAGCTTGGGCAACATAGCGAGACCCCTTTGTCTTAACTAACTAACTAAATAAATAAACAAACACACAGACAAATCTCCTAGGGATCTTGTGAAATAACACATTTTGATTTGGGAGGTCTAGAATGGTCCCCAAGATTGTGTTTGTAGAAAGCGTCTATTTGATGCCAAAGCTACCGGTCCACAGACCATAGTTTGAGTAGCAAGGGTACAAAAACTAGTAATTAAGTAAGTGCAACTGGCCAGAAGTAGAACCATGGTATCTTGTCTACGTGGCCGACAATGAAACATCGGTATGAAGCAGTTGCCAACAAACAGATACTCACTTTCTATTTTCCTTGGCCAATAATACCTTGTGTCAAATTTTCAAAATGCATTGGTAAAATGGCATTATACCTTGGGTCAGACTATTAGCTCAGAGAATCCCAATAATGGAAGTAACTATTCTTGTTCAAAGTGCCCCAGCCATGATAGGGAGGCATCAGAGACAATTGTAAAAGCAATGATCTGATCTTTATTTATTATTTGGACTCTATGTTTCCTCATACCTCAAATTCTGTATCTGTACAATATTAGCAACTAGAACTAGTAATATTTTGAGTTTAAGGAAGAAATGTCACACAACTCTTAGAGCCTCCCAGAGGTACTCTGTCATTTTAAGAGATGATGATGGCTATGTTCCACAGGAGACAACCCTGCCATATGGCTGACATTCACTTGACAACAATATGATTCATTTCACTCCATCCAAAATGGTAAGATAGGCCATTAATGACTTTGAATAACTGAAAAACATATTTTTACAGGCATGAGCCACCGCACCCACTGAAAAACATATTTTTAAAAATACCTTTTGACCCAGCAATCCCATTGCTGGGTATATACCCAAAGGAATATAAATCGTTCTACTATAAAGACACATACGTTTATTGCAGCACTATTTACAACAGCAAAGACATGGAACCAACCCAAATGCCCATCAATGATAGACTGGATAAAGAACATGTGGTACATATACAACATGGAATACTGTGCAACCATAAAAAGGAATGAGATCATGTCCTTTGCAGGGGCATGGATGAAGCTGGAAGCCATCATCCTCAGCAAACCAACACAGGAACAAAAAACCAAACACCACATGGTTCTCACTCATAAGTGGAAGTTGAACAATGAGAACACATAGACACAAAGAGGGGAACAACACACACCAGGGCCTGATGGGGGATGGGGGTGAGGGGAGGGAACTTAGAGGACGGGTCAATAAGTGCAGCAAACCACCACGGCCCATGTATACCTATGTAATAAACCTGCACATTTTGCACATGTGTCCCATTTATTTTTAGAATAAAGAAAAACAAAAATTAAAAAAAACCATATTTTTTACAATTTGTGGTAACTGCCACAAATGCCACATGTCTAGTTCTCCACCAGGTTTTTTACTCCTTTATACAATGTTTGAATTCCAAACAATGGTCCTTTTACTTTATTTATTTATTTATTTTTAATTTTATTTTCTGTTTTATTGGTACACAAGAGATGTACTTCTACTTATTTTAGATTTCTTCCATATCTTGATTAATGCAACTCAATTAGGCTTTAAATCCAGTGGTATGCTGGCAAATAGCTAACAACCAGCTCTCCAGGAAAAGTAAAAAAAGAAAGAGAAGTCTTGGTATGTACCTTTGGTCAATTTTGATGATGTAAATACTCTCAGCATGGCCAATTTCAAGTACCAACTTGGCTTTACCGAATATAAAATTAGGAAGAAATGTACATAATCACAAGTCTGCTCCAGTACATAACAGCAAGTGACCCCAAAGACATAAAACATTGTTGTTTTAATAATTAAATTACAAAAATCTAGCAGGGGTAAAAGTATTCTACAATTCCAAGACAGCTTGTCTCTTAAATTGCTTTCACTTTGTTACTGAAAAGTAGAAGTCCATGAGTGTTTTTATAAACCCAAAATAACTCCCTGCTAGTTTTTTTTTTTTTTTTTAATGACAGTCTCATGATCTGTGTAATTACCACAGAATCTTATAAGCCATTTGGATTTTCATGACACAAACATACTGAAAGTTTGGAATTCTGTATGAACTTGAGAGTTGAACCTTTCCATTTTTGTTTTTTCCTACTATTATAAGCTCTCCCTTCCGTAAGTATTAGGCATGGCTCAGGCAGCCTCTGTGGCCATAACAATCTGCAGAAAATACTAAAACATCACCATGTTTTAAAATGTTCCCTACAATTGCCTTTGAGAATGGCAGCTTAATATCTTCATGTCCTCTCCTATATCTGAACTGCTTTGCTTCAATTTTTTAAAAAGCTGTCTTATGTTAAAAAGGACAACAGAATGAGAAAACTGCAATTGTAGCCAAAATGTTGTAACAATGGTGTGTTTTATGCACACTTAACATATATAACTGTTTCTAACACATCATTTCTTCATTCTATTTTTAATCTATCTGAGATTCTTTATTAAACTGTGTTTTTTATATTTTTAGTCACAAGTACACCTGCTTATTACCAGTGAGGGTCTTTTTTATTTTATTTTTAGAGAAAAGAGTGTCTTGCTATGTTGTCCTGGATAGCCAAGAACCCCTGGGCTCAAGGGATCCTCCCGTGTAGCTGGGACTACCAGCACACACCACCACTGCCAGCTCCAGTGAGGTTCTTATAAGAACACAAAAGCACAGAAGGCTACAGCTCACAGGATTGGGGGAAGGGAGGGCACTGGTGAAAAACTATCTGGCCAAGTAATATAATTAACTTGAAGAAAAACATTTGCATCATAACTATACTTGTGTCTTTTTCCATCAGCAAAAGCCAAAACCAAGCAAATAAAAAGCCACCACCATTCACCCACCACCTTGAACACAAATGATTTTGGCAGTGCAGTCAACATGAAAAAATACTGCTTGAAACAAACCAAGAAAAAATTGCTTCCAATCAAGTCTTCCTGCTTGCTTTCATTGTATTCACTTTCATACCATTTGAAATATGTATCATGTGTACCTGTTAACTCTTCGAAAATGAATCTTCTAAAGTCTTCCAATTTTTTGAACTTTTCTTAAAATTCATTTTAACCGAGCACCCCACTTATGATGAACACGTTAGGTTTTAACACATGCAGAACACGGCACAGTACACCCCCTGCCATTCTCCAGATGTTAGGAACTAGAAACATGCAAGGATTTTTCATGTTAGAAAAATGGTGAAGTCAGCTCATCAAAGGTAAAACAGGCAGAATATGTCCCTGCCTTTGCCTTTCCTAAGATGCATTTACATTCACTTGGTTTGTCTCTAGTTTGACAGGATTATTAATAGGATGGGCTTACCACTCATGTAGATGAATCTCTTAGCCACAGAAAAGCCTTTTACTATCTTACGTGTTTCTGACCGATGCCTGATGACTCTACCAGCGGATCTTCACAGTAACCAGAGATGTGGGCTAGTGATCAGTTACAGAGCAAAATTGCTAACATTATTGTCACTAAATTGGAGTCCAGCATTATTTTAACAAATTTTTTTTACATCAACGAGCAGTCTTTGGTTAACAGGCTTTAAGAATGACAAAAATACCCATCATGAAAGGAAAAAGTGTTCACAACACTGGACCTTCTTGAATGACTGCGATACAGCCCTCCTGACTTCCCACTAATCAAGTGCACTAGCCCTCCTGGATATAAGCTGAAGCTACATCAAGAACTAAAAAAGAGACATGAAGAATAAAGATCTGAGGGACATAGACATGAACATGGACATACATGTACACATAGATATATTCTGGTAAATAAAAGAATATTCATGCCATTTTTAACAATTGTGAAGAAATTTAATTATACTTAAAGTAAGGATCAAAATTGAAAAAAGTCCTAATATTAGAAGAATCAACACAGCAACAATGGAAAAGAGAGGCTCTTTTTTTCTCTGAGGGTCACTTCATAAATATTTGGGAATTTCTCACTGCTAAGTAAAAAGAGGAGAAGCAGATGATGAAAAGGAGGAGTTATAGGAGTTCAATGAAAGGCAGTCGCCCCCTCAAAATTCACAGCTCTTCCCTGAGGTCACCTTTCTGTCTCTTCACTGGTGCCCTTCCTGTGGGTAGCATGTGGGAAACAGGGGAAGGAAAAGGGATTGAGAATCAAGCTGGCATTAAAATACAATCTTACCCTATTTCCCTGTGGCCTACAGTACTCCCCTTTTGAAAAAATAACGTGGAAAAAATGTTGTTAGTTTTCTTTTTAAGGGACACACACACACACACACACACACACACACACACACACACACACACTCTATTCTTCATCCCCGGCAGTTTCCCAAATGAGATCTGCCATCATGAGGTTGCATACATAAGGCGGTGAGAGAGAGTGTGCCTCTCCTGCCAGGCCTGAAGAGTTCTTGAGGGCATCTAAAACTGAAAGCTTTTAGCAAAACACAGATGCAAGCAAATTACAAAATCATAGTGTCTGCAGGACTGGATTCTGGTTGGCACAGGTTTGGAACTGATTTTTTCAAACGCCTGGACAAAGGGGAAACAGCCTCCCTGCCTCTTGGCCAGCCCTGTGCTGCATTCAGATCTCACTCTGTATTGTTTTCTTGCCATACTTGTATTTAAAGTCAACCTCTGTTTCCCAACAGACACCCCCACAGATACACACCCTAGGCTCCACATGACTTTCAAGTCACGTTAGGGCATCTGTCCTTCCTCAAGAATCTGTGAAAAGTGAGACCCTGTCTCAAAAAAAAAAAAAAAAAAGAGAAAAGAAAAGAAAAGCCAGGTGCAGTGGCTCATGCCTGTAATCCCAGCACTTTGGGAGGCCAAGGCGGGTAGATTACCTGAGGTCAGGAGTTCGAGACCAGCCTGGCCAGCATGGTGAAACCCAGTCTCTACTAAAAATACAAAAATTAGCCAGGCATGGGGGCACACGCCTATAGTCTCGGCTAAGTCAGGAGGCTTTATACAATGACATTTTTAAGTCAGGAGGCTAAGGCATGAGAATCACTGAACCTCGGAGGTGGAGGTTGCTGTGAGCCAAGATCGTGCCACTACACTCCAGCCTGGGCAACAGAGTGAGGCTCTGTCTTAAAAAAAAAAAAAAAAAGAAAAAAGAAAAAAAAAGAATCTGTGAAGTGTAGACCAGAGCCCATATGAGGTTTATTTGCAATTGAAGTTAAACAACACTAGGGACTCAATTTGACCCCCATTACCTGGCTGCTTTATCTTAGTGCCTCAGTTTCTCCTTGGGTCAAGAATGTTACTAATGACCCTTGGCAAGTCAGCAGGCAAAACCATTCTTACAGTAATAAGTTTGATGACTACATAGTGCTTGTTACAGTCCAGACTTTCTCTAAGTGCTCTTTCTGTATTAATTTACTTAATCCTCACAAACTCCCTGAGGTGGGTTCTGTTAGGCCCATTTTACAGATGAGGACACTAAGGCACAAGGAGGTCAAGTACTCTGCCACCTTGAGAGGAAGAACAGGCTTGAAATCCTGTAGTTCCACTCCAGAAACCAGCTCTTAACTACCATCTCTCAGTAAGAACTTTTTCAGCATACATGACCATTTAAATGCCTTCATTTGCACACACTTTAGTGGTTGCAGGGAGTACAGAAAGCAAATCCCACCGCTGATGTCTGGAGGACAGAGGAGGCTGTATCCTACCAGCATTTTCCAGTCCCAGGGTAGCAAGCAGAGCAGCGTGCTGCCCCAAACCTACCTGGAAGCACTCAAGTGACTATAGCCAGACCTGACAGAAAACACAAGCAGAGCAAGAGAAACAGAAGTAGAGGGTGCCGGCCCTCCCATCCCAGCCAGAGTGGGAAGGGATGGAGATGGAGCAAAGCCAGCCAGCCAGTGAATGGGAGACCTGAGGTGAATGGTCCAGGAACTCAGCACTGATCTTGATAACCTGCAGAGGAAGGAGCTTCCTGAGTGGAAGGGAGGGAAGGTTTGCAGTCTCCTTCTCCCCTTTGCAGACCCTCCACTGCATACCAGATAATGATGGGCTGACCAGGATTTGTAGCACACTCCCACCATCCCCGCCGTGGGATAGGTAGGTAGGTAGATAGAGAGGCAGGGCACGGGAAGAGAGACAGACTGATTTAAAATACTCAAGATGGAACCAGTCACTCCTCACTTCACCCCTGCTCCCTTCTACTTCCCCACATTTTTGCATCAGAAAAATATGTTTGGAGAAATGAACACACACACACACCCTCTCTCTCTTTCTTCTTTCAGCACATTCTTTTGTCAAGGACCTTTATAAGCATGAAGAATTTCCACATTTGATAATTTACAGCAAACTTTTCATTTGGGTATTAAAATGTAGACATATGAAAAGCTCCCTGACACCACTTCTGGCAATAGTAACATATTTATGTAAAAGAATTCACAATACAGATTTTATGTTAATATTCCTTAATCTTTACTTCTTGCATTTCAACTTAACCTCGCTCATAGGAAACAGCTTCCAGACTCCCCTTCAAATATTCATAGGGCCTACTGTAGATGAGAAAAGCATGCTCTACCTAAACACATGCCTCCCCTATCTATCTCCTCAACCTCGCTGCCACTATAAACATTGGCAGCCCTGACTATACCGGCGATTCCGCACCACTGACTCACAAAAAAGTGTTTCCAAGGTGAAGCACCTGATGGAGTAGACACATGTTAAGTAACATATTGGAGTTCCTAAAATTTTGATAGAAATATAAATAAATCAAGTTTTCAGACCTTGATCTGCCACTAACATCTGACCTTGGGCAATATTCAACAGCATTTGATGAAGATTTTTCATTAACTACTGGGTATGAGGTCAGTGGGTTATGAAAGATACAGTCCCTGCCTTCCAGATATTTGCCATCTAGTGAAAAAGGTAGACATAGAAACACGAGCTGCAATCAAAGCAAAGTACAACTATTGTCAGAGAAGTCTGCAAATGAGTGTTGTGGAAATGCAAGGAATCAATAATTAAATTGAACTGAGAGGATTAGAGCAGGCTTCACGGACAAGGTAGCATTTGAGTAGAGCATTGGATGAAATTAGTTGGATTTTGATAGGTGGAGAAGATGAGCAAGAAAACACAAGCAAAAGCTGGAAGTAGGAAATGCTTGGCAGCACACAAAGGCAGGAGAGTAGCCAGGGGGATTGAAGCACAGTCTGTGGAGGACTATGGTGACAGGGAGGTAGATGGTGGCTCTGAAATCATGGTAGGGACTTTGGACTTACTGTGCAGGCAGTGCAGATCCACCCAGGGTCTTAAGAGGAAAATGGAGCATGGGTTTTAAAAATGGATCAGACAATCAAGAGATTAGTAAGCAGAAGGTGATTAGGAGGACGCCCAAGCAGTTTAGGTAATAGATGATGAGGAAAGTCATTCAATTTCAGGGACTTAGCACCATCTCCTTTTCTCCAAATGAGGGAACAAGGTCAGCTAGAGAAGCAACAAGCCTAAATATCTTGAGGCGGACTTAGGGGCTCACTCTCCTGAGGTTCTAACTGCACCTGGTACATGATCTTCATCACAGCAGCTCCCATTGAATTTTCACAGTTCACTTTCATGTCTGTCTTCTTACCATTAAAAGTGCCTTATAAGCAGGGCCTATGGCTTTTCACTGTTTCCAGAGGCCTAGAAGAGCACCTAGCATATGGCAGTCAGTCAAACATCCCAATCATGCTACTCTATTTGTTTTGATTTCCAGAGAAAGATATGGAATCGCCCATAATCACAGATGAGAAAATAAAAAATCCAAATTTCCTGTCTCTACTGTTAACTAGTTCTGTCTTAGAACTAGAAAGCCTTAGAATTATGATATGTGTCTATGTATTAAGGACCGAGGGGTTAGTTTCACATTCTTTTCATATCCCAGTTTTCCTTTCTAGTTCTCAAAAAGTGGAACCACCAGCTTCCAACCTCTTTATCTCCTCTAATTACTAACTCTTCTCACTGAGTTATCTCCTCTAATTACTAACTCTTCTCACTGTACCTTCTGGGCTACCTAAACTGCACTGCAACTACAACTCATCACGAGCCTCCCAGGCCCCTCTCAATCAACTCTCATTTGGTGATTGTGGACTAAACCACAGAAAGTGTCCAAAGGACTCTCTTTATCTCCAGCTCCACAGATTCTGTTTCAAATGTCAACTTCCCTCAAATTCTTGGCTGCACACCAGGTATAACTATATTTAATGATATTGGTATCTGAATGAACACAACAGAACCTTAGAGAATAAACCCTCAATATTCATGAATTCCCAAATTCAGAAATACAATAGCATATAATTTGCCTTGTGCTTCATAATATAAATATGACTGAAAATGTAAGGGATCTCCTCAACCCCTAATGACTTATTTCCCTCTTAAGGAGTGATTTTTGCATTAGTCATATTTTGCTCTGAAATAATTTTAATTTTTTTTCTTATTTTCATATGGTAAATTCATTCATGGCCATGACTTAACCACTCTTTAATCTGGTCAATACTTCCATTTTCTGGGTTAGGTAGAATTACTTTCTTAGTCTTCTTCACTTCCATCTCTGATACTAGCACTTGACTTTCTTTGGGGAGCCATTTCTAAAGAAGACACCTTAAAAAAAATCACAGTGTGAGCATTCCCTGGTCCAGACTTGGAATGGACCTTTCTCATGGCCCTATGAGATTGGGAGGATCAGCAGTGGGCGTGGCTCATTCACTAGTGGACCCACTTGCTCTCAGAACCCATTTTAGCTTGTAAATTCAAGATTCAAATTTATGCTTTGGCAAAACTACAGATTTCTTTCTATCTCACACTTTTGATGTTCTTTTAAATACACAAAATGCTTTTCTTTTTTTTTAAAATTTCCAACTTTTAAGTTCAGGGGTACCTATGCAGGATGTACAGGTTTGTTACATAGGTAAATGTGTGCCATGGTGGTTTGTTGCACAGATCATCCTGTCACCCAGGTATTAAGCCCAGTATCCATTAGCTATTTTTCCTGATCCTCTCCCTCCTTCCCCCACCACTCTCCACAAAATGTTAAATCTGCAAATACCAGGTGTCTATTAAGGAACCAAATAAATCTTGCCCTCTACAGTGGTAGCCACATTGGGCAACATTTCTAAGGTTTATTATAAAAATATATCCAATCCTTTGTTCAAAATGTCCTTGAAGTTCAACTTTGAAATGACCATCAGAACCAGTTTACAAGCCTTATCAGAAAACAGAGGCCCATGACTTTATAGTCACATTTTGTTTTTGACTCAGAGATGCATCACTCCATGTGATCAACAACCACCTTAGCCACTAGACTTGGCTCCTTATGCTTTTTTCACTTCCTGCAAAGTCAAGCCACTAAAATAGTTGCCACCAAATAACAGTAATAGCAAAAGTGTGCTAAAATGAGAGAAGGTTTTGGGAAGATGGCAATGTTCCATATCATAATTGTGATGGTGATTATACAAATGTATACATTTATCTAAACTCACAGAAGTATGCACTGAAAATTAGTGAATTTTACTTTATGTAAATTATACCTCAATTAAAAGTTTTAAATTGTGAATTCTGACGACAATTTGCAAAGAGGAATTATCCATATCTTAAGTATGAAAATAAATGAATGAAGCTTTTGATAATTCTAAAGGAGCAAAACAATAACAATCATTTAGATTAGCTAGAGAACTATACACTTATAAACAAAATACAACACAGAATACATTACCTAGATTATGCACCAAAAATACCAGGTATTTCATTTTCTCTTTCAGATGAATATACTACCTGGATTCTCTTTCAGTAAGACTGTGTTTCTGATGAAGTTCATTGAGCCATTTACATTTTATCTTGGATTTGTGACCACTGATATTCAGCTGTTGGATGACTACTTAGAGTAAGAATCCAGTGTTTAGCCATAAATCAAGCTACTTGGCTCATTCAGGTGTTTCATCCTTCTTCTTAGCATAGTGAAATCATGCTATGGTCAACTAAGTTAAGTGACCCAGTCATAGGGCCAGGCCGTGGGTCACTAATATTGGGCTTTAAAAGAGTTCTCTAAAACCAGCAGGATTTCTCCAACAAGTCATTTCAAACCTCAGGAGCTTTGTTTTGGCTGCAGTGCATGAATAGCAAAGGCAGGCTGAATTCGCTTTCCCTACTTCAGTCCATTGTTTAGGTCACATGCAGGCCAAATTCAAAACAGTGCTGAATCTATCGGCGAAGATTAAAACACTGGAAAGTCATTATTGATTCGTTTGGGCGGGTCTACGTCGTAAAGGTTAAGTGTAGTAAGTGTAGGTTCTGGACCACAGACTCTTGGAAACTCTTTGTTTCCTTGAGCAGTTATTACTGGAAGGGAGCCTTGGCATCACCCCCACAGGGAGCTATATATTCAAGTCAGGCCCCAGTCAGGATATTTCTTGGTCAAAGGATAAATGAGGTCTCCTAAAATAGTCCTGACAGGCCACCAACATCTGTGAATACCACAAGTTCACACCTGTAATCAAAACCACTTATTCTCCAAAAAACAAAAACAAAAACCAGCTCAGAGGATGGGATGCTGCCACAATTGTCTCTCCCTTGGAGACAAAGAATGGTCAAAAACCACTTGCTTTGATAAATCTTGCTGAAGCAACAAAAATAGCTGTGTCATGCAGAGATGATAGAATTACCTTTCACCATTACATCAGAACAAAAACCTCCAAGAAAGGCAAAATTTCTCATTCTCCCATCTAACTACATTCACAGGCAAATCCCTAAAATTCAAGCCAAATTACATACAAGTATTTTACATAGCTTTTTGCATTTAGAACATCTGTTAATTCAAAATGTGGTTGATGAATTAACGGCCTACAACGTTCCTTTAAAACCAAACCACCTAAAAATCAATTTATTCTTACATTTAATAGTTTTTTTTTTTTTTTTTTGAGACAGAGTCTCGCTCTATCACCCAGGCTGGAGTGCAGTGGCGCTATCTCGGCTCACTGCAAGCTCCGCCTCCCGGGTTCACACCATTCTCTTGCCTCAGCCTCCCGAGTAGCTGGGATTACAGGCGCCCACCACCACGCCCAGCTAATTTTTTGTATTTTTAGCAGAGACAGGGTTTCACAGTGTTAGCCAGGATGGTCTCGATCTCCTGACCTTGTGATCTGCCCGTCTCGGCCTCCCAAACTGCTGGGATTACAGGTGTAAGCCACCGCGCCCGGCCATTTAATTGAACTTAGTAAGTGTCTGTTACATGAGTACTATGTTAACCACTATTATAGGAGATTTTGGAGAAGTATAAGGCATGTTATCATTCCTTAATGTACTTATAATTTCATTGAGAAAGGCAGTGTACACATTAAACAGCTAGTTGAGCGAATTTGGCAATATCCTAAACATTGCTGGGCTTCTATTTCCTCACTGGTAAAATGAAGGAGTCAGAAGAGATGATTCCCGAGACTCTTCTAGGTCTCAAGTTCTATAAACCTTTCAATGCCTACGTAGAAAACAATCCAAGATAATATATGGTGAAGTCCAGATAATATATGGTCAAGTCCATATATTATATTGTATTTATTGATAAATAATCAATACGATAGGAGGTCAGAGAAGAGAGAGATCAATTTTGAGGTGGCAAAGGTTTTCTGGAAAAAGAAACTTCAGCTTGGACTTGAAGGACGGGTAGAATGTGAAAGGGGCAGGAGGTGGTCACTGTTTACTAAGAGTGCAGAGGGCTTGTGCAGGGTGACTGGAAAAATTCTTGATTAGGGACAGGGAAGATGAGTTTGTATTTGTCTCTGTGGATAAAGGGATTATATGTTGTCAAGTGGTGGATTTAAGTAGGGGAAGTGATATGACGACTTGGTGACATGATCCTATTAACCTGCAAGTCAGATCACACCATTCTCTTCTCAGAGCCATCCAGCAGCATCCCATCTCTCTCAGATAAAAGCCAAAGTCCTTGCAAGGGCTTGCAAGGCTTTGCAGCATCTGCTTCTTCCACCCCTATCAACTGTCGCCTTATGTCCTCCTCTCCCACACCAGCCTCCTCAGAGTCTTCCTCATATACCAGGCACACTTCAAGCATTTTCACATGCGTTTCCTCTGCCTAGACTGCTCTTTCCTCAGGTATCTCCATGTTTGGCTACTCCTTCATGTAATTGCTCAAATGTCACTTTTCAGTGAAGCCTTCCCTATCACCGTATCTAAAATTGCAGCCTACCCTTTCCATACACACAGGCTCACACATGAACACGCGTGCAGGCATGCACACACACACACCCCATATACCTCCTTATCTCCCTTCCCTGCTCTACTTTTTTCATTACATCTACCATATTCTACCATGTGATATGATTTATTTACTTTCTAAAATGTCTCTATCCACTGCCCTCCTCCCTTAGGTAGTATAAACTCCATGAGGAAAGGGGGTTTTGTCTGCTTTATTCACTGCTGTATGTCTCAAGCCTAGAACAGTGTCTGGCCTAGAATAGGGGCCCAGGAACTATTTGTCCAGTGAATGAAGGCATGAATATAATGAAAAAGGTGTGAAGTCATTAACCTCACAGATTGAACTGCAAAGTGGAGGGCCTAGAGGTTATGAAAACTTGGACTAAAGGAAGGCAATGGGAAGAAAAAAGGAGCTGACTAGGAGAGACTTCATCAAGAAATAACAACCAGGGGCTGTTAACTATCTCAGTGTTCAGGCCTGGATTAAAGGAAATATATTCACCATGGGAATTAGGAGAATGTTAGGGGCAAAAGAGGAACTGAAAATGTACTGAAAATAAAATGATGCATAGTTTTATAAACAAATATCAGTCAGATTTAACTTCAGTTGTTTCCAAACATAATTGATTGCTATTTTCTTCCTGCTTACATTTCTGAGAATGGCTAAAAGGAAACTAAAAAAGAAGGAAGTGGGAAATGTGTAACGTGCCATACTTTCCTTTTAAGGCAACTTCAGCCTGAATGCTGGGCAAAGCCTCCCACATTTCACAATTTGTTCTCTATCAGCTCTCAGGAACACAAAATACAGGAAAGACAGATCCTGTTCTTCTGGTTTTTTTTCTTTTCTTCTTCTTCTCTTCATTATGTTTTCTCCTCCCCCAAAAACAGTAATCAGAGCAGATGACAAGAAATCTTTTTAACATCAGCCTTGGTGTAATAAGCATCTTGGAAATGGAAAAAGCAAGAGGGGATGTGATGAAGTCTTTACCAGTCTGTGCAGATGTTAAGACTTTACTAGAGCCACAGCAAGAAAGTACTATTTATGTCAGGTTAATATCTTATTCATACATTTCTTTAGAAAT
Organism: Homo sapiens; assembly: GCF_000001405.40. NCBI lineage: Eukaryota > Metazoa > Chordata > Mammalia > Primates > Hominidae > Homo > Homo sapiens. Next base: position 139,976,494 of record NC_000004.12, read on the forward strand.
TATGAAGGCATAGTACATTAACATCCAGTCATCCAATATTACTTAGAATCATAGGTGATACCTTCAGGAAAAAAAAGGTGGATGATCTTATTTCCTGATTGAAGAAATCTCAAGTACAGTTGAGAAGCCATATGTGGTTAGTATGTACTTAAGATATGAGCTTTAAAAGCAAGTCCTACATTTCTGCAAATTCAAATTTTACTATTACCTCTTTTAAAATTCAGTGTTTTTTAGAGGCATTTGCTTAATTAAGTTTGATTCTATACTTATTTTTCTGCCTTTTAAATACATACCCTAAATTAAAACTAAATCAGTGGTTCTCAACTAGGGTGATTTTTTTTTCCCTCCAGGGCACATCTGGCAATGTCTGGAGATAGTTTTCACGACTGTGGGGAGAAGAGGGTGTCACATCCATTAAACAGAGGCCCAGGTACTATGGTCTGAATGGCTGTATTCCCCCAAAATTCATATGTTAAAACCTGATCATCAATGTGCCATATTAGAAGGTGGGGCTTTTAGGAAGGGAATCAGGTCGTAAGGGCAGAGCCTCATGAATGGGATTTGCCCTTATAAGAGTTCCTGGTGAGCTGCTTCGGCCCTTCCACCAGGAGACATGCAGCAAGAAGGCACCATCTATGAACCAGGAAACAGGCCCTCACCAGACACTGAATCTTGATCTTCAACTTCTCAGCCTGCAGAACTGTGAGAAATAAATTTCTGTTGTTTATAAACCACCCAGTTAATGGTATCTTGTCATAGCAGCCCAAATGGACTAGGGATGCTGCTGAACATCCCAGAGTACGCAGGACGGCCCCCGCCACAGAGAAGAATCTAATTTAAAATGCTGATAGTGCCGAGGGTGAGAAACTCTGGCCTAAATCATCTCTGATAGAGATCCCCAAATTATGATAAAGCAATAACCATTTTAGTCCAAGTGTGTCCTTCACATAAGACTAAGGAGTGGAAGAGTGGAGCTCTGCAAATTGCATTGTTTAAAAATGCAGTCAGACCCTACTTTGGAACATTCTGCCCTTACTGGTAATACTAATTATGAACATATAGATTAAGTCTCCAGATAAGAATTAAAAGGATGTTCTGGCCAGGCGCGGTAGCTCACGCCTGTAATCCCAGCACCTTGGGAGGCCGAGGCGGTTGGATCACCTGAGGTCATGAGTTCGAGACCAGCCCAGCCAACATGGTGAAACCCCGTCTCTACTAAAAATACAAAAATCAGCTGGGTGTGGTGGCATGTGCCTGTAATCCAAGCTACTCAGGAGGCTGAGGCAGGAGAATTGCTGGAACCCAGGAGGCAGATGCTGCAGTGAGCCAAGATCTTGCCACTGCACTCCAGCCAGGGCCACAGAGTGAAACTCCCTAACAAAAAAACAAAAAACAAAAAACAAAAAAAAAACAAAAAAAGGATCTTCTATGCTCTTTTCTGTTCCTACACAGAAATTACAGGAAATTCATCACAGAATCAGTGAACACCAAAGCTGAAAGGGACTGCAGAAGGTAGCACAATGGATCCTCTCACTTTACTGATGGGAGGGGAAGTGGTGCAGACTGAGGTCACAGTCTTGCTTTCAGGCCCCAGCTGGTCAGTTTCAGAGCTTGGATTAGAATTCACTCCATCCCTCAGGTCTGTGCTCCTTCTCCTTGACTCGGAAGCAAATGTGAAGAATGGAGCCCAAGAAGGTTACAAAAAAAAGTCTTTGGACCAAAGTCTCTCTCTTGATTTCAGCCTCAAAGGAAGTGAGCTAATGTGGAGATGCATGGCACTCCTGGCTCCCCATCTTTGGGAGTGGTGAGCCTCCCAAGCACAGGAAGATTCAGCACCAACTCTAGCTGCAGATCTATCCCAAGGCCCAGATTGCATTAGCCAAGACCTCTCCAGGAAGCCTGTTGGAGTGAGCAGAGAAGAGCCTCAACAGGTGGCAAGTGGTCTCAAGTGCCACTTCTCTCTGAAAGGAAAGTCCTGCAAAAATGAAAATCTGCAAATGCTTTAAAAACGAGTGGCAGAGGATGGCGTCTCTGCCCTTTCTCCTCCTGGGTAAAGGGCAGTTGACCCTCACTATGTCTTCCAAATGCCTCCCATGACTTCCCAGCATCAACCACATCAAAAAAAAAGAGAGAGAGAGAGAGCACACAACTGCGCTAGGCATTCACAACATTCTCTTCCTTCAGGGGCTCCAATCTGGGCCCTGGCAGGTTATCAAAGAGACTTGGGTCTCTTTGTCCCCCATCCCTAATCTGTCTTGGTGTCTCTCTTTGGCCCTCCCATGGATGACATCCCCCCCAGAGACCTTGCCAGTCAGCCTGCCCACCTGGCCTCCCCACAGAACTGGCTATATAGCAGGAAACGGATTTGCCACTTCTCCATTTCCAGATGGCACTGAAACAAGTACACATCCTCCTTTCACTTTCAAAGAGCTCTATGACTACTTTCAAAGAGCTCTATGACTACTTTCAAAGAGCTCTATGACTAGTTACCTTAGAGAAACTGACAGAACAAAGGAACAAGCCTGCTTATGTGGTACTAGTAAAATCATAATATCAGCCACTACTTATGAAGCATTTTGTATGTGTCCGGCTCTGTATTAGGTGTTACACCTGCATTATCTACAAGCCTTTCATCAATCCTGCAAGGAAAGTATTAGTTTTACTCCCATTGTAAAGGTGAGAGAACTAAGGATTAGAATGATTTGAGACCACAGAACTTGTAAATAAAATTTTAAACATTTTGGTCTAAGTTGCCTTTCTCTTCAACATGCTAGAAATGAGTCTAGACTTACCTGGCTCATAGCTCCCTCTTTAGCTCTTTTACATGGCATTCATTTAAACATGCCTTCTCACATTTTTCTGCTTGGAGGCAGAGCTTGTCCAACCACCCCTCCATAGACACCACTGCCTCCCAGCTCCATTTGCCCCTGTCTGCTGAGCTCCTTCTATACTGTCCACATGTGTTCTCTAGTTGCTGCTTTAGCTCTATCCATGCCCAGCCACTAACAGTTGGGTTAGTGGTTGCTACGGTTTGAATGTGTCCCCTCAAAACTTCAGGTGTTGCCAATGTGACAGTATCAAGAGGTAACAGGGCCTTTAAGAGGCCATGAAGGCTACTCCCTCATGAATAGCAGTAAGGCCCTTATAAAAGAGGCTTCCCACAGTGTTCAGTTAGCTTGATCTTCTACCTTTCTGCCATGTGAGGACACAGTGTTCCTCCCCTTTAGAAGATGTGGCATCAAGGTACCATCTTGGAGACAGAGAGTAGCCCTCCCCAGACATCTGAACCTGCTGGTGCCGTGATCTCGGACTTCCCAGCCTCTAGAACTGTGAGAAAACAAATTTCTGTTCTTGATAAATTACCCAGTCCTGGGTATGTTGTTACAGCAGCACAAAATGGACTAAGGCAGTGGTTCTCTGGAACAACTGCCAATAGTAAGTAGGAATATCCCATTGTCCCACCCAGGGTCTAGGTGAGTACGGACAGTCTCAGGGCTTGACTGAGCACTGAGCTATTTTCTCTCTGGACTATCTTACTATCTGTTTGGCTGGCCTGCTACAGAGCTTCTGGGATCTGGGCTCTCCCTTTATGCATTCGGCATCTTCCAGAGGCCAAGCCCAGCCCGGACTCCAGCTAGCTGTCTGGAGGCCCTAGTTCAGACAAGCCTCTTTATCTTAGGGCTTGAGGCCTGGCTTCTGGGATCCCTCATGTCATCTGGAAGAAGGATCCTGTTGGCTTTACAACCTCAATACCCACAGACAATAAAGACTGGGTCCACTCTAAGAATCAGTTGTCACCCTCCACCTTGATCCCTGAGAAAATTCCCTTCCCCCACCCTCTGCATACACACCTCCTTTGGCCATTACTGTGGCCTTATTTTGACTTGATTTTTTCCCCCAGTCTCTGAAGCTTTGTGAGAGTTTTGGCTAAGACATCATCTCCCTAGCCTCCATTCCTGGTTTAGACCCAGGCTGATTTACTTCTCTACATGGAGTCCAAACATATTAAAAATCTAATGCCCTGGGCTACCCTGATTGTAGTCTGCTCACCCTCTAGATCCCGGTTAACTTAGGAAGACTCATAAAGGTGCTTTTAGTCTAATGATCGAGTTAAGTTGTCCAAATCAAGAGTCACCAGACTCCCGGGGTATTCATTGTCCATTCAACAAATATCCACTGAGTGTCTGCTATGTAGTCAGCACTGATGGTGGCATTTGGTGTTAGGGATTCAGCAGTGAGCATGACAGCCAAGGTTCTTCCTCTCAAGGAGCTCGTATTCTGCTGCAGGAAGACAGGCAATACATGAATAAACAAGTAATAATAATAATAACAATAATAAAACCATTGGTGGTCAGCCTCACTCAGAGAAGTAAAATAAGCTACTGCGGTAGAGAATTGTGTAGCCAGAGAATACTCCTCTCTGTTGATTTTAAGCTAAAATCTGAATTACAAGAAGAGTTCCAGGCAAAAGTTCTGGGTTGGGAACAGAAAGAATGCCAATGTTGTTTTTAAAAACAATCTTTTATTTTAGAAATAGTATATTAGTTTCCTAGAGCTGCCACAACAAAATACCACAGACTGGGCGGCTTAGACAACAGGCATTTATTTTCTCAGCGTTCTGGAGTCTGGAAGCCCAAGATCAAGGTCCTGGCAAGGTTGGGTTCTTCTGAGAACTCTCTCCTTGGCTTGCAGACAGCTGCCTTCTTGCTGCCTCTTCACATGGCCATCTCTCTGTGCACAGACACCCCGGTGTTTCTTTTCTTTTAAGGACACCAGACATATTGGCTTAGCGCCCTACCCCAATGGCCTCATTTTAACTTAATCACCTCTTTAAAGCCCTTATATGCAAGTATGGTTCTATTCTGAGGTACTAGGGCTTTAGAATTCAACATATGAACATTGTGGGCAGGGGTTGGGAACAGTTCAGCCCATGATAAATAGTTTTAGATGTAAAGAAAATTTGCAAAGATAATACAGAAAGTTCCCATATATCCTGTACCTAGTTTTTCCTATTATTAACGTCTTATATTAGCATGGTACATTTGTCACAACTAATGAACAAATATTGACACATTATTATTAACTAAAATTCATACTTTACTCAGATTTTCTTCATTTTTACCTAATGTCACTTTTGTGTTTTAGGATCTCATCCAAGATACCAACATTACCTTTAGTCATTATGTTTCATTAGGCTCCTCTTGGCAGGGACAGTTCCTCAGGCTTTCCTTGTTATAGATAACCAGTTTGGAGAGGATGGGCCAGCTATTTGGAGACTGACAAGCTTGTAGAATGTCTCAGCTGTGATTTGTCTGATGTTTTTCTCATGACTAGACCCGTGTTATAGATTTTCAGGAAGAAGACCACAGAGATAAAGTGCCATTCTCATCACGTCATATCAAGAATGCATGATATCGACATGATTTATCACGACTGATGTGAAGCTTCATCATCTGGCTGAGGGAGTATTTGCCATTTTCCTCATTGTAAAGTGACTCCTTCTTTTCCGCCTCCTTTTTCGACTGTACTTTTCAAAAGGAAGTCACTATGTGCAGATCTATTCAAAGAGTGGGAAATTATACTCCACTTCCTTGATGGTGGAGATTCTACACAAATTATTTGAAATTCTTCTGTGTGATAGATTTGTCTTCTTCCACATTGATTTTTCCCATCATTTATTTATACCAGTATAGATTCATGGATGTTTACTTTATACTTTCAGTTATAATCCCATGCTACTTTATTTATTTTGCTCAGATTGTCCCAGCTTTGACCTTAGGCACTTGTTCAGTTGGCTCCCGTGCCCTTTTGACATACCCCTATTATTATGGGAGTTTTTTTGAATACTTCCTTAACTCTTGCTGTTACAAGATATTTCAGGCTCCTATATTTCCCCCCACCCAGCCCTACAATCAGCCACTTCCTTCAAGAAGCTATGGTTGTTTTTACTGGAGAATGGTATTAGAAACCAAGGTCTGGGTCCCACATGTGTTCATTGTTGCTGTAGTGTCATTTCTAGGCCCTTTCAATTGACAGAGCAAGGGAATATATACATGAATGCTAACCTACCACATAGGTTAGCATATGATACTTTTTACCATATAGATACTTTAGCATATGATAGTTTATACCATATGATACTTTATACCATACACTTTTTTCCTATACACAAAAGTATCTATAACATTGATGTATATGCATACATCTATATCTATATTAAGCTAAACAAGAGTTCATACTGATGTTTTCAACTCCAATACATCACCACATAGACCACTCTAGCCTACTCTCCTAGCTTCACTGTAACCTCCACTTCAATAGTGAGAAACCTGCCTCCCACCATCTACTTATTTAATCATTCAGTTCCAATATATCATATGTTGTTTCAGAAGTGTTTATCTGCACCCCCCTTAGGAAAAAACTATCAATCAGAGTACAATGCTTAAATACGACTGCTTTTGCCTTCAGTTTTGCAGTCTCTATGCATTTTCAAAGTTACTTAGGTCGGCACCTTTATCGCCCAATTCCTTCAGTGAGGTAATTTCATCTATTCGTGATAGTTAGATTCTTTTGTCACAGTCTGCATTCCTTCTTGGGATCCTCTGACCTCCTAAATATTTTGTTTAAATTTCCACACATTAAGGTACATTCTTTGTGCTGTAAAACTCCATTGATTTTGACAAATGTAGTGTCACATATTCACCTTTAGGGCGTTATACAGAGTATATCCACCACCCTAAAACATCCCTGTGCTTCGCCTATTCAATCCTCCTTTCCTCCCAAATCCCTGGCAACCACTGCTCTGTTTACCATCTCCAAAGTTTTGCTTTTTATAGAATGTCATAAAAATAGAATCATACAATATATAGCCTTTTCAGACCAGCTAGAATACCTATGTTATAATAGAGAGGTAATAGTCAACAGGTTAAATGTTGCTGAGGGGTAAATAAATACAGAAGAGTGACTTCAAGTTGATTATCTCTTATCCAAAAGGCTTGGGACCAGAAAGGCTTTGAATTTTGATTTTTTGGATTTTGGAATATTTACCTTGTATTTTGCTGGTTGAGCATCTGAAATCCAAAAAATATCCGAAACCCAAAATGTTCTAACAAGCATTTCCTTTGAGCTTCATGTCAACACTCAAAAAGTTTCAGATAGTGGAGCATTTCAGATTTCAGATTTTTGGATTTGGGGTGCTCGATCTGTGCTAGATTTGGTAACATGGAAAACAGTATTAGAGGAGGGTGAAGATGTAAAATATCATTTGGAAAGTGAAAAGCAAACACACTAGGGAAGACAGAGAAGTGTGCTGGGCAGTGGAGTATCACTTGATAATCCATGGTCAAGAGTTTCAAGAGGGAATGGTCAGCACCCCCATGTGTTTTACTCCAGTGATGTTCAGCTGCTGCAATGCAGGCACACAGTAGTTGGGTAAATGGATTTAACCAGGGCAGACTTTGCCAGTCAAGTTTAATGGAGGATAAGATGGGAGAGAATGTAATGGGTAGACATACAGATGCAATTATAATAATGGACCCTGAGATCTGAGTTGGTTTAAGAGGGAAGTAATGTATCAGGAAAACACGGTGGGGTCCACAGATGGGATGAGTTTTGATAAAGTCAGGAAGTGGGGGCCAGAACAGGAGGTGGCACTGGAGTAGTGGGCTACTTGAAGGTAAGATCAGTTATTGCTGATGACAGGTCAACAGTGTGGCGTTGAGAATAGATGGTTCGCATGGGGTGGAGGAGAATATATTGCAAATGCGGAGATCAAGAAGCCACAAAGCCATGAAAATAGATGGATGGTGATATCATCAAATATATTGACAGGGGTTGAGATGGAAAGAAAAGGATAGTAACCAAGGTGCTAAAATTAACTGTAAATGGGGAGGAGTAGCCAGAGGATTCATACATATTTTAACAAGCATGGATACCAATTTCTGTGTTCCTTGCTTTGTATGAAAAAGTCAACATACCTAATTTTCAGACATGATTAGGCATCCACTTATTATAGCATAGCCTACACAAAAGAGGATCACAAGACAAGGTTAAATACTTTGCTCCTACTCTTTCAAATATACTATTTAGATAGTGTATCAGAGTTCTCTAAAAAAACAGAACCAACATGAGATTTATTTTAAGGAATTGGCTCATGCGACTGTGGGGGCTGGCAAGTCTGAAATTTGTAGGGCAGGCCAGCATGCTGAAAACTCAGGCAGGATTTTATGCTTCAGTCTTGAGACAGACTTTCTTTAGTTTTTGCTCTTGAGGCCTTCAGCTGATTGGATCAGACCCACCCAGATATCCCTGGGTAATCTCCTTTATTTCAAGTGAACTGGCTAGTGATGTTAACCACATTACAAAATACCTTCACAGCAACAGCTAGGTTAGTGTTTGATAAGTAACTGAGCAGTATAGCTCCATCAAGTTGACACATAAGACTAACCATCACAGATGGTATAAATGGAACAGCAAACACAGAACAAGACAGCTGTTGCAGCTTTCTGCAATTTAATATGGCAAATATAGATTCTGGCAGTTTTTGATTAGAGGACATTCATTATGACATGGAAACACCACTAGATTATATTTTCCTATACACAAAAGTTAGCTTTTCTTTAGCATAGTAAGACATCCTCAAAGACTATCTCTGAAAGTTTTAAAAACAGGCCAAGCTGACAGAGTTTTAAAACTTTCCTAAAAGGTGACAGGTATTAGCACAGCACAAGCCAAGTCTAGAAGTAATAAAGTTGATCTTTCTTACAGGCAACTATTTTAGTTTTCAATGCCAATGACTCAAGAGTGAGCGTAGGAACATAACCCCAGACACAGAAGGAAAACCTGATCATGACCATGGAGCAGAGTTCTGGAGGAGGAATGCTCAAATCTTAAAGAGCTTCAAATCATAAAGTACATCACATGTTGGCCAATAAGCAGAAGGATTATTACAATAATCTATGCAACAACTGAAGTCTCACTGTATACAACAAAAGGTCAGTGCCTTTAGGTGTGCAAATTTATTTCCTTGAGCTAAAATAGATTGTAAGCAACAGTGAAACTTGCCCAACTAACTTGTGAATCACTTAAACCAGCTGTTTATGTCATTTAGCTAAGTAGCCCCAAATAAGGAATGCATAGATTCCTTATTTAGGGATTAATCTTAACAAAGATTAAGATTCTGTGCTGTTTAGGGATTGCCCTGTGAAGGGAGGTGCCCATGGAAAGGCTCCTTCAGAGGCACCACACACATGGCCATATTTGCCCTAGCCTGTGGGGAATTAGCTAGAATTCTACCATGTGCTACAGACACCAGGGAGAGTTTAAGCAAACCACACCAGAAGAGGAAACAAAGATCTCCAATGAGACCCTAATAGCAATTTCATTAAATAAATTTTGGAATGCAATCTCTTCAAGAGTGGCTATGGAAACAGACCAGATCTCTTTGCTGTCTCTGAGGCCATGCCTCGTCATTCTCTTCTCAACTTCACTCCTGCTGGCTTCCCAAGTTCACTAGGAGCATCCTCTTTTGCAGATATCTAGCCCTCATTATGTTTCTTCCAGCTCTATGGAAAGCAGGGTCAGGATAAGCAGAAGAGCAGACCAGCATGTGCTTTCTGCCTCCCATGGCTCTCATTGTTTCCTATGGACTGATAAATACAAACGGGTTTTTTCCGAGTTTCGTTGTGGACAGGGTCATCCCTTGTCATCAGAGTGCTGTCACACGTAGTAGTCATTTGTTTATTCTTCTTCTTTCAGCTGTCCTCCTCCTCCTCCTATTATGTTCTTGCTTGGGCTGAGTATCACAGTTCCTTAGCAAACATCAGGGACAGGCATATTTGCCAAGATCCAAGGATAAAGCATTTTGGAAGAAAGCCGAGAAAATGGTGTAGCCACTGAATTTCTGCTTCTTTTTATTTAACAGAACTACAGAACTACTTTTAGTCATTATCACTGGATTAAACACACACAAAACTGATTAGTTCTGGTTGTTATTCATTATTCTCCCACTTCTTGTTTCTAAAAAATCAGCATTACAAACAACTCTCCAGGATCTTATTCCAATCAACCTATCTCAAGTCTTACAATTAATATTCCTAATATAACCACTACACTGTTCGACTTACTTTTTTTTTTTTTAAGCAATGAAAACCAATGCCAATGAATCATGAATCTCTACAAAAATAGAGGCCAAAGAGGTGAACCGGAGAGCAAACTTGACATTGGAAAGCAAGAGCCTCCCTTGCCTTCCCCTGTTCACTAAAGCCAGTGGCTCTGGTTAACGCAGGAAACACAGTAAATACACAGTAAATTGTACACACAAAGCAGCCATCGGCAATTTGCCTGGTGGGGTTGGATAGCATGTGGCTGATAGGTCTCAGGAGATGAGGAACAAACAGCCATGATGGATTAAGTGATTGCTATTGGCTGTGTGCTTGCCCTGAATATTTCACCATGGACAGTAATCAATTACTAGAGACCAGTAATGATACCAATCAAATGCACTTAGCACTTCTGCACTATCAACCTGAGGGCTGCCGACCTGCCACTTAGAAAAGGTTTGGGCTGTGTGAGAAACGATCTGTGAGCTAGCCACTGTTCCCACTGTAGACCAGGCAGAAAAGCAGGCTGCTTTTTCTTCGTGTTAAAAAGATAAATGGATAAATTAGCCACTCACCTGCCCTACATTAAGGTTTATTTTAAAACAAGCAATAGTATCCCTCTCCCTCACTCCCAGAGGGAGGACAGTTTATAAATATTTTGGCATCATACGACGTCTCCTGGTCAGCAGTTTTTTGAAAGCAAACAGCCTCAAAGAAAATGACTGGGCAGAGGCCATGGTAAGGCAGAAAAACAGATGTCGATTGTTTCTGAATACTGCTGGTCACCATAGCATTGGGTTGTTATGATGTCACTTCTCATCTTTTTGTTCTGTGGTGGGAACGCCGTGCGTCATCACTGAATGTTCAGAATGCCTCTATCTTATGCCGTTCTTTATGGTGTCCATGAGAAGTTGAAAAAGAAAAATCAGCCTCTCTGTGTTTCTAGCATGTCAAAATATAAACCTGTTCCTTCTCTTCTTGGGGTGTGGCATCTTTGTTCTCCCTGCGGTCATCTCCATTTAGAAGATGATACTGTGTGGGAGTTCTCGGCATGAATCACAGAGCTGTCAGTACGTGGAGTCTGGTGCACCTTCCCGCCTGGCCACTTTGTTCAGCACAAGTCTTTCATGAAACAGTGGACTGTGGCTGGGCCCCGTGGCTCACACCTGTAATCCCAGCACTTTGGAAGGCCGAGGCAGGTGGATCACCTGAGGTCAGGAGTTCGAGACCAGCCTAGCCAACATGATGAAACCTTGTCTGTACTAAAAATACAAAAAAATTAGCCAGGCATGGTGGCGGGCACCTGTAATCCCAGCTACTTGGGAGGCTGAGGCAGGAGAATCGCTTGAACTCAGGAGGTGGAGGCTGCAGTGAGCTGAGATCATGCCACTGCACTCCAGCCTGGCAACACAGCAAAACTCCGTCTCAAAAAAAAAAAAAAAAAAAAAAGGAAGAAAGAAGAAACAAGAAACAGTATAATCCTAGCACTTTAGTAGGCCGAGGCGGGCGGATCACCTGAGGTCAGGAGTTCAAGACCAGCCTGGCCAACATGGCGAAACCCCATCTCTACTAAAAATACAAAAATTAGCCGGGCCTGGTGGTGTGTGACTGTAATCCCAGCTACTCGGGAGGCTGAGGCAGAAGAAACACTGAATCCTGGGAGGCAGGGGCTGCAGTGAGCCAGGATCGCGCCACTGCACTCCAGCCTGGGCGACAGAGTGAGACTCCGTCTCAAAAAAAAAAAAAAAAAAAAAAAAGAAACAGTGAACTGTCCCACCATTACTACTTTGAAGGACTTTTAGGCTTAACAATAATGGGAACTAATTGAAATGGGGGAAACGCCTTAGAAGAGTTGTCCCACACTTAATCCTTGAGGTGTATTTTTTGCTGGGTTTTAACAGTTTTTCCAGACAAGCAAAAATTCCCGTTTCATGAGCTGGAGAGCACAGAAAAGTCTAAGTTCATTAAACGGTGCCATCCAACTGCCATTTACAGATCACTTCAGTTCTTTAGTTGTCCCATCGTAAACTTATATACAACAGGGACAGGAAGGGGCAAAAGAGGGCATTTAAGAGAGTAGAAATATTTGCATCTTGACTGGGGTGGTGGTTATAAGGGTGTATGCATTTGTCAGAACTCAAACTGTGTACTTAAAATTGGTGCATTTGTTGTATGTAAACTTCATCTCAATAAAATTGAGGTTAAACACTCTGGACTAACAAGCAACTCCCAATTAACAAGCAAGATCACTGGCTGAGGAAGTGAGAAGGACGTGTCCTTATCTTACTTACCCCTGTTAAACAGGGGGCAATCACTTTCAAATACCACACATTCCTGAAGGAATCACCCTGCTCTACCCCTGCTCAGCATCATTGATGGAAGTGACTGCTCACTGTTGAACCTGCTTCTTCTCTTGATTCCTCGCAGAGGCAGCTGCTGGCTACAGACTTACTAAATTGCAAGTCGCCTCAGTTGGCAGAACTGCCCCTTCTCGACGATTTATAAACTCTGTCCATCGAGAGCACACTCCAGAGACAGGGCTCTGGACGGGACAGAAGCAGGAATCTTGGCCAAGGATACAAAGCTTCCAGAACTACCAAAGGCATTGTCCGCCAATAAAATACCACTCTGAATGGACTCATTCATGTCCCATTAACAAAAGTGTTGCTAATAATAGGTGCCACCTTACTTATGCTACAAGGGCACTGTAAGAATTAATGAAATAATGAGGTCTCTGGAGCACTTGCCCAGAGAGGCGGCCAGGAAAATCAGAACCATCGGCCTCCCCTGCGGCAGCATCTAAGGATGAAACACGCCCGACGGCTTCTGCTGCCTTCTGCCTGATCTTCCTCCCTATTACCCGTATCATGCAAATCTGGACAAAGTTTTTGTTGAACTTGCCACTGAATGTGTCTAACCTTTCAGCTCAGCCATCTTCAGTGTGGGATGCTATGACTCACGGTCCATGAGTCATGGAGCCCACAGGAATCACAGTGAAGCCCAGAAATGCTGCCTGCTTCCTATCCCACATGCAACACCAAGCCATTGGTGAAAAGCCTCCTCCTGTTTGTCTTCCTACCCAGGTGTTTTTGTCAGGCTACCCTTCTTCACTGAAAGCCAAGGCCTTTAAAGGATTGGATAGCAGCAGGGAACACGTGAATATATTCATGCCGTAGCCAGTAATTTAACAATTTTATTCATCCAGTCTCTGCCCTTGGTACCACTGCTGACCCCTGCACCCCACCACACACAAACAAACACACACACACACACACACACACACACACACAGAGAGAGAGAGAGAGAGAAAGAGAGAGAGAGAGATTCACTTCCATCACTTCCAGAATAATTTAAATATTTTAAATATTAAGTATCTTTAAAGTATATTGTCAGGTAAAAGAAAAAAATCAGGACTGTAAGAAAAGAAATAGGATGGAATCAGAAGAAATTAATTGTTTTGTTTTGACAAAGTAATCTTGATTTTTTTCACTTTTCACATTTTTCAGAGTCTGAAGTATTGCTGACTACAACCTCTATAGAGTCATACAGACAACCTCACTATAGAGAAATCTTTACATTTACTTGAGAGGCTTAAAATAACATGTAAGAAAATGAAGTGGGCTTCATTCCTGGGATGCAAGGCTGGTTCAATATACGCAAATCAATAAATGTAATTCAGCATATAAACAGAACCAAAGACAAAAACCACATGATTATCTCAATAGATGCAGAAAAGGCCTTTGACAAAATTCAACAACTCTTCATGCTAAAAACTCTCAATAAATTAGGTATTGATGGGACGTATCTCAAAATAATAAGAGCTATCTATGACAAACCCACAGCCAATATCATACTGAATGGGCAAAAACTGGAAGCATTCCCTTTGAAAACTGGCACAAGACAGGGATGCCCTCTCTCACCACTCCTATTCAACATAGTGTTGGAAGTTCTGGCCAGGGCAATTAGGCAGGAGAAGGAAATAAAAGGTATTCAATTAGGAAAAGAGGAAGTCAAATTGTCTCTGTTTGCAGATGACATGATTGTATATCTAGAAAACCCCATCGTCTCAGCCCAAAATCTCCTTAAGCTGATAAGCAACTTCAGCAAAGTCTCAGGATACAAAATCAATGTACAAAAATCACAAGCATTCTTATACACCAATAACAGACAAACAGAGAGCCAAATTATGAGTGAACTCCCAGTCACAATTGCTTCAAAGAGAATAAAATACCTAGGAATCCAACTTACAAGGGACGTGAAGGACCTCTTCAAGGAGAACTACATACCACTGTTCAATGAAATAAAAGAGGATACGAAGAAATGGAAGAACATTCCATGCTCATGGGTAGGAGGAATCAATAACACGAAAATGGTCATACTGCCCAAGGTAATTTACAGATTCAATGCCATCCCCATCAAGCTACCAATGACTTTCTTCACAGAATTGGAAAAAACTACTTTAAAGTTCATATAGAACCAAAAGAGAGCCCGCATCTCCAAGTCAATCCTAAGCCAAAAGAACAAAGCTGGAGGTATCACGCTACCTGACTTCAAACTATACTACAAGGCTACAGTAACCAAAACAGCATGGTACTGGTACCAAAACAGAGATATAGATCAGTGGAACAGAACAGAGCCCTCAGAAATAAAGTCGCGTATCTACAACTATCTGATCTTTGACAAACCTGAGAAAAACAAGCAATGGGGAAAGGATTCCCTATTTAATAAACGGTGCTGGGAAAACAGGCTAGCCATATGTAGAAAGCTGAAACTGGATCCCTTCCTTACACCTTATACAAAAATTAATTCAAGATGGATTAAAGACTTAAACATTAGACCTAAAACCATAAAAACCCTACAAGAAAACCTAGGTCACCAAACTATTTCTAATAATCATGAATCAACATGTGCTGAAAAGATGTTGAATAAGAATAGTATTTACTAACTTTAAATGGTAATACTAATATCATTTAATACATATTTCCAACATAAATCTTGTTCTTGAAAATATTATTATTGAAGGTTAAAAAGTTACTTCTGTGCCAATAGATTTTCTTTTGAAAAAAATTGTTTTACTGAGGTAAAATTTACATATAAAGTCCACCAGGTCAGATGCAGTGGCTCACACCTATAATCTCAGAGCTTTGGGAGGCTGAAGCAGGGGGATCATTGAGCCCAGGAGGTCAAGGCTGGAGTGAGCCATGATCATGCCACCGTACTTCAGCCTGGGTGACAGAGCAAGATCCTGTCTCAGAAAAACAACAACAACAAACCATCTATTTTAAGTATATAATTAAAAAAAAAATTTCAAGTGTACAATTCAATACATTTGAGAGCTTTGCAATCATCACCACAATCCAGTTTGAGGACACTTCCATCACTTCAAAAATGTCTCATCATGCCTGTTAGGGTCAATTTCCACTCCCACAACCAATACAAAGCAGCCCCAGATCAACTTTGTGTCTCCACAAATCGGCCTTTTCTAGACATTTCACACAATTGGAATCATATAAATGTAGTTTTTTGTATCTGGATTCTTTTAACTAGCATAATTTTGGGGGGTATCCATCTTGTAGCAGGCATTGAGTTCCTTATAACTGCTGTGAAGTACTCCATCATATGGCTGTATCATATTTTATTTACTAGTTGATGGACAACTTGGCTTGTTTCCAGTTTTTAGCTAAGAATGATTCTGTTATGAACATTTGTGTATGTTTCTGTGTGGCTATATTTTCATTTCTCCTGGATAGATTCCTTAGAGTGTCATGGCCTTAGAGTAGCATGGCTGATCCACACGGTTAAGTTTTCCTTAGAGTTTAAAGACGTTGTCACTTTTTTTTCCCAAAACGGCTGTGCCATTTTACACTCCCAACAGTAATATATGAGAATTTCAGATTCCACACTTTTACCAATACTTGTTATTGTGTGTCTTTTTTTGTTTTGTTTTTGTTTTTTTGAGATGGAGTCTCACTCTGTTGCCGGAGTGCAGTGGTGCGATCTCAGCTCACTGCAACCTCTGCCTCCTGGGTTCAAGTGATCCTTCTGCCTCAGCCTCTCGGGTTCAAGTGATCCTTCTGCCTCAGCCTCCTGAGTAGCTAGGACTACAGGCATGCACCACCATGCCCAGCTAATTTTTTGTATTTTTAGTAGAGACGGGGTTTCACCATGTTGGCCAGGATGGTCTTGATCTCTTGACCTTGTGATCTCCCCACCTCGGCCTCCCAACCTGCTAGGATTACAGGCGTGAGCCACCGCACCGAGCCTATTTTGTGTCTTTTTAAATACAGCCATTCCAGTGGTGTGAAATTGTGTCTCCTTGGATTTTAATTCACATTCCCGTAACTAGTAATATTGAGCACATACTTCATGTTTATCTGTTTTGGTGAAATGTCTATTTAAATCTTTTGCTCATTTCTAATTGAATTGTTTATATTCTAATATTTGGCTGCAAGAGTGTTTAAAATATAGACATACAGGGCCAGGCACAGTGGCTTATGCCTGTAATCCCAGCACTTTGGGAGGCTGAGGCGGGCAGATCTCTTGAAGTCAGGAGTTGGAGATCAGCCTGGCCAACAGGATGAAACCCCATCTCTAGTAAAAATACAAAAATTAACCAGGCATGGTGGCACACCCCTGTAATCTCAGCTGCTCGGGAGGCTGAGGCAGGAGAATCGCTTGAACCCAAGAGGTGGAGGTTGCAGTGAGCTGAGATGGCACCACTGTACTCCAGTCTGGGTGACAGAGTGAGACTCCATCTCAAAAAAAAAAAAAAAATAGACATACATATATACACACATATATTACATAGATACATTCTGGATAAAAGTCCTTTATCAGATATATAATTTGCAAACATTTTTCTCCCAGTATGGTTCTTTTCTTTTCTTTTCTTTTTCTTATCTTTTCCTTTTCTTAATCTCCTCTTCTGATACTCAAAAGTTCTTAATTTTGGCCTGGCGCAGTGGCTCACTCCTGTAATCCCTGCACTTTGGGAGGCCGAGGAGGGTGGATTGCCTGAGGTTGGGAGTTCGAGACCAGCCTGGCCAACATGATGAAACCTCGTCTCTACTAAAAATACAAAAAAATTAACTGGGTGTGGTGGCGGGCACCTGTAATCCCAGCTACTCAGGAGGCTGAGGAAGGAGAATTGCTTGAACCTGGGAGGCGGAGGTTGCAGTGAGCTGAGATCGTGCCACTGCACTCCAGCCTGGGCAACAAGAGCAAAACTCTGTCTCAAAAAAAAAAAGTTTTTAATTTTTATAAAGTCCAACTTACCGATTTTTCTTGTACAGATTACACTTTTGGTGTTGTATCTAAGAATTCTTTGCCAAAACCCAGGTAACAAAGATTTTCTTCTATGATTTTAGATGTTTCATAGTTTTAACTTTTACACTGAGGCCAAATATACATTTTGAATTAATTTTTGTGTTTCATGTGACATGGGGGTCTACTTTTTTTGTAATGTGGATATCCAATTGTTCCTGATGAAAGACAATAGTTTTCTCCATTGTATTGTCTTGGCATCTTTGCTGAAAACCAACTGACCATAATATAAGCATTTATTTCTGGACTCCCAAAATTCTGTTTCATTCCAATCCATGAACTGGAATGTCTCTCCATTTACTAAGATCTTTTATTTCTCTCAGTCATATTTTACAGTTTTCAGTGTATAAGTCTTACACTTCTATTGCTAACTTAGTCTTAAGTCTTTTCTTTTTAAATATTATTGGGAATGGAATTGGGTTCTTAATTTAACTTTCAGATTGTTTGTTCTTTATAATAGAAATGCAGCCAGGTGCAGTGGCTCACGTCTGTAACCACAGCACTTTGAGAGGCTGAAGCAGGAGGATTGCTTGAGGCCAGGAGGTTGAGACCAGGCTGGGCAACATAGCAAGACTCCATCTCTAAGAAGAAAAATTGGTGGAGTAAGGTGGTGCATGCCTGAAGTTCTAGGTACTTGGAAGGCTGAGGTGGGAGGATCACTTGAGCTCAGGAGTCTGAGGTTACTGTGAGCTATGATTGTGCCACTGCACTCCAGCCTGGGCAACAGAGAGACACCCAGTCTCTAAATTAAATGAATGAATTAATTAATTAATAGAAATGGAACGTTTTTGTATATTAATCTTGTATCTTGCAATTTTGTTTAACTCACTTATTAGTTTTAATTGGTGGTGGTGGTGGTGCTGGTGGGGGGTGTGTGTGTGTGTGTGTGTGTATGTGTATTCCTTAAAATTTTATACATACAGGATCAAGTCACCTGTGAATAAACTTTCCATTTTTGATTCCTTTATTTTTGCCTTATTGCATTGTCTAGAACTTCTAGTATAATGTTAAATGTAAGTGGCAAGAATAAACACCCTTTACTTTTTCCCTGCCTTAGTGGGAAACCATATCATCTTTCATCATTATATATGATGTTAACTGGGGGGTTTCTTATAGATGTCCTTTATCGGGATGAGGAAATTTTCTGCTATTCCTATTTGTTGAAGTTTTTATCATGGATGGGTGTTGGGTTTTGTCAAATGATTTTGTCAAATGATTTTTCTTTGCCTAATGAAATGATAACATGGTTTTTGCCCATTAGTCTATTAATACATTATGTTACATTGATTAATTTGCAGATGTTAACCAACTTTACATTAATGGGATAAATCCCACCTGATCATGGTGCATTATCTTTTTTATATTTCAGGATTCAATTTGCTAATATTTTGTTAAGGATTTGTGCATCTATGCTCATGAGGACATTCTTGTAATATCATTGTCTGGCATTAGTATCCTAAGTTCAGAAGTGTTCCCTTCTCTATTTTCAGAATGGCTTAATGAAGGATTTATATATATATGATGCAATCCACAAGTGAAGCCATCTGGGCCTGTGCTTTTCGGTGTGGGAAGATTTTTGAATACTAATTTGATTTCCTTACTTATTATAGTTCTATCCTTTCTATTTCTTCCTGAGTCAGTTTTGGTGATGTGTATCTTTTAGGAATTTGTCTGTGATTTAATTTATTTGATTTGTTGGTGTGAGGTTGCTCACAATACTACCATATAATTATTTTAAATTCTGTTGGGTCAGTAGTATGGCTCATTTTTCATTCGTGATTGGCTAAATTGTGTCTTTTGCTTTGTTTTGTTTTGGTCAGTCTAGCTACAACTTTTGGTTTCACTGATTTTCTCTATTTTTTTTCTTTTCTATTTTATTGATTTCTGCTCTAATCTTTATTGTTTCCTTCTGCTTGCTTTGAGTTTCATTTGCTTTTTTCTAGTTGCATATAGTGGAAGCTTAAGTTATTTACTTGATACCATTTTTCTTTCTTTAAATAGGCAATAAAAGCTATAAATTTCCATCTAAGCACTGTTTTAGCTGTATCCCATAATTTTTAATATGTTGTGTTTTCATTTTCATTAAGTTCAAAATATTATCTAACTTTTTCTTTTACTCATGGGTTATTCAGGAGTGTTGTCCAATTCCAAATATTTCTATTATTGATTTATTATTTAATTACATTGTGGTTGGAGAACATATTTCATATGATTTCTTTTAAATTCATTGACACTTGTTTTATGGCCTAGCATACAGTATATTCTGAAGACTATTCCCTGTGCATTTGAAAAGAATGTATATTCTGCAATTGTTAAATGGATTGTTCTATGTATGTCAGTTAGGTTAAGCTGGTTAACAGTGTTGTTCAAGTGTTCTATAGCATTGGTGATTAGAGAAAGCCCTGCTTTCTAGTTATCCTATCAAATAGTGAGAGTGGGGTATTGAAATCTTTGACTAGTGTTGTTGAATTATTGTCTATTTCTTCCTTCAGTTCTGTGTGTTTCTGTTTCATGTTTGAGGCTCTGTACTTAGTTTAATATATTAATAAATACATAGTTGGTGTATATTCTTGATTCATTGATCCTTTAATTATTATGAAATATCAATAATTATGAAATATCCCTGTCTCTAGTAATAGTTCTTAAAATATATTTTTGTTGATGATAATGATTAGTATTTGCATAGCAAATGATTTTTTACTTTTTTACTTTTATACTAATATGTTTTGAGTCAAAAGTAACGTTTCTATGGACAGTATATAGTTGTATCGTGTGTGTGTGTGTGTGTGTGTTTTAATCCAGTCTGACAATGTCTGCCTTTTGATTTGAGTGGTTAGACCATTCACATTAAATATATTATTGGGCCAGGCACGGTGGCTCACGCCTGTAATCCCAGCACTTTGGGAGGCCGAGGAGGGCGGATCACGAGGTCACAAAATCGAGACCATCCTGGCCAATATGGTGAAACCCCATCTCTACTAAAATACAAAAATTAGCCAGTGTGGTGGTACGTGCCTGTAATCTCAGCTACTTGGGAGGCTGAGGCAGGAGAATCGCTTGAACCAGGAAGTCAGAGGTTGCAAAGAGCCAAGATCGCGCCACTGCACTCCAGTCTGGTGACAGAGCAAGACTCCGTCTCAAGAAATAATAATAATAATAAATAAAATAAAATAAATTTTTTTGAGACTCTGTCTCAAAAAAATATTTATATATATATGTGTATATATATATACACACACATTATATATATACATAATTGATACAGTTGGGATTTTAAAAGGCCATTTTGGTATTTTTCTATGTCACTTTTTTTTGTAGTTGTTCCTCCTTTACTGCTTTCTTTTGTGTTAAATACATATTTTCTGACTACCAGTTTAATTCCTTTAATTCCATTTTACTAATTTTTGAGTTATTTTCTTCATGGTTACTCTGAAAGTTACAATATGCACCTTAACTTATCACAATCTATTGCAGATTAACACGAACTTAATTTCAGTAAAATATAGAAAATTTGCTCCAATAGAGCTCCATTCCCTCCCACCCTCTTTGTGCTGTTACTGTGATATATATTATATGTCATATACATCTACATTTGCTATAGACTTAATAGTAGAGTGTTAAAATTATTACTTTATATCATTTCATGTCTTTTAAAGAAGGTATAAAAATAAGATAAATATAATTATATAGTCACTTATATGAACCCACATATTTGCCATTTTCAGTGCTATTTCTTCCTATGGATTCCAGTTATCTGGAGTCATCTTTTTAGCTTTAAGGATTTCCTTTAGTATTTATTGTAAGAAAGGCATGTTAACAGCCATTTTTCTGTTTTTGTTTTTTTTTTAAATTCGGGATGTCTTAATTTTTCCTTCAGTTTTGGCAGGATAGTTTGGTTAGGTACAGAAGGTACAGAACTCTTAGCTGATATCTTTTTCTTTTAGTATTCTGTCATTCTTTTTTTTAAAAATGAGAAGCCAGCCATTCATCAGACTGATGCTCCCTATATGTGGTAAGCCATTTTTCTCTTGGTGCTGTCAATGTCTTCTCTTTGAACAATCCGACTATGATGTATCTAGATATTAATCCTACACAGAGTTAGTTCTATTTGTTGGGTGTGTATATTAAGGAATTTGGGGAGTGTTTGACTATATTTCTTCAAATATTTTCCTGCTCCTTTCTCTGTCTTCTCATTCTAGGATTCCCATTATATGTATGCTAGCATGCTTGAAATTGTTTCACAAGTCTCTCAGGCTCTGCTAATTTTTCAATCCTTTACTCCTTTGTTCTTCAAATTTGATAATTTCTATTGATCTATCACATTAGCTGATGGTTTCTTCTGTCTTGTTGAATATGCTGTTGGACCACCTAATGATTTTTAAAATTTAAATTTTTATACTTTTAACTCCAGAATTTGGTCCTTTTTAATTTTTTAAAAATAGATTTCTGTTTTCTTATTAAGATTCTCTATTGATTCATGTTTGATTGATTCAGTATTGTTATACTTTCCTTTAATGCTTTAAACATGGTTTCTTCCAGATCTTGTCCCAAGCTGGTCTGCCTTTCCTCAACCTTTCAAAGTCTTTTTATACTTGTTTTATACATAATGTTGAACACATTTGTAACAGTTTTGAAGTCTTTGTCTGAAAGTCCAACATCTGGGGACACTCAGATTCTATTGACTTCTCTTATTCCTAAGTATGGGTTACACTCTCCTCTTTCTTTGCATAGCTCATAATATTTGTTGAAAATGGACATTAAAGATGATACAATGCAGCAATTCTGGATTCTGGTATTTTTCCCCTGAAAGTTGTTGCTTCTGTTTTTGTTTATTTCTTTAGTAACTGGCCTGGATTAATTCTGTGAATTCTGTCTCCCTGGCAGTATGAGGTCACTGATGTCTCTTCTCAGCCTTTAAAAAAAAAACTCTTCTTTTCATTTTTAATCCTGGCTTCCTATTTGTTACCCCTGTTTCTGCATGGCTTAATGGCTGGCCAATGATTGGACACAAATTGTGATCAAACACCTTGAGCCAGGAAGACTTCCATTCTCTGCTGATGGATCTATCTGCGGGTAGAGGTGCACACTCTAAGTTCAGGCCATTTTCAAGTAGATATCAGCCTATGCTTTCCACTAGACTCTTCCTCATCTCTTCGATGCATGTGCTCAGCCTCAAGACTAGATAGGAGTGTGTAGATTGCTTGGGCTCTCTTTGTTGTCTGCTGCATACGTGGGCAGCCTCATCTGGGGATATGCTTACTCCAACCACAACTGCAACCTCAGGAAAATAGAGCCCACTGGCCATACCCAACCCACAGCCACCAAGATCATTATGGCCACTGACAATGCCACTAGTCATGAGCACTGTCCACCATCCAAATTGAATGGGCCTTTGACAGCAGCAGCAACCTGCCTGTCCTTTATGGACTGTGGTCCTCTACTCCTAGAATCTCCATGACAACTGAACTGCATTAGGGATGGATGCAACCCTAGGCAACAATTCCACAGATTCCCACTGTTCTAACAAAAGTTCAGCAGTTTTTCTAGTATAAATGCTTCCCCGATTGTCGTATGCCTTATTCAATTTCCAAAGCACTGAAGTGATTGTTTTTGTTCATTTTGTCCAGCCTTATATTTGCTTTCTTAAGAAGATTTGTTGACTTCCTTACTTGGCTATAGCTGGAAGTCCCACCCAACATTTATTTTTAAATGCTGGGGATACTACAGAGAGGCTTGGCAGTCTAGATTATTGACATCCCATCCAATATAACTTGTATAGTGTCAAATGTCATGCAGTTATTTGTAGGTGTGATAAAACATTTGTCTTTTTGAGTGCTTAAGAACCAACTCGAAACTGTGGATTGTTTTCTTATAAGGGAATAAAAACACAATTGATAAATTAAAGATTTAGGTTAAGCCATTTGGGGCCTCAGTTCTGGATATACATTAAGAACTCAGTAAATGACCCACGATTCACAGATGTGGATTACCAGGTACATTTGGGGAAGAAATGTGCTTTTCCCCCTATTTCTATGATATTTCTGCCCACTATGTTTCACCAAACATGTATACCAAGTGTGTCATATGAAGAATATGATTAATGACCGTTTTTTAAAAGTCTCTCCCCCAAAACATCCAATTATAACTAATTTTACTTTTTGGAATGATCTTTCTCTTCAAAGTCACAATGGGTTTTTCAGTTAATCTCAGGCAAGCATCTGATTGAGATGTTGCTAAGGTTAAACAGCAATACCATTTGATTAATATATTAAAACTGTCACAGTCATCTTCATTTACCTCAGTAAAGACTGTTCATTACTTTCAATGGCTCTTTATTGCTATCTGACTAAAATTATGAGATAAAAAGAGCCAGCAAAGCAGTAGAAGATCCATAACCTCTATTCCCCTATCCCTGAAGAAAAAAAAAAACAACACAGCACTTCCTATGGCATGATTCAACCTGGGAATAAAAAGAGCTTTGCCATCATCAACTAAAACTCACCACAGCTGGTGAAGTTAAAAATCAATACTAGCTCCTTAAAGGCACATAAACGTACTTGCCTGAGATGATGTAACAAATTGGTTCAACAACCAGAAAAATGGCCCAGAATGACCTTTAATCACCACAGCCCAGTCTCCCTCTACTTACATCAAAACCAAACTATAGGGCCAGTTACCCAAACCTTTATCCCAGCCCACTTCTTGAGAATTTTCTTCCTAAAGGAGAAGAAGAATGGCGGTGGGGAACGGGACAAAGATTGGCTCAATGATCTAGCTGTGTTAATAACACCCTCAATTGAAAAAGAACAAAGACTTAAGATTTGGCCTTGGCTGGGTGCGGTGGCTCACGCTTGTAATCCCAGCACTTTGGGAGGCCGAGGTGGGTGGATCACCTGAGGTCAGGAGTTCAAGACCAGCCTGACCCACATGGAGAAACCCCATCTCTACTAAAAATAGAAAATTAGCCAGGCTTGGTGGCACATGCCTATAATCCCAGCTACTTGGGAAGGCTGAGGCAGGAGAATCACTTGAACCTGGGAGGTGGACGTTGTGGTGAGCTGAGATCATGTCATTGCACTCCAGCCTGGGCAACAAGAGCAAAACTCCGTCTCAAAAAAAAGAAAAAAAAGAAAAGAAAAGATTTGGCCTTTTTTTGCTTTAAATGCAAAGCAAGTATGATCAAAGAACCAAATCTCAAACTATCAAAACATAGATTGATTTTGCTGTTTCAGCCTGGAATGGAATAGATGTGTGTTAAATTTGCAACATACTACTCCAGTTTTCTCCATGAGCAGTTGCAGTTTTAGCCACGTTCAGTTCTTACCATGTTAAAACACATTTGCAGAGCTTCTTCTCTATAATGAAACCAGTTTGAAGGCTCCAAATTGCTTTCTTATGGGAGATGTTATCCCATATATCCTGATAACTGTTACAATATTCATTTAAGGAAGGTAGGGAGCAGGTATTATAATTCCAGTAAAAGAAGAGCCAAGTGCTTAAAACATACCCCCAAGAGGTCTCAGAGTTAATAAGTCGCAGAGTGAGAAAAAGTCAAAGTTGTTGGGGTCGGCACAGAGCTGTGTTTAAGACACCGAGCTGGCCCTGTCCTGGGTCACCACTTATGTAAAGAACAGCTCAAAATCAGAAGGGACAAAAGGCCAGAGAAATAATCTGCTTGTCTGCATGTCCATACACACAGGCATCCACCAAAGGTTTTATTTTGTGTATTAACTAACCCAACAATATTTCCCAGTATATCCAGATGATTCTATAAAAACTGTGAGTCTATCCCCAGGTACTGTAACTTGTTTGGATAATGAAATGTATCTGTACTTCACAAAAGTTTACCTCTATTTAATCATATCCTTGGCCTAACAAATACTGCCAGTCTATACTGGGAGGCTTTTTACTTTTTCCTTTTCAAAAAAACAAACCAGGTTTACACAGAGACTACTATGCTTTTTTCAAAGGAAAGATGAAAATAATTCAAATGAACAGTATTATTTTAAAATTAATTTTTAATTCATAAATTAAAATTGTGTTTATGGTGTGCAACATGTTTTGAAATATGTATACACTATGCAATGGCTAAATTGAGCTAATTAACATATGCATTACCTCACACACTTATCATTTTTTTTTGTGGAGAGAACACTTAAAATCTACTCTTAGCCATTTTCACGTATACAATACATTGTTAACTATAGTCACCACGTTGTATAATAGATCTCTTGAACTTATTCCTTTTGTCTAATTGAAAATTTTGTATCTTTTGACCAACAACTCTCACCCCCTCCCACCATACTCCCAACTCCTGGTAACCATCATTCTACTCTCTGCTTCTAGGAGTTCAACTTTTTTAGATTCTCTATTTAAGAGAGATCATGCACATTTGTCTTCCTGTGCCTGGATTCTTCTTATTTTTTTCTCTACCTGATGTCTGCCCTGTTTAACTTATAATTACATTTTGAATAGATGTAAAGTCTGAAAAGTTATTTCCATTGAGGTCTGAGGTGGAAGCAAAAGCAGAAAACACAAATATGATTTTTAATAAGTCACGATGGGAAACAGTAAGACTGGTCAACTTTCTATCAAATTTATTTTCATGATACATTTGTAAATGTTCAGAAGACAATAATGGCTTTAAATTCCACCATACTATAGGTTCTAAATACTAGCCTTATAATCGGAAGATCTAGGACTTGTCATCATTAACTACTTATTACGCAGCAACCTCCCACTGCCTAACACAGTATCATTTATGTGGCTGCCCTCAAGGATAATATGCCCTGGAGCAGAGTCACAATATTCTCACACCACAGAAAACCAAAACAATATAGTGGCAAGTACCGCTTGATTTGTTTACTAGGTATACCCAGTCCAAGTTGGCAGAAAGGAAACTTGTGCATATTAAAATTCATTGTCCACTTACACAGTGACCCTTGTACTGCAGAATTCCCAAGGGACCTACTTTACCAGCAGCAGTGGTTCCCCAGGTAGGCACTGGCAGGGTCTGTTGGAACCATGCCCACTACGGTGGCAGGAAAGTAATGGCAAGGACAAGCACCCAGCTCCAAAGTCAGACTAACAATTTGGATGTCCAGAAGTCTGAGGCTTTTAAAACAATTCAACTTGGTGGATGGTTCAATTTACCACTTCTTTCTCAAAATTCCTCTCTGCAAATTTCTATGAAGATTTAGGGTTCTAGAGCTGGAAGGAACTTGGCATGGGAGTTAATCAGTATCATGAACTGTTGATGGCACGAGGACTTCACCTCCTGCCCCCAGGCCAGTTCTGCTTTTACTACACCACTGGGTTGGGGTGCATTTGGAAGTGACAGCAGCATTGCTCCTTTGTAAACATGGTTGGGTCTGGGTTACCTAAGGGAAAATTCTAGAGGGAGCTCTCGGACAAAGTTCCAGATATACTGGGAGAAAAGTACCTAGTAAAAGAGAAACACAAGACACTCCTTGGGCATAAGGAGAAAAAGAACGAAATAGTATTGGGGGGTAATAGGCTAGGGGACAGTGCAGGAAAGACAAGCAGACATGAGAATCCTGGCATGTCAGGGGCCAAGGATGATGTCCTTGAGGCCAATATGATTCAACTCGAATAGCTGAGAAGGGCTGCAAGAAATACAGTGTCCTATCTCACTGGCTTTGTCACAAAGGGTTAACACTAGACAATTTTCTTTTTCTGTGCTTTCGTGTACCCCATTTTAAAGTGAGGATAATAACATTTTGCCAGCAACGTCTGTCAAAGGGGACTGAGATACTAACATGTGCCTCTGAAGGAGTCTTGAAAGAGCACCAGATTCAAGTCCTAGCTCAGCTAGAACTCTGTGTCCTAGGAAACATCCCAAAACATCCCTTAAGTTCAGTTTCCATGTCTGTGACAATCAAGGATTGGGCTCCTTGAATTAAGTCTGCCCCAGGTATATGATTTCCATACGTGAAGTGCTTTAAGTTCCCACAAGGAAAGTTTCTGTGTAAATTACAAATGGCTTTAAGAGCCCTGTCAACTCAACCTTCCTCCCATTCCTGCTCTCCGCACAAGCAAGAGAATCACTTAGAAAGCATTGTAAGCTATAGGCAATGGGAAGAAAAGGAGAGAGACTGCACACAGGCACTTTAAGGTAAGGCTGCACCAAGCCCTTAATGCTTTACTTTGCACGAGACAGAATGTGGATTAGCGTGTTTATTTCAGAAGCCTTTCTGAACACCATACCTGGCTATTTAAATTCACAAGGCATTTGTTGTCACACTTTGTCTCATATTAACAATGGCACAGAAGGCACTGGCAGTTCTCTCAATATTCTCACCCCAGAATATTGGTGGATGGGGGTATTACTCAATGGCACAGTTTCTTTACTTATTATGAATGTGCTAGGGAAGGACCATTTACCCCCACTCCCCTAGCACCCAGTATTTTTAACTAAAAGCTGTTACTTCAAGAACGTAATTCCCAGATCCACACAGGGGCACTGTCAGTTTTAAAGGCATCGCATCTTGTTTCCTCACTTCTTTGAAGCTCATAAGAAACCTCTCCTTCTGAGCGTCTACTTCACCTAAATGATCTCAAATTCCTTGAATCACAAAACCAGTAAGAAAGGGAGGGGTTTGGGGAGGGGGCAGGGGAGAGTAGTGAGGAGAGAAAGAAAGAAAATGGGATGAACAGTGGCTTAGTGCAACGGGCTGCGAGTGTGTGACACAAGATACCCACCGCAGACAAAGAACGCCATGAGACTCGCAGGGAGACAATGACGGCTCCAGGAAAAACGCAGCGCTCACGGGGCTGGCGAGGGAGCCTGGCGCAGCTCCCTTCCCAGACCCGCTCTCCCTGCCAGCCCAGGGCTCCCAGCAGCTGCTCCCCAGTAGAGAGACACATGGTCATTTCCTAGCCGAAAGGAGGGCTACCGTTTTCCTTAGGTTTTTTTTTTAACATAAGAAATAACTCCTCCCTATCATCATATTCCCCAGATATAGCTGTATTTTCAACTACCAAAAACCAAACAGAATGATTTTTGTTTCCTTAAGAGTTTAGAAATTCTTGTGAAACAAAATAATCAGGAAGAAAACAAAAGTTCAGCAAAGTAGCTAAAATCTGTACTTCAAAAAACACAGGTAGAAAACATTTTGGTTAAGTGTGCTGGGGTGCTGGTGAATGTGGAGGACGGGCTTTGAACAATGCAGTGGGTTAACTCAGTGGTGTTGCTACCCTTTGTCCTGGTTAGTTCAAATGGTTAAGACAATGCAGAGGGCTAGGATTTTTCCTGTTTCACCTCTCCTCTTTCCCAGAAACTATCTGGAGCAGGTTGATTCACTAGAGATTCCTAATCCTCCTTGGCAGAAAGAGAAATGTGAATTTGACAAATAATATGCATAAAATATTCCTTAACCTGGAAACATTAGGAGGAAATAATCAATTCAGAAGAACTGAAATAAAAAACTAAACATAGAAAAGTGCTGCTGCCAGGCAGCTGTCCTCCAATGTTGGAAACATGATCACCACAGGACTAGATCTGTTTAAAACCACTATCTGTTTACAAACAAAGCACTTACTAAATAACGCTCCAGGTAATGGATGATGACAGGAATAGGGCTTGCTCTTTTAAATAACAACAGATTGGAAAAATATTTCAATACCATCAGACAACAAATTAAAATGAAACATCTTTTCTAACTGGAAAAATGCAGATCTAGCTGGGAAAATTGATTTCTACCCATCCTCCATCCTCCCAAAAGAAGATTAGAAAGAGAAAACTGAAAATCATACATCCTGGAGATGAACTTTGTTAATGAGCGCCATAAACATTCACAGGGAGCTAGGCTCCTATTTCATAGGTTTTTGAAAAAAATATTCTAATATGCACACGTGAGTCAAACAGACTGCAGTAAAATGCATCTGATGTTTAATTGTTTTAATACACTGCAAGAGGGAGTGAAGCCTTGTCACTCACCAGATGAAATCTGATCTCTCTCAAATCATCTCACCCAATAGTGTTAAAGACATTACTGCTGTGACATAATTCAACCTCAAGACATCTTATGGGAAACATAGGTCAGTTTTAAAGCACCAGGTGGATAAACAGACATTCATTATTCAGTCTCCTGACCTTGAATTTCGGGGGTTCTATAGTCATCTTTTGTTTGGAGGCTGCCACTTGAGATATCGTGTGCCATGCAAGGGCTTTCCAGATTTAAGTGGACTTTATCGAGTAAGATGACTCTTTTTTATGAGAACACATAAGATGCCAAAACATATGCTTCTGTCTTGTTCCTAATTCGAGGGGGCCAATAGGAAGAAAGGGAGTGGAAGGGGGAGGGGTCCATAGCACTCCCCTCTCCTGGTTGGTATTAGAGTGAACAAGAAGTGAATTAGGAAACAGGCCGGGTGCGGTTGCTCACCCCTGTAATCCCAGCACTTTGGGAGGCCAAGAGGGGTGGATCACTTGAGGTTAGGAGTTTGAGACCAGCCTAACCAACATGGTGAAACCCCGACTCTACTAAAAATACAAAAATTAGCCAGGCATGGTGGCGGGTGCCTGTAATCCCAGTTACTCTGGAGGCTGAGGCAAGAGAATCACTGGAACCTGGGAGATGGAGGTTTCAGTGAGCCGAGATGGCGCCGCTGCACGCCAGCCTGGGTGACAGAGCGAAACTCTGTCTCAAAAAAAAAAAAAAAAAAGTGAAAAAGTGAATTAGGAGACATTTGAAGACCCCTGGGCAGAGCAGAAAAAAAGGTGGTTAGCATATTTTCTCATTCAACTGAAATACATCTGTTGACCTCTAAAGTTCAAACAATTGCAGGGCTAACTGCATCCAACCATAGCTGGAGATGAATTAAAATTGATATTCTATAGTCGTCTATCAAATAAAAATAATAAAAGCTAATAAAAAATAATAATAGCAAAGACTTACATAGAGCTTACCCGCTGCCAGGCACTAATCCAAGTACTTTGGATATATTAACTCATTTAATCTTCCCGTCAACCCCTTGAGGTAGGTGCCATATACAAATGAATATAAACTTGGTTATGTTTAAAGAACAAAAAGCTTCATAAGCTTTTTGGTAAAATAAGCTTTGGTGGTAAAATAGGATAGAGGTAGGTGATAGTTTTGAAAAGGAATCTGAGTCCACATATCCTATAACATAGGATGTTGCCGTATATATTGCTGGGGCAAATATTTATATGAAGAAAACATACAAGGATAGCTTATCGGCATTTTTTTAAATAGCCTTGTTCATAAATTTCCACTGAAGAGAATACTAATCTTTGTAGAGAGAAAAGTAAGATCTAAAAGAGATTAGAGAAAACAAGAGGATACGTGATAAAAAGTGAAAAGACCTCATAGCGGCTAAAAATTTATCACCAACTGGAGGAAAATTGCACTCAAAGAGCCTAAAATCTAAAACAAAACAAAACACTGGGCTGGTCCCTTCTTGGAAATGATAATCTTTATTACAGCTTTTCCTTCCTGGGATTCTTCCTAATGCTAATTCCTAGTAGCTAAAATAATAATAAGGGAATGGAAGATGAGGCGAAAGGAGACGTTTCTGTATTCCATTATATTCCAGTAAAGGGAGGGCAGTGGGGAGGGAATGCCTCAGAGATCTAGAAAGAAAGAGGAAAGAGAAACAGCAAAAAAAGGTTTCTGTATCTGTTTCTTTTACCTTCTCACCCATTTGGAACAAAAGGGAGGTGGTCGGGGTAAGATCAGGTTATATTCCAAAGCCACCAGCCATTGGATGGCCTGGAAATGGGAAAGCCAAGCTGATCCCATTCTTTCCTCCACAGCTAACAGAGAGGCAGGGAAAGCGACCAGCCTTACCAGGCTGCAATTCTTGACCCTGTGCCTTCTCCCACACCATCCTGAAGAAGCCACTGACTTCCATCCACCAGAACTGCTTCTCTGCTCTTGCACTGAAACCTCCTGCCATTTTAAGGACACGGCCCTGTAGGTCACCTTAATCTAGTAACTCACAGTCATTTATTTGGCTCTACTATCAAAGAGAATTTTTCATCGGTAAGAAATGGCACTGTTGGGCAGCGTTGTCAATTTGTACTGCTGAGTAAAGAGATTTCAAACGTCTAGGATTAATATTTGTGATATTTACCCTAGGCTAGTCCCAGAGTTAGATTTTAGGCTGGGCGCAGTGGCTCACGCCTGTAATCCCAGCACTTTGGGAGGCCAAGGTGGGCAGACCACCTGAGGTCAGGAATTTGAGACCAGCCTGGCCTACGTGGTGAAACCCCGTCTCTACGAAAAATACAAAAAAATTAGCTGGGCGTGGTGGCGCATGCCTGTGATCCCAGCTACTCGGGAAGCTGAGGCAGGAGAATCGCTTGTAGCCAGGAGGCGGAGGTTGCAGTGGGCCCAGATCGCGCCACTGCACTCCAGCCTGGGCAAGAAGAGCGAAACTCAGTCTCAATTAAAAAAAAAAAGAATCTTTAAAAGTGTTTTTGCATGGTGTTTACAGGTTTCTGACCTTTTAGAATCCTATCACATGGTAAGGACCAAGCATTTTCTGACCAAACACTTTTTCAAATAAGGTAGGTTTATCAGGAACACGGTTTACAGCCTATCATTCCCTTTTGACATTGGTCCCTGAAGGAACTACGAAGTGGAACTGTGAGCTGGTAAGAGATGAAAAAGCAAATGACAGGTCTTACTCTTTTTTTTCTCTCACAAGTTAAAAGCCTGCCTTTATATTGATTTTCAGATGCTGAATATACATAGTTCATCTTCCAGATAATCTCAATGTGTCTTACTCCAATAAACAAATAAAATTTATGAGAATGGAAAAAAAGAGATGAATTTTTATCTGTAAACAACCTTTATACACGCGCACACACAAACATTAACCTGATCTGCAACTGACTCCTTGCGATAAAAGACACTTCTGTCAGGCACTGACCTGGCAGCCTTTACAGGGATGTGGATCCATGTGTATTATTTCGCCACCACGAAAACTCTTTACCAATTAATCTGACAGAAAAGGGACCGCAAAATTGTTCATAAATTATAATTTGCATATTTGGCTTAATCTTAAAACCTTTGCATATCTAAAAGGGTCATCTTTCCCAAATTCCAATACCTTTTAAACTGTGATTTAATGTTACAGTTAATTTCCGTGACTTTGAGTTCTTAATATAATAGCATGATAGATACCCAACATATAGTATGTATCTGCACTACTGTACACATGCTCAAATCTGACAACACCTAATGCTGAGACAAAACATCAGCCTGTGCCTATTGTTACAAGTCATGTGCATTTTGGTCCCTAGAATTTTGGTTTACTAAATGGGAATTGCCAGGAAGGCAGAGAGTGGTCAAATTTACGAACCAACAAGCCCCAGGCTCCCACAGGCCTTGTGCTGCACAGGAAGTGTCTCTGTTTTTTGTTTTTTAATTTTCTATAGGACAAGCTTTCCCGCTGCCCTCCCATTCACAGATGTTCCCGATCCTGACCCACTTTCCCTAGTCTGTACTACAGTCCAGTGGAGAATGCACTCTCTCAGCCTTTGTCTGTGGGCAATCTTATTCTTAGCAAGAGATCTTTTCCTATAATTTTTTTTGTCCTCCATTAACCATGCTGACCAATGTTTAAGAATCATTACATTAGTTGGTTCTTCCATTCAACTGTAACATGCTATAATAATATTTTAAACATCACTTCACTAAATTCTCCCTAAGTCAAGGAAACTATTCTGAGCAATCCAGGCACAAGATTTAATTGCATTGATTTAATTCAACAAATACATAAAGAGTACCTGCTGTGCACCAGGAACTATTCTAGGAGTCAAAGATACAGAAGTGAATAAAGAGACAAAAATCCCTGTCCTTAAGGAGCTGACATCTGAGATGCTTGCCTAGATTCATAAGAATCTGGGAAGGTACTTAGATTCACAGGAATTTTATCAGTTCAAGCTAAACTCATTTGGGATAGAATGTATCTTCTCATAATATCATTAATTAGACATTCTAGGACTGGGCTTACCACTGGTTTAGCAAATGGCTGGATGGTATAGAAAATTAAGCAACTTTGGTTATCCAGAGAAATTGTTTTCAACTTAGACTGTGTGGAAATAGGCATTGCTTTTATTGGGTGCTTCCACATCCAAAAAATTTTGTTTTCCATTGCAAAGAGGTAATTTTACCCTTACATGTATGAGAGTACCATCAAATCTACAACATAAAGTGAAGGAACAAAGAAAAACGTCATTCTTGATTCTCTACTATGCTTCACTTAAAAAAATTAATGTGTACCACAAATATGAGGGCACTGGTTAGTTCTAGACTTTATTGAAATGGGCTCATTTCACTTGATCCTAACCTGCATATCTGGCATTCAGCAGAAGGAACAAATTTAAATCAGATGTTTTGACTGGGGTGACTGGAAATTTGTACCACTGTTAAGCACACCTATACACACACACATATTTATGTTTGTGCCGTATGGTGTTTTTTAAATGTCAGCGTTCATTGAAAGTGAATATGTAACTATATGTATATTTGTTGGTATAGTCATATTTGCTTTTTAATTCCTTCTTTTCATCGGGGTAGATCAGTTTAAACAATTTAAAAATTAGAACCAAGAAGTTTTATTTAAAGAAATACTATTTAAGTGCATTGCTAACTAGAAATAAGTCAATAAGTGTTGCCCAGTAATACGTTTTTAAGATGTCTACTTGAACTTATTTTGTTGAGTATGTTCATATACTTACAACAGTTTCATAAGGTCTGCTCATGTTAGGAAAAATCCTTTAAGATCAGTGAAAACAAAAAAAATGCCAAAATATTTTGAAACGGGGTGCATTTGATAAAAATATCAAGCTATTTCTAACTTGAATTAAGGGAAATGAATGACATAATGATCCCATTAAACAATATACATGAGGCCAGCCGCAGTGGCTCAAGCCTGTAATCCCAGCACCTTGGGAGGCCGAGGCAGGCAGATCACTTGAGGTCAGGAGTTCAAGACCAGCCTGGCCAACATGGTGAAACCCCGTCTCTATTCAAAAAGTAGCTGGGCATGGTGGCAAGTGCCTGTAATCCTGGTTAACTTGGGAGGCTGAGGCAGGAGAATTGCTTGAACCCAGGAGGCGGAGGTAGCAGTGATCCAAGATTGCACTGCTTGCACTCTAGCCTGGGCGACAGGGCTAGACTCTGTCTCGAAAAAAAAAAAAAAGTGTGTGTGTATATATATATATATACACATATGTCATATATATTTATATATATGACATATATGTCATATATATTTATACATATCTGACAAATATATATTTTGTTATATATATAAAGTGTGCATATATATATATATATATATGACAAACAGACCCAAAAAACTTTACTTTGATGACTTTACCAAACAGAGAAAAGACATTGATTGGTTTTACTCAAGGTTTTCTTGTTTTGTTTTTTTTTTTTTGAGACGGAGTCTCCCTCTGTCGCCCAGGCCGGACTGCGGACTGCAGTGGCGCAATCTCGGCTCACTGCAAGCTCCGCTTCCCGGGTTCACGCCATTCTCCTGCCTCAGCCTCCCGAGTAGCTGGGACTACAGGCGCCCGCCACCGCGCCCGGCTAATTTTTTGTATTTTTAGTAGAGACGGGGTTTCACCTTGTTAGCCAGGATGGTCTCGATCTCCTGACCTCATGATCCACCCGCCTCGGCCTCCCAAAGTGCTGGGATTACAGGCGTGAGCCACCGCGCCCGGCCGTTTTCTTGTTTTTATGGGAGGTTGAGGAGTGGTTCAGGTGAACTAATGGCCTTAATGATTTTTACTATTGCTTCAGGTTTGGCTAAATACATCTAACCTCTCTGCCTGTTTGTGCACTGCAGTTTCTGTATATGCAGAGGACAGGTGTTTTTAGTATACTAAGCACTTTTCTAAAATGCAATTAATGATTCATTCTCATATTTAATCCACTTTAAACATTCCACCACTGAAAAAAGGTGAAAAGGGAGGAAAAACTTTTTTATGGAGAATTACAATGGAAATTTCTTCCTGCCTAAATTATTAAAAGTTCCAAATTAGTAAGTCTAAGTTCATTTTTATCATACATTACAGAAGTGATCTAAATCTCAAAAAAAAAAAAAGTCTACAGATGTTTTAGGCAATTACCTATTATGTAATGCCTCTTCAATCAGCCATATTTTATTGCAAGGAAGGGGTCTTAAAATAGAAAGTTTTGAAAAACAGGGAATTCTTATAAGTTTGGCAACCCAAAAAATTTTATTTTGGAGCTATTCAATGAGAAAAAGAAGATAAAAGAATTAATGTTGTATAGAGTGAAAAACAAGTTTTGCTTGTGAAATTTAAGCTTTGGTTTGGTTTCTACGAGGTAGAAAATAACCTGTTATATTTTATGTGTCAGAGGACATAAATTATGAGTGTTATAGGCTGTAGGTGACAGACATACCTGGAAGGTCAACGAGACTCAAGATCTCTGTTGTCTCAGCATGCTCCCTCTTCCCAGCCTCCTGTATGCAATCAGTCGTCCAGTTCATCAGTTCTTTCTTCCTCTTGCCTACAGTTCTCAGTTTCCTCCCATTCACTTTACTCCTGTCCAAGGCCAGCACTTAGGACTTCACACTTGTATTTCTAAAGTGACCACCACATCAGCTTCCTGTCTTCATTGTCTCATGAACTTCACCACCAAATAAAATGTTCCTAAGTTCCATCTTGGGCATTTGTTTAACAGCCTTTCTATAGACCGCTTTGCTTAATAATTTAAAATCTGTACCTTTTTACCCAGCCAGTCAAGTTTCCCCAGGATCTGGCCCTAACCACCTCTTGAGGTCTAGGTTCTATTCCTCTCCTTCATCCTGAGTCTAATTATGCAGATATCCAATGAGACAACTGCCCTGGCACCATCCCATAGGGGGCACTGAAACACCACTAATCAATTAGAAATACAGCGCCGGTTAACTCAGGTTTCTACCCTCAAACTCCTTACTCATTGGTAAAATGTAAACAAGAGCCATTCCCATAAAAGCACACAATATACCCTGAGCAAAGAGATCAAGTGCCGGTATCCACGGAAATGACCTCTATCCGTGGTGCGTATGACTAATCATATCCAATTATGAGTGCTTTTTAAAAAATGAAAGACAAGTCCAAATAGGTTAAAATGTCATGTTGCATTCCCAGCATATAACAGACATCTTATTTTGAAAATAAAGAAAGAACTATTTGGGTATACCTATTTTATTAATAGAAAACCATTCTTTCCTTTACTCTTCCACTAGAAAATGTCAAATATTTAAGGAGTCAAATGATTAGCTCATCAGGGGCACGCACGCATCTCAGTCCGCCTTCACCCTTGCCATCTTGTCTCCCTACAGTCCATGAACACAGCCTGCATTCTTCCCCTTGCCTATGCATATGCCGTTTCTTCCTCTGGAATATCTTCCTTACTTTTCCCTCAGCCACCTGCAATCCTAACTGTTCTTTAAGATGCAAGTGATTTTCTACATTTTTCCATAACATCCTCCTCACTCTCACTAGCCATTAAGTAGTCTCTGTTACCGCAAATCCTATGTTATCTCTGACATGATACCACACTGTCTTTTGTGCCCGTTTTTCTTTTTCAAGAAAAAATATACACCTACCTCATGCCAAACTTTTTTCTAAGAGTCTTAAATGCATTTTTCCATGTATTCTTCAAAATAACCTTTGACACTATTATTTCCATTTTCTAGATGAATAAACTGAGCTTTATGGAAATTAGATTACTTGCTCAAAGTCATACAACCAAGAAAAAGCCTGATTCCAATCCAAGTGTGTCCATTTCTGGAGCATGAGCTCTGACCATAATGCCATAGGGCTTCAGTCTTACTTCCCCATCCCCAGTGTAAATTCCTTCATTACTTGAGGACAAGCACTGTGTTTTGGGTACCTAGGTGCCTCTCCACAGTCCCCAATAGAGAACCTTTCTGGACCATAACAGATACTCAGCAAAGGTATATAAATGATGGTGCTGAGATTCTTTGGACCTTCTGATAGGAATGCGGTGTGGATCCCATTACACTTTCAGCTGTTCTGAAAGCACTTGAGAATGGGATGAGGCTTCTTTCAGTGGTATGGGCAAAGCCAATCGCTGCAGGAGCAACATTACAGATGCTCCACAATGTGGAACCATCTTTCTGTGATCTCCTAAATTGGCCTTATATATTTCACAACTTTTACATCTTTTCTAGTCAACTTCTTTCTAAATTCTTCTAAAGGGCTCATCATCTAACACTATTCTGACTTCCCAACACTGTAGTAAAGCAGTAAAGCAATGCCATATGCTCATTTGTTAAGCAGCTTGACATAAATATCCAACCAACCAGAGAGTAGAGAAATTAAAATGACAAAGCACGATAAATGATCAAAAAATATAGATGTCCAAAAGCCGAATGTAGACACAATTTAAAATTAGAAGACTCATCAAAGTGGGAGGGGCTGGAAAGATTAGTTACATGTTTATTATTGCAAAAACTAGGAACAGCCTAAATGTCCAAAAGAAAGGGACTGCTTAACTAAACAATGGTGTGTCCAAACAACGGAATACCACACAGTCATCAGAAATTAGTCATTCGACAAATATTCATTGAGTGCCTCATGTACATGAGGTAAATGAAAAAGAAATGATACCTGCCTTCATGGTGCTTAGAGTCTAAATGATGATACAGAAGTATATATAATGACAAAAACAATTTTATATTGCTGGGTGACGTGGTAGGTTACAATAGAGTAAATCTGTGTGAATTAGTTTTTTTGTTGTTGCTGTTGCTCATAACTTGAAGATATATTTGTTCTGTGTTCACACCTTGCCTTGAAGATGTTTAAGTTCAGCATTAACGTCATAGGAAGTGGTAAACTTCAATCACTCCCTTCCTTAGGGACACTAGGATATTGAAAAGACTAAAATACTGAAAGACCTAATTATATGTGTATAGGAAGAATGGAAAAGCTGGCATTATTTCATAAAAGTAGACATCCAAGTGAGTTGGTCTGGCAATATTAAATTTTACAGAAGAAAGTAAAGTTGCACATTCAAATTAAAACTGAAAAGTATTTCAAAATTCAAAAATTCAAAAAATTTAAAAAGTAATTAAAAATTTAAAGTGAAAATGAGGCAAGTACAAATCAAATAAAGATTAGTTTGAATTCCAATTGAAACTAATTTTCAGATAGCTCTTTGAAATATATATTCCCTGTAAGCATACATTATTTTAAAGTATGAATTAAAAGTCTTCCACTGACCAATTACAACACAGAAGTATTGTCTACTGATGCACTTTTTAAAAGAAAAAAGTCAGAAAAAGAAAAGCAAAGTCAAGTACGCAAAGAAAAAAGAGAATGAAATTTAAAATCATGAAACATCAATAAAAAGGATGTCTATCACTCTGGGTTACCCTGTTTTGCATAAGTCCTGAAGACATAACTAACTAGCAAGAACAGAAGCTCTATAATTTCTTAAGGTAAAAAATAATAAACTATAAGATTTATAATATTCGAACTTCTTTACTCTTCAAATTCTTAATTTTTAGAAATGGAGAGAAACTTCCTCAAATTGATGAAGAGCATCTAAAAAAAGTCTATCATTAAAATAGTTATTGTTGAAAGACTGAATGCTTTCTCCCTGATACCACGAACAAAGCAAGGATGTCTGTTCTCACTCCTGTTATTCAACAAAGTGTTGGAAGTGCTAGCCAGGGCAATAAGGCAGGAAAATAAAATTAAAAGTATACAGATGGGCCAGGTGTGGTGGCTTACGCCTGTAATCCCAGCACTTTGAGAGGCCGAGGTGAGTGGATCACTCGGGGTTAGGAGTTCGAGACCAGCCTAGCCAACATGGTGAAATCCTGTCTCTACTAAAATACAAAAATTAGCCACATGTGGTGGCACACGCTTGTAATCCCAGGTACTCAGGAGGCTGAGGCATGAGAATCGCTTTAACCCAAGAGGCGGCAGTTGTAGTCAGCCCAGATTGTGCCACTGCACTCCAGCCTGGGCAACAGAGCAAGACGCCATCTCAAAAAAATACATAAAAATAAAGGTATACAGATGAAAAAGGATTGGTTCCTGTTTATGAATGACATGATTGTGTAAATGGAAAATCTCAAGAGATCTTTAAAAAAAAAGGACCTCCTAAAACTAGTGAGTCCAGCAAGATAACAGGATACAAGATTAGCATACAAAATATAATTTATATTTCTATGTCCTAGCAATAAATATGTGAGCACCAAAGTTGAGAATAGAGTACCATTTACACTTACTGAAAGATGAAATATTTAGGTATAACTCTAACAAAACAAATACAGGACTTATGTGCTGAAAACTAAAAAATTCTGATGAAAAAAACCAAAGAAGATCTAAATAAATGGAGAGGCATACTGCATTAATGGATTGGAAGACAACATAGTAAGATGTGACTTTTCCTTAACTTGATACACAAGTTTAAAACAGTTCTTACCAAAATCCCAGCAATAGATTTGTAGATGAAGACAAATATTCTAAAATGTATGTGAAAATGCAAAGAGACTGATATAATGGAAGCAATTTTGAAAAAAAGAATAAAGTAGAAGGCATCAGTGTACCTGATTTCAAGACTTACTACTGTATATAGTTATGGTAATCAAGACTGTGGGGTACTAGTGAAGAGACAAACACTAGATCAATGAAACAGAATAGAGAACCCAGAGATAGATCCACCTAATACAAATATGTTCAATTTATTTTTGACAGTTGCAAAAGCAATTTCACGGAGGAAGGACAGACTTTTCAACAAATGGCCAGAGCAACTAAACATTCATTGGCAAAACAAACATAAAACAAAACCAAACCAAAAATACCCACCTTTACCTAAACCTCACACCTTATACAGAAAGTATCTCAAAACGGATCACAAACTTAAATGTAAAATGTAAAACTATAAAGATTTTAGGAAAAAAAGTAAGAGAAAATCTTTGGGAGCTAGAGCTAGGAAAGAATTCTTAAAGTCAACACCAAAAGCATAACGAGTCAAGGAAAATTTGGTAAGTTTTGTTCTGTGAAAAATCTTTTGTTCTGTGACAGATTCTCTTAAGAGAACGAAAGAACAATCACATGTTGGGAGAAAATATTTGCAAACCATATATCTAACAAGGATTTCTATCTAGACTATATAAAGAATTCTCAAAACACAGCAGTAAGAAAACATTCCAATTAGAATATGGGCAAAAGACTTGAACAGACATTTCACTGAAGATGACATACAGATGGCACATAAGCACACAAAAAGATGTTCAACATCATTAGCCACCAGGGAAATGCAAATTAAGGCCGCAATGAGACATCACTATACACTTAGCAGAATGGCTAAAATAAAAAACAGTGACACCACCAAATACTGGCAAAGATTTAGAGAAATGGACCATTTGTACATTGCTGGTAGACAAGTAAAATAATACAGCCCCTGTTGAAAATAGGCAGTTTCTTTAAAAACTAAACATGCAACTACCATATGACCAAGCAGTTGTACTCCTGGATATTTATCCCAGAAAAATAAAAATTATATCCACAGAAAACCCTGTATATGATTGCTCATATCAGTTTTATTCATAAATAACCAAAACCTATAAAAAACAAATTATCTTTCAAGGGATGAATGCTTAAACAAAGTATTGCATATCCATACTATGGCATACTACTCAGCAATAAAAAGGAATGAACTATTGATACACACAACAGAGAATCATGCTGAGCAGGCGAAAAAAAGAAAAAACCTATCCCAAAAGTTTACAGTATGTGATTCTGTTTATATAACATTCTTGAAATGACAAAATTATAAAAATGAGTATCTAGTGGTTAAGAAAGGGGGATAGAGGAAAAATAGGTGTAGCTATAACAGGGCAATATGAGAGATTCTAGTGGTTAGGGAAATGTTCTGTATCTTGATTGTATCAATGTTAATACCCTGGTTGATAGACTGTATTATAGTTTTTTAAAATATTACCATTTGGGGGAATTGGGCTAAGAATACATGAGATGTGTCTGTATCATGCCTTACAACTGCATGTGAATCTAGTTATCTCAAAATAAAAAGGTTAATTTTAAAAATACAAAAAGGAATGAATACGCTAGATTATTAGTGCTAGTTAGGGTGGGGTTAATTTTCTATTAAGTCTAATTGGGTTTCTACAGACAACTGCTGGTGTAGCTATCTCCAATTCAAATAACCTAAAATTTTAATTTGAGAACTACTCAGATTCTAATTTAAACCTCTGGGTGCTCCCCTTTTCTATGTGGCAGCTTCTGCTGGTATATGTAACCGCACAAAAGCCAAACAAATGTATAACGCATAATAAAAAAACCAAAACCCTTTACACAATGTCAAAGTGGAAAATGAATGTGCAAATATTAGAAACAAATACACATGTATCTACTCATGGAAAGATCAAACAAAAGCATAAACTATAATATTTTTGTAGCAGTGAAAGAGCAAATGTTTTAAAGAAGAAAACAATCTTGTTTATCTTAATATATTAATAATGTCACTACATGGAAGGAATAGGAAAAAGCAAAGGACAGGTATTTGGCCCCGAGTTACAAACTCCAAGCAAATAATAATCAAAATATTCTGTCAACTTTTCTGCATTTCTTTGTGGAAGGTAAAGTCTAATAGTTGCTTGCAGCCATGCTTACTTTTTTTCCATTCATTCATTAATTCATCCACAAGAATTTTTGGAAGTCTATTATCAGGTACTTTGCAGTTAGAGAGGCAAGAAGATAAAATAGAAATGGTTTCTGCTAATCATGTTTTTATGATTTTATGTTTTAAATAAATGGGCTTAGTTTAATGTTTTGTATATAATGTTTTGGGACATAGTGTTTTTAACTTATTATAACTTATGTAACTAATCCCTTAATGTTGGGGCACATATATGTTTTCTCAACTTTTCATAATTATAATTAACACAGAGCAGTCATAACTGACAATAAACTAGAAATAAAAAAGACAAGAAAAATGAAAAAATACTTAAAAATAAATGAAGTCTTACAAAACCTCTCAATTCAAATTGCTAATATGTGCAAAATTAGTAACTGAAGAATAATTTTTTTTCTCTTTTCCAAATTGTTGTTTAAACCTCAACCTCTTGACAAACTTGGGTTCTAATTGTTTTTCTGTTCACTAATCTTTTAGGTTAACTCTGCCCTCCGCCCACACTGAACTACTTTCAGTTCCCCTAACTGACCATATTCTTTTTCCAGGGATTTGGATATGTTTTTTCAGTTTAGAAAACTCTCCCTACACAACACTGACAAAATCCTAATAAATCTTTGGGCTTCAAAGACACTTTTTATGTAAAACCTTTGCAGGTCCCTCAGAAGCCTGAGTGAAGTATACCTTAGTCACCCTGTAATTAATTACTTCACCATATTACAATGATCTGTTTACTTGTCTGTCTTCCCCACTAGACCCAAAGCTCTTTGACAATGTTTTGTTCACTATTTATCCCCAGCGCTGAGAAAACAGCCTGACCCATAGCAGATGCTACTCTATAAATACCTAATGAGTGAGGAATGAATGCATGAACAAATAGACTCTTAAGCCTCTGGCCTAGGAAGATGGGCAGCTCCTCATTCACCCAGATGACTGGATCTTGCTTATGAACACGGCCAACAACATAAGGCAGCTCTCTGAAATATATGTTAGAGCCTCAATCTTTCCACTGCTATACAATCTAGGAACTTAGGCACCTTTCCAGAAAACAACACCTCATCTAAGAGGTGTCTCCTGAGAGCTACTCTTGGAAGCACCGAAGTCCTTTTCACAAAGACTGCAAGGTCCTTGAAAAGATACACTGTGTAACTTCAGTGTACAATGAGCAGCTGGGAGTGTTTTGGGCGAAGTTGGTATAAAAGGGTGCCTTTAATACAATATTTAGGTAGGTTGACCTGACTGCCTAATTTATATGACGAAATATTAAAGCCCTGGGTACTGTGAGGATTTCCTAGTACTAAAGTTTGTCCTTATGTTTCCATCTTTCTCAGTATTGAGATTACAAATCTTGGAACACCAGTTCTGAGGGAGCTTGGTAGTCTTCCCTTCAACAAAGGCTTTAAGACACAGGACATATGCCTTGTTTTCTCAAGTCTCATTTCAGAAGATTCTTCCCACTGCAAACACCAATGCTATTTTTTTTCCCTCCTGACCTTTGTCAACTGTGTTGCTGTACTGCATTTGGAAGTATTACAATGGTCATTACCTGCCCTGTTTATTCAGTGTTAAGTATTAACAAGGCCTGTGCTATCTCAGCTGCTGTCATATTTCTCCAGAAAAGAAATGCCTATGTAAATGTCCTAATGCAAACAAAAGACTCTTTTTCTAGGTGGGGGTGGCAGAAGACTTGGAGACAATTGAAAAGATGGAAGAAAACAGTAGATATTTTAAAAGAACAGTTTTCAGAAATATATGAAATAATTGCACCATGAAATCTAATTTGAGGCTGATTTTTTTTTTTGTTTGTGCATTTGGTCAGTTCTGGCCTGGTATTTGCTCATATTGAGGCTATAAAGCACATATTTCTGGATTTATTTATAATGACTTCAAATAGTTTGATATTGAGCAAAAGTGTATAAATATATTACAGAATAAAGAGAAAAAGTAACCCTTGGCATCAAACTCTCTTTGTTTAGGGTTTACATGTTTGGTTTCTTGTGTGGAACAGCTATGTCAGAGTGGGTGGGATCCTGTTTCTGAGGGAATGGAAGAGTGCTGACAATATTTTCTTGAGCACAAAGAAGGGTGAAGAGTCTTATTAAAACTCCTACCAGATACTGCTTGTTGGACAGTGAAATTGCAAAACTTGCAAAGAGGAGGGCCAAACACCATGCAGAACAGATCAAATACAAATTAAAAAATTGACTTGGGGAAGAAAAATCTTTCACTAGAGTCAGCTTTTCTGTAGAAATTGGCCCGTTCTCATAAATTTACCTAAGTTTGTGCTTGGGTCAGATGACAAAGCAAAATTCCATCCTCTGATAGTTGCAAAAAACTGCCAGTGAAACAAACTGAAGCCAAATACATACTTCCTAGATGACATCCGATCCAGAGAAACAAAGGTGTAGGTCACTTTTTCATTTTTAAAGTACCCAAGGAGTTACAGAGAGATGAAAATAGACAATACGTGGAGAAAAGAAGACTGCTTCTCTTCTGTAGCTATAGCCATATGAAATAAAACAACTGTACCTGCTGGGACTTACAAATATGTGTGTTATTTAGGAGAACGGGCTCTGGAGTTACACTTGCAAGCTCTGAATCCCAGTTTAACCATTCCATTACTGTGTGAGCTTAGATAAGTTACTTAACTATTTTTAATTTTCTACCTTTTAGAAGTGAGTATGGACTACTTAAGCAAT
The DNA here is from genome assembly GCF_000001405.40 of Homo sapiens. Taxonomy (NCBI): domain Eukaryota; kingdom Metazoa; phylum Chordata; class Mammalia; order Primates; family Hominidae; genus Homo; species Homo sapiens. The sequence goes on from NC_000004.12 coordinate 140,021,320, forward strand.
AGAAATTAACTAGGGCTGGAAAAAAAGAATGATTTGCTGGAAGTACTTCAGCAGCATAACCTTTATGTAAGAACAAATATCATCATTTATTGAGGGCCTACCTAATGTGTGCCAGGCATTTTGGATACACTATTCTAATCTTTATACATCCCTGCAAGGTTAATACTATTATTCCCAATTTATAAGGTTCAAAGTAGCTAAGTAATTAGATCTACGTCTTGAAGCTGAAAAGTGGCAAAAATATCTACCCATATTCCTTACCTAATTTTTTTTCCTTATTTTTAAAACAATGACCCAAGAATTTCTCTTCCCTCTCTGATTCCTTTTTCTCCAATCCTACTCAGGTCATAACTGCATTGGGAATCTCATTTCTTTCTTCTTTCTCTTCTTTATCCAGTTTAACGTTCCTGAATCCACTCACCAACCTCCCTTCTTCCTCCGCTTCCTGGTGCCACTGATCCCAATCCTTCCTCCAGTTTTGTTTGGCTTAAGTCCTGTCCTGAATCCCACTGCCCCATCAGGTCCACCCCACTCCATCAGCACTGTCATCATAATGAGAGCAAATACCTATTAGCACTTTTCTACGTGTCAGGTGCCTTATGAGATGGATACCATTATTATCCCCATTTTAGAGATATGGGAACTGGGACACCAAAAGGTAACATAGCCTACCAGGACACAGAAGTAGCAGAGATGGAGTGCTAACCTCAACAGTCTGGCTCCAGAGTTCTTGGTCCAGCCCTACTCTAGACGGTGCCACAGCCCTGGAGGGACCCAAGGGAAGTTGCAAATTCCAGCAAGTGAGTGTGAGCATGAGAGAGGAGGACCTGTTTCAAATAGGGGTAAATACATTCTATGATGTGTGAAACCAAATTGCTTCCCTTTTGTTGTAAATAACATGTAAATGTATACTTTTAAAATCACTATGGGTAAAATGTTTTTTTAGTGGGTTAGCCTAGGAACACTGTTTTTATGGGAACATAAATTCTGAGTTACCCCCAAAAAACTATTGGAACAGCCTGTTCATAAATTGAAGACTTCCTTTATTTCTGTTTGGGGTAAAGTTAAAGTAAGGGAAATCGGAAAAAGGAGGAAAGTAAGACTTCTCATTATTTGTAGATACAATTCCTGCACAGTAGAATGCAATCTGGATAATACGTCCCAACTTTCTAAGTGTGCTAAAAATAAATGTAAATGGTTCATTAGAGCTAATCTGGCAGCCAAAAGTGAATATTAATAACATGGAAGATCAATAAGATGCCCAGCAAAGAACAATGTATTAACTTGGTTCTAGAAATAGCAAAATGTGTGTAGGCCAGACAAGAAGCAATGGGACAGGAGGCACAGTCAGAAGAAAAATTCATCTCTTCTTTATAAGATTCAAGGAATTGAGAATAGACAAAATATGCCCATCTCTTTTTCCCTCTGCCCACTAAATAAGCAGTTTAATCAATTTTTACCTTTCCTTCCTTGTCTTCATCTGTCACTACTAACTCAATAGAAGAATGTATAACCCTAGTTCAAATACAGGTCAAGATGGCTATTATAAATATTATGAGCTTATGCTGTGACTTTCTCTCTCAGTTCTTATGTTGTATACTCTATTCAAGTAAGGGACAGCACAGAGTAGCTTTTACCCAAAGCATATTCAGTGAAGAAAGGGGTTCCATGGTCAAATAAATCTGAGAAATGCTGCATAATAATCCCCCTTTTAAGATATTGAAGGCTCTGAGACATCTTGCAGGAAAGACACCTGTATAATATATGGAACCCAGGTTTTCCCAAGCCTTTTGACCATATAATCCTTTTTACCTAACCCCTATTCACATCTTTGTGCAGAATGATACTGAGAACTCTGAACCAGGAAGAGAGCAAATCAAGTTCCTATCTTATTTTCCTGTGTGATTTAGAGAAGTTGCCCAGCTTCCCTGGACTTCAATTTCCTGAGAGATGGACCACATAATAGCTAGACGTTCTGTCCAGTCATGCAGCTCTAAGGGTATTTTCAACCCATGTGCTTCCATGGCCATCATCAATGCGCATGGAAGCTGAGGTCTGTGGATACACTCTTGGTGAGTGAGCATGTGCCCTCCTGCTAAGCCCACCTCAGAAGCGACTTCCATCACCCAGGAGCAGCCTAGACAATGGATCTTTTACACATCTTCACATTCAGTCCTTTATGCCCAAGCGAAGTACTCACATTGCAAAGGCTATTTGTCAGGGGGATATGTGGAGGGAGGAAATTTGCAGAGAATTGTTAAAACAAGCTTATATTTGTTCTTTCAAATATTTGCTGGCATTCAGACATGGCTTTTAAAAAAGTTTCTTGTGCTTTTTCATTTAAATATGCAAGTTTAATAAACATAATTCACCCAAAACAGAGAAATGAAGCAAATTCTTACAACTGATTCTTTAGGTCTACACTCTTAGGCCACATTCTAAGATGTTTTCACTTGAAATGCTGTTAATTCTGACATTTTAACTTTTTCTTTTGGAAAAATTATCATAAGCCAAAGGATTGTCCCTAATATTGAAAATATATTACTGTCACACAGTTTCACAAAATTATTCACCTTTTACTTTTATTTACATATTACTCTCCTTTAAAACAGTGTGGAAAGTACTACCTCTCTACAAGTTGAAACTGACTTTTTACTTTCTTGTTTTTATAGCAAGAGCATATTAATGATATAACAGCAATAGCTAACACTCATCTACATGCCTAGTATGTGACAAACATTATTCTAAGTAATGTATATGTGTGTATCAATCTTAACAACCTTATAAAATAGATACTATTATTATCCAATTTTCAAGATGTGGAAACTGAGGCACAGATAGGATAAGTAACTTGCCAAGGTCACATACCAGTAGTAAGCAGCAGAGTCAAGATGGATGGATTGATTGATTTTTTTTTTTTTTTTTAGAGACAGTGTCTTGCTCCGTCGCCCAGGCTGGAGTGCAGTGGTGCTATCACAGCTCACTGCAGCCTCAAACTCCTGGGCTCAAATGATCTCCCTGTCTCAGCCTCTGGAGTAGCTGGGACTATAGGTGCACATCACTGTGCCTGGCTAATTTTTAAATTTTTAACAGAGATGGGTGCCTCACTTTGTTGCCCAGACTGGTCTCAAACACCTGGCTTCTGGCAATCTTCCCACCTTGGCTCCCCAAAGTGCTGGATTACAAGCGTGTGCTGGGATTACAGGCGTGTGCTGGGATTACAGGCATAAGCCACTGAGCCCGGCCCAGAGTCAAGATTTGACTCCAGCAGTCTTTGCTCTTAATCACTCTGCTATTCAACCTCTTGCTTAAATTTGTAAAACAATAGAACCACCACCAAAAAATATATATAAATAGCTGAGGAAGAAATACAATTTGGAGTTACATGAAGCCCATAATATAACTAAAGAAAAGGGAGTATCTAACCTCTTGGTTCCACTTAGATCAAAGGAGAAAGGCCTGACTTACACTATGAAAAACACTGGTTAGAGACGTGAAAACATATCTTCTCTGTTCAATGCCATGAGATTGGCTCACCTGAGTAGGCTGCAGAATCTTCTTCCCAAATGCTTAATAACAAAAGTGAGAGAACCATCCAAAATATTCTGAAAAAAATCTCACAGAAGTTAGGATGGGCTAAATTAACCATCCTCAACCCCATTACTCTTTCCTAAGAGTACTCGATGGCTATGTTTCCAAATTATTCAAAACATGTTCCCTAATGTGTTAATGGGGGAGAGTGAGGAAGCAGAGACAGATTAAAAAGACTCAAGAGATATAACAACCAATGTAATGTGTGGACTTTGTCGGGATCCTGATTGACACAAACCTACTTGGAAAAGGCTGTTTTGGGACAATTGAGTTAATTTGATTATGGGTTAGGTATTAGATGATACTAATATTGTTAGGCTTGATAATAGCATCATTGTTATATGAGAACTCTCCATTTTTCTGAGAAATAACCTAAAGTAAATAAGGGTGAAATGACACATCTGAGATTTTTACTTTGACAAAAAAGAGGGAGACGACAGATGAACTGAGTATGACAAAATCTTGGTACTCAGTGTATCTGAGTAATGGTATATGAAGGGTCATTCTCTTTGTTTTTGCATATATTTGACAATTTTCATGATAGAGTATCTTGATAAAGAATATGGAAAGATTTCTGTCCTGATGAAAATAATTATGATAGATAAAATTATTTAAAAACCTGCTAGAGAAATGCCAGATACACACCTGGGTACACAGTTCACTTCCCCTAGGACTGAGGCCAGGAAAAAGAATAAGAAATAAAGGGAAGAGCATAGGGCAACCTGGACCAGAGACAGACAGGAAGACAAGAGAAACACAGCCACGGTGCCAACATTGTTTCAGGAAGATTTTACAACACCAGCTGTCAGCTCTAGATATACTGTTGCCACTTTCGACTTCATCTAGAAGTGTCCTTCTACCCAATGCTCTCAACCGCGATTGAAAAATACTACATAAAATGAGTCTCGGATCTCTGCCCACCTTATGTGTTTTGGCGTTTAAAAACCTCTCCCATGGATTGGCTCTCAGTCCTTAGGGGTACGTGGTTTCATTACTGAGGTATGCCTGTGTGCAGGAATGTGTGAGTTTGTGTGCATGGGCAGCTCCTCCCTGATCACTGTGGCTATGTCATAATGCACATCCTTGTCTTTTACTCATTGGGTTATACCTAACAGCCAAATTTGTTTGTTATTCCAGGTGTGCTTAACATACGTCAATCTTCAAGACAACTAATATCCCTTAATGATTAGGAACCTCGATTTTTTTTTCCAAGAAAATAACCATATAACTAAATCATTAAACTTCCCTTAAGTGCCTTATTAGAGGCTCATCAAAACATATATATGTGTGTGTGTGTGTCTGTGTGCATATACACATATATACATCTTTAAATTTTTATTTTACTTACTTATATATATTTTTGAGACGGAATCTCACTCTGTGGCCCAGGCTGGAGTGCAGTGGCGTGATCTTGGCTCACTGCAACCTCCACCTCCCAGGTTCAAGCGATTCTCATGCTTCAGCCTCCCAAGTAGCTGGGATTACAGGCATGCGCCACTACACCTAGCTAATTTTTGTATTTTAGTACAGACGGGGTTTCACCACGTTGGCCAGGCTGGTTTCAAACTCCTGACCTCAAGTACTCCACCTGCCTCAGCCTCCCAAAGTGCTGGGATTACAGCCCTGAGCCACCACATCTGGTCAAAACATATATTAAAATGCAAATAAAAACCTTTACGACAGAAAGAAACATTGAACAAATTAGTTGGTTGGACTCAACAAATACTATTTTCTAGCCTCCTCTTTCCCCCTACACAAAGACAGCCACTGATACATTTTGTTGCTAAAAATGCACTAGCTTTTTGCTTTTGATCACACTCTATGGTAAATTTTGCATCCCAGTTTTCTCACCTAACATTAAAATATGGGCATTTTTTCCTGTTCTAATTCCGCATAAACACCCATTAGTAGCTGGAGAATATCCTGTTAAGTACAGACAGTAAAGTTTTGTAAATTTTCCCCTACTATTGAACATTAGATTGTTGCCATTTATTTAATATTATAAAATAAATAATGCTTTATATGTGCAATACTTTCTTATATAATTATGTGTGTTTCCATAGTACTGATCCTTAGATCATAATTAAAAACTAAATTAAAAACAGTACCTAGTAGTTTACCTTAACACAAGAAAGAAAAATAGTAGAAAAAGGAAAAAAAAAAAAGACAGGTTCTGTTGAGCAGTGAGTTTGCACTGGCTGAGCCCAATGTCCCGACTCTATTATCTGTGACTCACATGGCGTGCTTGAAGAAAAATATCCCCGTCTTGTTGCTTCTTGGTAGCCCATGGCATTATCCTTTATCTAACCCTAGTTACTTCTCTGGGATGTTTCTTGCTCCAGTTGTTTTCCTCATGGTGTAACAATGTGAATTTGCAGTCCTGACTGTTCTCTTTAGAATTTCATCACTTCTTTGCTTCCATTGCAGTTTGCTTGCACTTCTAATGCAGCACTTCCTTCCCCTTCTCCCGTGGTATACTTTAGTTGTTTGCACTCTGTCTGCTGAGATGCTTTAACTCATCTTTTAATCACCTACAGTGCCTGGGATCGTGCTCTGCACAGAACACTGCCAGGCCATTAGCAGATTTTCATCAAATTATTAACATCATTCTGTTCTTGAGCAGGGTAGTTCCCTTCAAGTTGCCCTCTGCCCTACCCAGTGCTTAAAAACACCTCTCTCGTTCGCGTCTACAAATTTAATGAATGTGTTGTTTATATCCTTTCCCAGATAATTAATGAAGATGTTAAATAAGACCATGCTGAACACTCGTCCAGATTCAATACATTGCCATTTATCATTACACTTTCAGTCCTTCAGGCAGTTTTCAATCAATTTGACACATTCAAGTCAATTTGAATTCATTTTCTGAACTAGATTTCATGAGACCTGCTATCAATTCTTCCATTAACATCTGGATGTATTTAGATATAATAATATATCTAGTGTATTCTTTTTGTCCACTGTTTTCCAATTTTCAAAACAAAAAATCGATTAAGTTGGTATAACATGAAAAAGCTTTATAGATTTATGCTGTTTGTAGCTCTTGGCTCTAATACCTCATAGATGTTCACATATTTACCCTCTCAAATGTTCTAGTATTTGTTAGCAATGTAGTTTTCCTAATTCACTTATTTATCCAACAAATGTTTATGGAATACTTATTATGGGCAAGTATTATGTTTGGAATAGGTTTAACACTAATTCTATTTAGAAATTAATTATTCAGGGGCTCTTGTTCTGTGAAGTGTACAGGACAATGTCTCTCCTAAACTATTTTTCATTTTATTTTTACTATACATTAGCAACACTGGAGCATAGATGAAGCAGGAAGAAGAGAGAAAGCATGTGTGGCTTCTAACTGGCAGTTCTGATAAAGAGGTTCCTGGGGTAAGGATTCTGAAAAAAAAGTGGCTAAAATAAGACAAGAGAATGAATCTGAGATATCTCTGCCAATGATACTCTGAACAAGTGAGAACTGGATATGCAGTCTTTACTCCAGTGTCTGTCTGTCTGTTTCTCTCTCTCTTTCCTCCCCATCTCTCTCCTTCTCTCTCTCTCTTTCTCATTATTCTTCGTGATTCCAAAGGAGAGCTACCATATTTTGAGGAATTCATTATTATTTCCATTAACACTGGCTAACACATCATCTAAGATCTTGCCTATTTATTTGTTTTCTTCTTTTTTTAATGAAACGGGTCTTCATTACTGTTTAATTATCCTTATTTATCTTCTTAAAGGCCAGTTTTAAAAAGCAGTTCCAAAGCTCAGCCATTTTGCCATCAATAGCTCAGACATTTGAGCATAATCATTAAGCTTATCTCCCTATTCATTTAATGCTAGGCCTCCTTTATCTCTAGTATGCTTTCCTTTCTCTTCTTTATTATGTTTGTATTATTACCCTTTGCACCACTGATCGCCATAAATACTTCTTGGTTGTAACTCTGGAACCTCTTTGATGATTCATGCTCTCCTGTGAGAGTCCTATAGACAGACTTGATTTACTTTCAGCTTTCTCCTTTTTTTCCTTCTATTTTTGCACTGTTGTCATTGTCACTTTTAGACTGCGTCTGGTTTTTACAATGATGTCCAGTCTTCGAGGTGAAACCGCTGACCTTGAGTAAAGCACCTGCCCCAATTCTGCAAGGTAACAAGTGCTGCAGAACCACGGGACCCAGCTAAATGGTCAGAGACTGCCCAGGTACACCTGCTCTCAGCCCAGGGGGACAGGTACCATCTTCTCAGTCAATCAGTAAAACCAAACCCTGCTCAGCACAGGGTAGCAGCAACACCAATTCAACTAGAGAAAAGGGAAATGATCCCTATTGGTGAGTTTGCCACCTGAAAATAGTACACTTGGTCACTTCCAGCAATGGTTCCTCCCTTGAACACTGCCACTGCGATTAGAACAACTGTTTTCCCACTTATCAGTTATGCCTCAAAGACCACAAACTAGGAGAAATGCTGAATTCTCTCTCTTTCTGGGTGATATCCATGCTCACATTTGGATTTAAGTACATCCCCTCCTTCTTTTTGTATTCCTTTCTTATTTGTGTGGTAACTGAATTTGAGACTGTTAACTGTTATTGCTGGATTAATTACCAACTAATTTTCACCTTGTATTGTAGCACAAAAATAAATTTTTTAAAATAGGGAAAATTTTGAGAAAATATTTCATTAGGGATAAACTACAGAAAAAGAGGGCTTATTACTATATTAGTAAGCATAATACTATTTATAAATATTACATCTATCATTTCAATTTTATGTGTCTTCTAAAAAGACTGAAACAAGTCACCCATAATTATTACATAAATGCCACTTTTAATATCAGCTTAGGAAATATGTATATTTTTCTTTCAAAACTACCATAAGCAAAGATGCTAACATTTTGTTTTTTAAAATTCGTACAAAATAAATCTATCCAAAGCTTTTGGCCACACACCCATATTTTAACCAAAGTTACTCTGGATAGTTTGAGGAGGATTCTGCTTGGTCTGACAAAATAAGATGATGAAGATGAAATAAGTTGGGTTTTTTCCCTCCTCTGTCTGAGTGACAGCCACTCACACATCCACACTATTTTCATTTAGGAGTGCATTTAACATTCTGTGAGTAGGAAGAAACGAAAAGGATGAGGTAAGGATATTGTTTTTCCCCAATCACACATTTCTCTTTGCCCATCCTGGTTTCTCTGTGTCTTATTTCCCTTCTAATTATTTTCCACTCCTTCAGTTCTGGTGCTGATGCGGTCCCTGGTTCATTTCCCTCCTCCCCTCCCATTTTCAGGATAACTGTATTCTTCATCTTTAAATGTCCCACCGATCACACGTCAGTGACTTCATGGCAGCTTCCTTGGAGACAGGAGATTAGATTATTTTAAAATTACAACCACCTATTGATAAACTACCATATAAGGCACTGGACAACACACACTAGCTTTGGCAGGGGGCCTGCCCTAAATTGTTCAACACTTACCAGGGGAAAGTCTTACCTGCCCAGAGTGAAGATCAATGCCACAGGAAGACAAAATTCAGTTTTATTTACTGGACAGAGGAAAATAAGGGCCAGGCTCCAAACAGCTATCTCAAAGCATGCCATCCTCACCTCCATCCACCTCCTCCCACCTTTTCCTTTTTGTCCCATGTTTTTGTTTTTCTTTTCTACCTGGTTTTGCTTCTGTATTTCCTGACAACTCAAGATTCCTTTACCTCATCTCACTTCTTTCCCTTCAACTCCCTAGGCATTTCACCTCCTCCCTCCCTTTTTGGCTCTCCATCCCAGTCTCCCAGCTTGCGGAGATACAAGCACACACTTCCAAATGCTGCCAACTAAGTGCTCCAGGGGTAGGGAGTTCTGAGGCTACCTCCCGCCACTGGGCAAGCCTCATAACAGAGGAGACATTCTAAACCCCAGGGATGGTAAAAATCATCATCATTATTACCTCTCCAGGCACTGCTGTGTTAAGCAGAGATGAGGCTCCCACCTTTGATAATGAGAAACTCAGAAATTACAGAGGTTGGTAACACAGCATCAGCATATAATACCGTCTGAAAAACCTGGGCTCCAGTTATCTTGTGATAGGCAGCGACAGCAGAGATTAAAACCCACCAGAAAACAGCCGCAGACTGTACTGATGCTGTGCTCCTGCACTAAATGGCCACAGTCACACCCCTGTCCTCCGATATTGCCACGAGTTATGATTACTCTCCTTAGTCCCACTATATTAGAAAAAAATTTAAAGGGGCATTTAAAGCAAATTCAGGCACAAATAGATTAACAACAAAGAAAACGCCATCATTATTCTTCCAATGCTTACTCATTCTATGATTTAAATATTTATTCTTCAAATAACAGCTAGTGTATGTCCATATGAAATCATCAGAACGTTGGACCTTCGGCTCTCCTCCGAGGGTCAAAGCTGAGATTTTGTGTGTATAATATTATTATAGAAAGAATAAATATTTAAAAATGGACTAAGTAATTTTTTCTTATAGACTGCTGCAGAGAACAAAAAGTTTCATATGGCTTCCAACTCAGAGGAAGTTTGTGACTGGATGTGAGGAGACTACAAAGTTATTAGAGGATAGACAACAAACCCTATGAGCCCGTCACATCTCCTTCACTGAAATTTTGCTATATTAAATTTTGATTCAAATAAGTAATCCATCAGCAAAGGTTTTGCAATATTGGTTATACAAAGATCTTCAATGACTGACATTTGTTGAAGTGGGATTTAAGTTAAATTTTATAATAACCCTGTAGTGGCATGGAAACTTTTATCCATACATTTTAAACTTTCATAGGGTTAGTCATCATGATATTTTGGGAATGACAAGATTACCTTCATCAGAAACTTCCTTCTACTATTTCTGCCTGCCAAGGTGCATCTGAAAAATTTCTTCTTTCACAGAGATTTTCCTTCTCCCCCAGCTGAGAGTGATCTCTCTGTACTCTGAGATATGCTCAAATTCTCCTACGTTTCTATTTCCAGCCTTGCCTTCTCCCTCACCCCCAACTCTTACTGGAAGCAACTTTTTCAGCAACTGGAACTAACTTGCAGTCTCTGTCTGCCTTGGCTGACTGGCCAACGGTCTTAATAAATAGCAACCACTAAATAAATCAAAATTTTTCCAAAGAAAATATGAAACTTGGATCTTAACTCTACTTAGCCTTAAATTTACCTGTCTGTGCACATTTCATTTTCCCACCCACTAAACAGTATTCCTATAGCTCTGGTTGTATCCATGTAGATTTAGATTGATGGTTCTAGAATCACAGAATTGGAAATGATCGTAGATATAATTTAGTTCAACCCACTCATTTTCAAAGACAAGGCAAGGGAAGCTAAAAGAGGTTAAGTGCCCTTTTATCACAGTTAGTGATAAAATTCAGGCAAAATTGAAAGTGGCTGCTCCAGCCTATCTTTGTAGCGGATGACCTGTCTTAGAATTTGTTGAACCTCTAGCATTGAATGTAGACTGATTTTAACCTGAATGAAAACTTCAGACTTGAAATTATTCTGCTTTTAAGGAAAGTGAAATTGTTAATTGGTTTTAGTAAACCAGATATTTAAAATCATTTTACTTCCATTCAGTTCCTCATCAAGTCTAAGCAATTGGGTACTGTACTTTGACTATTAAACCTGTAAGTTATCTGAAAATAATTTTTATTACACATTATATAATACTGAAAGTATTAGACTCACATCCATATCAATGATACAAATGGGTAAATTAGTACAAACTTTCTGAAGGGCATTTGGCAGTATGTTACCAAAAACTTAATATTTGAACCCTCTTCATTCTGTCAACGTCATTTCTAAAGATTTATTCTGAGGAAAACTTACTCGACATCTAGGAATATGGTCAATTTTTATTCTTCTGCCTTTACACTTTTTGATAAATTCCAAAGTTCCTTACAATGAATTTATGTCATTTCTACCATTGGAAAAAAACCTCTCATTGTTTGTAAAAAAAAAAAAAAAAAAAAGTGAGAGAATGCAACTGGCTGCTTATCCTTCAAGAAAATATCGGGCTCTTGTGCACTGGGTGATTTTTTTCTTTCTGGTCAAAAGTTTGTAGAAAGGGAGAAACTGTGTTTCCTGGGAAAAGCCACCAGCTTCTAACCATGAACGGGTGTTCAGAGCATGAGTCTGTTTTGGAATTTCCAAAAAGCATACAAGAATAAGGCTCTGGCTGAACATCCTTTTCCTATATGGATTGCACATAATCAATAGACCTAGAAGCACTTATTGAACACATCCTGTGAACATCATTGCACTAAGAGCTATTCGAAACAAATGGCAAGGGCTTTTCCATGCCATTTATAACTAAGCCCTGTGGCAATGACATAAACATATGAAAAGATGACCATGAATAGAGGCCGTAATTAATTTCCAAATACAAAATGTAGGTATCTAGAAAAGGAAGAAGCTCACGCAAAACCTGAGTGGCGAGGAAAGGCTTTGCAGAGAAGGGCTCAGCCTTGAAAAAAAGATGGAGCAAGAAGAGGTACGGTATGGGAAAGAATGGTTTTACTGGGTTTGAGTGGTAGAATACTGAAAAACAAAGATCAGAAGGAAAGGCTGGGCAGGCCCAGCCTGAGGAGCATCTCAACTCCCGAATGACATTTGATCGCCTCACTGGATGTCTATTTTATGTTAGATGCTCCATAAGGCCATATAGCACAGTGGTTAAGAGCACTGAGTTCTAGAATCAGAGCACCTGGATTCAAACCAACTCTGATGCTTACTAGCTCTGTGATCTTGGATAAGTCACCTAAGCTCTCAGTTTCCACATATATAAAATGAGGATAACAACAGTACTCACCACACAGGGTTATCGGGATGATTAAGTATGCATGTGTAAGGACTGAATAAATGTTCAAATGTTGGCATGGCACTGGGCACACAATGGAATAATGTCTGCTTGCATTAAGCAGTGCTATGAGACTTTTTTAAAGTGTGCATTCTTATTTTAAAATCTTTGTGAGGTCTATAAAAGAATGTGCCCACCTTTGGAACTACAATGGCCTGAACATAAATGAGTTGTTTTTTGACGACTAACCACCCTGCAATGGGTCTCAGAGTCATCATTATATACCACCCTTCTCACAGTGTGGACCAATAATAATAACAACAACAACAGCAACAACAGCTTTGTATAGCAACCAAGGGTTTACAAAAGGCTTCTATCTCATTCACAAGAATTCCATGAGGTAAGCCAGACAAGAATCAGGATGGAGGCAAGACGAGGACCCAGGGTTTCTGCGTTCTTGTCTAGGACTCTTTATAGCTTACAAAGTAGCCTATGAAGAGACAGACCAAATACAAACTGATCCTTAGACTCAACCTGGAAGTTAATTCCTTATAAATGAACATCTGATGTGAGATAGTCTGGTTGTGATTTGACTTAGACAGAAATGGAGTAGATTACTTAGAAATTTAAACTCTTAATAAACCATTGAAGTTTTGATGTCCAATGTTCACACATACCTTGAAAAAGAGATGGAGTTGGAAGACATATGGTATGAGAAAGAAAGATTTTACTGGGTTTGAGTGGCAGAATACTGAAGAACAAGGATCAGAAGGAAAGGCTGGGTGGGCCCAACCTGAGGAGCACCTCAACTCCCAAATGATGTCTGATCACCTCACTGAATGTCTATTTTGTGCTAGATGCTCCATAACGCCATATAGCACAGTGGTTAAGAGCACTGAGATCTGGAATCAGAGTACCTGGATTCAAACCAAGTCTGATGCTTACTAGCTCTGTGAAGATACCTCTGATTTTCAGTATTCAACTATTCAGTAGCTGAATTTTTGTCTTGCTTTAGATTTGAAAGGAAAGTAACAAAGAGGGCATTGCTATTATTTGATTGTAGTTTGAATCCCTGCTTGTCTAATTCCAGGAAGTTCCAGTTAATAATATACAACCAAATCAAATAACATATTGATGGAGGTTATACATGGGTAGAGGCAGGCAAAGCAACATCTACAAACCCCACTGGGAAACAGTTACCAGACACAAGCTAAAAATGTATTCAGTTGTCCAACAATATGAACCAAGGAAGTTCTTTTTTGAGATGGAGTCTTGCTCTATTGCCCAGGCTGGAGTGCAGTAGCATGATCTCGGCTCACTGCAACCTCTGCCTCCCAGGTACAAGCAATTCTCCTGTCTCACCCTCCTGAGTAGCTGGGATTACAGGTGCCTGCCACACCATGCCTGGCTAATTTTTTCGTATTTTTAGTTGAGACAGGGTTTCACCATGTTGGCAAGGCTGGTTTCGAACTCCTGACCTCAAGTGACACACCTGCCTCAGTCTCCAAAAGTGCTGGGATTAGAAGTATGAGCCACCACGCCCGGCCAAGCCAAGGAAATTCTAAGGTGAAACCCTGAAAAACAGAAAGTTCATGTTCCAAATATGTGAAATCAACGGAGTCCTTTCCAAATCAGATATCTGAACACAGGACCCAGGTTTTCCTCCTTGTTTTATCCAATAGTATAATTACTGCAATCATCACTTAATAACATATAGCTTTTAAATTACAAACCACATCCTTACCTCTAGGGAATATATGTAAAAATCTTTCCATTAAAATGCTAACATTGCTGGGCACAGTGGCTCACGCCTGTAATCCCAGCACTTTGGGAGGCCAAGCAGGTAGATCACGAGGTCAGGAGATCAAGACCATCCTGGCTAACACAGTGAAAACCCGTCTACTAAAAATACAAAAATTTAGCCGGGCGTGGTGGCACGCCAGCTACCCAGGAGGCTGAGACAGGAGAATCGCTTGAACCCGGGAGGTGGAGGTTGCAGTGAGCCGAGACTGCACCACTGCACTCCAGCCTGGGCAACAGAGCGAGACTCCGTCTCAAAAAAAAAAAAAAACCCAAAAACAAAAAACTAACATTAATAAAGTTTAGCACCAAATTGCTCTACCTGAGGTTGAACGGTAATGCTTTAGTTTAATTCCCTTCGGAACACATTATCTACTTTTTGGGTAGAGTTCTATCCTGATGTATTTCTTACTGGGGAGTTCAAAGAACAAAGAGCATAGTTGAGAATGAATTGAGATGAACTCAAACCAGAAACAAAGCATATCCACGAAAGGGAATAGATTATACAGGAAAGTAAGGATTAGGACCGATTCCTTTTCTAAATGACTGGCCACTGTTACAGCCTTATTCTGTTGTCAACAGTACTTCTGCTGTTAACTGAGCTTACACACAGTGTCAGTCAAGGTTTTCATTGAATAACAAGTGTGTGTGATTTCTAATACATGTGAGGCCCATTCTGACGCAGTATGTATTAAAATGAGCCAAGGGAACATCTACCAATGGCCCCTGTCGTTGCCTGCCTCACTGCTTTCCTGGATACATTTGCCTCAAGTGGACACAGCAGCTGGAGAGAGGGATGTAAAGCAAGACCTCCGTCACCCAGCATGCAGGAACATGAGTATTTACTGGCTCCATCTTCACTGTCAGAGAATACTACAGGGAGGATGAAACAGCTACCGCGATTAAAAACCTGCTCCCTTGAAAACAGCCATGCCACTGCTGTGCCACACAATGACCCTTTCAAGTCGGGTGCTGAGCTAGATCAGCACCTCTCCTGCAACTTCTTTGATGGCTCAGTGTAGACTGTACGGTGTGCCAGAGAGTCCAAGCACAGCTCCAGCAGGAATCTCCTGGAGCAGAAGGCTCAGGAGAAGATGAGAAGAACAGCTGCCTATTTTCTACCTCAACCACGGCCAATTTTGTGCTCCAGCCCTCCTTTTCCCATTCCAAGTGGCATATCCTTTCTTCCTCTGTCCCTCTATTTAACAGTCAGACAAGAATAATTTACTGGAAAATTGTTAAGTTATAAAAATAACCATGCTTTCTTTCACTTCTTTTCCCAAAAGTTTGTCTCCTAGAGCCAATCTTTAGAATCCAACTCTTGGTGTGTATTTTAGAAAACACCTTGAAGATGACGGTGGCTCAGAAGCACACTATGGTACATGCTGCTGCTATGGTCAGTGCTCTGTGCTCTTCAGTCCCACTTTCCAATACTGAAACTTGCTTCAACACAAGAATTTATATCAGACTGATATTGTCACAAGTTCCAAGGATCCCAGCTGACATCGCTGTGGCCCTGCTTGGGGGAAATAGAACTAAAAGACTTTATATTAATTCACTGGTATCTTTTAGTCCACTGACGATCATATAACACAGTTCAGTAGATTACTGGGAAAGTGAGGCACTAAGAACCCTGATGTTTTTGTTCCCAGAAAACCTGAAGCTCAAGACTGTGTATAGGGAAGCACTATAAATGACTTCTGACCCTCTGCTTGAAAAAAAAAAAACAAAAACAAAACAGCAACAAAACAAAAAACAAACTAAGAACGGATCAAGAAGTTCCTCAGGTTAGGTTTTAACACGAATCCTTAGCACATTATTATCTTTCTGCTCTAAAACTGGAGTTTGCACTTTAAATAGAGATTTCAATAAATTAATGCATTAGCTACAAAGAAATGGACTCAATTTAAATGACTAAGCAAGTGACCTGAATATTATTTCCTTTAAATAGCCTGAGCAACATGAAAAGAAAATACAAAAAGGAATCTGAGTAATGCCCTATGTCTACAAGATTCCATCTAAGTAGAGCATGTCTCCCACAATGTGACTCACAGGAGGCCTGCAGCTTCAGTTTTGAACAAACAAACGCACGTCTTCATTCAGCACAAAGCTAACTAGTGTTAGTTATACAGCTAACTAGTTATGCAGGCTATCCATATTTACATAATCAGAAACACATTGCTTTCAATAAGACAAGGCCCACTGAGTTACATATGACCCTAAGGTACGTGTATTTCAACGCATGTTAAACTGTACTTTTCAGAAAATCATTTTGTTTAACAAACTCTCAGCAGGCACCCTGATTAGACATAATCTATAAGGGCCCTTTGTCTCGAGCTACACTGCTCTGCTGTATGGGGCTCTCTTTGTGGTGATAATTGGTTTGGCTGTCCATTCCACCCATCAGGTGATAGAAAACTATCAATCAGCCTAAATGCAATGTGAGAGAAGTCTCGTTAGCCAATTAGTCAGTAATGAGAACATTAGCTAAGATATCTTCTGCAGAGGGCACCTTAGCCATTCCACTAGTCTGAGAAGATGACAGTCCCTATGTGATTAATAAAGATCACAGGATACTTCAGAAATTCTACATGGGTGAAGAAGAGAGTCAGAAAGAAATGCACTCGGAAATGCTGACTGTTTCTAGTGCTGCCAAGTGCTTTACGCAAAAACATTCCAAAACCACAGAACCACAGAACTTCAGAGCTGGAAAGGACCCTGAAGATGATTTGATCTCACACCTGCATTTTACAGATACGGCAGGGAGTGAAATGAATTGTCCAAGGTCACCCAGCTGGCTGGCAATGGTGCACCTCTTGTGGCTCCAAAGAAAAATATTTGGACTGATAAAAGCAAACAAAACAGGCAGCACATCAGTATGGAGAGATCCTACATGGCTTCTGATATTTTTATGGGTGTGTCTTTTTTCTCTACTGGTGGCAAGGATTATATGTTTTCCTTCCCTGACTTCCTAGGGCCAAACATGATCACTGTTTGTCCTGAGGAAGTATCACACATATTTAGAGCAATGGCTCCTAGGCCAGATTGCCTGGGTCCATAATGCCAGCTCTGCTACTTACTACACGTGTGACTTTGGACAAGTACTGAATGCCCTGTACCTCAGCTTCCCCATCTGTAAAAGAGGATAATAGTCCCTACCTCCCAGGGTTATGACAATAATTAAGAGTTAGTCTACATAAAACACAGGGAACAGAGGCTAGCACTTGCAAGCTCGGCTATTATTATTCATGAAGGTGCTTGTGAAATGACAGCTGCAACGACAGGGCAACTTCTGCATATACAGGAATAATACTAAGATAAGGCCTGGGCGTGGTGGCTCATGCTTGTAATCCCAGCACTTTGGGAGGCTGAGGTGGGCAGATCACGAGGTCAGGAGATCCGAGACCATCCTGGCTAACACGGGCTACTAAAAATACAAAAAATTAGCCAGGTGTGGCAGCATGCGCCTATGATCCCAGCTACTCGGGAGGATGAGGCAGGAGAATCCCTTGAACCTGGGAGGTGGAGGTTGCAGTGAGTCGAGATCGATCGTGCCACTGCACTCCAGCCTGAGAGACAGAGCAAGACTCCGTCTAAAAAAAAGAAAAAAAAGAAAAGATAAATTAAGGCAAATTAAACACAATGCCATAACTTTCTTGGGATGAAGACTGAGGGAAATCACAGAAAGAAGAGTAAATTCAAAGGGGAGAACCACACCAGCCTCACAGAAATTTCAGGAAGCATCGCTGAAGCTTTGGATGACAGTCCTATCATGTCCCAACCTGTCTGCTGGACTGCTCCCTGGTACGGTCAATTGGGCATGTTCTAGCGGAAATCCACAGGCCCACTAACTCCCACAGCCCACAGCCATGGAACCATGGCTGACCATGCATGGTGGTCTTTACCCTTGTGCCATGAGTGGTCTGAGGACTAAACATGCCTTGATCAGAAGCATTACCATTCTCTGAATCACCAGGCCCCTAACCTTGAAGGTTATGTCTCCTCTCCCAGAGGCTTTCGTTATCTGCTCCTCCTCTTGACCCCCATAGCACTGTAGGCACAGCCCACCCACCCCGACTGTGCAGGTGACATGGCATTGCCACTGCTTGTCTCATTCCATCTCTGTATTTCATACTGCCCTGCAATGCTGTCTGAATGCAGGGCCAGGCATGCATTTGACAAAGAGGCCACTTCAGTGGATTGTCCCAGAGTTAATACGCACCAAGCAACAAGAGCTACTCTGACATGGGTGCTAGTGCACTGCTGTACAATGCCTGGGATTTTCCTCTTTTACCTTTTAGGAGCAAAGATACTCTATTATCACCACTATCAACCTCTCCTCTTATCCCTACCCCTCAAGAAAGAAATGGAAACACGCAGGAAGTTCAAAGGCCAACTCATTTGCTACTGCTGGAGCGGGCAAACAACGCACACTCACAGAAACTAAATAAGTGAATGAGGAAAATGGAGTGCACAAAGACATGAGAGGACAGACCAGTGAGACCAGAATGCAGTCAACAAGAGAGGGGTTAGGGTCGAAAAGGCCCAGGAAAGGGGTGGGGTGCTACCGAATTCTGACTTTTTTCCTTTATAGGTATTTACTTATATCTGGTCTCAGAGACACACAGGGAGAAGAAGTGGGAGAGAGAGCATCTAACAAGATCCTTGAAGGCAGGAATGTTTTCCCATTTTCATTTCTATTCCATTGTAGTGTTGAGAGCAGCTCCAATCATCTGAAAGAGTGAATGGCTATTGGGTGGGAGGCAAAGGGAAACAAAGAAATATACCGTGAACTCCGGGACACATCTTAAAACTTGCCTAAACTCCAGAGAGGGAGGTACTCATCAAGTGCAGTCTTCAAAAATTATGTGGGATTCACAAACAGAACTCATCTCCAGGTAGAGGACAAGGGTCCCTCCCACCTGAACATCAACAAGTAATGCAACTCTCCCTCTCCTACACAACGTTTATATGGTTGATATCCACCAATCTGTCCATCCCTCCTTCCTCTAGCCCTTGGGCGCCACACTAAAATATTACATTCAACAGAAATTAGAAACTTCAAAGCACACCCCTTCAAAAAATCAACAATACAGGGTACGGTGATGAACAAAAGGACATTATAATTTTGTGGAAAATGCAAATGTTAAATTACACACAGAGTAATTGCCATATTTATGTCTTTCCTACTGACCTTATCTTGCCAGAGTAGGAGAATCAGTGTCAAGAATGAACTCTTTGCCGATTTAAATAGGATTCAAATATATATATTATGCATAATAATAGTCTCCTTTCACTTATTACATAAACATAAAACATTACCCTCCTTCTATTCTTGAGACGTTATGACAATCTGAGCTAATACATTTAATTCAACTCAAGTCCCTGAGAGAACAGAACTACAATTACTATTTAGCGAGTGTCTGACCCATTCTGCTTGTCTCTGAAATTGTCTATGAAACTTTCATGGAGGACACCAAGGAATCATTTTGTTGTTTGACAAAATGATTTGACTGTGAACATTTTTAAAATGCTTATATTCCCAACATTTAAAATAAGATTTTATTTTCTTTTATATAGATGGGAGTTATTTGATGTCCAATAATATGCATTTCTATACAAATGCATACAGAGGTATCTGAATTTTTGAGAGGTAAATTACACATTCTGTGAGTGGGTCTTGAAGCATCAACTTGAATGAGAATGGTTATATACATACCACTGGATAAATATGCCTTTGCTAGCTCAGACTTCATGGAGTAGGCCAGAGATAGGAAGGAAAAGAAGGAAGAAAGAGAACAGAGAGTGGAAGAGAGGCAGGGCATGGTGGCTCACCTCTGTAATACCAGCAGTTTGAGAGGCAGCGGTGGGTGGATTGCTTGAGGTCAGGAGTTTGAGACCAGCCTGGCCAACATGGCGAAACCCCGTCTCTACTAAAAATACAAAAATTAGCTGGGCTTGGTGGTGCACACCTGTAATCTCAGCTGCTCGGGAGGCTAAGGCAGACCAGGTTGAAGCTGGGAGGCAGAGGTTGCAGTGAGCCGAGATCACGCCACTGCACTCCAGCCTGGGCAACCGAGTGAGACACTGCCTCAAAAAGAAAAGGGGAGTGGAAGAGAAGGGAAGAGAGGGCAAGGAAGGCAGGAGGATCAACTACTCCAAATTGAAGAACTGGAATTAAATCCATCCCACCTCCTTCCAACAACTGGAGGAATGATCTTACCTCTAGCATGTTTAACATGGGGAAAATATTTTTTTAAGTAGTCCAGACAATGATAAATACAAAGAAAAAAACACACCTCTGGATTTAAATGGAAGGCTGCAATTCCTTCATCCAGAGAGCCTATTTCATGAGAAACCTTTTAATAGAGAAGTTCTTAGTAAGACTATATGGGTAGCAATCTCTTGTTCAAGAGATAAAAATAGAACAACTAACCTTTACTAAGGTCTTACTAGGTATAAGGTACCATTGGTAACATGTATTAACTCATTTAACCTTCACAAACCTCCTGTGAAGTACGAAGTATTATTATCCACATTTTACTAATAAGAAATAAGTAATGTACCCAAATTATGCAGTCAGGAAATGGCAGAGCTGGGATTCAAACCCAAGTATCCGACTCCCAACCCAGCACCCAGCCATTTTATTAGTGAATGAGTGGATGTGTGAATAAGTGAATGAATGCAAAAGCTATGCTCGCTGTTTGTAACTTGTGGCTTTAAAGGCTGCTGGCAGAGTTTTCTGTACCACAAAGGACAGCCTTATGAACAAACCATGGCTTAACAAAACTATGCCTCACAGTTGTCCCTCCCCTAAACACACCCCACTCTGAGGGAGAGCCTCACGCCTGTAATCCCAGCACTTTGGGAGGCCGAGGCAGGCGGATCACGAGGTCAGGAGATCGAGACCATCCTGGCTAACATGGTGAAACCCCATCTCTACTAAAAATACAAAAAATTAGCTGGGTGTGGTGGCAGGCACCTGTAGTCCCAGCTACTTGGGAGGCTGAGGCAGAAAAATCGCTTGAACCCTGGAGGCGGAGGTTACAGTGAGCTGAGATCACGCCACTGCACTCCAGCCTGGGTGAGAGAGAGAGATTCCATCTCAAAAAAAAGAAAAAAAAAATGTGGCAAAGTTAAAAGTAAGGTTGATGTCTCATTTGTCTGACCCAGTCACACAGGGGCCATGTGACAAGACAGTGTTGCGGGGATTTGGCTATGAGATGAAAATGCATAAGGGACTGCGGAGCTTCCTGTGGGCCCCATGTTGCTTACTGTTAGAGGAGAGGTGTCCTGGCAACATTCCAACCCGGGCACAAACTTTACATGAAGTTTGAAGCTTCGGTTAGTGGCAGGGTCTCCACTTCCTGTTCCAAGATGTTGGGTGAGTCTCATAATTCAAGTCTCAGAGGCATTTAGACTTGAGTGGTGTAATGCCCTTACAGGCTCAGTGACCATGCTGCCCAAGCCAGGAACAAGGACCCAAATCTGATTTTTTTTAAAAAAACAAAAAACAAAAAACAGGTCTACCTACAGGGAAAAAAAGACAAGCCATTCAAATTCAGGACTGTTCCCAGATGCCCTATAGCACTAAGGACATGACAAATTGAACATGACCTGCATATTTTATGAATGTATCTCTCCCTTTCCCTCTGCTTCTCACCCCTCTTCTCTCTTTATTTCTCAAGTCTTCACTTACGGATGCAGAATAGGAGACACTTAGGTCTGCTAAATCTATCTAGACTGACTTACCTACGGCTCTGTTCACCTCTTAGATCCCAAACACAATTCTTTTCCTCATTCAGTTTCAATCTGTTTTCCTATATTTGAAGAATGTGCTGTTTTGAAAGCCCTAATTTTTACTTTATAGGAATGCCGAGAAACAGGCCCCAGGAAAGCAATACTGTAGCATTTTCCAAGCAGTCATCTGGGGGATTCATGACCTTCCAAAAATTTCTGGTGGTTTCTGACATTCAACTTCTTCCCTTCCTCAAATTCTCCATATCCCCACATTCTGCCACATATTTTTAGGCAAGTATCTGAGCTACTAAAGAATTTAAAAATGAGAAAAGTGAAAGTGGCCAACAGCCACAATAAAATTTTTCTTTAAAAATGGCAGCACTGTCCCTGGAAGAGCTTACACGGGTACACACAGTATATTTCAATCTTATCAATCGTGCCCACCTAGATTCAGCTCTTGGGACTATTCTAACTAAGACAACACTATCAGTTTAAAATAGTCTATTGTGACAGAAAAGTACGTTGAAAATCAGTGAAGACTCACACATAGAATCAATTTCCCCTCTAGAGAAAATCAGCGAATATAAATTCATTAGGGTAGTTAATTTTTCCATGTAAATAGCAACTGACATCACTGTTAATACCAGGAAAAGTAAGCAGCGTCTTTTAATGAAAAGATTATAAATCTAAAGCGAACTGAGTTAAGTTCTAACTGTGCTCCTGATAAAAAGGGAATAAATAATACCCGTTCATTTTTCATGGAGATGTTTTAAGAATAAACAAGACAAATGGGTAAAAATACTTTCAGTTCTCCTGAATAAGGCACTACCTAATCCCAAAACAGTTCTATAAGAAAGAAAGAAAAAAAAAAAGATTGGTGTGTTCTCGGCAGTTTCAATGAGGGCTATGGGCCCGAGACGTTTTAAAAGCAGAAAACTGTTAACATTGGAGATATATTGTCAAAATACATTTCCCTTTGGTTAAGGAAAGGAGAGAGGGAGGGCTTAAAGGGTGGAGTGGAAAGGAATTGTCATCAAAGCATTGTTAATATGAACTGAATTATATTACAATGGCGATGCTTCAACATGGGGAATGAAAATTGTTTTGTATTATTGTGGATTGACAATATGACAATCGTTCATTGAAAGTGGATGACAGCTGTAGCATTATAGCTCAGTGCACAACACAAGATGAATGAGTGTTACAAGTTCTTCCAGAATGGGCCCTTATTTCGCAAGAGTCCGTTTCATCCCAAAATAAATACATGCCAGTTTTTCACTATCTCAGCAAATTTAGCATCTCTTTACAAACCAATGTGCTACCAGCGGCCTCAAAGTGCCTGTGTCATGTCCCTGCTTAGTGGATTTGCAGCAGCTGTGAAATGTCAAGTCAAAATGCCATGGAAGATCTATACAACGCCTCAGCAGAAGAAAGGGCAAGAAATGGTAAAATGCTTATGCCTGGACATGTGTGAACTGACGTCAAACTGTCTCCCGATCCACAGGAGTACTGTTCCTGAATTTCTGTCTTGGCACCAGGCTCATTC
This sequence comes from Homo sapiens, assembly GCF_000001405.40. Classification (NCBI taxonomy): domain Eukaryota; kingdom Metazoa; phylum Chordata; class Mammalia; order Primates; family Hominidae; genus Homo; species Homo sapiens. The sequence goes on from NC_000004.12 coordinate 140,044,813, forward strand.
CACCACAGACATATGAGAGTCATTTGTGTGCCTCTTATATCAAACTACTCACCTAAAAGAAGTAACACCATGTAAGCTACTTGAAATTAACACACTTCAGAGGCCAGAGATATTTACATATCTCCTTATGTGCAACAAAAGTCATGCCTGCTTACTTAACAAAAAGAAAGAAAAATCAAAGAAAAAAAGCACAAAAACTACTCAAAATATCATCACAGAGAGAAAGAGATAAGCCTTGTTCACATTCACATATTAGTGTTTTTCTTCCCAGTTTTAATGTATTTTTAAAAAACAGAATCTGGGCCAGGCACAGTGGCTCATGCCTGTAATCCAACACTTTGGGAGGCCAAGATGGGTGGATCACCTGAGGTCAGGAGTTTAAGACCAGCCTGGCCAACATGATGAAATCCTGTCTCTACTAAGAATACAAAAATTAGATGGGCATGGTGGCAGGTGCCTGTAATCCCAGCTACTCGGGAGGCTGAGGCAGGAGAATCGCTTGAATCCATGAGGTGGAGGCTGCAGTGAGCTGAAATCGTGCCACTGCACTTCAGCCTGGGCGACAGAGCAAGACTCCAACTCAAAAAAAAAAAAAAAAAAAGAATCTGCTATATATTGTGTTCTAGTGCCTGTTTTTGTTTGTTTGTTTTTTTTAATATTGCAATCAATGTATTGGGACTTTTTTTCAATCTAAAATATTCTTCTAAAGTGTAATTCTAAAGATTATATGTATTCCATTTTCTCCATATACCATAACTTACACAGCTAATCTCCTGTGGTTGGACATCTATGCTCCTTGCAGCTTTTCACTATAAAAAATAACTCAGCTACTATATAATGTTTTCACACTTTCTGACTAATTTCTTAGAAAAAAATTTATAAAACCTGTACTGATTTCCTATGATCCTGAGTATGGCAACACTCAAAGTAAACCTGGGGCAGCCCTTGGAAAGGGGTCTCGAGCCTCACTGACCCATCAGAAGAGCCTCTGAAGTATTGGTAAGAGCAGCTGAAGAGCTATAAACAATGGGCAAGTTCTCCATTTTATACTTAGAGAAAATAGAACCACTTATCCCTTAATTGCCGTGGCCTAGTCTTCTAGGGTTAAGCGCAGCAACATGTTTTGGTGCGTGAGAAAAAGAATAGTATATGCAAAGGGAGAGGAATTGCATGAATATTCTCTATGCTTCCAAAGTCAATATGAAATATAAATGCCCTCTAAAAACCCTGAGAGAATAATAAAACATGGGAGTTATTTATGCTATGGTCTAAATATTTCTAATTATCTTTCAGGCACATGGAAGAGCTGTACTTCCTGGCTCTTGTGTGGTTAGATGAGGTCATGTTACTAGTTCTGACAAATAAGTTGTGAGCAGAGTGATGGGGACCATTTCTGGGCAGGGACATTAAATTGCTGATGTTAGACCCTCTGGAGCTCTTTCTCCTTCAGCGTAACCACTAGTGTGAGATCGTGGCTAGTTTTGTGAGAATGGGTCCCTGAGTAACAATGATAAGCAGAATCTCGTCTCCCCACCAACCCACAATAAACATGAGCAAGAACTAAATTTTTGTTGCTTTAAACCACTAAGATTTGGGGGTTCTTTGTTACTATACCATCACCTAGGCTCTCCTGACTGATAAATAAGATTTAATTGAACTTCTTTGTGATCTCATTATCTAATTTAAAATATTCACAGAAAACTTCATTCTTCTCTACACATACAGTTTGAAAACCTGGCGAATTATAGACATAATCTTTCAGGTTTTCTGGTCTTCGTTACGTAACAATTCAACAGGCATTTCTTCAGTGCCTACTGGCTGCAAGACAGTTACATTAAGTGAGAAATACAAATACTGGGAAATACAAAGATGAGGAAGACACAGCTCTGGGCCTGAATCACTTAAGATAAAGTAGGGAGGATCCGGTTTCACATTTTCTACAAAGGAGGAATTTAGGGTTGGCAACTGGGTCGCAAAGGGCAGGGGGAGGGGTAGGGGGGACTGTACTGAAGCTGTGTTTGCATAGTAAATGCAGTCTATATATATTATATATTTATTTGAGGCAATTTTGCAGAGAGGCTCGTGTGGAATATAGGAGAGTGGCTAAACACCTCCTCTGAGCTGCTGTTGGTACTACCAAGGGAACAGTAAAGACAACTCTAAGTAGAAGGTGGAAAGTTCTGAAGGAGAGGTCGGAAAAAAGTGGCCATGGTGTTTCGAAGGACTGGAAGATGCCGTCTGAGAGACTGGGAGAAGGGTTTCAGTGAAGAAACTGCATTTGAGATGGGCTTTTGAGGCCAAGATTTCCACAGGGAGAGATCAGGGGAGAAACGGTCTGGAAGGAGGGTGCCGCCTAAGCAAAGACACAGGGGGACAAAGCAGAGGACTGATCAGGTATCCAGAGCGATGTCATAGCTAGTGCCTAGACAGACTGTTGGGCAAGTGCAGATTTGGGGGGAACGCACTGAGGGACTTAGAGGGATTTGTGCTTGGCTGGCTGAGTTAGGAAATTCAGGGCAGCGGAGGTGGGTGTGAAGCAGGGATTTCAAGGCAGAGAATTATACACCAGGAAGAAGAGAAGCAAGAGGAGCTGGTCCTGGCAGGTTTACTTGGCGGAATTGCAGCGCCCGTATCTGAATAATGAAGTTGGTGAAACCGAGAGGGCTGCAACCCAGAGATGAAGGCGCGGAGCCAGGACGTGGCTCACGCTGAGCTTCCAGCTCCAAACTCTCAGCACAGGGCTGAGCACAAAATAGAAGAGCGATGAATGAATAATACCTAATAATATCCCAACCAACCGGCCAACTGCAGGACAAGCCAGTTTTACAGGACTTGCCGGCCAGTCCTTTATTTTTAAACTTCTTTGCCCGCTCTTGGAGCTTGAGTTTGATATTTACACCCACCCCCCACCCCCAAAATGGGCACAGCAGAAGATGGACGCGCTGCTCAGATCTAAGCATTTGGATACCTGTAAATAGCTCTGGTTTAGCTTGGAGGAGACTGAACTTAAATGGAGTGAAGTTTGAAGACTGTCTGTGAATTTTAGCTTTAAATATTGTAAGTCAGCGCTGGCGGCAATGGCCATCTTTAACTTCGTGATACTAAGAAAAAGATAGGCTCTTCAGACAAGAACAAAAACATTCCAGTTCTCAACATTTGGTAAGGCTTTTCCCCAGGAATTCCCTTTTGCTTAATCTGACCCCACATACTTCCTTTAAATGTCCCTTTACGAAGACATTTTAGTTTTGGTTCAAACAAACACAAAAGTTAGTGTAAACGCTGGGAAAAAGCAGGTGGAGTGGGAGACTAATGATCACTTTTCTGTGTGATCCTGAGTGAGTGGACTGGATTTCTGGCCCAATAGTAGGGCAGTATTTCAAGAATGAAAGGGAAATTTCTTGAGGGAAATGGACAGTTTAAGGATGAATATCATTCTTTTGATATCTTCCCAAAACATGTGCAAATTCAGCAAGAGGTTACAGGAAACCTCAATACCCTTGATTCAGAAATAAACACAGGTTATCTTTTCAAAAGGCATACAAGTGACCAAATAATAAAGCCATCTCCAAAAGGTCAGGAGAAATTTATTGGGAACCTACTGGGCATAGAACTGAAGAAAGTCTCCTTGTAACTGGGCTTCCCATGGTTGCAAAAACAGTGGGTGCCTTCACTAGGTTTATTACCAAAGATAGCAAATGTTTTCCATGGAAAACTTAACTGGAATCTGTTTTGTCCTAAGGTCAGATCTACAAAGCCATAATTACCCAGGTAACTTGGGTCTGATGTTGCCAAAAATATCCAGGTAATTACAGGAGAAAGGTCATTTCCTCTGTATAATCTCAACTATACCACTGGCTGTCTATACTGGCAGTTATCCAGTTAAGAACAGCCTTTCACATTTCACTTTGTGCTTGCTTAGACCCTGCCAAGACTGAAAATCGTAACGAGTTTTTTAAAATCCCCTTTATAAATATTCCCCTTCCCTTGCCCCATTCCCTAGGATGATCTGATGACTTCCTCACAAGACGATATACGGAATACTTTGCTAATTTTTACATTCAAAGGAAATGCTTTCTGGAAAGAATACTGTGAGACAGAAATGAAACAAGAAAGGTGAAGAGGAAGAATGAACAGGGGTGCCAAGATGTGCAAAACTGTGGGGATTCAAAGATTCATAGCAAGAGAGAAAGAAAAAGAGAGAGGAGCAAAGCAGATATGCAGGTCAACAGACGTCTTTATTCAGAGTTTGAGCTTTGTCAACACAGGCAGTTTGGGGGCAGAAAGAAGCGCATCTGCTGCTCTGTGATTGCACAAGAGAAGCTACCACTCCTTTTCTTCACAAAGAAAAAAAAATGGCATTTATCGCAAGTACAGCAAGGCATATTAGGATTCACCTCCCCCATTCTTTCTTCCCTCTTCCTCCTACCATCTCCCTCGCCGCCTCCCTTTCCTGTTGGAAAAGAAAAGGTGGGAGGGAGAGGAGGACCCACCGGTCACAGACAACGCTGTGGGATTCTCTTTCTTCAGCTTTTACCAGCCTATGGGGGTCAGGATGCTATTGGTTCAGCTTTATGTGTGATATGGTGCCTCTCACTTAGCAACAGCGAGCAGGAGAGGCAGGAAGCAACGCCACCTGGCTCAGCAAGTGTGCGGATGGTTTAAAACGAGCCACTCACTCACAGGGAGAACAGAGGAGGGGGGAAGAGAGAGCAGGCTGAGCTTAATATATTGTACTATTAAGAGCAAGGCTTAATCAGGGTGTTAACAACAACCAACAGGCAGGCTATGGGGGAAGAGCAAAGACTGGACAGGAGTTATTTTTAATGAGTATCTACGTATAAATCATACATGTTGCCTTCCTTTTTTTTTAAAAGGACAGACTACACTGTGCTGCCTGGATGGTGGGTGGGGAGAAAGATGGTTATCTAGGCAAAAAATAAGAGATAAGATGCATCTAAAATTCTACAGTGAGTTTACTCGGTTTTACTTTGTTTTCACACCAGGGTGTTACTAGAAAAGAAAAAGTAAAAGTGGGTGTACTTGAAAAAGCAATTGGCTACGTAATCACAGGATTTTTTTTTTTAATTAGTCAACACAGTAGCTATTTCTAAATCTTAAAATCCATTTTAGCATTTGAAAATTAACTTTCTGGAGTGGAAAGTGGCAAAAGAGAAATCTAGCAGAGAAACATCTCTGCTAGAAAGATTTTTTTTTCCTTTGCCTCCTTTGTGGTAAAAGGGAAATTTCTAAGAAGGATGCTGATAGAAGTTCTGAAAGCTCACACTGCCTGAATATAACAGGGCTCATTGCCAATAACAACAAGGAAATGTATTCTGCTATTCCATATTCTTTCATTTCTCTTAATAGAATTTGCCTTCCCCTCTATTCTAGGTCTTCCCGCCAAACTTTAGAAGGATTATCTCACCTACTTATCCATCCCAACCCACCCCACTGCATAACATCTAACAGCCTAGCCTTAGACCCTAAAATATAAATGGGAAAGCATCCTTCTTTCGTTCGTAGAGAAAAAAATGGGAGTCAACTTGGGTCTTTCATTGGAGTCAACTGGTGCCCTAGAGACAAAGCCCAACACTCTGGAGGGCACAGATGGGCCTCTGTCTGCCCTTCTAAACCAGACCCAATTAACCCCTTAGGCTCTGAGGAGTAAAAGCCACTGACTACAGTGACACCTACTGCTCGGGGTACAGCTGTACATCCTCGCACCGCCTCCCAGGTTCTCCAAAGCAGCCATGTGTTCCACTGCCGTGGGCTCCACTGAACACATTTCTCTCTGCTCTGGGCTAACACCTGGAGAAGGAAATTTTCAGCCCCCTCATTCTAAGGATGGCCTCTGAACCTATAAATCAGGGCCTTCTATAGGCAGGAGTCCTCACCCATGGGAATACAACACGCTGTCAATCTATAAAGTGACCAACTCTCGCAGCGATTCTATACAAAAGAGGCAGAAAACATAGTCTGAGAAGAGCCCACACCTCCTTCAGAATCGCTACCTTGAAATTACTTGTTAATCCTGTTTGATACCCAATGAAGTTATCCTGGAAAAAAAATGAAAGTTTTACTCAGTATCCACTGAATTTTGCTATACAGGGAAAAATATGATATGAAGCACTAGTACAATCAAGGTATCTAGAAACTCCACTTCCAGTTTATACAATAGCTTGTTAGTTAATCCATCCCTTCTACTCTATGCATTTAGTCAGATGGCAGAAATTCCCTCCCATTGAGAAAGAAATCCATTTAATTATGGAAGTCAGTTATACTTCTCTGAAGGCATAGCAAAAATTCCTCTATGTTGAGGACAATATCTATAAGTCTAGGAAGGGCAAGAAACAAAATCATTAACAGAACCCTTGACTTACCCTAAAATAGACACTGAGTTTAAAACCATCTTAAAGGTGTCAAGAGCAGTAAGTCAGATGATTATAAAATTAATGGTTCAGGCCAGTCACAATGGCTCATGCCTGTAATCCCAGCACTTTGGGAGGCTGAGGCAGGTGGATCACCTGAGGTTAGGAGTTCGAGACCAGCCTGGCCAACATGGTGAAACCCTGTCTCTACTAAAAATACAAAAAAATTAGCCAGGCGTGGTGGTACATGCCTGTAATCCCAGCTACTTGGGAGGCTGAGACAGGAGAATCGCTTGAATCCAGGAGGCGGAGGTTGCAGTGAGCCGAAATCGAGCTACTGCACTCCAGCCTGAGTGACAGAGATGAGACTCAGTCTCAAAAAAAAAAAAAAATTAAATTAATGGTTCAGGAGGTACAGCTTGTTTCATTTTTGACAAAGAATATCTAACGAATCTTCACCAAGATAGGTACACACTGAACAGAAGTAATGCTGAAAATTTAAATATTACCCTTCTTTCTGGATGCTTGAAGTGTTATGCAAATATTTTGCTTTTTATTCCCAACCATTCTACTTGGAATAACTGGATGTTACATTGTGCTATTCTCATTTTCCCACTGAGAAACAGAGGAGCTCAGCAGTTCATCCAACGTCACAGAGCAAGCTAGTGGAGGCGCCGGGATAAGAACCAGGCTTCCTGATTTAAAGCCCGTGACTTAGCCACTGGGCCACCAGAACCAGGCAATTCTCTCTGAAGCCCTGTGAGGACTATCTCAGACCTCTTACTGATACCTCACCCCTGTGTGTTAATTTGTGTTACCGTCTCAGAGTTGCAATGGCCCTATTTCCATTCTTCTTTAAGTTTCTTACTTTGTGACCTCATTTATCAGTTGCTTTCATGAAATGGGTTAAGGAAAAAAATGAGAATGTGGGAGGCTTAAGTAAAACCTACGAAAAGCCCAGAAATGGTTCACACATAAGTTAAATAAAAGGCTAAATTTACCCACCTATACCTACCTAACTCTAATGTTTTAGCACTAAAATGAGTATTAAGTGAAAGGATACTTAGAAAAGCAGCTATACTGGCTCTCCACTGAGACACGGATCCACAAGGTGGAGCCACTGCGGGGTAGCCAGCTACATAACCAATTAATAGCACAACAGTGACATTTTCATTCTTTTCCATAGAATTTCCCACTGGCAGAACACACCTGAACACACATCTGTGTGGGGTGTGCAAAGTGTAATTGTGTGACTCTGCCATGGATCACCTAGACCCCGTGTAGGAATCTGTTCAGTGGGGTATGGGTGTTCAAAATGGCATCCTTAAATGTCCCTCAAAAAACCCATATATTTCTTTTTTTTTTTTTTTTTGAGGTGGAGTCTCACTTTATTGCCCAAGCTGGAGTGCAGTGGTGTGATCTTGGCTCACTATAACCTCTACCTCCTAGGTTCGAGTGATTCTCCTGCCTCAGCCTCCTGAGTAGCTGGGATTACAGGCATACACCACCATACCCGGCTAATTTTTGTATTTTTAGTAGAGACAGAGTTTCACCATGTTGCCCAGGCTGGTCTCGAACTCCTGACCTCAGGTGATCCACCCATCTCGCCCTCCCAAAGTCTTGGGATTACAGGCGTAAGCCACCGTGCCTGGCAAAAAAACCCATATATTTCTATTTGATGAGAAGCTCCTTCCCTCAAAATATTCTTATATCTGCAACTATTTCCTCCTAACAGGGAAAGTGAGTAAGTGGTGATAAATTTGTCTCCATGAATCAGTTCTTTTCCAGAAACTGTTTTAATATAAAGCCCAATATCCAGTATCACCCTAACAGACAGCACTTATGAGGTATATAGAGCTGAAAGAGGCCCACAGAAACCCCCTCATTCAAAACCTAAAAGTGTATTAAGTCAATCATGATAAGAGACAAATACACTCTGGGTAGTTACACATTCCTCAGACGGTAATATGAACAGCAGCCACCGACAACTGGTGCTCCTGGTTTAGTGTTGGATAGGCTGTTTGGAAACTTGTCTCTCCAAACAGCCCCTTCCAATATTCTTCATGTCTTCATGGCAGCAGCATTCTCTCAACACCAACCTGGAAATGGGGGGCACTCCTACTACTCCCCTTCATCTCCTTCACTGACTCAGCATGCCCCTCGGACCACTGCTTTGGAATGTCTCACATCTGGCTTTCCCATTCCCATCCGAATTAGGTAATTCTGTTTGGGAGCATACCACTTTACACCAGTATTACTGCAGGGGCCACATTCCCAGATCCTGGCTTTTCTCCTCTGGGCCATCGGGCTTTGAGATACCTTAACTTAATCGTGCCATATCTAAAGAACTTCACCACAACATGGTCCATGCAATTCTACTTTTATAAACAAAACCAAACATGGTAACATACATGCATGCACATATTTATTTTAAAATTTTTGACTGAATATATCAGGGGCCAGCAAATCTTTTTTTCTGTAAAGAGCCATTTAGTAAATATTTTAGGTTCTGAGGGCCAAAGGACAAAATCGAGGCTCTAATGTAGGGAGAAAACACATTTCTACAAATTTTTGGTTGGCAAAATTCAAAACTTTATTTCTGGACACTAAAATCTGAATTTTGTTCAACTTTCACATGCCATGAAACATTACCATTATTTTGAAAATCTTTTCAACCATTTAAACTTGCAAAAATCACTCTTAGCACATGGGCCATACAAAACATCAGGCAGGCTAGGGTTTTGGCTCATGGGTCAGAATGTACGTCAAGTGGTTAAAACTGTGGTTAGGTCTAAGAAGAGGAAGTAGAACAAAAGACAAGGTTTTTTCTCTTCACTTTTAAATTAAGACATGTCTGTATTTTATTATAGACATATATTACTTTTATGTTCTGAAAAACAGTAACATGGGCAGGCGCAGTGGCTCACGCCTGTAATCCCAGCACTTTGGGAGGCCGGAACAGGCAGATCACCTGAAGTCAGGAATTCGAGACCAGCCTGGCCAACATGGTGAAACCCCATTTCTACTAAAAATACAAAAACTAGCCGGGCATGGGACGCATGCCTGTAATCCCAGCTACCCGGGAGGCTGAGGCAGGAGAATCACTGGAACCCAGGAGGAAGAGGCTGCAGTGAGCCAAGATTGCACCACTGCACTGCGACCTGGGCAACAGAGGGAGACTCCGTCTCAAAAAAAAAAAAAAAAGAAAAGAAAAGAAAAAAGAAAAACAGTAACATAAGACTTGATTCATTGGTTTGTTGATTAAAATAAAGATTTCTTTAGAGCTTTCAGTTTCCTCCATATTCTTCCTATTTAACTTAGTTTCTATGAGGATGGTGGTCTCTTCATTATCTGCCTAAGATGCCTTGCACCTCTCCTGTTTTCACACGTTTGTTGCCTGGCAAAATCACACTCATATTTCAAGGCTTATTTCTTATTTCCTAACGTTCTCCTGCAAGGCTTCCACATCTATGACAGTATGGGGAAATCTTCAGTCATCTGATCATCACTTGTCAGTTAATTTAGTGTGTGTTTAATCTCGTCTCCTAATTAGTATATCAGCTCCCCACAGGCAGGGACCACCTTAGAATCTTCAGTGGCCTCCAAGGCACCAAGCACAGCGATGAGTCCCCACCTCTGTCTTCCACAAATACTGGACAGCTATTGATTTGGTCAACCTATGCTAAAACACAACTGTAGAATATTTTTAAAGTGTACTAGAATCAGTGGATGAAAGAAAGATAGAAATTTTGTCTTCATTTTTAAACATATTTCTTAACTTTTAGAACTGTCCAACAATGAAATATGCTACCTCTTGAAATAACAAATTTCCTGACACTAAAAAGTATTCAAAACACAAGTGTCTGACCATCTGTCAGGGATTCTGTAGAAGGAATTCCTGTATTATTTAGGTCAGACCACACGGCCTCTAAAGTCCCTTCTCACTCAAGAATCTCTTATTCTGATGAACTCTATTCCCCTACCCCAAATATCTCATTTATTTCTTAAAATTAAGTGATTCAAAGTAACAGGGGTGACAAGTTCACAACACAGATAATAAAAAAAAACCTACTTCTTTGTCATTTTTTGAAATTCTATGGGTATATAAAGATGGTATTAATTAGTTTGTTTTAAGCAGGCTTGGTATGTATGATAAACCACCAGCACTAACCTGAAGAAAAAAATCCCAGAGCAGTGAGAATTTTTTTGCCCCTTATTTAGAAAGATCCCTGGGGATGGTTTGCTTATTGTTTTTGTTTATTTGTTTGCTTATTCTTTTCACTATATTACTGGGTTGCTGTCACTAATCAGCTGCCTGGACGACAACATGTAAATCATAAATACATCTATATTTTGCTTATCTTGAATCTGGCTTTCTAGAACCTTTAGAATTCTGCAAAATCCCCAGATTCAAAAGGAGCTTAGAAACAGATATTTTACCACCTCTTGGGAGGTAAAAATATAGCTCCTTGAGCACTCAGCTACATGTAAACATGACTACAAAAAGCCAAAGGTACAAAATTACACATCATGAGTTCTTTCATCAAGTATATCTACTCAGTACCCACCATGGGCAGTCAGGCAGTGCTCTAAGTACCAGAGACAGATGGTGACCAAAGACCCAGATCCTAACTGAAGGATTTACACTGGTCACCAAATGAAGGGCCAGTTAGTAGTTTAAAAAAAAAAAAGGTAAGAAATACATTGACTGGCTTGCAGTACCTATAAAAGACATTATCCAAAAACCTAGAAATGGAGAACTGATGATAGGAGAGAAAACAGAAAAAAGAAAAGCACATGGAAAGAAGAGAAAGGGGAAAATGAGGCAAGATGAGAATCAGCTGCAGCAACAGGGGTGTGTGGCATTAGAAGTAAGGGCTGGGAGCCCCAGACACTGACAGAGAAGAAAGGATGGCTGAGATGTTCCCAGAGGCCAATACTGGAAAGCACTGGGGCGCCAGCTCCATGTGTGTATGCAGTCCTCCATGCGGCATGGCTCCTGCTGCAGGGGGAATTCCCTTTACCAAATTAACTGGTGTTCAGAGTAAGAAATCACCTCTCTACATTCCAGTTTCCCAAGTACTTTCTAAGGGTGTCATGACATCTGTTCTAAAAAGCACCTATTTCAAGTCCTGGCACACAGCATGCCCTCAGCTAATCTTAGTTTTCTTTTCTTTTCTTTTTTTTTTTTTTAAAGACAGAGTCTTGCTCTTGTCGCCCAGGCTGGAGTGCAATGGCGCGATCTCGGCTCACCGCAATCTCTGCCTCCCAGGTTCAAAAGATTCTCCTGCCTCAGCCTTAGTTTTCTTTTTGTATTCTCCTAGAGTCATTAAGAAAAGGTTCTGGCCCTGCGCGGTGACTCACGCCTATAATCCCAGAAATTTGAGAGGCTGAGACGGGCGGATCACCTGAGATCAGGATTTCGAGACCCACCTGGCCAACATGGTGAAACCCTGTCTCTACTAAAAAATACCAAAAAATTAGCCAGGGGTGGTGGTGGGCGCCTGTAGTCCCAGCTACTCGGGAGGCTAAGGCAGGAGAATCGCTTGAACCCGGGAGACAGAGGTCGCAATAAGCCGAGATGTGCCACTGCACTCTCCAGCCTCAGCGACAGAGCAAGACTCTGTCTCAAAAAAAAAAAAAGGTTCTATCCCACTCTAAGTCTTCTGATCATAAAAACCAATCAGGAGTTACAATAATAGCTTATGATTATTGAGTGCTTACTCTGTGCAGGCACGAAGCCAGGAACATTAATGGATTATCCCAACAGTCCTATTACATGGGGTCCATTCTGGGGCAACAACAACAACAAAAAATGCAGATTAGAAAAGCTTAGTAACTTGCCCAAATCAGAAGCATAATAAATAACAAAGTCAGGATTTAAGCCAACCAGTGCCCAGCCTGGGCAATGAAGCAAGACCCCCGTCTCTACGAAAAATTTAAAAATTAGCCAGGTGGGATGGCATGCATCTGTAGTCCCAGCTATTTGGGCGGTTAATGTGGGAGGATCGCTTGAGCTCAGAAGTTCAAGGCTGCAATGAGCTATGATAGCATTCCAGCTTGGGCAACAGAACGAGATCTTGTCTCTATTATATATATATTTCCCCAAAAGACTAATATGGACTCCAGGAGTATTTGCCAGAAGATTTTTTTTTCTGAAATTACAGAAAGAAGACAAAATCTTTTTGTCTTAAATCTTTTCTGTTTTACCAACATTAAAACAGAAGAAACCTAAGAACAGCCCCTTGGTCAGCAAAAGAATGTTCTAAGGTGATGGCTAAGATAATATTTTATCAGTCTTTAAGAGAAACGCAATATTCCGCATAGTTGAATATCCAGATAACTTGAAGATTATCGCTGAAGTAAAAGGCACTTTTATGGAAATCTTTCTAAAACATTAGATATTTATATTCCTGTATTCTTAAACAGAAAATACCATATTCTTGATGGTTTATTATGAGATCATCGTTATGAATATTAGTAGTAATAATGGGCTGCAATTCAATTATCTTTGGGTTGGGGAGGTATTAAACTCATTAGGGCTTTTTGATCTTGCATTCAAGGACCCCAAATACCATGTCTTCCAGGTCTCCAAGTCTGCTTTTTGTATTTCTTTTCTTCCTGTTCTCTGCTATTTTTGTCCTTGTTGCTTTCACCCTGCTTCTAGTCTTCTTCCTCATTTTATACATGGTTGGCTTATGGAGGATCTCAAAGTGACTCCATGCCTTGCCAGGGTTCAGTGTGAAGGCCCCCACCGCCACCACCACCTTTCTCTGAGTTGTGGGGTTTTTTTTTTCAACTCACTTCCAGGTTCAGATGACTGAGGTTGATGAAAGACCTCTGATTAAACGTACAGTTACTCTGTCCCTTTTTAAAAATGCTTTTTTAAAAAAAATGGAATGTAGATTACTGAAGAAGTTTTACTTTATTCATTTAAGAAGTTAAAAGGTACCATACCCTTTCAAAATTAAATATTAACAAATAATGGACAAGGAAGGAAAAAATTGCATGACTCTTTCAAAAAGTAAAATAGACCCATGTTTTCCCTTTGGAACACTTTGTCTTTGAAGCCCTTCAAGCTCAGAGTACTTTTTTTTTTAGTAGTGGGTCTATGTTGCCCAGGCTGGTCTCAAACTCCTGGGCTCAAGCAATCCTTCCACCTCAGCCTCCCAATGTGCTAGGATTACAGGCATGAGCCACCGTGCCTAGCCCCAAGTTTAGAGTATTTTTAAAAATTACTAATTTAAGTTTCTTTGCTAAGAAAAGAGAACCTAACATTTGATGTAATTTTTTCATTATTCCTGCTGAGTAGATAGATATTGGACATAAAATGAACAATCACATATATTATATATAATAAAATTATATTGTTAGATATAATACATGTATATATATATATATGGCATTATTGTTAATCTATATTTTCTTAGTATTTGTATCTTGCCTGTCTCAGTTATTTCATGTTCTCATGTTTTAACATAGTGTCTAACTCATCATGTTCTAGCTTTCTGGTATTCCCATTATTTTAATCCACTATCATTTTGTTTCATTAGTCTCCTATTTGAGCATTTAATTTGTTTTATAATTTTTTTCCTGTTCTTCTGAATTAATCCTTTGGGTCTAAACAAGGACCTTCATGTTATTGGCCCAATAAGAAATCCAAACACAGTTAGAACAGAGAATAAAGGAAGAAAAAGAAAAAGAGAATCGGTATGAGACAAATGAAAGAAGAGTCTGGGGCTATGTTTTCTCCTGAGAAGATGGCATCTTCTATATAAAACGCCGGTAATGGCATCTGTTCTTCTGCATATGCTGAACAACACTGTGATTCAGGTGAAGATTGTTTTTTTCAATGTGATTTCACTTTTGCCTAGATTATTTAAATGCAGAGCAGAATCAGAAGGCAGTGCTTTCTAGGACAACTCTCATTATTTCTACTGGAGCTTTACTTTCATTTAAAAAAAATCTGTCTAAAAGAAGCAAAGAAACAGGTACCTTTATATTACCAAAAGCTTTAGGGCATCTTTAAGCTTGAGGAAGAAAAGAAAACCTCTTTCTTACTCATTGTAATATCCCTAGCACAGTCACGGGAGCATACCAGGTAAAATCAACACAGTCACAAGGCAAAGTGGGGATTCAATGAACACTTCTGAGAGCAATGCCTGCTGGCAGGGAGGGTGTTCCTTTCCCTGAAGGAAATCACTTCTCTTTACTGTACACAGACTTATGGATGGAAAAGTTTCAAACATCTGATAACACCCAGTTCCTAAGGAATGTGCTCAGGAACAGCTGCTGACTGAGGATGATTTAGGGCAAAGGTGAAAAGAAATGCTCTGACATTCTCATTATCTGATTATTAAGGAGATTTTAAAAATACTTATTATTTTAAAAACTCATAAAAGAAATGCATAAAGAAATGGCTGAATGTCAAGAAAGGAATTACCACATCTAGGCCAGAAGATAGTCTGATATAGGTCAAATTTCATAAATTCATATTAGCATATTCCTCACTGAGAGGAGGCTGGGGTGAAAACTGACCTATATAATTTTAAGTGTGTCTACAAGAGCTAAAGACCAAGATAAGATATAGGAAAAAATTAAAGGATTTGTTAGTTTTGCAGAAATTGTCAGGGTTTCTATAGCATTATAATGGCAAAATCAAATATGCATCTTTTTCAAAAAGAACAGCAAAAGGCATCTAAAGCATTGGCAAAAATGTTTTTCTCCAACAAAATAATTATGATATATGAAAGTCAAAAGATCCCCAATTTTTGATATGATGTGATATATATGATAGAATATCTATTTTTATTTCAATTAATAAAGGTCTAGAAAAGTTTAGCTGGGGTTTGCAAGGACATCAAAACAAAGGAACAATAGAGCCATTAGAAGCTACAAGCCTAGGCTGGGCGCAGTGGCTCACGCCTGTAATCCCAGCACTTTGGGAGGCTGAGGCGGGTGGATCACCTGAAGTCAGGAGTTCGAGACAAGCCTGGTCAACACGGTGAAACCCAGTCTCTATTAAAAATACAAAAATTAGCCGAGTGTGGTGGCGGGTGCCTGTAATCCCAGCTACTCAGGAGGCTGAGGCAGGAGAATTGCTTGAACCCGGGAGGGGGAGGTTGCAGTGAGCTGAGATCGTGCCGTTGCACTCCAGCCTGGGCGACAGAGTAAGACTCTGTCTCAAAAAAAAAAAAAAAAAAAAGTCACAAGCCTGAAATCAAAGTCAGGCCTGTGAATCAAGATGGGCTAAGTTCTCTTAATTTAACCCCCAATATGCTTCCCCAATACAGCTCAGTAACACAGTTCTGAAAAACATTATAAGAATTTCTTTGAACAGGGCATTAGATCTTTGAACAGGGCATGTCTAGTCACAGCAAATGCATAGAATGCCATTTCAAAGACAGACACTAAATTAAAAGGAAAGTTAACAGTCTTGCTTATTTTACGGATTTCTCCTACAAAGAGTGTCAGATCCTTTATTAATGTTATAAAATAGTGTTTGAATAACCATTGCCTAAGTAAAATGTCACTATTATAAATGATATTCTGATGCCCTCAAATATTCTAGAATTCATTTAAATACAGGTATTGAATATTTTGTTATTCATATAAAAGTAAAATGTTTGACCTATTCCTAATTACGATATTAATATAACAATCAGCGTGACCACATATAATAGTGGAAATCTACATACATATGCCATTGGATTTCAGTCACAGGGCCCAGGTTCTAGCTGAAATTCAGCAGAGCATCATCTGCTAAGTTAAATAGGAAGGGAAAAGCAGCAACTGGAGCCCCAGAAATCTTTGTTTTCATTCCAAGTTACCATGAAGAAATATGATGGCTCAGGTTTTATACAGTCAGGAGTGACAAAAAGGCACGCACGTTTGATGTGGACTTCTACGTGGTCCCCACAAGCAGAATTGGATTGTCAAAGCTCTACTCATCTTCCCTTTATTTTTCCTGTTCCCTCAGCCACCAGCACCAAATCCTAGAGCCGTATTTCATTTTTCAGTGAACACCCTGGGAACAGTCATCGCTTTTTACAGGAATCGGACTCAAAAGAAAACACAGTCCCTAAGTAAGTTAAACAGTTCAGTGCACCAAGGAGATTTATCAGAGAGAGAGATCTGCCTAATGAAAGTAACCTCCTAACTACGATATGGGAGACTGCATTCACTGTCTAGTCAAAAAACATACTGCCTCTGATACAGGAGGAAGACAGCAATCTAGCACAGCTAAGATTGGCAGGAAACAAAATGCTGTTCTTAGAAGTTCTGGTATGAAAGAATTCTGAAGGATTTCTGTAATCAAAACAATGATCAAAGTTCACCATGATGCAAGAATTCCAGTACGTCAACTCAAGGCAAGTAACAAGACCAAGTTTGCATGCAGTTACTAAAATACAACCTTGGCCAGTAAAAATTTGTGCCAACCTAGACATAGTTTTCACCTATTTAATGAAAAATAAGAAAATATGATGTTCAGAATGGAAATGGTTTTCATGAGGAAGGCTGTTGCTTCTCTCAGAAGCGGTCACCTTAGTCCAAAGCTTGTTACTTAGACTTCATTTGGTGTTGGCAGAAATTACCACTAACTGGCAAAAGGAACTGAGAAGAGAATGACAATATGGTGCCTGTATATGCAACTGCCACAGAGCCCAGTGTTTTGACATTGTTACTGAAACAAACTCAACTATTTATGAGAGCTACATTGAATCAGACAGTTGGTGTGGCAGAAAAAAACATCTGTTTCTGAAGTCTTTTTGTCTAGAAAGTCACTAAGAAAGGAGGAGAATGTACAGCAATCCCCAACACAAATACCTCCAAAAAACCATAAATAGCATTGTCAAGTAGGAACAGATACCTCCCGCCCCCATTATAACAACACCCAGCAGACTTGGTTACTTAGGAGCCTCAGATGACGCATCACTGTGGACAGCAATCTCTCTTCTGGATAGTTCAAAGTTTCCCTCCTCACACACTGAAAAAGGTTTTTTTAAAAAATTATTTTGAGTAACATACCTTCAGACCCTTTTGCCTTCTTAAGCAGAGAACATGAACAAAATTAAACTTTTTTCTTGATCTCTGGATCATGAAAATCAGACAGTTTAACAGGCAGTGGTGAACTGTCTCCCACACCATCATGGTTCCAGGACCAGCAGCACTGGCATCACCTTGACAGAACTGCAAATACTGTACTCAGACCCCTCCCAGACCTATTAAATCAGATATTCTTGGGGCAGGGCCACGCTATCTATGTTTAAGCAAGCCCACAAGATGACTGTGATGGAGGCTAAGGTTTAACGACCAGTGTCAGCTACTAAATGACTCTAAATTGCTGCGCTCTGAGAGTTTTCTGTCTGCTTTCAATGGGTTTTCCTACTACTTGCTATTATTATTTATTTCTGCCCACCAGGTAGCTGCCTTTGTTAGTTCTACTCTCTTCTAATTTGCTGTATCTAATCTGCTATAAGCTTAGAAATCAGTTGTTGCAGTTGCTAAAATCACATATACAATACAAATAGGTAGGATGAAATGAGTAAACAACTGCTTAGGAATGGGAAAAGCACCGCTATGAGGAAAGTGCACAGTTCCAGGACATAGATTTTGAGTATCTATTTTGGTTATGTAGAAGTCTTTTCCACTTATTTCCTCAACTGCACAGTACTTCCTTGAGTCTACTCATCAGGAGAAGAGGTTGCTGGATACTGAATTCTGGTCGATAAACACGTTTCTGTAGTTTACAAGTGAGTAACTGCAACATTTATCTTAATATTTTTCATAGAAAGTATTACCACTCATTAAATATTTGCTATGTGCCAGGCACTGTGCTAAACATTTTATATACATTATTTACTTAGCTCCTCACAACATGATGCAAGTATTATTAGCCCCATTCTAGATGAGAAAACAGAGGCAATTTGCTATTGAGTAATCTGCTTAAGACCATAGGGCTATTAAGAAGCATGGCCAGAACTCAAGTTCGCTGGATTTCAAAGCCAAACAATTTTACCTATTTTTATTAATATCTCTTGACCATGCAGGAAAGAGACAGCCAGGCCGGAACTCAAAACTTAGAAGACAGAGACACAGAGAGGGAATGAAAGCCACAGAGAGAGAAAATGAATCTCAAGAGGAGGACAGGACTGTAATAAGCCGTCAGTATTTAAAGATGCATAGATAGATCCTTCCTAGGAAATAATCAGGAAGACAAGTGACTCAAGTCATGCCATTCTGTCTGGAAAGCCAAAGCCTGCCAGTGTCCCTGGTAAGAGAGGTCCCCTGTCCTCCTCCCACACACTCACTGTGGGGCCCTCTCAGCACTATCTCTGCTTCCTACCTGGTCCACATTTTGGGTAGCCTTAATGGATTTCCCAATTTACTTCCCACAGGGGCCAATATTCCCTTTTATAGCTTGCTTTGGGGTCTTTACAGTTATTATTTAAGCTTGTTTAAAACACACATCATCTTCTTATTTGCAGACATCATGAAGTTAGAATCTTCCAGCAGAAGACTGAAATACTGTAACTGACAGTAACTGACCATCTGGAACACTATAAATGTCTTCTTTACTTCTTACTTTGTTTATTTGTTTGCTTGCTTGCTTTAAAAAAAAAAAGTAAAAGGAAAGATTTCAAGTTGTCTTTCTTTTAGCCCAAGATTTTGCTAAACATACGGTAGCACTATGATACGTTGTGTGGTGCTCTCTAGAACACTGAATATACAAACAGATGCTATAGGTGGATATGAAATAAGTCACACTAGGCATGCTGAAAGAGGTTATTTAAGAATGTGCTCATCAAGCATCAAGACACACCCTGTATCTTCTTAGACCCCTTCTCCTCCTTAGAACTCCTGGGAAAACTCCATTTCTTACCTTGTCCCCATTTCTTACATCGTCCCCACTTCTTACTGGGGAAAATCAGACGTAAACTTTGTATTTTAATAATTTGGTTCTAATCCATATTTAATCACATAAATGGGCCTCTGCTTTCTAAATTTCAAACAATCCCCTTTGATTTGGTTCTTTGAAGAATCTATGGTCATTGTGGAGGTATTTCAGGAAAAAAAATGTATTCTATAAAGTACCTACTGCAATGACTGAATTGAGAGGTAAATCCAATTATTTCATAAGCAAGGTATCTTAGCATTCTGATATAACACTCATGCCAGGGGAAATGTAAGCAGGACATTCAAAGCCTTTTGCGTTTTGATAAGATGAAATGTAAAGGGAACACAAGTATCCAAACTTTCTCAATTGGTGGCACATAAAAGTGCTTTACTGATGTGTAAATGTTTCTGTTGTTTACATAGTTGGGTTAGAGGGTGGCTTTCTGCTTTTCCACACTTCAAGAACGAGTTTTTTGGGCTGATTCCTCGATGAAAGGTAAAAGGTAACCATCCAGCTTGGGCTTCTAGTTCCCAGCAGATCAATAAGGAACAAAACTTGAGTCCCTTTTGACTCTGCTGTGGCCTGGTCCTCTTTGGAAGCCAATATTTAACAGTAGAGTGTATTCATCAGCTCAGTCTGTCCCTCAAGAAGAACTCGCCTTCCTTCTCTGTCCACCTATCAGCAAATCACCACTTCTCTCTCCTGACCTTCATCCCTACTCGCCTTACCAAAAACAACAGAACAACAGCTATGCCCTAAAACTGAGGGGAGACTTATAAGTTTTGTTTCTTGAAGCTCTTCTAATTACTAGAAGGTCTTCTCAAGGCCCTTTTCAAATTGCTGGAAGGCTCCAAAGATTCCAAACTTTCCATCTGCTGAAAATGAAGATTCTTTCACCCAAATCACTCAATTACTCTTTAAATTGAAAACAGAGATGACATTTTTCTAATCACCACCAGTCAGTCTGGATTGAGGTCGTCTCTGCCTTTTCACGGACATGTAAAGTCACTTGTGGGGTAAAACTCTTATCCATGAAGTTGTCTCTACCATTAAATGCCAAGACCTAGTAGCAAAACAGAAGTATAAACTTGCTTTTCTACAGAGTAAAATCCAAAAGCCACTGTGTGAAGTTACATATAGTGAGAGATGTGAAAAGTATACATTAAATTAACATTGAACACTCAGTTGTATTTGGACTTACGGTTTGCTTTTTTTTTTTCCCCGAGAAAAATTTCATCAAGGTAGAAGCCGATCTCTCTAGTATTTATTTTATAGAAGCGGAAAGAAAAGAAGTAATTATTGTACATATCAGCTGGCTCTACTGATGGTGCTGTTTCTCATATAAAACACAGCCCATTCTTTCTGCTTTTGGAAACCAGGAGCAGCCTTTCACCCACAGAGCTGTAACTTTTCAAAATCAACACTTCGTGGCTTTCCCATCTTCAAGACCTTCTGGAATAAACTCGATGCAGACAGTCTCTGCTGACCTTCACCACTTGTCAGACTAGCAAGGCTAGCAGAGTTTGTTGTGAGAATTTGGACCCTGACTCATCCACATTAAGGTTTTTGAACCCACTCTGGAACAGACCTGCCTTATGTCTCTCCTAGGCTATCAAAAGTTACAAGTTGTATTCCCTCTTTAAAAAGTAATTGAACTCATGAATATCAAAAGCTATAGACCAATTGAATCCATGTGAGATTATTCTCATCATAAAAAGGGTTTTCCTCTGCCCAGCCCACCTCACCACCACGATTCCCAGCACCTCCATCAAACAGGAAGGTCCATAAGGAAACATACCACAGCACCGCTCCTGGCATGAAGAGGCTGCTCAATAAATATCTGCTCCATGCATAAATGACATCCTAACTTTACAAAAGGATTTACTCAAAGTTTTCCTCATTTGTAAGAGCTTACACAGACCTCTGATATGTGCAACTGGTGTGCACACTGTTACTGGTGACTGACCCACACACAATTTTCAGAAACACATCCATGTGTCCACTAACCAGACCAAAAAAGATGTGTGAAAATAAGTGAATCAGACATATGAAACTTCCCAGATTAGACCTTTGCTTTTCAAAACTGGTGTGTATGAGAAGTGAATGAATTTGAGCAGCAAACAGACCTGAGTATGAATCACAACTTTGTTATCAAACAGGACTGATAATCACTCTAGCCTTGGCTTTCTAACAATGAAGGTGGGGATAATGCCTTTGAAGTTGCTGTCAGGAGTAACTACATCATTAAGTAGCTAACATAGTGCCTTATTGCATAGAAGACATGGAATAAAGGCCAGCTCCTGATATGTGCAACAGGTTCCCTGGATAACGTTGGCATCGCTCTACTTGCTGTTCTTGACAGAGGTTTTAGAAAGCACCATTCTGACACTTAAAACCCAGAGTGCTCCCTAATGAAGTACAGACTTCTCAGGCCACACAAGTCAGCTTGCCCAATTTGACATGTATGTGGAAAGATGTGCCCTAGGAATTAATCTCAGAGCAGGGAATTCCAATTTAGTTCAGAATACAAGGATATCCACAAAAACAGGAGCAGGAAAAAAAATCGTATTGCTGAAAAATGACTCTATTTCCTGCAAGGTCACCAGAGGCAGGGAATATACACAGCACAGGAGGCCTGTGTGGACCTGGCCTAGAATAGCCAAACACTTGTCAGGCAGTGCCAGGACTGCCCCAGATCTACCTATCCCACCAACTGCTGCTTCCTTTCTGGGAGAACCCATCCAATTTAAGTCTCAATTAGTATCAGTTTGAACCTAATATCTGCACATCTGTGTTGAGAGATGAACTGCAAATCTTTTAGTGCCAATTTTTCAGATACAGAATGAAAGGGATTTTATACCACACAGGCTATTTTTAATCTCAAAGGTTTCCAATCTTTTATGTAAATGGGTTAGGGCCAGCATGACTTCTACGAGCAACCGCAACAATAATGTTCATCTATGAATCCCTGAATAATACATTTTGGCATGCCTTTTCTCCAATATTAAAGCTTTCTGGAATATTTTCACTAGTCTGGAAGCAGGAAGAAGAACTCAGGATAGTAATCAATGAAGTCACTAAATGATTCAGCCCTAGTGGGCCATTCAGAACAAATTTTAGGGGTGTGTGTGTGTGTGTGTGTGTGTGAGTGAGAGAAAGAAACAGAGAGAGAATAAGAAAGAAGAGACATAGAAAAACATCTAAGACTCTCAGAAAGGATTTAATTTACTCTACTGCTCAGGGATATGACTTGAGCCCAGTTATCAAAATGGCCAAGAGTTTGCAAATCTGTCACACAGATTCTAGAGAAGTGCTTGGGATAGCCAACAAGGTTAGGGAGGGAGACAGCATACGTATTATTTACAATAAAACTTGCTAACAATGTCTATATGTAGTTAAATTGTCATGTCCTAGGATATAAACATAATTAAGGTGGGGAGGGGTATGGTTGATAGAATTAAGTTCCTAAAACAGCAGAGTTTTCTGTATTGTCTCAATATTTAAAAAGCATACTCAATGGCCAAGATTAGGCAGCTAATTCTATTTGTGATAATAAATATAACATAAGTCTGAATTTCTTCCCACATTTAAAGCTTTCAAACATTTAAAATGTATATTTCAGGTAATACATAAATGTCAATCTTAATCTTTTTTTTTTTTTTTTTTTTGAGATGGAGCTTCACTCCTGTTGCCCAGGCTGGCTGGAGTGCAACAGCACGATCTCTGCTCACTGCAACCTCCGCCTTCCAGGTTCCAGCAATTCTCCTGCCTCAGCTTCCCAAGTAGCTGGGATTATAGGCATATGCCACCACGCCCGGCTAATTTTGTACTTTTAGTAGAGACAAAGTTTCACCACTGCCCAGACTGGTCTCGAACTCCTGACTTCAGGTGATCCACCTGCCTTGGCCTCCCAAAGTGCTGGAATTATAGACGTGAGCCACCGCACCTGGCAATCTTAACCTTTCTTAATCTGCTTTTTGTGAACAGAAAGGCCTTTTCTGACTTAGCCTTGGAAACCTTGGAAGTCACACAGCATCACTCCCACGTATTTTCTTGGTCCAAGTGGTCACGAGCCCACCCAGATGCAAGGAGACATAGACCTCACCTCTCAATGGGAAGAGTGTCAACTAGTTTTGGTGCCATGTTTTGCAACTGCCGCAGTGGCTTTATTAATCTTTGCATTCTCTATAATCTTTGCAGATACTTTACTCTCCCATCAACCTGAGCACACACAGGCTTTGTACACAGTAAATGCTTTGGAAAGCATATCATGAATTATTTTCTCAAGGGGAAGGTACAGTATGATCACTAACTTGAAGGCACTCACAAAGGAATTTTCAAAGACATGTAGTGGGTGTGAGTGCTTAAACAAGGGTCTCTCTCTACCTAGGCACTTTTCAGACTGATTGAGTCATTTCTTAAATTTGCAAGAGAATGCAAACAAGCACTGTTCTGGAAAGAGAACTCTACCAGGAGCTCACTCTCCCAGTGTTAGAATGAAACGAATATGGATTTAAATCCTAACCCGGTCACTTCCAAGCTGGACTTTAAAATATATTACTTTACCTCTCTAAAATCTGTTTTCTCATTTTTAAAACAATAACAAATAATATCACCTATCTCATATTGCTGTGAGGATTTAATATGTAAATACCTATAAAAGATGAAGAGCAGAGCCAGGCACATAGTGGCACTCAATAAATATGTGTTGTTTTTGTATCATTATTACTATTTGAAGAGTCTTAGGCCACTCTCTAGTACATAGTAAGCATTGAGTTAATGTTAGCTATTAATGTAATTAGGACCCACTACCCTCGCTTTGTCTGGTTTCTATCTTCCTCTCTACCTCCCTATTGCAACCAAACATTGAAAGAGTTGCTGACGAATTTTATAATTTGACAGGTCAAACTTTCTGAACTTCTCATTCCTCCCTTCTTTATATTCTGAAAAAGGTGAAAAAGAACAATGGAAATACCACAAGATGGGTAGCTTTTAGAAAAATCAGGTTTTCTAAGTAGCTTGAATAACCACATAATCAATATGTGATTCTATCAGCTTCGACTTTACATGGGAAAAAAATTTCACCTTGATTATTGCAACTTCAAAACATTTCTGTCCCATAGTAGAAGGGGAAATGTGGAGTCTTTTGACTTGGTTGCACTATGCAGGGGCTGGCTTTTTCTCTAGTAGTCAAGATTGCGCCACTGCATTCCAGCCAGGGTGACACAGCAAGACTCTGTCCAAGAAGAAGGAGAAGGAGAAGGAGAAGGAGAAGGAGAAGGAGAAGAAGAAGAAGAAGAAGAAGAAGGAGGAGGAGGAGGAGGAGGAGGAGGAGGAGGAGGGGAAGGAGGAGAAGGAGGAGAAGGAGGAGAAGGAGGAGAAGGAGAAGGAGAAAGGAAGAAGAAGGAGGAGGAGGAGGGGAGGAGGAGGAGAAGGAGGAGAAGGAGAAGGAGAAAGGAAGAAGAAGGAGGAGGAGGAGGGGAGGAGGAGGAGGGGAGGAGGAGGAGGAGGAAGAGGAGGAGGAAGAAGAAGAAGAAGAAAAAGAAAGAAGAAAGAAGAAGAAGAAGGAGGAGGAGAAGGAGAAGGAGAAAGAAAGAAAGAAAAAGAAAGAAAGAAGAAGAAGAAGGAGGAAGAAAGAAGAAAGAAGAAGGAGCCGGGATGCATTTAGTAGCAGAAGGACTACAGAATAGAATACATAGTAAAATCATACCATGGAGAAAGATCGAACTGGAGTCCTTAAAAAAAAAAAAATCTAGGCTGGGCATGGTGGCTCACGCCTGTAATCCCAGCGCTTTGGGAGGCCGAGGCTGGCGGATTACCTGAGGTCAGGAGTCCCAGACCAGCCTGACCAAAATGGTGAAACCCTGTCTCTACTAAAAATACAAAAATTAGCTAGGTGTGGTGGTGCACACCTGTAATCCCAGCTACTCAGGAGGCTGAGGTAGGAGATTTGCTTGAACCCGGGAGGCACAAGTCGCAGTGAGCCAAGATCACACCACTGCACTCCAGGCTTGGAGACAGAGCGAGACTCCATCTCAAATAAATAAATAAATAAATAAATAAATAAAAATCTAAAAAAGAGCCAGACTCTAAGTTTTGTGAGGACAAGGACACTGTCTTGGTCACCACTGCATTTCTGATTCCAGCTTCAATATTTCCCACTTAGCAAGTGCTTCAGAAATACTTGTTGAATGAGTAGCATACATTCATGTTAAAATAAATGGTTGGGAAAAAATCTCTTCATATTTTAGCCCAAGTACTTTGGTTTTGAGGCCTACAGACAATCTCATTTTAATCTTTAGTAAGCCTGTTTTGCCATCATTAAAATGCTTCTCTTTGAAGGTGAGCTTACTTTTTCAGTTCACTGATGAAGATATTCAGAATAAAGTAGAACACACTCTAGAAGAACAAAAAGAGAAAAGCTTCAAAACTGAAAGCAGAACCCACAAAGAAAAGGCAGACAAACTGCCTTGTAGCATCTCTACAACTGACACCCAAGAACCGAAATGAAACTGAATTTGTTCAGCAAAGCCCAAGTCAGAATCATAAAAACTCCTCGAAATACTACAAATGGCACCTATGTGACAATGAACAGTTTTAAAGCCTCAACACTCAGTGGACAAATGCCTTCAGATGAGCCACTTCAGAAGGTAGGACTCCTACCTAAGGCAACTTCTTCATACTTTAGCTTATTATCTTTATTCGAACTTGATTGAGACTTGCACACACACAAATGACTTTTCCCCTCTCCCTTTGGTTAAGATAGTCATCCATTAAACATCATTAGGAAGTAGAAAGGCCCCTTCCCTCTCCAGAGGGGAACCTCCTCTGTGCTAATAACCACACAGCTAGGTCTGGCCTTGCAGCCACCTTGCAATGTGGCGCTGGGGTCTTCGTGGGCACTGCCAAACTTCCCACAGCAGATAATAATGTGCCACCTAAGGAGGAAGGCAGCATTTTTCTGCCCTGAACTCCAGCTTCCAGGATCACTCGCCTAGGTCTCATCTTCTGAAGCCTCCTTTGTCTATCGGATGCATACTGTGCACCTTGTCATTGTTGGGAGGACAAAAACAACTGGCGTTTCTCACAAGCTGTCTGAAAGAGCTGCTGCAGACGACCCATGTGTGCACAGACTCCGCACACACTCTCTCTCTTTCTCTCCCTCTCTTCCCCTCAGGAACACCATCTGAGAGAGCTGCATGGCTGCCCAGAACTTGTCCCATCCAGCTGACTCCACCAGCCTTTTCCTTCTTTAGCAAGGAAATGGATCTCCAGAAGACACATTCCTGCAGCTCCATGAAACCATCCAGGCACAGATACTTGCCCAGCTTTTTAATTTTACAGCTTTTACACTGAGGTGACACCCCTGTCCCCAGCCCTGCTATCGTGGACATTCCCATTAACCCTGTTAGTTTTAAATGTTAAAAACAGAGAACTCAAGACATCTACTTTTTTAATGTCAAGAAATGCAAAGTG
Organism: Homo sapiens; assembly: GCF_000001405.40. NCBI lineage: Eukaryota > Metazoa > Chordata > Mammalia > Primates > Hominidae > Homo > Homo sapiens. Next base: position 140,071,555 of record NC_000004.12, read on the forward strand.
GCCTATGATAATAAACATAAACACATACATAATAGCCCAGGACTTAAAAACAAATCCCTTCATTTCTTAGACCCACAGCCACATAGATCTCACAGTTTAAAAAAAAAAAAAAATCCACAGTGAAACGTATCAGCGTACATTCTCTTTCAGATCCAATACACAGAAAATCTTTACACTTATAATTTTACAGGGACCAGGATTAGAGAGAGAGAGAGAGAGAGAGAGAGAGAGAGAAGGCACGCATCTGCTTTATGTTCTCAGTGACCAGCTGAACAGATGGTCAAGAATATTGTTAGTTAAGAAAGCTCTCATTCATGATCAGAAAGTCCCTTGGGCAGGCTGGTGTGGGGTGCAAGAATGTCCTAGAATGTAATATTTGAAGAATGTGTTCATGTCTGAGATATGAACCCATGTGGTGGACGTGGGGGAGGAAGGGGGAGAACAGACAGCCTGTTGTGATCCAAAAAGCAACCACAAGTACCTCAACATTGGTTTGTCACCCAGACACTTCCGGCTTTCATTCCACCCACTCCCTCAACAGTATTAAAAGTGAAGAAAACCATTGATAGGTCTCAGTAGCTGCCATAATCCTTCCTTCTCTAGACATGAGTGCAGTCAGCCCTCCGTATTCATGGATTCTGCATCTGTGGATTCAACCAACAGATATTCCAAATATTTTCCAAATATTTGAAGGAAAAAATTATGACTGTACTGAACATGTACAGACTTTTTTCTTGTCATTATTCTCTCAACAATACAGTGTAACAACCATTCACATAGCATTTACATTGTGTTAGGTATTATAAGAAATCAAGGGATAACTTAAAGTATACAGGCCAGGCGTGGTGGCTCATGCCTGTAATCCCAGCACTTTGGGAGGCCAAGGTGGGCGGATCACCTGAGGTCAGGAGTTCAAGACCACCCTGACCAACATAAAGAAACCTCGTCTCTACTAAAAATTCAAAATTAGCCAGGCATGGTGGCGCGTGCCTGTAATCCCAGCTACTTGGGAGGCTGAGGCAGGAGAATCGCTTGAACCTGGGAGGCAGAGATTGTGGTGAGCCAATATCGTGCCATTGCACTCCAACCTGGGCAACAAGAGCAAAACTCCGTCTCAAAAAAAAAAAAAAAAAGTATACAGGAGGACGTCCGTAAGTTATATGCAAATACAACACCATTGTATATCAGGGACTTTAGCATCCCTGGATTTGGGTGTCTGTCAGGGGGTCCTGTAGCCATCCCCCATGGACACCAAGGGACAGCTGTACCTCACCAGTAGAAAAATATAAAAGGGAGGTAGAAGAGGATACGCTGCATGAAGTTGCCACTTCTTTGTCACTTCTTCTGGGCTAACACAGAAGATGTAAAAAGAAACAGGGGGTCCTATGTGTTCATCCCAATATGAGCATTTCCTGGGTGAAATTTCTCTAAATTTAAGTCGCCTCTCAACCTGACCAACAGAAAGTGTGTTTGTCTAGGGAGGGAGGAGGATGGCTGGTCATGAGCACTATAAAATCTATGGGAGAACTGGAAATCAACAAATCTGCAACCATCTGGCTTTCCATACCAATTTATATCCATGTTTTCTTTTTTTTTTTTTTGAGATACAGTCTCTCTCTGTCACCCAGGCTGGAGCGCAGTGGCAAGATCTTGGTTCACTGCAACCTCCACCTCCTGGGTTCAAGCAATTCTCGTGCCTCAACCTCCCAAGTAGCTGGGATTATAGGCGCCTGCCACCATGCCCGGCTAATTTTTGTATTTTTAGTAGAGACAGGGTTTCACCATGTCGGCCAGGCTGGTCTCAAACTCCTGACCTCAAGTGATCCACCCACGTAGGTCTCCCAAAGTGCTGGGATTACAGGCGTGAACCACCTCGCCCAACCCTTCACTTTTTCAACAAAATTTCTTATAGACTTCCATCAGAGAGACTCTGGTACTATAGATGAGTTCCCTGGTGTTTTGATCTTTCTCCCACCCTGCAGTGAGCACCTACTTCCTGGCTGTGAGGTATTGTGCCAGGCACCCACAGTATACAAGAGACATGAGATATGGGGATATCCATACCCTCCGCCTGCCATTTTGGGGACAGGGGGTGTATGTGAGTCAAGCAACATTCACAGCTTCTAAAGCTAGAAAAAATAGTCTTCAAAATAATCCATATGTTGCTTTTTGCAACTCATTTTAGTGCCTTGATTGGAAAGTTCTGAGGAGGATATTAATGAGAAACTGGGGTCACCAAAATCAAACAGGAGGCCTGGTTTGGAGCAGGGAGCAAAGTAATCAGAAAGAGGACACGTGGCCAGGTGTGGTGGCTCATACCTGTAATCCCAGCACTTTGGGAGGCCGAGGCGGGCAGATCACGAGGTCAAGAGATCAAGACCATCCTGGCCAACATGGTGACACCCCATCTCTACTAAAAATACAAAAATTAACCGGGCATGGTGGCGCTCACCTGTAGTCCCATCTACTCGGGAGGCTGAGGCAGGACAATAGCTTAAACACGGGAGGTGGAGGTTGCTATGAGCCAAGATTGTGCCACTGCACTCCAGCCTGGCGAGAGAGTGAGACTTCGAAAAAGAAAGAAAAAGAAAGAAAGAAAGAGAGAGAGAAAGGAAAGAAAGAAAGAGAGAGAGAGAGAAAGAAAGAGAAAGAAAGAAAGAAAGAAAGAAAGAAAGAAAGAAAGAAAGAAAGAAAGAAAGAAAGAAAGAGGACATGTGTACTATGAGGGAGAGGGTCATTATTCATCCCCAGCTATTCCCCAGCTTCTTCCTTCCTTGTACCTACCAGCAACCCCCTGGTCCTTTGAAAACATATAAGGCAGAATCCTCAGCTGCCACCACAAATGACCTCGGAAGGGTCAGCTAACAGCAACAGTCATACAGGTTGAACATTTTTAATTTAAAAATCTAAAATCTGAAATGCTCCAAAATCTGAAACTTTGTGAGTGCCAACATGATGCCCCACGTGGAAAATTCTGCACCTGACCTCATGACAGGTCGCAGTCAAAATACAAGCACACAACATGCAGTCTATTCCGCATCCCAGCTCTTCTGGTGATGCTACTGTGCTGCTTAGTTACCCTGAGCACATTAGTTTTCACTGTATTCATAGTATGTCATATTTTAGTGTTAAGTACTTATGTGTGTAAGTGTAAGAAAATGATTGCTTATAGGGGCCATATAAATTCACAGTCAGGAATGACGGTGATGCCAAACAACCACAGATGGCCCACATGGATGGCTGAGATAGTGACTCCTTTGCTTTCTGATAGTTCAATGTACACAAACTTTGTTTCATGCACAAAGTTATTAAGAATATTGTATAAAATTACCAGGCTATGTGTACAAGGTGCATATGAAGAATAAATGAATTTCGTGTTTAGAATTGGGTCCCAGTCCCAAGATATCTCATTATATATATGCAAATATTCCCAAATCCAGAAATATCCAAAATCTAAAACACTTCTGGTCCCAAGCATTTTGGATTAGAGATACTCAACCTGTAGTTTACTTTACTGAACGCTTATGATAGACTCAGCACTGTTAAGTGCTTTAGATCTATCATCTCATTTAATGCTCATAACATTTCTGTGAGGCAGGTTATTAGTGCCAATTTATCCATAAGAAGGCTGAAGTTTGGGAAATTTAAGCTATTTGGCCAAGGTCACATTGCTAGCAAGTGGCAGAGACAGGAATTTGTTCCAGGTTATGTCTCCTTCCAGTGTCAAGGTACTTTTCACCTGTCTGAGATTTTCCAAAATTAACTGCATTAAAGAATTAAGAAAAAAGTAAAATATAGATGTGTAGAAAAAAACAAGTTAACAAAATGCAAGTCTCTTGTGCTCTTAACATCAAAATCTAGATGTTTAGCAATTAATGAGTTCGCTAACCAATTTTCCTCATAGAGCGTTATAAAGAACATATATGTATGTGCACTTTATATATTTTAAAGCACAATGTGAAAGTTAAACATAGATACATATTATTTTATTTTATTTTTAGAGATAGGATGTCACTCTATCACCCAGACTGGAGTGCAATGGTGCTATCATAACTCACTGCAGCCTGGAACTCTTGGGCTCAAGCAATCCTCCCACCTCAGCCTCCTAAGTAGCTGGGACCATGGGCACACATCACCATGACTGGCCAATTTCAAATTTTTTTTGTAGAGATGACGTCTCCCTATGTTGCCCAGGCTAGTCTTTTTTGGGGGTGGGGGCGGAGGGGGACAGGGTCTCTCTCTGTCGCCCAGGCTGGAGTGCAGTGGTATGATCTTGGCTCACTGCAACCTCTGCTTCCCGGATTCAAGCGATTCTCCCACCTCAGCCTCAAGAGTAGCTGGGACTACAGGCATGCACCACAACAACCAGCTAATTTTTTGTCTTTTTAGTAGAGATGAGGTTTTGCCATGTTGGCCAGGCTAGTCTCGAACTCCTGGTCTCAAGGGATCCACCTGCCTTGGCCTCCCAAAGTGCTGGGATTACAGGCGTGAGCCACCACACCCAGCCTCCCTATGTTGCCCAGGCTGGTCTTAAACACCTGGCCTCAAGTGATCGTCCTGCCTCAGCCTCCCAAAGCCCTGGTATTAAAGGCATGAGCCACCACACCTGGCCCATTTATATATATATAATATAATATAAAAGTTATTATTTATTCTTTCTAGGAATATTCCCTCTCTATCCCCCAACCAAGGTCTGTGAAGATCAAATAAGATATTATGGGGACTAAGGATGCTCCCTTAGATATTTTCTCCAATATATTTTTAAGTTACCATTTTAATTTTGTACGTTCAAAGTGAAAATGCATTTTTTTGTAAAACAAGAGCAATAAAGCTCAGGCAAACTTCCTGGCTGGTGGAGATCTCAGGATAAGGTGTGAGCACGAAAAGGAGACAAATGAGACTTTTGTGGTTGAAATGAAAAAACTCTCCTCCATCCTGTACTGACTCTGCAGTTTTCTCCTGTCTCTTCAAAGTCTTAGGCTCCAGGCCCCTGGAAGTCCTGCTTCACCTATGCCTACTTCTCTTGCTGCCATTTGGTTTGCCTGATTTATTGAGGCTTCCAGAAAGTGCCTTTTCTTAGCTGCTGATTCTGAGCTAGTATTTGGCCTCTTTAACACATGGGCCTTTGTGTGGACACCATCTTTCCCTGAAACCTGTCTGCATCTTTTCTGTCCCTTCTAACCATCCAGTTTGTTCTTCCCCAAGATGGGCTGCCACAAGTTGCCATTTCCTGACTGGTGCATGGTTCCAGACAGCTCGCGGGCAGACACAGGGAAGGAATCTTATCTCGTTTTTGTTTTTTTGTTGTTGTTTTTGTTTTTTTCTTTTTTGTTGTGGTTGTTGCTGTTGTTTTGAAACGGAGTCTCACTCTGTTGCCAAGGCTGGAGTGCAGTGGCGCAATCTCGGCTCACTGCAACCTCCGCCTCCAGGGTTCAAGCAATTCACTCTGCCTCAGCCTCCCAAGTAGCTGGGATTACAGGCGCCCGCCACCACACCTGGCTAATTTTTGTATTTTTGGGGTTTCGCCATGTTGGCCAGGCTGGTCTTGAACTCCTGACCTCAGGTGATCCACCCACCTCAGCCTCCCAAAGTGCTGGGATTACAAGCATGAGCCACCGCACCTAGCAGGAATCCTATCTCCAACAAACATTTTCAAGTTCTTTAACCTGAAATGCCATAGAGAATCATTCTTGATCTCTCCATGTCTAAGCAGGAATCTTATCAACATAACTTACAAAATCAATGTTTCTGATTCATACAAAACTTCCCCCATCAGTACTGCCATAAAAGGAAGCAGAGGGTTGTTCCCTCCTCACCCAACAAAATCTTGCAGCCCCGCATCAAAGGCAGCCCTGAAGCATCACTCCACTGGGAAGGCCAATGCTTTCTTCCATCACGTTGCCCCCTTCTCAATACAACATTGAATTTTCGAGCCAAACAGATTAGAATTCAAATTCCAACTATCATAAAGTTCTGTGACCACTAAACCACTCCAAGCCTCAGTTCACTTATCCTCAAAGTGGGGCTGATGATAGATAGTAACTATCTTACAGTTGCGGTGGGGTTTGAGAGGCAGAATATATATCAAATCTTTGCACAGAGAACATAGAAGTAGGCTAGTATTATTTACCAAGGTAGCCACTATCCCTTTCTGAGCAAAGCAGGGTTAAAAATAAAGAGAGGGGCCGGGTATGGTGGCTCACGCCTGTAATCCCAGCACTTTGGAAGGCCGAGGTGGGCGGATCATGAGGTCAGGAGTTCAAGACCATCCCAGCCAACATGGTGAAACCCTGTCTCTACTAAAAATACAAAAATTAGCTGGGCATAGTGGCGGGCACCTGTAGTCCCAGCTACTCGGGAGGCCCAGGCAGGAGAATCGCTTGAACTCAGGAGGCAGAGGTTGCAGTGAGCCGAGATCGTGCCAATGCACTCCAACCTGGCAACAGAGCAAGACTCCGTCTCAAATAAATAAAAAAATAAATAAATAAATAAATAAATAAAGACAGGTTTTTCTGTTCCCAAACACTTCTGGAAATGAATCAGTCGCAACAGTCTTTCCTAGAAGTTAAGTCCTCCCTTCTTCACTCCCTGTCCTTGTAACAGGGTCTGAAAACAACAGGGATAAAAAGTATAGGCAAAGGACAAGAAGGCACCATAGCTCTAGCACCAAGGAAAAGGCATCAGATGTTTTGGTTTTAAGAAAAAAAATCACCCTCTCCCATACTAATAATTTCCAACTTTATCAAGCTACTAAACAGGAGCCGTACGACCCTTGCTTTACTTTAGAAATGGGAGAATGCTAGAGAAAAATAGGACTCTTTTAATCATTACTATTTGTATTACACTTTATGCCTCCCACACAGAGCTTTGAGGAAAGCTACAAGAGCTCAGGGCTGTTAATGTGACACCAGCGATGTTGTGGTAATCAGAGAAGGCCACTCCAAGCTTCTCTGCTTTCAGGGATCTCACTTGCCACAGGATGGGGGAGGGTGGGGCTGGAGGAGGGAGCCTGGGCGGAAGACCCAGAACTCCCTGAAGGTTTGATGAGCAATCTGTGCCTTCAGAACAACAGTAAAATGATGGAAAGCTAAAGATTCCTGGAAAAGAGGGACTAGAGCAAGAATTGACAAGGCAGGCATAAAAATGAAAAGAAAGCTAGAGAGTCAAAGAAATTAAGCTTTGTCTCCAGCTCCCATTGCCAGGATGAAAGGAACTTCTCCGTGCCGGACTCCAAGAAAAGGGACTCACCCTCCCAGCTCAGCACAAACTCCCAGGGCCCACCATGAGGGCTGGAAAGGAAAGGAAACAGAGGGGTCATTTCCAACCACCAGGCCTTAGAGACCATTGTCACAGGAGGAAAAAGAGGCAGCAGACAGAGAGAGAAAGTCTGGGTGGGTGTTAAATTATAATTATGTCTACAATGGTATATGAAAAACCTCGCAGGTCTCTGCTGATACAGATATGGGAAGTCCACCTTCTGAATCCCATGCTGGAGTTGATAAGAAGGAAGGCAAAAGCAGGAATCAAGAGCTCAGTGCCTTCTTTTATACAGTGCCCACCACTGGTAAGGAGACCTCTGACTCAGTTTCCAGAAAGGAAGGTAACCTCTTCAGCCATGATAGTCAACCGACTTTTTAAAAAAGGAATTTTAAATTAGGGAAAATTAGATTTGTGAATGAACATCCTTCTGAAAGGAGGAAACATGAAGCAAATTATAGTTCTATTAATTAATTAATTAATTTAAAAAAAATTTTTTTAGATGGAGTCTTGCTCAGTTGCCCAGGCATGGAGTGCAGTGGCACAATCTCGGCTCACTGCAACCTCCGTCTCCCAGGTTCAAGAGATTCTCCTGCCTCAGCCTCGAGAGTAGCTGGGATTACAGGCACCCACCACCACACTCTGCTAATTTTTGTATTTCTAGTAGATATGGAGTTTCACCACGTTGGCCAGGATGGTCTCAAACTCCTAACCTCAAGTGATCTGCCCGCCTCAGCCTCCCAAAGTGCTGGGATTACAGGCGTGAGCCACCACACCTGGCCATAGTTCTACATATTTATATTTTTCCTCCTTGCATTGGGAAACTAAAGAGTAAACAACTCCCATCCCCCCAAAAATCCTAAGAATACTAAAAAGCATTTAGTCAAGGTCTAACCATATATAAGAAAGTAGTTAATATTTCCCAAATGACCCCAGACCAAAGACTGAATTCTGCATTACTAATACCATGACCTTCTTATTTAGTGCCATTTATAGGCATTCAAAGCCAAAGAGAGGAAGTCAGCAATATATTAATTTTCTTAATTGTTATGTAAATGTCTCAGACTGACCTGTAAAATGTATGTACTCATAGAAGGTGTAATTCACTCTAAGATACAAACTTACTCTCTAAAATTGCAGTTGGTAAGCACTCAACATGGAGTTGAGAAAATGTTTACAAAATGCAAGACAGGTGTTTGGATTTATTTCAAATGTATTAATAAAAAATACGATACTCCCTTGAATGATGAATACGGAGTGTATGGCAGTTAATTTTGGGAAAAAGAAGTGCATGTAATCACTTACATTTTTGAAGTGAAGGTTAATCTGCAGGAAACGGGAAGTTAAGATGTGTAATTAACCCAAAGGTACACAATAGAAAGAATGGGAGGCAAAGACTAAAGAGGGAGCTTGAAGGAGCTAGCACAGAAATGCCTGCAGAAAAGGCAAACAGCTGAAATGTCTCTTCTTTAGGCTTTTTCACTCATTTAACCATCACAGACAGGAGCTCTACTCATGGGTCTGAATGTGCCCAAAGATGGTGTTACTCAAAGCATGGTGTCTGGACTTGGTTCTCATCCTTTAAACGGTAATGTTCCACACCCACAGGGCACAGAAATTTAAAAGTGCATGGTGAGAGGCCCACAGCAATCTGTAATTAAAGGAACATTCGAGCACATGATCACTTTTCTAGTAGTACATTTTTATTGTATTTTCTAAATGTAACAGTGAGAAATGGATTGGAAATAGAAGGAGAAGAAACTGGTCTTTCACCATAGGAAGTTTGCAGAGCACCTCTAAAAAACCTACCCTCTAAAATTGCAGTTGGTAAGCACTCAACATGGAGGTAAGAAAATATATGAAAACTTCCCGTTGTTCGGTTTCCACTCCAACTTATGTTTTCCCAATGCAGAGGCCTGCCTGGTTAGTATAGAAACTGATGAAAAAAGGCAGCAATGATGGCTATTTTTGCCTGAAACACTGATTCCACTAAAACCAACACCTGGCTTTATACTGTTGTGCTATTCCACATAAGGTAAAATCCCACTCAATCTTTTTGCTTGTTTGTATATAAAAAGAAATTCTGAATTGAGCAGGCGTCTATATAGAAAAATGGAATCCATAGTTTTAATTATTAAATATAGCCAAATATTTACACATCATTAAACACAAAATATATGAGCTGTTAGGTGGGTTCTTCCCCCTAACCCCCATGCCTTACTATGAAGGAAAATGTTACAATGCATAGACCACATTGCATTCTCTCACGTCTACTTTACTTTCTGTTTGAATATCTGTGGTTATAGCAACATCACTTTTTATCTGCTAAAAATATTTTAGGCTTCCTCTGCCTAGATTTTTCCCTCTGGAATTCTGTTTATAAGAGGTATGGGTATAAAAAAGAAAATAACATGTCTTTGTCAGGAGATTAAACACATTAAAAAAAAAACAAATATACATACACATTTGTACATGAACACAAAATGTAAACACACATCTACAACCTACACCCGAAGTTCCACAAGCAAAATCCTCATTAACTCACTGTCTTATCACTGAGAAGAAAAATAGTATATCCAAGGACCATAAGACAACACTCTCCTTATTTACCAATATCGTGCTTACTGAAATAAAGCTTTTTAGGTACTTCCTTGGTTATATTAAGCAAGTTGCTTTCAAGTTCAATAACATAAATGCAAAATTCACTAAATATGCAGGCATTGGTTGGCTGAAGAAGAGAGAGCACTGGGATTGGCTGAGCTAAGGGAGAAATAGATGAGGGAGGAATAAGTCAACAGTGCCCCAATTTGAGAAATTCTGTGAGTAAACATTGAAGTCTCATTGGCATGATTTTATCTAATGGCTTTAATATGTAGCCGCTGCTACAAATGCTGGGGTCATCTAATGGGGAGGGTAGGAAACAGACCTCACACTGCACAACACCAGAGGATGTGAACCGTCTAGGCTGCCCGTAGATCTCCATAAACAAGGCCTCTTCCCATCAAAGGCCACTGTGGAATGTAGCTGGAGTTGTTTATGCTTCTTTCTTTTTCTATTAGGTTTATTTTCCTGATGTTAAACCCTGTCAACTTTACTGCCCAGAAACCTATCTTCAGAATAGGACCTTCTGCTTTGAAGACTCCTTTTAAGAAATGTCAAGGGGCAGTAAACATAAAATAGGATCCATAGCACCACCAATGACACAAAAACAGGGCCAAAGCTAATCAGTCTCCTCCATAAAACACACACTCAGTCTTTTCTCCCTCTCACACACAGTAGCAGACCAATAAGATCTGCGGAGTGAATGTAAGCAACAGAGTAGGAAGCAGCTGAAAAGAAAGAATTCCTGCTGCGTTCTCCCCTTGTGCCTCTTTCACAGTCAAAGGGTTCAAGGGAAGAATGTTTTATTGCACACTGCTGTTCACCACTAGCAGTGCAAGTTTATTCTGCCCAGGGGCTCAAGTGGGACGAATCTGGTCATCTCCATATGTTCTCATAGTGAAATTCTTCTCGTTTTCCTTTCATTTTTCAGGCCTCGTCTAATTTAAAACAAACCACACAGACACACTGGCCAAAGCAGCGACTGCCTCTGAGAGGAAGGTGGGCCTGCAGTACTGGCTGGGACCACCTCCACATCTGAAGATGCTGTTTGCCTGTATTTGCTTCCCAGCGTCCTTCCTCCCTGCCTGGTTGCCTGTTGGGCCTAACATGGAGCTCTGCCCACAGTAGTGTCGTTACTATGGCCACTAGCCCATACCAAGGCATGGCCTTTGCAGTCCCCAGCATACAGCTCCCGACCTCACAGGCAAGTCCATCTCTATTGCTGTCAGGAAGTAAAAGTTCACACGGGGCGGGCACAAAGTCCTGCTCATCCCAAGGCACCAACGCACCCCCACCAGGCTTTCCCCAGAAGGCAACTCAACCACTCTAGGATTTTTTTTTTTTTTAAATAAACTGTATTAGGAGCTTGTCAGAAATCCCGAAGTTGGAGACCACTGTGAAACTCCTGGGTCCCACCGGGGCTGAGCTCGTACCAGTAGCCCTAAATTCAAAAAGAACCAGGGAAGGTTCTATTTACAAGTGAACTGGACTCATGATGCTCCACCAAGGAGGCAATCCCTGAAAACAGGCAAGGTTCATCAGCAACTCTAACCGCTCAGGGTGTGCTATTACTACTTTTTGAAAACAATCGTCTGATTATACAAACATGTATATAGTGCTTAACAGTTTACTCTGTATTCTTTCTATGAATAGTTTCATGTTTACAACAAATCTAGGAGGGAAAAGGATAGAAATTATTATCTCCATTTTATGGAAAAGAATCGAAGGCTCAGAACCTAGCTAGTAAGTAAAGAACCGCAAATAAAGCTCAGGTCTTGTCTGTCTCTTTCCACTACATTACAGCTCACCTTCTGAAAGAAGCTTCATCTTTGTGGCATCTGTAAAACATTTCCCCTATCTTTCCCCACATTGCCCACTCCTCTTAGGTGCTGGAAGAAAATGCCCACTACTTTTACACATATAACTAATACATGGTTGCTGCTCTGCAAATGATTTCTGAATAAATGAGCACTCCCATGCATGCCATTCCAATGCACAGTCACCCTTCTTGCCCTGGGCCAGATTTAGGGAGGTCAGGAGCATCTAATATGGAATCTTAAGTAGTCAGAAAAACAGGAAGGAATACAGATGGATATGTTCCTTGTTTGCACATAAATGCTATTTGGGCTTCTCAGACCTGACACTTGAGCCTTTCCTGAACCGTGTGCTTTTCCTAACATGCAGGTCTGCCTGTCAAATTTATGACATCATGCTACCATCCACTTTTCTGGCAACTCCAGTTATTCTTTAGTTTTACCTCTCAGTCTAACCAGAAGGTTCCCCTAAGTTTCCCCTGTATTAACTAGGCCAATTGATGTTTTGCCAACAGCAGGGTCTGGGTATTTTATTTTGTTTTAGATCCACTTGCCATTCTCTACCTCTCTCCCAGGCAGTTTACAAGCATTTGGCCCACTCCACTCCTCCTCCAGGCCTTAAGTTCGCCCCAACACACTGACTCCTGTAGGCTACAGAAAAGCCCAACGGCAAAAGAAACACCCTAGATTGAAACACACACGCGCGCACACACACACACACACACACACACACACACACACAGAGAGAGAGAGAGAGAGAGAGAGAGAGAGAGAGAGAGAATAATGGAACTCACCCTCCTGCCAGCAGAGAATGGCCAACCCCATCTCCCCAGTTCTGGTTATTTCTAGAAATCTGAAATCTATAATATGTCACCATCACTTAGCACTCAGTAAGTATTTATTGGATGAATGCATGAATGAATGATTACTATTATCTGATAATATGCACGTGAGAGAAACTTTATCAAACGCTTTCTGAAAATCTAAATTACTAGACAAGCAAAGGGCCGATGACTACTCAGGGATTTACCCTTTAGTGGCAGACACAACTTTACAGCCAGGCCTACTTGTCTTGTTACAATCACTTAAATATTTTATTTGTTTACAAAACTCTTCTCAACTATTTTTGATGGTTTGTTGCCACGTGCACAACCTAATGTGCACGTATACACAGGGAATGAAGGTATGAAACCTGGCACACTGCCACCCTAAATATCAGGCAGGCTCCTCAAAGACAACAGTAATGCTGTGTATTTCTTTATACATTTTCACTACTAGATCAGCCATTTGAAGGTTTATTTATTCCTAAATTCTTCAACTTCCTGTATCTGAGTATTTATGTCTCAGATTTCCCCATTACCTCCTTTCCCACCACTTTATTCCTAATATTCCACTTTTCACCTCGTTACTATGAAGCACGACCTAACGCCAGCATTTATTTCCTGACCTCCAAAATGAAACGACTCATAAACAAAACAAACAAAATGGAAAAAATTTTAGCAACTATTTTTGGGCCCCAGAAACAAAACTTACTTTTCCAAAGAAAGAGAATCCTTTAACCTACTTTGAGGACTAACAAATGACTTGAACACATTGTGTTCAAGGTTTTGTCAAACGATGGGAAAAATACAAAGGTCTAGTATTTAAAATACTACCTTTTTTTCCCCTACAATGCATCACCCTAGTCCAATGTAACCTTAAAAACATCGGGGGGCGGCAGGGGAGGATAGCTATAACGGTTTACATTGGGTTATAGTCCTTGTTGTGGCTGCTGTTGCTATCATTTGGTGATAATTTGGAAATGCTCCCCTGAATATCCCCTCTGATGCTTCTGGCATCCCAGTATCTGCCCCCAGACCACAGTGAAGCTGTTAGCAGGATGTGAACAGAGTTCACAAAATCAAGGGTTTGTTTACATACCAGCCACAGCACGAAGAAACAAATAAGGTCTAAATGCCTGTTGTCTCATCTGTTTTTGTGTTTTCCTTGCGTATTTCTTCCCAAGCTCTTAACAAACGGGTAATGGGTAGTTAAACATTTGCGACCAGTTACTCATCTTGCTTTGCAGTCATAGAGCTGGTCTAAGTGGAGCAGCCAGTAACTTCAAAGGACACCCTAGTTTGGATCTGTTTCCCAGGGGACAGAGCGCAGGCCCCAGGGCACCCTCATAAAACCCGAGGAGGGAATTACTCCATTCCCCACCCCTGGTTACCTGAATCACACTGTGCACATGTACAGAAGCTAAAAGGTTCTCTACTTTGCCCCCATTTGACTCAGGAAAAGGAAAACAAATGATAGATACCTGCACTGGTTCCTCCCACTCGCTACGAACTCCATTCTCTGCGCCCTTATGCAAACCTCTTAGAAGGGTCAGGGCAGCTGTTTCCAGAGCTGCTTGGCCAAAACGGGCAAACACATGGGCATGAAAAGAATTCTGAAAATACTTCCGATTGCTTTTCTTGTCTCTCACACAAGAGCATGCTTAACCCACGGGTACCTTTCAATGTTCATGTATAATAAATACAGTTTCAAAATAAAGAATAAGACACCCAAAATCCTACCTATTGGGTGTAGCTGCTGCCTTCATTAGTCAAATTTTCTCAGAGACCGTAGCTCCAGTTGCACTGAAAACCGTCGTTTTTTAATTATTTTATATCTGTGGCCATTTGTCCTACAGATTTCTTCTTGGCCTCTATCATTTTTGCCAGTGGAAAATTTATGCTTTCCCCTTTAACTACTACTGGTCTAAATTTACTTTAGTGAAGAAAATTTTGGCTCTAACTAAAACTCATGTAAACTTTCCATTTCACCGTGATGTTTTCTTTTCTTGGATTCAGCACAAGTCTTTTCTAATCTAAGAAATGGCTCTTACAGGCCCTCCTCAAATGTTTGTTTTCCAATTTAAGAGGATCTCTCTGTACATATACATAAAACATTAAAAGCTTCAGTGATGTGTCCAAAGTTGCTCTAAGGCGGGAATAGCTGATCTGACCCTCCACCATCCGCACATAGGCGCTACCTCACAAATGTGTCTGGGTAAGACCCTGCCCCATCAGCGTCCCCTGAAACTTCTCTTCCTTGAATCTCACTTTGATAAGCACACATGCTTGGACTCAAACAGGTCATCTCCAGTATCCATTTCTTTCATTTTCTTTTGTCCCACAATAGAGTTAAACAATACACTGTCTCGTCGTCCAAATGCTTCAAGTGGTTTTACATGCTTTATTCCAACGATCTTCTCAGTATCAATGTGAGAACAGAGAGGATGAAGAAATTTCAATCATTCTTTAAGGGAAAAAAAAAGGCATTTAAAATATCAATTATTTTGCGATCAGCTCAAGATCTTACAGGTATGGCAGAATCAGAACTAAAGTACCAGTGTTCAGACCCTCACGAATATGGTGAATTCATCCTCCTACTCTCTCTCATAATATAGAGTAAACCTAAATGTAAACTGAACCACTTAAAGGTGGGGTGGGGTGAACGAGAGAAGAGGGGAAGGGGACCATGAACATTAAACCATTTCACTAGAAATTTTCTTTGTTTCTAACCTGTCGTAGGAGTAGAGAAAAAAAAGAGAGATTTTAAAAAGAAATTTTCTTTCTTTTAAGCTATGTCCCTATTGCTCACTTTGAAAAAAGAATGAAAATAGGCCGGGCACGGTGGCTCACGCCTGTAATCCCAGCACTTTGGGAGGGTGAGGTGGGTGGATCACCTGAGATCAGGAGTTCGAGACCGGCATGGCCAACATGGCGAAACCCCGTCTCTACTAAAAATACAAAACTTAGCCGGGCATAGTGGTGCGTGCCTGTAACCCCAGATACTAGGGCGGCTGAGGCAGGAGGATCGCTTGAACCTGGGAGGTGGAGGTTGCAGTGAGCTGAGATCGTGCCATTGCATTCCAGCTTGGGCAAGAGTAAGACTCCATCTCAAAAAAGAAAATACAAAACATTCTCCTACCAATCCTTACTCAGAATTGAAATTTTCTATTTTTTGTGTGACTCTTTTACTAGTGATGTTCTCTTTTACTAGTAATCAGAGGGTCCATGCTATCTTATATATCCTCTCAATGAATATGACTTCATATACTCATCCCTGCCATAGCATCCCATTCTAAAGACATTTTTGTCTTACGAAGCAATATTTGCCTTGACATTCTGTTATTTGGGAATTTGCACTGTTTCAGTTTCACTGGAAATAATGCTACCATGAGAAACTTTATTCTTCACAATGATTTGGAATTTCCTGTGGTTTCTACGCTACGAACAATAAAGTTTTACCTCTTTTTAATTATTGTGAAATTCTTTCCTGGATATATTGTACCCATTTACAGAAACATCACCAAAGTGTAAGTGAAGATGTTTTTCCACATTTTAATCAACGCTGGGTTTAAAACTCACATTTATTTTTTTAAAGTGTCTTAGGCATATAACTTCACTTTAAAGTTGTCTTAATATATGTTCTTTCAGCTCCTAATGAGGGTGTGTACTTTTCAGGGTGATAATTTATCATCTATATTTCATCCTGGGTCTCCTTCACTACTCACACTGCCTCTTTTTAAGCACTGAATCATGTCATAGGTGGAGGAAGGGGCCAAAAATAATTGTTTAATCATAACTATACAACCAACTCTTTACGATGAAAAACAGAATTCTCTACTTCAGGAAAATGAGATTATATTTAGCCTTCTGAAAATGAGTAACAATCAAGCATAAATACTTGTTAACAGGTTCACACATAAGCACATGAAAACAAAATTGGCCAAGCTGAGGCAGGAGGATTGTTTGAGACCAGGAGCTCGAGATCAGCTTGGGCGACATCGCAAGACCTCAACTCCAAAAAAAATTTAAAAAATTAGCCGGGCATAGCGGTGCACACCTGTAGTCCCAGCTACACAGGGAGGATCATTTGAGCCCAGGAGTTCGAGGTTATGGTGAGCTACGATCTCACCACTGCACTCCAGCCTGGGCAAAAAAGTGTGATGGGAGGGAGGAAGGGAGGGAGGACGGGAGGGAGGGAAAGAAAGAAAAGTAAGGAAGAAAGGAAGGGAGGAAGGAAAATTTACCTGGTCTAAGAGGGAGAACCCTTTCCCTCCTCTCTCCCCTATCCCCTTCTTTCAGACAAACCCCAATTTCTCCATCATGACAGGGCTGTCCAAAAAGTCATCAAGATGTAGTCTTATCCTTTGAATGATTCTCCTTCTTATCTCAACAGTTATCTCTATGTCCAAAACACCTCTTCCTTTCCATTCCCACTGCTCCACGGTTTGGGCCTTCCTCATTTCTGCCCAGACTAGCAAACTCATGTTCCAGCTTCTAGTCTTTGTCCTATTCTACGTGGTACTAACAGAGGAACTTCCTATAGTACAGCTCTGACCTTGTTTCTGCAGTGTACAAAATTCTGAGGTGCTTTATGCACTGACAAACCATATCCCAACTGGCTCTCACCAAGAAAACGCATTGCCAGGAGCTCTTCACTGGTATCTCCTTTGGTATTTAAAAGCTTCTTAAGGAATGTGAGTGTGCTTATCATAGTGCTTAGCAAGACTCTAAGAGTACTCAAAAGAACTAATTTAGAGTTTTCTGTGTACTATTTCACAATACCCAGTCATCAGATGTAAGCTGAGTAAAATCAGTATCTTAATTGTATCTCCCACAGTTCGGTGCTTTCAGTGTGGAATTTCTACAAATCATCATTGAACAAATGAACTACGGAACCAATTGCTCTTTATTGAATCCACTGGTTGAGTGCTCTAGAATAAGCCACCTAGAAACATATTGGTATTTAAAACATCAATGACAAGGAAGATACTAATACTCAAAATACTCCCACAAATTTGTTTTTGAAAAGAAATTATTGTAAACACAAAATAAATGACAGGCCTTCAGGTGAAGCTCTATTATCATATCATACCTATGACTGACACCAGCAAAGATATGGATGTGCCTCAGGAAGAAATGTGTTACCAAGACACTAATCCATATACTTTCTAAAGAAATTGCATGTCCTAAAAATATAATCCTTCCAAAATTGTTATTATAAGTAAGGCAAGGCTTAGTTTGCTTGATCAGATTTTGACCAATAATAATAAGAAAAAGAATGGAAACCCCCCCTTGACAATCAGTTACACATTCTCCTTAATCCCAGCATGATGTAACAGACACTGTCTAAACTCATAGTTGGAATTCCAAGTTCATGTTCTTTCTTTCATTAGTTTCATGACCTTGGGCAAGTCACTTCACCCTAGGATGTCTCTGTTTCTTCACCTGGGAAATGAGAATGTTTGGCTCTGATCTTTCAGATTTCATCTAGCTCCAGAATTCAATGATTTATGAGTATTTAAAATAAGCTTTTTACTGATATATATAACAGCATGAATGAATCTCAAATGCACAATGCTAAGTGAAGAAGCCAGATTCGAAAGGCTACCTATTCTATGATGATATTCACATGACATTCCAGAAAAAACAGAACCATAGGGATGGAGAGCAGATCAGTGGTTACTGGGGATTGGAGGTACAGGGGATTGTTTGACTACAAAGGGGTAGCACGAGGAAATGTTCTTTGAGGGTGGGGTAAGAGAACTGTTCCACATCTTGATTGTGGCAGTGGTCTTGAACTCCTGGCCTCAAGCCATCCTGCTGCCTTGGCCTCCCAAAGTGCTGGGATTCCAGACATGAGCCACCGCACCCTACCCTATGTGGTAGCGGTTAATCCAGGCATTTGCCAAAATTCACAGAAAGGTACACCAAAAAGAGTACATTTTACTGGATGTGAATTAAAATGATTTAAGGTATTAGAAAATTTATTTTTCCAAATCCAATGCATCTTTGATGACATAATAGCTGGACAATATCCCCCAAGAAATTAACACCAAACTTCTGGATTTACTGTCGCCATTTTAAGACTGATGAACAGGTTTACACCCAAATAATTTGCGGTGTGTTTTTACGGTGGTGGTGGTGTTAATCTTTCAATGGACATTCTACAGAGTGCTTCTGTGTAGCTCTGTTTTCCAGTGTGGAATATCCAACAATGAAACAGCGAAATGAACTCTAGCGGAAATGATTCTAGGGCTGCCCAGGACCTGTGTGGCCTTCATGGAATGTTAGAATGTTGTTGTTATCTTTGTGATTCAAACTAAAGATATGAGGCACACAACAGGAATGACAATAACAACACAGCAATAATAGCAACAGCTAACATTTAATCAGCACTTAGTAAGTTCCAGGCACTGTTCTAAGTGCTTACCTACAGCTGAAGTGCTACAGTAGCTCATTTAGTTCTCAGAACAATCCTGTACTGGGTTATACTGCTATCTCATTTGACAGTTGAGAAGATCAAACAATGTTCTCAAGGTCAACTGGCCCGTGGGTGGCGGAGTCAGAATGCAAACCTAGACAGTCTAACTCTTACCACAAAGCTAAAGCTGCCTAGAAAAGCTTCATTGAAAGAATAACTTATTCATCTTCGTGGAGAGTCTGTGGCTACTACTACATGCTTCCACAAATTCTTATCTAGGCTTTCTTCAGAAATTGGACAGGCCAGGCATGGTGGCTCAGGCCTATAATCCCAGCACTTTGGGAGGCTGACGCTGGCAGATAACTTAAGGTTGCAAGTTTGAGACCAGCCTGGCAAACATGGTGAAACACCGTCTCTACTTAAATACAAAAATTAGCCAGGCATGGTGGCAAGTGCGTGTAATTTCGGCTACTTGGAAGGCTGAGGCAGGAGAATCACTTGAATCCAGGAGGCGGAGGTTGCAGTAAGCCAAGGTTGCGCCACTGCACTCCAACCTGGGCAACAGAGCGAGATTCTGTCTCAAAACCAAAACCAAAACAACAACAACAAACAACAAAAAGACAGAGAAAGAAATTGGACAGAGGGCTTTTTCTAATTAGGAAAAGCCAGCATCTCCATCTCTGCCTGGTAATTTCATGAAGTCTGCATAGCAAAAAGCCCTACATACACTATTTTACACAATCAGGTACAACTGCTTTTTCCTATTCCATTCTCCTTGCTCGCAGCAAAGCTGGCTTTAGCTGACAGGCAAGATTTTTTTCCTAAAGCCTTCCAAGATAAGCCAAGAGAGGGGCTGAGCTTCTCCTACCTGCCACCAGTTAGGGTCTACCTTTTCTTTAAATCATTTTCACTATTTTATGTAGGTTTAAGCCTCTGGGTAGAAATCTGTCCCAAAGCAGACAAGTTCCTGTTCCTGAAATGACTAATTCCTTGCACAAGGCAAGAGGCTGGTTAGAACCCTTTCAACTAGAGGGAATGATTAGTGTAAAACAAAACAAAACAACAAAACAAAAACAAAACAAAAAAAAAAAACAGGACCAAGGACCAAGCTGCTGAGGCTGAAGGAAACCACATAAACAAAAACAATACACCCATTAGATAGTACTTGTAAGGTATTCAGACCCTGAGAAATTAGTTTGAATGCAGTAGAAAGGCAGATTACAGGAGAGAAAGGGCTCCCAACTAGTTCAAGGGTTTGTTTAGTCTACTTATCAAGCCCAAACTAATCATCTTAATGGCTGTTTATGCCCAGAACAGGGTTCAAATGGCCTTTCGAAGAAAGCAGGGCAGACCCAGGCTAGCAACCTTCCTCTCTTCGAGGACTGCAACCTTCTTCTCTCCAAGGACCCCAGGATTCTCCTTACTAAGGATCCCCACTCTGAGCAGGTAAAACAGCAGGCCATAGTTTTATTTATTTCCTATCTATTTATTTCCTATCTTCAAACGAGACTATACACTCCAAAAAGCAGTGGGGTATCATCTCTGTTGTCCATTGCTCTATCTAGCTTATAGATCATTTTTGAGATAAAAACTTTATATATATATACGTATATATATACGTATATATATATATACGTATATATATATATACGTATATATATATAATATCAGAGGGTTAATGAACTGTCTGGAGGGAAAGATGGGAACTCAGACTTAATTTAACTCCTTGCTTTTCCCCGATGCAGACACCGAAACCTTGCGACTGAGCATCAACAGGTGCCTTCCTCCTGCAAGGAAACTTTCAGAAAATCTTCAAGGTAAACCAACTATCATTCTACCAGAATCAAGGACACCGGTTTCCAAAATTCTAATCCAAAAGGGGGAGTGGGACTGGGGGAAGATCATCAACAAGGCAATCCTTCACCTACTCCTACTCCTCAAAGCAGCATCAGATGAGAAGCCGGGTGAGGCATGTTAACCGAGAAGCCCTCCTCCAATTAATGTGCTATTGCTCCTTTAAAACCGAGAACAAACGGCGCGGCCGCTCCTGATCCCGGAGGCTGCAGAGCAGTAATTGTCACTTAGCCACTTAACTCCCCGCCGCACTGCTCACTCACTCATCGTGGTTTATCTCTCAGCCAATTACTGCTGTCATTTGCGTTTCAATGTGTGCCATCAGGGGCCAGGCCCAGTCGACAGCAGAACAGAAAACACCGGGAGGAGAGCCGACTGGCTTCCAGAGGCGGGTGGAGCCCACACCTCATTCCCTGCTGCTCTGTGGGAGCTTGGAAGGTATTCTCCTATCGCAGAGGCTCCCAAAACAGCTCCAGAAGGGACCCAAAACTACCTGACCACACTCCAGTTTTGTGCTGTGCCTGGCTGTACACTGAGGCAACCAAAAAGAAAAATTTGAGCCCTAAGTACCAAGTCAATAATAAGGATGGTGATATTAAAGCAACAGAAACTTTAGCAGCTTAGTGTGACAGCAGACAAGAGACAAGTAGAGGAAGTGGCAAGGATTCCTGCACTGTATTATTGTGAAATCCACCCAGGGCTAGCCTACAAATGTGAAGACAGGAAAACTTTATAGGTCTCGCTGCTCTTTTATGCGAGCAGATTTCCAGGCACGATGTTGTTCACCCATCTATAACTTGGCCCCAAAGTGTGAGGAACATATGAATTTTCTTAGGCGGTCCTGAGTTGAAATATCTAAAAATTATATTTGCATTCTATTGCCATATTATAGACTGGTGATACATTCTATACTTGGTAACACAATTTCATTTTTAAAAAAATTTCTTCAAGGCACAACCAGATGTGACTTTTTATAACTAAATCAGAAAAAAAGCTTGCCAGACCATGTGTCCAGATTTTTCAGTTCTGCAAAGATATCCTTTCTGGTTGCTCAGTGGATCCTAACCACAAAAGCTAAGACTCATGTTTGTTTGTTTTTTTTTTTTTTTTTTGAGACAGAGTCTCGCTCTGTCGCCCAGGCTGGAGTGCAGTGGCACTATCTCGGCTCACTGCAATCTCTGCCTTCCGGGTTCATGCCATTCTCCTGCCTCAGCCTCCCAAGTAGCTGGGACTACAGGCACCCGCCACCACGCCCTGCTAATTTTTTTTAATTTTTTTTTTATTTTTAGTAGAGATGGGGTTTCACCGTGTTAGCCAGGATGGTCTCGATCTCCTGATCTCGTGATCCGCCCGTCTCGGCCGCCCAAAGTGCTGGGATTACAGGCGTGAGCCACCGTGCCCAGCCAAGACTCATGTCTTTAAATAGTTTGTTTACTCTGCCTTCCTGGATCAAATCTATACCATCATGTGCTGCATTAGGGCTTTTCTCCCAGAAGGTTGAAACCTCCCATGATTGTAGAGGCAGCACCTTGGCTGTATTACCCTAGCCTGAGATTTCCTTTGGAGTGCATTCGGTCTGGCCGTCAGGTTGTCCTGCTCACTGTGCAGCATGATCCCCCTGACATTCCATCCTTTGGAGCCCCAGTAACCACAGCAGGAGGGCCAGCAGCTGAGGCTGAGCCAGAAGAGACCTGTTCTAGCTGGATCTGCACAGCCTGGTCTCTGGGTCTAAAATAAAACTCTTAACTTCTCTGCCAATGAGCTCTGCCAGGCCTGATGACGTAACAGGTCCCTTCAGTTCTATTTGCAGGCAAGGTCCATTTACATCAGGATTTCATCCAGGTAAGGGGGAATTTGGGAGGGGGAGGGAGTGAGGGACTCTCAGAGAATGGACCTGTCTTCCCATCATGCATGGAAAAGGTCTGAAAGAGCTGGTGAGGTGCCAAAGTAATTGTACACGTCATCTTGAGCTGTGCAAAGAGGAGCAGGCCTAGCTATAGCTAATTGCTATCCTCCGGCTATATGCTCCCCACTGAATACCAGAGAGGGGAATCTGTTCGGTGCATAACAAAGAAAAATCACAAGTAAAATAAAGCTAAGCAGCAGCCGGCCAACGCTGTGATGCTGCGACCGCCAACCATGGCCAGCCACACACAGGGAAACTCGGATTTGTCCTCACTCATCTTCTCTCAGGCCTTCTAATTAAGAAAACCTTAAACTTGGAACCAATTTACTCCTTTCTCGCTCATTTAAGTCATCACCCTGACCCATCTCTGATGAAGACAGAGCACTTCAAACAATGGAGAGTAGTTCCTAAGATAGCCGGTGGCCAACGTGAACTTCCTAATTAAGGACCCACACAAAAGTAACTTTCTCTTCTTCTGGGCTCTTTGTGTTTGTAAAAATGCGGCTTCAAGCTGAACAAACTATTTGATCATCTTCCCGCTTCCTTCCTCCTTTCCTGTCTGTCTGTCTGTAATGTTTCTCAGCTGATCAATAGCTGTCTCTCTGTGTCATGAAGTGTGCAATAAGCTGTTCTTTTTCTTTTGTCTCAAAGCCAGAAGACGCTGTATGGAAAGACCAGTTCCTCTTCTCCCACCCTTCTAGCTGTGCGTGGCAGCCCAGTGGAGGTCTGGACGCTTGCCACTGAGTGCCAAGAGCAAAACCCAGGCCAATCAGCAGGACGGATCCAAGCCCCTGACTGCAGCAGAGGTGCCTCTCCGCAGCCAGGCTGCAGCCACCCACAGCCTTGGGGCTGCCCTGACCCTGCCTCAGGCAGGAGCCCCGCCTCCTTCTCAAAGGACGTCACAGAGTACCTGCCCTTGGGGTGCCACACATCTTTCTTTGCTCTCTTTTTTCAGATTCAATTTGCCTGAATAGGAAGAACCTCTCCTTCCTGCCTAATCTATTCCCAGAAATCCCAGCTGCTCTCCCCAACTTTCACAGAGCAAATCAGTAGGCCCACCACTGTCCATGTTGGAGATCACACTGAGCCTCGTCTGGACCCCCCACTGCTTCTGGAGCATCTCCACAGACGGTCAAATCTGCATATCCAAACCTGAATCCTTCATCTTTCTCTCCCACTTGACCCCCAATTGGCAACAACACCCTGCGCTCCAGGCTGAGGGTCAGGCTTAACTGTCCCCTCTCCTCATCTCCTACATCCTCTGCAAGCTTTCTAAATTTTATTTCACACACATTTCTCAAATCCAGCCCCCAGAATCTAGAGATAAGACCACAGCCCTAGTTCAAGCCCAAATCCATCCTCCTCACTGCCCTTCTTGCCCCCTCTTCTTTCCAGGGGCCGCCTAACACAGAATTCTAACTCCATTGCCCTGTGTCCCTCTGCCCTACCCTCCGAGCCCCCCAATAACATCTGAGAACCCATGTTCCTCTCCACTGTCACCCACTCAATCCTTGCAGCAGGGACCTGCACTGGTTCCTACCCCGCCACAGGAAGCTTCCTGCTTCCTGTTCAGGCTCCACCCTCTCCAGAGAAAGGCCCCTCCTCCCCTTCACCCAGCTAATAACTCTGACTTTGTTCACGGACTCCCCACCTCCAGACTGGGCTAAGTGCTTCATACACATTTCTGTCATTGGATCAAGCTCCTAAAGGGCAGGGACTGGGTAATATTTCCCTGTGTAGTCTCAGCACCCAGTTACACACTGTGGGCTCCTGTTACACACAGCAGGTTCTCAGCAATTGGGATATTGCATTTGTACTTTCAGATTACTAGCTGATGCTCTCTATTACCTACCACAGGGCAATCAATACCTAAGTATGCCTTAGACCCATTCTGGTGCTACCTATTTAAAGAAGGCAGACTCCTAGACACCAACGGTTGTGTCTATGGAACATATTTTGTCTAGCAACTTACGCACTTTGGGGTACTTAATAACTTGATGGAGTTGAAGATGATGACGGTGACAATGACGTCAACCAGGACAGGAAACTGGAGATGATTAGACATCCTTTATTCTCCAAGGCTGTGTAGCTGCTTAAAACAGTTCTCGATGAGTCACAGAATGACAGCTCATTTATCTTGAAACCTTAACTAACCAGAATACAGCATGGACCCTCAGTCAGACACACTTCTGAGAAGCTGAAATACGTATCCGAAAGTTCACATGCTTGTCCACACACAAGTTAAAGAGGTAACTTGTGGAAGGGGTCATCTAGTCTGCATTCAGGGCCTATTTATTCTTGCTTAACATTCACCTTGATAATCTATGCGATCTCATTCCTCAGTCACAGCAAGTTATTTGATGTAAAATATGAGAAGAGGCGAGGTGGCAAGAGGCTGCTGGGGACTGACACGTGGGAGCAGTGCAGAAGAGAACCCTGACAAACCTTAAAAGAACACAAAGTACATAGTAGTCTTGGGATGGCTCATGTTGAGGGACAATGAGTTCCACACATATTAACAAACCCTAATGACACCATCACACAAAGGTACAATATTTACCCTCACGATGATGAGCAAGATACCGAGAGAGTTACATTCTGTGCAATATTTTCTACCTGCAGAGAAAAGGAAGTTGAGAGAATATTTTAAGATGATTTCTATCAAGGTGATTTTTTTTAAGGAGTTTTAGCATTTACTGAAGTAGATTGCATTTATCTGGAAATTTTGCTGCTGAGATACCTGACAAATGAGCCATTGCTTAACTTCATCCAGCATGGAACTATTAAGTAGCCACGGCACAGGCCTTGCCCACCAAGAGTGCACAGCCTAAAACAGCCCAATACCCTGGAGAATACATTTGTATATTTAGTTTTATTTTAAAACACAGTGAAACAGGAAACACTATCTGCCAGAAAACTACCAAATATAGAATGTCCCACACCTCCCCATCCATGCAAAACACAAACGGACTAAGATTTCAATTCAGGGCAAGAGCATAAGAGATGAGTCTATTTCAAGGCAGGTTCCACTTGGGAAATGATAATCTTCTTTTGGTCTTGATAACCCACTCTCCTCAGTCTCTCTCTCCTTTCCTCTCTCCCTCCACCTTTCACCACCTCATCTCAGCTCCTTCAGTGTACAGGAGCTGCTTAGAAGGAGAAGACGAAGCCGAGGTTTTGTTCGAGTTGTTACAGTCCCATGGTCATTTCCGTAGTGGGTCAGCAAGTACAACCAAAGTAAATCCAAAGAAGGGAAGGATGAGAGCTACCTGGTTATTTTTCAAAAAGATGGGGCTTTGAAATGGGATTTAAAAAAAAGTTGGGAAGTATTAAAGGGAAAATCTTCCTGAAACCGGATACTGAAGAAGGAATGTACTGAAGGAAGACGGGGTGAAGAGTGGCCAGAAAAAAAAAAAGGTTAATTTTATAAATAATACCAAAGAGTTAAGTGGACAGAATGATGGGAAAGAAGCTAAAGTTTGGCCACTTATCTGACCATACCTGCAAAACTGGAAATTTCACAACCTCATCTCCAAGCTCACGTTCCTTCGTGGTGACAAGAGGGAAGTGAAGACTTTTAACCAGATGGGAAAAGTTACCACAATATTTCCAATACTGTGTTTCCACCAAATATTTCCAAACTGGCATAGGATAGAGGGCATGAACCAGCTATCACTGACTGGCTTGGCATTTTTGTCAACCTGCCTGTATTAAGAAACCTGTCTTGAAAAGAGCATTTTTATTAAAAGCTAAAAGCCTTCAAGTCCTCCACGTTTTTCTCCACTACGAAGTATTAGAATAGAGAGAATAAGCTATCGTTCATTTATTCAACATTTACTGAACACCTATTAATTATGTGCTCGGTCCAGGGAGTTCTTAAGAGTTCTCACATTTTCAAAAACTGGGAGAACTTCTATTTTGCATATGTGAAGTGTGTTTATTTATACCCAAACAATATTGTGATAAAGAACATTTGTAGTTCACTCAAAATATTCGCAGTATGCTCAAAAGGGCAAAGGTTTTTTGAATCCGAGCTCTATTACATACAATGCGCACGTCCTTGGGCAAATTATTTCTCTAGACCTTGTTTTCTTCATCTGTGTAATGGGGAACTAGGTTTCATCATTTTTTATGAAGATTAAGTGAAATATCAGCTGGCAAGCACTTAACAGAAGCTGGCACATGGCATTCAAGCAATCATGCATTTAGTAAATATTTATTGAGCACCTCGTATACGCCAGGCTGTGTTGTAAACACAGAGCCTCACCAACCAAAGGGAGAAGCCAGATTCCCCCTTTCTTATCCTTCCCGTATCATCACCAGGACTTCTCAGGGGCTCTGAAAGCCTGTGAAAATGAAACCAACTGGACGCAGTACCAATGCCAAACACCATTATTTTCAATATCTCATGGTGCTCTGCACCAAGGATTGAATTTTCAAGTGAGATTCACGCTGCCCATGAGTCCTGGGCACAAAGGCCATGTGGCTACTGGTCTGCATCGGGCTATTCACCTGGGGACCCAAAAGCAGAGCCCTGGAGCCACCCACACCCTGGCCTCCAGGGTTTAGACAGAAATAGAACTTAAGAGACATAGGTTGCTGTCTCTCTTGCCTTTTTGCTCTTAAAATGAGAAAGGTGACTTATTTTGAGGTGGGGGAGGGATACCCTCTATTCAGAGGAAGTTCCCACATGAACTGCTACATTGTTTCTCTGACTCATTTTTACTTTTCCTCCCCATTGCTTCCCAGCCCTCCCTTGATGTCTCGGTCTGTTCCAGATGTGGTACAATAGGCTCTTTGTTTACAAGATTGTAATGTGCAATAAAATCAGTTATGAGGCCAAGAATAATTTATGCACAAAAAAATAAGGACAGTAAAATTGACATGAATTGTATGTTTTACAGTACTTTTTGATCTGTTACATTCCTGTTGATAGAATTGATAGACACTAGCTAAAAACTTTTAAGTGTTCATAAAACTCTGTTCACATTGGAAGTATATCACACACACACACACACACACACACACACACGTGCACACAAACAACTCAGGAGCAAAACTTTTTTAAAAGCCTTAAGCAAAATACTGAGTTCTTAATTTTGTTACTGACACAAGCATCCACCCAGTCTCACAAGTAAGAAATCTGTAGCTATTTTCTTTTTTTTCTTTCTTTCTGTCTTTGTTTTTAGAGACAGGGTCTCACTCTGCCACCCAGACTGGAATACAGTGGCACCATCATAGCTCACTGCAGTCTCGAACTCCTGGGTTCCAGCAATCCTCCCGCCTGGAGTTATTTTCAGTGGGTAAGGCAAGGTTTCATGGGAAATCATAGACAGTTTGTAGCCAAACATGCTTGGCTCTGAATCTCAATCCTATTCACTTCTAGCTAGGAGGTTTTTAAACATCTCAAAGCCTCAGTTACTGCATATGAAAAATGGATTTTGGTGAAAATTAAATTAGATAAAGGATGAGCAGAATGTCTGAACACATGTTTGGCAATCAGAAAGTTATTTCTCCAACCTCCCTTCCCCAACACACCTCTCAAAACCTTTCTTTTCCATTCTATCACTCAGTTTCATCTCTCCTGGACTACTGCTCTCCGACAGGGTTTTCAGCCTTTTGTCTACTACTCCTTCAAACCATCCCAAACCTGCTATTACAAACAACATTCAAAAATCAGAAATTTGATCATGGCACTCCCTGTCACAAATCCTCCTATGGTGATAACATTCAGAACAAATCTGCATTCAGAGAAAGTCCACGTGTCCCCAACCCATCTGTTCAGCCTCAACTCCCCCATGACCACCCCACCCCTGCCCCTTGAACGACCGCAGCCCCCACGTTCCAGGCACCCAGTCATTGTGAGTGGAGCATGCCATCTGCTCTGGTGCATGGACTCTCACTGCCACTCCTCCGGGATGCCAGCCCCACTCCACCCCCTCCCATCTGTAGAGATCACTGTCTCCTTCAAGGCTTAGCCCCAGTGCCACTTCCTCTCTGCAACGTTCCCGGATTTCCTCTGCTGACTCAAGCCTCCACTCATGTGTCTATGCCTTTCTCAAGTTTATTATTTAAACTTTTGTTCTCCAGTTATCCATATCTATGAGGGTCCACCCCCCTAGACTCAGTTCCTCCATGACAGAGACCAAATTGTATTCATTTTTACAAACAGTCCTCAAGTTTTATCCTTCCTTGCAAGAAGAAAATAAAACCAAACAGATAATTTATTGAACTGAAAGGACAGAATGAGGATAGAAGTAACTAAACAATGCCCCTGTGAATAGAGGCATTTCTTAGTGGAAAAACATATATATGTGTG
This sequence comes from Homo sapiens, assembly GCF_000001405.40. Taxonomy (NCBI): domain Eukaryota; kingdom Metazoa; phylum Chordata; class Mammalia; order Primates; family Hominidae; genus Homo; species Homo sapiens. The sequence continues at coordinate 140,100,548 of NC_000004.12, forward strand.
TGTATGTTTGTATAATGTAAAAACGGAGCAAGCCATTCCCAAAGTGCTTCAAATTCTGGCAAAACTAAGATGCACTTAAAATGAAGTCTTAGGTGTATTAAAAAAAAAAAAGATTTCAAAAACCTCAGCAAACCACAGAGGTATACACCATATGTGGTAGATTAAAAATGACCACAAATTCTTTGATCCTTCTTCCATGGACAGATGTGTCTATTCCACAACCTGCGTCCACCACTTTTAAAGGTGAGTTGCCTATAACTGCTTGGACCAATCAAGTATGGGAGTGATTTTGAATATGGGAGTGATATTATGCCATTTCCAAACCTAGTGCTTAATATGACTAACAGTTTTGGCCTTGGTCTCTTGGAACCCTGGGCTTCCCTGTAAGAAATATGAGTACCCTAATGGAGAAACCACATGGAATGGCTCCAAGGCTCCATGGAGAGGCAGACAGGCCCAGTGGGGAGCTCAGTCTTCCAGGCATCCTTGCCAAGGTGCCAGGAAGGTGAGTGAAGCCATATTGGATCCTCCAGATCAGAGCAGCCATTGACTGACTAACAGCAAGGGACCAGAGTCGACGCTACATGGAATAGAAGAATCACTCAGCTGAGCCCTGCTTGAACAAAATCACAGATATAATCAAATAATGGTTGTTTAAGCCGTCAAGTTTTGGTGTGGTTTGCTAGTTAGCAATAGGTAACAGGAACACAATTTTAATCCCTTTTGGCCCAGCGTCCTACCCTACCTAATAGAACACTTTTCCTCTAAAGGGAGGAAAGTGGCCTTGTGTAGAATAGAGCTCCCAAGTCACTGATGGTCTAGTTGAAGGGATGAGAAACTCACCAGGCTCTTGGACAGTTGCAGTTGTAATGCACTTGTGTAATGTATAATACACATTTCTTTCAGATAAGTTCAGTTTACCCACAGCTGTTCTATCTGTCAACAGATATTGGGGCAAATGTGGTTAATAACTTCAGGAACAATTTGGTAGAATTCTACTCAGGAAGCCAGGAGACCCTCCATTTCAGTCTTTTACCATCCACATCTCTTGTGTATATGAGGAAGAAATGTTTGTGTCTTCATTTGCCTAGCTATCACATGAAGAGAAGCATACGTGATACCTCTTAGATCAGTGTAAATTAGAAATGAAATCAGGTTATGGACTGAAAACACCTTCAGTTCCTTGGCCAAAAAAAGGCTAGGTAAACTCAAGGTACTATCATCATTTTGCAAATATGTTATTCCACTATATAAAATAGCCTAAATTAGTAAATGCAATTCCACGTGCTGGGTCAGCTGAGCATTTTTTTTTTTTTTTTACATTTGCCAGATTCCCCTTGTTTTGTCTTTCTAGCCAATAGAACAACACTAAAATATATGGAGAATTTAACTAACTTTTGAAAAAGAGATAACACAAGTTAGAACCAGAAGAAGTCATCTGTGCCATAAGTTTGTGTCTTCTAAGAGCCATCAGCCAGGCAAAATGAAGTGGGAAACTTGAAACTTAACATGTATAAATGATTTGTGTTGTTTTGTTTTAATGCTAAGTACTCAGCAAAAAGCTGAGTTATTAGAAAATGGACACTAGCCTGTGCTTGTGGGCATAAATTCTCCATCTATGAGAAGGCATGAATTGAGGCACTATATTGATTACATTATGTTGTTTATTCTCATATAACTCTCTATTGTAGAAACGATTTCTAGCCCCATCTTCAAGATGGGAAATGGAATCCTAGAGAGACTTCATTTTTCTCCTATATTTGTATTTAGCAATTGCTATTGCTGCCGTAAGAAAATAACACAGGGTGGCTTGAACAACAGAAATTTATTTTCTCACAGTTCTGGAGGCTGGAAGTCCAAGATCAAGGTGCCAAGCAAGGCTGGTTTCTCCTGAGGCCTCTATCCTTGGCTTGCAGATGGCCGCCTCCTATCTGTGTCCTCACATGTGGCCTTTTCTCTGTGCATGCTTATGCCTGATGTCTCTTCCCCTTCTTAAAATGACACCAGTTATACTGGATTAGGGCCCCACCCTTATGACCTCATTTAACCTTAATTATCTCCTTCAAGGCCCGCCCTCCAAATACAGTCACATTGAGGATTAGGGTTTCAGCCTATGAATTTTGCAGGCACATGAGTCAGTCCCTAAGAACTCTACAAATCACCAAGCCAGTCAGTGCAGAGCCAGGGTAGACACCCTGGCTCCCTGCCATTATCTGTGGTCCCCCTGATTACTATCCGTGGTACTTCACCATCCCATCACTGCCTCAGTCTATGTCCAGAGAAAATGGCCTTGTGTAAAATTACTCATCACCACCAAGTGAAGAGAATGAAGGCCACAGTAGGAAGTAAAGGAAAGAAGGGAAGCTGAAGCTATAGGAAGACAAATGTAAAATCCAGAAAAACTGACACTTAGCAAGGCAGAAAGTGCAGCTCACACCCAAACCTATTCTGTGGCCAAAGACTCCCCTCACCGTCCCCATAATTTGGGCTTTGTTGTAACTGCAAGAAACTCCCCGACGCCACTCTCAATGGTGAGGAAGGACCACTGCTTGCTCTGCTACTAGAAGTCATTGGCAGGGCACAACTCAATCACATGCTTTTTGCAAAATTACAAGATAATATACAATTTAATTTTTTCATCAGATTTTTGCAACCAAAAAATTTCAAAGACCTTGGAGTGCTATATAGCTAATAAATGCAATTAATAAAGATTTTGTGATCAGCTAAAACAGGTTAAATCCCAAAAAGCAAGACATGGTTTTTCTCCCTCTTTCAGATAATGCAGGGAAGCATCACATATTTATAAAGCACAAGCTTTCAACTATATTGGATTTTCCTTTTAAAAAGAACAATAATTTAAAGTGGCTTCTAGCAGAGAAATGTTAGGTACATTTAAATGGGTATTTGTGTTCTGAAAATCCTAATTGGAACTCTTCTATTGTTGTTGTTTATGTGTGTGTTTGTTGTGCTTCTGAGAAAGGGCTGAGGTTCTTTTGTGCATTAGAAAGCCTTTCATCTAAAATTCCAGTTTCATACAAAATTAAACCGGCATATTGGAGATACAACTTTACAGAAAGCATGAAGACAAACTGAAGTATTGTTTTTAAAAGACAGGAAAAATCAAAATGGTTTTTCTATGTGAATCATTCTACAACAAATATGAGACACAGCAGGATGGATGTATCTTGGACCAAGATGACATCCGTGTTGCCCATGACCTGCTGCTTATTACGTCAGCTTCCTGGGCACTGCAAGCTGGTGAAGCCTTACCAGCTAAGCCTAAGACACTGCTAATGAGGTAAAAATGCTGCATCACCTTCAGTTGTGTTGGCTACTAGCATATTAAGATCAAAACTGCATTCTTAGCTTCACCAAAGCAGAGACCAAATTTTGGTTTACAAACCACCCCATCCTATTGTTCAGGAAATGACTCAAACAAGGGTATTTCTCCACTATTCTCTCAGTAAAGATACAGTACGTGCACTGTTGTACACATCATATCACTCACTTCTGTTTTTAATAGAGATGATCATCTGGTATTAAAAATAAATAATAAGAACAAATGTAGTGGCTCATGCCTGTAATCCAGCACTTTGGGAGGCCAAGGTGGGAGGATCACTTGAGCCCAGGAGTTCAAGAACAGCCTGGGCAACAAATAGAAACCCTATGTCTACAAAAAATTTAAAAAATTAGCCAGGCATGGTGGCACATACCTATGGTCCCAATATGCAGGAGGCTGAGGCAGGAGGATTGCCTTAGCTCAGGAGGTCAAGGCTGCAGTGAGCCCTGTCTCAAAAAAAAAACCAAACCTATTTTATATATATATATAATATATATATATTATATATTATATAATATATAATATAATATATAATATACACGAATGTGTATATACATATATAAATGTATGTGTGTGTATATATATAATTTTTTTTTTTTTTTTGAGAGAAGGTCTTGCTCTGTGGCTCAGGCTGGAGTATACTGGCCCAATCTCAGTTCATTGCAACCTCCACCTCCTGGGCTCAACCTCCACTTCCTGGGCTCAAGTGATCCTCTTACCTCAGCCTCACGAGAAGCTGGTATTACAGGCACGCAACATCATGCCCAGTTAATTTTTGTGTTTTTTGTGGAGATGAGGTTTCGCCATGTTGCCCAGGCTGGTCTCAAACTCCTGAGCTCAAGCGATCACCCGCCTCGGCCTTCCAAAGTGCTGGGATTACAGACATGAGTCACTGCATCTGGCCATAATATATACATTTTTTAAGTACCTTAAATAAAAGAATAAAGGCATCATTATAAAACTTTAATTTTTTTTAAACCAAACCAAAGGGATTTAAAGTTACATATTTTTAATGTGTATTTTAATAGACTGTTAGTGGCACTGTCCTTCATCTGAGATATTAATTCAAGGCCTTTTCAGCTTTTCTCCCTAAACTTTCTGAGTGGGCACAGAGGATCCAGAGTGTTTATGTAAGCAGTAAAAGAAAGTCCTGGTATTTCCACCAGAATCCCCTGCTTAACAGAAATATGTCCCAGCATCCTTATCCTGAAACTCCCTGACTTAGCTGCCACAAAAAGACCCTCCATGTTCCTCAAAGCCACCACCCCCATCATGTAACTCAGGCCTGAGAAAATTGTGTCCTATCAAAGAGAAGATGTTGTGCAAAATAAAGTCCTTTTGTGCTAGTGCACATTCTTGGATAAAACATCTTATTTGTAACTGGAGAAAAGACATTTTTAAATGGTGATCAAAACAATCATGATACCAGATTTACCCAGCGGTGAATCCAGAGGTTTCATGAGCAACTCGACTATCCTGGTCTTAGCCAGACACTTCATTTTAAGTTCTCATCAAGTCTCCTGCTCCTGTGCTACTTTTTTAGAGCTAAACTAAGCCCAGGTAAGTATCAAGGATTCCCACAGACCTTCTTAGTACCTTATGGAATAAATAGTAGGAATTAAACATGAAAAAACCCAAAGGGTCAGCCCATCCTCTGTCTGACAAAACAGGATTATTCTCTACAGGGCATTTTCAAGTTAGATCGCACTCATTTTTCTTGTTTACAAAGCCTCGTATTGATAAAGTATAACAAACAGCTGCCTGTTTAAATAGTTTCACTGAGAAATTAATAAGTGAGCATGTAACTCTGGGAAGTTGCCTGTGGGGGACATGGAGGAAAAAAACAAAATCCTCTTCCCCAGTCTGGTCAATACACCCATCACACATCAATCAAGTGATGGAGACACTGGCCTGGCCCAGGATAAGGATGCTGGATTCCTGGGATCCTGGTGTGCAAATCACCTGATGAAATAACTAGGAGAAAACATTTCTATCCTTAAAAAAATTATAGCTGAATGCGAGGTGGCTATAGCTTTCCAAATTCAAAAGATGTGAAATGAGCCAGCCTGGTTTTTCTACCTCAATGACTCCTAATCCCACGTTTAGGACTCCTCACTAATAATTCCATCACTCTGCATTATGCTATACACTAGGGGCAGTCATCCCAAAACGAAGGAATCACTCGTCGTCTTTACTTCAGGAAATTTCTTGGTAAAACTGACTTCAAGAAAAAAAAAAAAAAAAAAAAAAAGAGCCCCTCCTGAGGCATCTAAAACAATCTGGGGAGAGGAGGCTCAAATTAATTTTCCATTTCCTGTTTTTCCAAAAATCTTTCTCTTTGATTAGACATTCCCTGCTTGGAAGCAAGGGTAGATTGACTAATCCTTCTAATTAGCCCTGGTTGTCACAGAAATACTCTTTTCCTTCTAATTGCTCTCAACTATCATAAGCCCCCATTCTGGTCAATGGATTTATAACTCTCCCAAGTAAATTTCCTTACATGATACACATGGTAAACTGCTATATGCTCCTAGTCTTAGAAGCACCAATCCAACAGAAGCATGCATTTGTGTGTGGGCATGTGTGTGCACACCCACGGAGAAGTGACCATGAAAGTCATGAAGAATCTTCCTTATGCAACTGTGACCTTAACTCTGCTTTCTTATTTAAAAAAATCAGTATTTCCAAATACCTCTAAAGTACTAGGATTTAAAATTGTATAGGAATTCATTGCAGCATGGAGACTGCTACACACCAATACTCAATTTCATCACTTTTAATGGCTTTAATGTTTACCTTTTTTCTTAATCATTGGTGTTGCAACTACCCAGACTATTTGTAAAGCACTGGCAACCAATCACAGCTTGAAAGCAATTCACTGATTTTCTTTTCTAGTCTAAAATATGAAGGCTTAGCAAAATCCTGAGATTAATTCTGGAGTAAAACCTGTTAATAAACAAGTTAGGTTTAAGAAGAGTGGTGGTGTTTGTTTGTTTTTTTGAGATGGAGTTTCGCTCTTGTCGCCCAGGCTTGAGTGCAATGGCATGATCTCGGCTCACTGCAACCTCTGCCTCCTGGGTTCAAGCGATTCTCCAGCCTCAGTCTCCTGAGTAGCTGGGATTACAGGCACCTGCTACCATGCCCAGCTACTTTTTGAATTTTTAGTAGAGACAGGGTTTCACCATGTTAGTCAGGCTGGTCTCTAACTCCTGACCTCAGGTGATCTGCCCACCTCAGCCTCCCAAAGTGCTGGGATTACAGGCATGAGCCACTGCGCCCAGCCAAAGAGTGGTATTTTTATAGAAACAAGAAAATAAAAAAGCAGATAATTTATAAACATTACTGAATGGAGGACCAATCTCCTTAATGTATATAAACTATATAAACTACACAATGAAAATATATTGGTCAGCGGTTAACACAGAGATTAAATCTGAGTCTAGTTTTCAATCAGTTACTTGGGGCTTACATCACCATTGAGTCCTTTGACTGTATAAACCTTCCTCATTTTAATGATTTAGATTATTTGTCTAGCACTGATGGGTTACCAGTCTCTTCACCTGTTCTGTCTGATATGTCCTCTTATTTAGGGTCTCACAGACTATAGATGAAAAAAATGCTTTTTTTTTTTTTTTGAGACAGACTCTCGCTCTGTCACCCAGGCTGGAATGCAGTGGCGCGATCTCGGCTCACTGCAACCTCCGCCTCTCGAGTTCAAGCGATTCTCCTGCCTCACCCTCCTGAGTAGCTGGGATTACAGGCGCCCACCACCACACATGGCTAATTTTTGTATTTTTAGTAGAGATCGGGTTTCTCCATGTTGGCCAGGCTGGTCTTGAACTCCTGACCTCAGATGACCCACCAGTCTCACCCTCCCAAAGTGCTGGGATTACCGGCATGAGCCACCATGCCCGACCAAAAAAATGCTTCTTTAGGTAGAAAAGACCCCTCAGCCAGAGTGATTAAAAAAAAAATGACGGTGGGGTGAGCAAATACATATGCTGAGAAAAGGCACCGAGAGGAACAAAAAAGAAATGGGGGAAGAAAAAAACAAAACAAAACAAAATCTACAGGGAACTACCATGCAAATTAACAACCTCTAGCCTGTAAAGACTTAAAAGGAAATAACCACAACCATCATCTTTGAATCCCCAATCACATATATGACAAAAGACATATTGGGCTTGTCCTGCAAACTCTAGAGGATCACTTTATATACCTTTCCCCATCCTCTATCCCTCCCAACCCACCATGTATGCACATGTGCAAACATACACATGTGGGCCACGGCCTCATTGTTCTATGTCTCTACTCATGCTGCCCCTCAGCCTGAAATGCCCTTTCCTCTTCATCTACCTTCAAATTATCCTTTTAATAACCTGCTCTACCACGGGCTACTCTTGGGAGCAGGCTGTCCCCTGCTTCGTGCTCCCCAGTACATGTCTATTATGGCACTTAAGCTGCACTGTCGTCATTTAATGCTTCCCTGAGTCTCCAACAAAACTGTGAGCTCCCTGATGGCAAGGCTGGTCTGTACATTTCTTGAAACCACAGATCAAAGAAAAACTACAAAGAGTCTGAAGTCAGGCATACCACATTTGAATCTTGGTTTTGTCAAGGATCTTATCTGCGAAATGATAATGGTATATCTACTTTTCAAGATTATTGTGGAGATTAAAAGATTTAATGACCTAGCACATACTAGATGCTCAACAAATGTTAGATTCTACTTCCTTCTGATTACCAGGGCCAAGCAAAATTCCCAGCATTTAGTGTATGTTCAATCCATGTGTGGTGGATTAAACTGAATCTCTCATACTCTGATCAGTTATATCCCATGGGATATAAGAGTAATCTTTTCACCTACTCTTGTTAAGTTAAATTTGAATACTGAAGAATATGCCAAAGAAGATAACTTAAGTGAAATGTCAGAAGCTGGGGCCACACTGCCTGACTCAGGGGCCCTACCAGGAAACAACCACTGCCTCATCTGCTGTGCCTGGCTCTCCAAGGAACACACTGCCCAGCCCAGGATTACTTCTTTTTAAACTTCCTGGTCCCTCTTTTTTCTCAAGTATAGCATAGATATAGAAACATATTTTCCTTCTTATTTACAAGACTGCATGGCTAAATGAGAACTATAAAGCTAGTTTCAACTTGTTGAGACAAAGCACCACACACTCACACATACAAGTTACACTTATTGTCTCAACATTTGAAGGTTTCAGTTGAAGGCATTTATCAATGTTTAAAAGAGAAGAGACTAAGAAAAGAGAGAAGAAAAAAAGAGGAAAGGGGAGGTGTGATAACTATGCTTGACAAAAAGGAACCCCTCCACAGTTGAAGGTATCCTCCTACATTCAAGTAGATGTAGTCCAGTATGCATAACAGACTACAACTCTATACTCTATGCAGTAGTTACAGTGCCCTATTGGAATTTCATGATAATGATTTCTTATACTTCTCACTAGCAAAAATTCAGGGGTGCTCTCTGGAAAAAGGAGGACTGAAACCTCTTTCAGAGTGCAGAACTAGTTCCCTAGCCCCCAAGCAAAGCTTCTAGACCACACGGTGTCTCCTTGCCTCCTCTGAAGCTACTGCATTAACACAGTAGATCAAGGGGGAAGCAGAAAGGCATCGTGTTAACCATGTGTATGCAGACAGCCACGCAACACCCAGAAACGATTTCTTCTTTTAATAGTCCACTTTCATCTTATTAATAAAAAGTAACTCCTACTTCTTCAGAATCTCCTAGAGCTTATAACAGAAAGCTTTCCTTCAACTAGGCTTGCTTTTCTCCAGCTGATCCTATAAACACTGCTGGCAATTTTTTCCCCAATGCCTCTAACATATTTTCACTTAGCACCAGTTTGATGTATAAGATCTGACAGCCCGGCAGTTATAGGCCACCTGCATCACTGTCGCCATGACAACAGTGAAAGACAATCCATGATCCCATGCCCTGGTCACACGTTTCAATACAGCTTATCTGTCCAAAGCCACTGAGTCTAATGGAAGAGAGTAATTACCATCTTCCACTCATTGTCAAAATTCCCACCATATAATGCTCTTCAAAATTATTTTATTCCTCTCACATGGCTGCTTTGCAAAAACTAAAAGGAATCTTAAGTGGAAAACGGGGTGGGTGGGAGAAAGAGGAGGCTGTGACTGGTATAAGTGGAGCCGCCTGTGCGTGAACTGTCCCTTTGCAGCCAACGAATGCACCAGCCAGCAAGAAGGATACATGAACAACTCTAGTTCAGCGATGATCATCTCAAGATTTTTTAAAATTTGAGTAAGGAAATCAGACGGTAAAATGTCCTAGTTTTTGGCCTATTCTAAAGGCATTTCATTACTACCAACAAAACGCTTGCACAGGGGCAATGAGCCCCCTACGACTGCATGCAGCAGGCACAGCGACACTGCACAGTGCAACGGTTCAGGCAAGTGGAAAGGGGGAAACGGCAGATGCCTTCCACACGAACACTTTACCTATCGTCGTTTTTCCAGCATTCTTCACACCTTTCCTTCACGCTCTAATAATAAGATGGATACGCTCTAATAATAAGATGGCTACCTGACTGTCCGGCATTTGCATTCAGTACTGCATATTCCTGGTGGTGGGTACAACCCCATCTTTGAGCAAAGTCTCATTCATGCAGTATTAAAAAGTGAACTTTGACCAGCAAACACTTTCTGTGGAAAAAAGCCTTGTGGAGAAAAGTACTTACAGGAAAGAGTAATTAAATTTAAAGGCAACATTCAAAGTCACATGGACTTGAAAAGCAAACTACAAAAAGCAAAAAATGGACAAAAGGGCACAGAGAAAGATAACCCTCCGGGTGCAGGCAGCTCAAATCCTAGTAAGACTGCTCCACCCTTCTTGAATGTCAGTCATTTCCACAGGAACAAAATCGTGCCCATTATCCACTCCCTAACTACCAATAAAGTTACATGAAGTGGTACCTAGCTTTGTGGTTAGCATAAAATATCCTAGTAAGAAAAAATAAGCAATTTCATATGATGGAATACATACCAACCCATGAAAGGACAAGAGTGATGTAATTTTTTAGAAAGTATAAATAATGAATTCTTAGATTAGTATTTGTGCACCTGTCAGAATGGGCCCGAAATGTTTTATTTATGGCTAAATCCTAAAAACCACAGCCATAAAACATTTAACCAGCTGTCAGCACATTATAGTCATGAACTGACACTACCTATGCTATGTATTAAACATGGCATAGCACAATAATTAAACAACATTATTGTACATTATACAACAAACAAGGAAAGCCTGATTAGCCAAAGGCCTCTGTAACACAGCCACGTTAATTATTTGGTGGCTGCTGGATGGGCCTTTTTATCTTTTTCTTGATCACCTTGGGCCACCTCCTTGTTCATTAGCAGTCCTCAGAGGAGGCTGGAAAAAGACAGTATGAGATGCAACTGAGGATTAGCCTACTAATGGAAAAATTCAATAGTTTGCATCATTTTCTACAGGATATCACAGATAGAGATGCGTGCAAACACATGGATGTTCAGTCATCTTTGGTTAACATGGCCAATCCAGGACTAGAACATTCCAATCAATCCTGCCAATTTATAACACTTCAATGAAGTATTTTCATATAATTGTGTGTGGATTTCACTTAGTCATCCTAGCTTTGTCCCCTTCCCCTTATAGTGGAATTTGATAGACATCATTTAGGTAACAAGGGCTAGATAAATATAAATGATTTGATAGAATAGAGCTGGAAAACTCAAGTTGCCATTGGTAAAGGAATTTCCTGTTACTCACCCCTACTGTGGGAGAATACCCCACTTGTAACTTGTCTTCTGTAATCTTCATTTAAAAGGAATATTTCTCCTATACCACCTCAAAGAGCAAACTTTGTAAACTGGCTCAGAAACCTCCTCTTAACCCAAAGCTTCCACAATCAATGGAAAGAGTGGAAGTATTTGTTCTCCTCTTCCAGCTTGCCATGTCAGTGGCCCCAACCCTCACCCTTGCCCTCCTCAGTAGTTCTTTGTCTTCTTGATCTTGACATTTTTGAATATTAGAGGCTCATTCCTTTATAGACTGACCCTTGGTTCTGGTTCATCTGATGTTTCGTCATGATTAGACTCTGGTAACTTTTCACATTAACACAGAAATAATGCTATGTCCTTTTTTATACTTATTAGTTGACTCTCTAAACAAGAGCTTTTACCTCTCCCCTCATTTGTTTATGTCATCAATTTCTATATCAGTATGGATTTATAAATTATTATTTTATTTAATTGGTTATAATTCATTACCATATTTATTTTGATGGTTAAATTCTCCCAATTAGTCCAGTGGGAGCCCATCAAACTGGCCCCTGTGTCTTTTTGATTCTTTGACAATTCCCCCTACTTTCTGGCTCAACTAGATATTCAGGCCCATGTTGTACTTTCCCTGCCCCAGCCCAAGAATGTAGCCATTTCTCCAAGTCATGCTCCATATTTTTAAAGGTAACATGTTGACTTGGTGGTTTCCAATATAAAAATAAGCATCAATCTGTTCAGTGCAGAATGGAAACATCACTGGTCAATCTGCAGAAAGTAGCCAGCGAGTGCAGCTTTTTCCATGTGCTCACTTGCAGTCACATTGAAACTGGCTTTGCTTCTGGCCACACACAGCTGGGCTATGAAAGCCATGGGCAGCTGAAGGTCAGGGAGGAGAAAAGTGAGAACACAGAGATCAGAGTTCCAAAGCAATAATGCAAGATGGTGGCAACAAGGGCCAGCACACCAGCCAGTCTGCTTGCAGGGCCAAATGTAGCAAAGACTCTTCAGAACCAGTAGAGCTTGCCCAGGAGGTGTGGGTTACTTCCCTGCTTGTGCCAGGACCAAATTATTTATCACATTCCACTTGTCGGGAAAATTGCATCTGGTTCCATTTTACATATATAATTGCATAGTAATCTGTGACTCATCTATGAGAGAGAAAATATTGCTATTTGTTCTTTTCAGAAAGAAAAAATAAAGCATAAAGAAACTTGCATGCAATGCTCAGAAGCAAGGGGAGTTTCGAGTTTTGTAGGGCCTGAAGTCTATAATATTTTATCCTTTAACAATAAAATAACTGTCCGGGCGCAGTGGCTCATGCCTGTAATCCCAGCACTTTGGGAGCCAAGGCGGGCGGATCACAGGGTTAGGAGATGGAGACCATCTGGTTAACATCGTGAAACCCCATCTCTACTAAAAAATAGAAAAAATCAGCTGGGCATGGTGGCGGGTGCCTGTAGTCCCAGCTACTCAGGAGGCTGAGGCAGGGGAATGGTATGAACCCAGGAGGCGGAGCTTGCAGTGAGCCGAGACAGGGCCACTGAACTCCAGCCTGGGTGACAGAGCAAGACTCGGTCTCAAAAAAATAAATAAATAAAATAAAATTACTAATTAAAAAAAAGTAAAGCACGACTATATGAAATTTCTAGGGCCCCTCGCTGAACCTTGTAAAGGGCTGTGCAAGGGAAGGAACTTGAGGTCAAGTTTCATTAGTCTCATGGAAAAAGTCCTCCTCTGCCCAGAAGTAGTTCCACCTTCTTGTCATGGACCACTAGGTCCTGCACTGTAGTAGACTATTTCTTCAACGATGCCAGTCAGCCCTTCCACTGTTTTGGGAGAGTCAGATCTTCCAGGTTCTATTCCAGTAGACAGTACCAACTACATTCCTACTCGGTGGCCTTCAAACTCCACCAATATCTTTCAACATAAAACAGGAAAGCAACCAGAACTCCCACAAAAGCTTGGGAGCAACCTGTTTGGCAGAGGAGTAGAGTCTTGTTGGGTGTTTGTAAGCTAACTTCACCTGTGCACAAATGCCAGTTTGTCTACCCAAGTGAAGTGACCCTGCAGCTAGGATACCTAGAACTGCTCTAATCAAAGTCCATCCAAAGTCACAGGCACAGTTTGGAACAGGACCTAGAAACTCAGGCTGACAGGTGTAAGCAATGCTGCTCTCCAGGCAGGGAGAAACCCACATACTGAGTCTTACTTTCATGTTCTCAGTATCTGCTCCCACCCCGTTTTACCCCATCCTGGGCTTCACACTCAGTGAACCCAGTCACCATTCACTGAACTCATTTTCCCACCTTCGTGCTACTGATCATGCTGTTTCCTATGCCTTTAAAGTCCTTCCCATCTTCTCTGGGTAGAAAAATGCTGCTAATTCCTCAAGGCAGATCAGATGCCAACTCCCTGTGCAGTCTTCCCTGCACTCTCTGCCCTGCGAAATATGCCCCTTCCCTGCTCCCTCCACCCTATGAAAGTAGAATAAAATCATTCCAACTTCTGTGTGCCAATCATACTTTTGTGTAAGTCTGTTATAGCTCTTATCACATCACGCTGTGGAATGATGTGGAGAAATCTCACCAGCTACTTTACCTGTATCTGTGCTGTTCCTTGAATTTCCTGCAATCTCAACAGTACCTGGCACAGAGGGGCTTGAAAAAATGTTTGCTGAATTAAAGACTGTAGCCAAAAGGCAAGTGTTCTTTTTCCTTTCACTTAAGTAGAAGCTTATCTTAATTAAAATAAAACTACAATATTATTGGGTTTTTAAATTACGTAGCTGTATATAGCTGCATATAATTGCAGTGCAATCAAACCTCTGATATTTTTAGGCAACTCTTTCTCTTGAAACCCTCCGTACCTTTGACTAAGTATCAATGTATTTCTCCCCAATAAGCCGGGTGTATACACGTATGTCTTTTAAGAAACTTTGGATTGTTCAAAATTTCAAACATACAAGCGTTGCCAGAATGTAATAAATTGCCAGCGACCAGTTTCAACTCATGGCCTATCTTGTTTCATCCATACCCCAAACCCACATTCCCTTTCCATATTATAGAAAGCACATGCCAGAACTTATATCTGTGAATACTGTGGAGTGTACCTTTAAAAGTTATGGCCTATTTTCAACAATATAGCCATAATACCATTATCACATCTAAAACATATTTAATAATAATCCCTAATATCATCAAATATTGAATGAGTGTTAAAATTTACAGTTGCCCCAATTCTTTTGCACTAAGATGTTCAACAGTAAAAGTACATTATAACTTCATTCAACTCATAAACAAATTGCCCTATTTAAATAAAAGCTCTGAATTCATATCCTATAGAACCATAACATTCCTCAGGACAAGACACATGAAGTCTCATTTTAATACAATGCCCTAATTATGCTGCTGAAGTTTTATTAAACATTTGTCCTATGGAGATATGTAAAATAATTTGTTTTCAGTTCATTACCTTTCTACTCAAAGATTTTATCCCATAAAAACTTCCATATGAGTTAGCACTATTTTTGAGTTATTCATAGCTCATAACAATACATTTTATTTTTAAGTCTTAAATTACTTCTTTCTCTTCCTCCTGAAACTCAAGTGCTCACTCTCAATTAACACAAATGCTTTCACTCTCAATTTTCACTTCTAAAATAAAACTATGGCTAGAAAGAAACTGCTCTCAATGAGCAATTCATAAACAAATGAAATATGCAAAGCCACAAATATCCCTTATAATTTTTATGTGGTCATGCAAATTAATGCATAAGAGTAAATATTTTCATCCACAATAACACAAATTAATGAGTGCAGGAGACTAACACCAAGACTGATCTGGGAGGTGATCAGTGCCTTCAGCAGACCCCAGGACTACAGATATTCAGAAGCAAGTGAGAGACTTAAGAGCAGGTACATAAGTTCATTTTTTGGTGACTCTGGACACATACAAAACATTCCTTAATCTGGAATTGGAAACAGGTACATAAAGAGCAAAAAGCAAGTGTACTCAATTTATCCAATTGACATGTCTCTGCAAAACATTTGTAGGGCAAAATCTTACCATTAGATGAATATTAAGGTCAAATTTTTGTGAAATTAAGATTCTTTTTTATAATGTAAAAATCATTCTTTTTCAATTAGGTTTGAATATAAAAAGTTTTCCCACCAAATACAAAGAAACTGAAAATGAAAATGTCTATTTAAATATAGAAAATATTTACTAATTCACACTAGTGGAAGGTGACATGGAATAATAGAAAATTGGAATTACTTTTAAGTATATACAAATATATAGAGTACATATATTTGCCAAATAAATGTCCTTTAAGATCCTTTAGTTGGTAATTTTATTTGCAATTATTTCATTGTTTCCCTTTTTTAAAAAAGATTATTCTAAATAAAAGTAGTTTATCTTGCTGAATAGGTTAAATGTCCTTCCCATGCCTGCTTTATTTACTATTAGTCTGTTTACAAGCACTCCTTCATATAAGGCAAAAAGCCTTATGACAATACCACAAATTATTAACATCTGGGCTCAAATTAATCAAGTTATACTGTGTTCTTAAATTTCTGAATTCTTTACCTTTTTTCATGTGTTCATGTGTTCAAAACAACTCTATAATATCCAGGGCCCCCAGGGAATCAGCTCCTATTCAGGAAGATCCTTACTCAAAACTAGCCCTCCTGAAAATGACACCTATATAGAGAACATTTCTCTTGCATGTTCAGGGCTATTGCCAATCACCAGAAACCAAGACGGTGTCTATTCTACTTCAGTAAAAGGACAGGGAGGCTGACAAAGAAATACAAAAGAGAACACAAGTCACGTGGAGCCAACTGCCTGGATTCAATTCCTTCAGAAAGTCACGTTAGAGACTGCCACTCTAACCTCTAACCCCACTGCTTCAAAAGTTGCCATTCCCTCCATCCTCCACAGCTCTGGCCACATCCAGACGAAACCATTAAGGCTGGTGTATACCCTACAGGGCAGGAAGTGAATCATGCTTCACTCAACTGAAATGGCAGCAGGTTTTTAGAAAGCTAAACACAGTCAACCCAAATGAATGGTAACACTTACCTTGTAAAGATGTGACTAGGGATTGTTATTGATGACAAAAGATCAGCACTTGGGTTTCCATCTCCCTTCACAGATGAGATTTTTTTAAAAGCATAGGGCACTTTACATACAGACACAGAGTATAGCTATGGAGATCACCTTCTGTAATACTAGCACTCAGAGTGTTCTCACTATTAACCCAGGACCTCCACTCATGTTAGATCTCTAGCTTGCAGAACATGCTGAGTTCCAGACTTGGACTGTCTTTCCTCTTCCACAGCAGAATTTAAAAAGCTCTATTTCCTCTTCCTTAGAAAAATTTTAAAGTTCTCAAAATGGGGATTTCTCTAGTCTCTTCCTTTTACCCTTAGTGTGATCTGGGGTGATTTTTAGGGTCTTATTACAAGCAAAATCCTAATTATGGGGAAAGCCATTATCTGGCATCTTATTTACTATAACCCAAAGCAAATGTTTGGGGTTCCTAATTATATTGATCCAAATATCTCCCTCGTATTTTCTTACACACTTACTATTCTCTTTCAAGTAAGACTTTTAAAAGCTGTTTCTAAATTTACACTTTTACTTGGTGCTGCTGACCACATTAAAACCTAACTTCCAAAAATAAGTTAAACTTTAATGTGGTTTTATGTTTTTAAGCATACTCTAACTATATAACTTTAAAAGTATGACTTACAGAATATTTATTTCCTTAAGAAAATATACAAATGCTTAATCAGAGACAAAGCAAGGGATTCCAAATCAGTTTTTTATACTGCAAAATATTGCAGTGAGCCATGATTGCACCACTGCATTCTAGCCTGGGTGACAGAGCGAGACCCTGTCTAAAAAAATATATAAATATATATGTATGTATGTATGTGTATACAGGTATATATATATATACACATATATACGTATGTGTATATATAATCTCAAAATTATTAATAGAGAATAGAAAAATTGATCTAATCTGATGCCACCTTCCAAGTCTCATAAAAATACAAATAAAATGTTTCTAAATTATAGGTATATCCTTAATAAAATTACAAAAACATGAGATTATCAAAGGAGCCCAACAGTTTCTCTAAGCACATCAGACAATATCAGAAGTCAATAGTTCAGATTAAGAAGGAAAGATTAATCTAGTAATTCTAAGGGTAATTTGTGTTACACATTTTTAAGGATTTTCACAGATAACCACGCATGGTAATATATGCAAATACACAAAAGAAATAAAACCTTAAAAGAACACACTAAATTTATTTTTTTTAATCTTCTAAAATGAGAATCATGACACCCACAGCCGGCATTTCTTCAGAGCCTACAGCTAGACAACCACCACAAAAAATGTTCTCTCTGATATCAGCTACAACCAACCCCCAGGTTAAAATATTTGTGGGTTTGTTTTTTTTTTTTCCCTACCGTGTTCAATCTTTTAAAAATTAATAGTCCTGAGTGCAGTCTTCTGGAACCAGAATGCCTGGGTCCAAACCACAGCCCTACCGTGTACTAGCTGTATGACTTTTATCCAGTCACTTAGCCTCTCTGCGCCTCAGTTTCTTCATCTGTATATATATATACACCTATCTCATTAGGTTGAAGATTAAATGATCTAATAAGCATGAAATGCTTAGTACAGTGTAGTACATAGTAAGTAGCATATAAGTATTAGCTAATAATAATAATAAACAATGAAAATGAGGATGAGGTAGCAGAACCATAACCTTGACTACCTTTGTGGAACCTCTATTCCAGGGTGAAAATACAGATACCAAGAGTATATAACATTGAAAATATTTTGGGGCCTGGTGTGGTGGCTCACACCTGTAATCCCAGCACTTTGGGAGGCGAAGGCAGGAGGACTGCTTGAGCCTAGGAGTTCAAGACCAGCCTGGGCAACATGGTGAGATCCTATCTCAAATTTAAAAATATATATTTTGGAAAGCCTCGATTCATGCCTCTGGTCAATATTCATAAAGTATTATGGCCCATTGGAAACGATCATGCTGTAGCAGGGAAAGAGAGCCTAACATTCTCTCCGATTGCAAAAATAACATGCGTAAGAGCCACTTCTGATCAAGTAACCCAAGTTGATTAGATTCTGTTCACCTCCCCCACACAAGGCCTCTGACGGCACACACAGAATGGATGCAGCATCCTACATTCTAAGTGTAATCATTCAAACCAACCTAATCATTTTTTTGACAAAGGATTTGGGAAATTAATGTAGGCTTGTTAGCCAGGGGAATGGTAGTAAGCAGCAGCTTCAGTCAAAGCTAGCTTCAATACATACATTAACAGGCAAGGGGTATGGTGGCATTCCCCAGAGAATTCAAGGCAAAAGTCAGGTGTGGTATATGGGCGTTTTCAGAATTCACCCCGATAAGGTCAACCTCAAGATCTTATTCTCACTTCCAATCTCACACAATAGAAAAACCTATTCAGTTTCCACTACATAACCCTTCCTAGAGACCACTTTAAAAGATGTTACTGTAGTCCACAATTTTTAATAGGTGCGCTTGAAATGGCATTGTAACCATTTGCCCACTCACTTCAGGAGGCATGAAAGGAACCCAGATTCAGCCATTAAAGTCTTACATTAGACAGAAATCAACTTAATTTAACTAACCTAGTACCTTCCTAGATATACTTTTCTTACCTTTCTTTCTCACATCTCATGACCAATTTGCAGATATGCACTGCTGGTTTAGTGTACCTAAATACAGTCATTACAGACTTCTTCTATCGTATCTTCTGGAGAGACATTTTGGGATACACAATTTTTTTTTCTTCCTTCCTTCCTGAGACACTTTGGGATACACAATTTTTTCCCCCTCCCTCCCTCCCTCCCTTCCTTCCTCCCTTCCTTTTTTTTTTTAGATGAGGTCTTGCTCTTTCACCCAGGCTATACAGCACGGTGGCACAATCATAGCTCACTGCAGCCTCCAACTGCTGGGCTCAAGGGATCCTCTCACCTCAGCCTCCCTGCTAGCTGGGACCACAGGCACAAACAAGATCCACAATATTTATGCATTTGAAGACAGGATCTCTTATGTGGTCAAACATCTCTCAATCTCTCTATTTAGTCAACTACTATTAGCTATTCTAGAGAGGAAAATTAGTAATTATTGTGGGCTTGAAAAGAGAGTTCCAATCACAATCAAGTTTGTCTCCTGAGGTTAAAAGCTAACCAAAGGCCGGGCGCGGTGGCTCACGCCTGTAATCCCAGCACTTTGGGAGGCCGAGGCAGGCGGATCACGAGGTCAGGAGATCGAGACCATCCTGGCTAACACGGTGAAACCCCGTCTCTACTAAAAATACAAAAAATTAGCCGGGCGTGGTGGCGGGCGCCTGTAGTCCCAGCTACTCGGGAGGCTGAGGCAGGAGAATGGCGTGAACCCGGGAGGCGGAGCTTGCAGTGAGCCAAGATCGCGCCACCGCACTCCAGCCTGGGCGACAGAGCGAGACTCCGTCTCAAAAAAAAAAAAAAAAAAAAGCTAACCAAAGTGTGACACCTACAATGTGAATCTGAGTGCCTCCCCTAATGAGTAATGAGCAGTATTAAATTACAGGTTACTACTGATACCATATACAAAAAGCTAGATGATGTCTTATAAAAGTAGTTATTAACCAAAGACAAATTAACAAAACCTTTGGTTAAAAGGCTTCGTATCATTCTTGATATGATATCATTTCTGTTTCTCTATTTCCTTATTGGTACATGAAACTGCAAATGTGCCTGATGTAGATTAATATTTTAAGGGTATCCAATCGTTAGGCATCATGCCTCCACATTAATCTTTTGCATTTTGTTGCATATAATCCTTTTCCCACAGTTCTAATTTTAGATATAGTTAGTCCATCAGAATTAATCTTTTCCCATATAAAGACTGGTCACAGCTAAGATCGAATAGTTTCTCCTTAATCTTTTTTTTTCCTCATAGAGAAACATATGGATTATTTTATTAACTGGTCTTTTTACTCTCTTTTCATTTTGAAATTACAAACAGATAGGGAAAAGGTGTCCTTCACTGCTTGTTCCCAGGGCTAAAGCACTGCAGTAACGTTCGGTTCACAACTCAATAGCATCCTTGGGAATGGGTTACATTGTGGCAATCTTTATCCATTATTAAAAATACACACAGTGGTTTTATGGAAAATGTACTTCTACTATCAACAAAAATCTTTTGGGCTAAACACCGAATCCACACTGAGGGACAGACTTAACTTTAAGCTTCTAATATAGCCTGCACTTTTCTAAGTTTACAGAAGAGTTGTTTCACTGAAAATTCTGCCAGTGGATATGCTGCAAAGAGAAATAGCAAAAAGCAAAGTCATTTTCATTTGGACGCATAAAACTATGATGAACTCAGGCTCAATTTCTTGGCTTCTTAAAGCTTTGGGATTGTTTTTATCTTGCACAGTGGTATCCGAAGCAGAGACATTTAGCTATTCCTAATTGTGCCAAATAGATACAAATATTAATATTTCACTGGCACTTACCATGGCCAAGGTGAAATTTAAAATGTTAAATACTCCTTATTTTCCAATAAATAATGCACTCTTGGAAGCCTTAGAAGACTATCCCAGCAACTTTACGACATAGCACGTCCTTCCCTTGATTCTAATAGTAAACAAGTTCCAAGGTTCTTCTACAATCAATTTCTACAATCAATCAGAAATGTTCTTTGGCTGGCAATCATGACTAAAGCACCACTTTGAAAGGGAAAAAGAGGTGTTAGGCTGTGTAGACTCAAAGTAGAGAGAAAGCCTTCATTGTTATATACTAGCCACTGATTTAGCCTACGCTGATACTCAATATGGCAAAGCAAAAACTAGAGTTTTACAGACATACTTTGTTAACTGGCTTTAATCCCTCAAAGTGATATCTAAGTCAAATTTTAAAGACCAAGACAAAATTTAAATATACTAGAGGTATTTATACTTAAAAGGTACTGAAGGGAACTATTTATCTAAAGAAAATGTTAAACCCCAATTTCATAGCACATGCCACTGCTCAATAGTGCATGATATGGTTTGGCTGTGTCCCAACCCAAATTTCATCTTGAACTGTAGTTCCCATGATCCCCACGTGTCATGGGAGGGACCCAGTGGGGGGTAACTGAATCATGGGGCAGTTACCTCCATGCTGTTCTTGTGATAGTGAGTTCTCACGAGATCTGATGGTTTTATAAGGTGCTTTCCCCCAACTTCACTCTGCACTTCTCCTTGCTGCCCCCATTTGAAGAAGGCTGTGTTTGCTTCTCCTTCCGCCATGATTGTAAGTTTCCTGAGGCCTCCCCAGCCATTTGGAACTGCGAGTCGATTAAATCTCTTTCCTTTATGAATTACTCAAGTCTTGAGGCTAATACAGTGCAATTTTGAGTGATTTTTTTTGAATACTTATTTTTTAAAGTAGGTGAGAAATTGATTCTTCTCACAGGAATAATCAAACGAGACTTTTTTTTTTTTTTTTTTTAAACAGAGTTTCGCTTTTGTCCCCCAGGCTGGAGTGCAATAGCGCAATCTCGGCTCATTGCAACCTCTGGCTCCCAATTCAAGCAATTCTCCTACCTCAGCCTCCCAAGTAGCTGGGATTACAGACCTGAACCACCACACCCAGCTAACTTTTCATATCTTTAATAGAGATAGGGTTTCACCATGTTGGCCAGGCTGGTATGGAACTCCTGACCTCAAGTGATCTGCCTGCCTTAGCCTACCAAACAAGTCCATTTTATAAAACCATTTTGGGCCGGGCGCGGTGGCTCACGCCTGTAATCCCAGCACTTTGGGAGGCCGAGGCGGGCGGATCACGAGGTCAGGAGATCGAGACCATCCCGGCTAAAACGGTGAAACCCCGTCTCTACTAAAAATACAAAAAATTAGCCGGGCGTAGTGGCGGGCGCCTGTAGTCCCAGCTACTTGGGAGGCTGCGGCAGGAGAATGGCGTGAACCCGGGAGGCGGAGCTTGCAGTGAGCTGAGATCCCGCCACTGCACTCCAGCCTGGGCGACAGAGCGAGACTCCGTCTCAAAAAAAAAAAAAAAAAAAACCATTTTGAAAATCTAAAAGTGCCATCATTTCTTAAAATAAATCACACCAATAGTTAACTTGAAGTAAATATCTTTAAGGACTTCAAATACTTAAGAGTTTTTAACCTGCTGGTAAGGTCTGAGCTTTCCTGAAATACTTTTCTTACTATCTCATCCTATTTCCTACTCTCTACTCCAATCTCTCCTATTCTCTAGTAAACCAATATGGCCATGATACTCAAAATCAGACAAAAATAGAAATTCTGAGCATTTCAAACTTCTTCTAGGTAAAGCTCTGCGGTTTTTTTTTTTTTTTTGCTCTGTAGCTTTTTAAAGATACAGCTACAATCAACAAAGGACTGGCACATTTCAGACCACAGCTACTTTTCTACTACAATGTGACTTCATATTTATTTAGTCCTATCCTGTCCCAAACAAGGTTTGTTAAGACAGCTTACAAAAATACACACAGAATAAACCATAAAATTATTTATAAGGGATTGACAATTTTGGAAAAAGGAAAAAGGTACATTTATGTTTATATTCACATAATTATAAAGGTCTAAAAAGTTAAACCCCAACTTCATAGTACATGTCACTACTGAATAGTATAATTGTGAGTACTTTTTTTTTAAAGATGTACTTTTACAAGTAGGTGAGAAATTGATTATTCTAAGATGTCAAGGTGGGTGAACTTCTTGAATATATTTTCCTATTTTCTCTTTCTCTCTTTCAAATGTAACTTTCATTAGGTCTTCTGTTTTCTGGTTCCTAAGTCTGATCCGTCCAGAGGGATGTCATTTCGAGCCACAGAAAAAAAGTACAGCCTACCCCATCAGAAGACTCACATCTGAAGTCCATTATTGTTCCCCACCACTTAGATCTGAATAAGATAAAACATTTAAGGAGCAAAAGTTTTTAAATTCTATTGTGAGGGGGCCAACATCTTTCAAAGATGGTTGATTTCTTTTTGTGTAGGCAGGTGCTGCATAGACTCTGAATAATAAAATGAAGTTGGGGAGGTAAGAAAGAACTCATTCATAATAAAAAGGATAAAGGTGCAGGGAAAAACCCTACACCTTTGTAAGGCTTCTGAGGTGGTGCGAGGTGAGACCTTTTCTTAGGCAGCTTCACAACAAATAACACTGTTTTTGCATCGTATTTCACAATGAACCCCAAAGCGACTAAGGCTTGAAATGAAAATCCCTTGTTTTATTCCAGTTTTTAGGAAAAACCCAGAGTTCTCCCCTAGAATTTCCAAACATATATCAGTAACCACTTACTAGCTTTCTCTCTTCTCAGACTTCTACCTTGAGTAGTCAAAATGCCTTACCTAACCTTGCCCTTTTCTCTGACGTTTTTAACAATCACACGTTCTGCCCTTCCTCTCCAGTTTCCTTGAGGCTTCTTGAACATCTAGTCTCAATCCACCACACTACGCACACTGTCGTGTCTATGTTAGCACCTTGAAATCTGTGCATAGAAAGCTGAAAATGATGGCTACTCTGAAACATTGCCCAAGATACAACCTTCTTGATTAGCTCCTCAATATGCCCAAGACAGAGCCATACTGACTTATTTCGTGGCTCTTAGCTGGTGCCTAATGCAGTGAAAACCCCTTTTAAACAGCACTGACTAGGTATGGCTGGGAGAGTTTCTAGGAGGGAAACACGCTCAGACATCTCCAAGTTTTCTCGTAATTTGGGAAAATATAACCATTAGGAAGTGTTCTCTTAAGCGTCTGGAGACCTTGCACAAGTTACCCCCAAAAGCACAATAAAATCTAGGTGAAAGAATAGAAGAAATCAAAAGCTATCACAAAATAGAGGCCTAAGCACCTCTTTAAAAAGCAGGAACAGCTAGAAAAGTAGATTTAGCATTTGGACATTCAGGGTTTACCAGACCTATTTGCAATACTAATTAGTCTTAAGTTGGCCCTCCTTTGCAGTCCTTTAGCTGGTAAACTGCTAGAAAACATGGATTACACCTTGTTATTAATATAGAAAAGCCCTGGTGCAGGTGGCAGAGCCATGAGCAACCTGAATGCCATGATTAGGGTCATGACGAGAGCAATTCCAGTATCTGAAACTCACACAGAAGCAAGCCTCACAGGCAAATACCCAGATGATAGAGGCCCTATATCCAATGCCAAGAGTCAGATGCTACAGCGCAGAAGCAACAAATTCTTCCAAAAGAAATGATTCATACAAATTAATTGTTTTCTAATGTCCTTTAATTATAATTAAAGAGTTTGAGCATCGACTTTGGTTTTTTAATTAAGCCCAACTTTAGCTTATTTTTCTATATTCTGAAATTTAGACATTCAATTCATGTATGTTCTATTAAAAGACATGTCAACTTATATCAGAATATAAATTAATATTAACACATATAAATGATATATACTGAATAAAAGAACATTTTAAAATAAAAGCTACTCAAATGTGTATAATATGAAACAATGAAGAATTCACCACAAAAAGTAATTTATTGGAGCCAGGTGCAGTGGTACATGCCTGTAGTCCCAGCTACTTGGGAGGCTGAGGCAGGAGGATTGCTTGAGCCCAGGAGTTTGAGGCCAGCCTGGAAGCACAGCAAGACATTGTCTCTAATTTTCTTTAAAACTCACTTTTAATTTAAAAACTTTAAAAAAGTAATTTCAAAAAAATAAAGACGTTTAAAAATGTATTGGTCATCACATGACTTTATTCTTATTTGTCCTTTGCAAGAATCCAGATTATATGACACATATATACTTACTCATGCACAAGGCAAACTGACTGACCACATCACTCCTATGTAGAGGAGAAGGTACAGGTTTTTTGTCTGTCTCTTTGTTTGTTTTGTAGAGAGACAGGGTCTCTCTATGTAGCCCAGGCTGGTCTCAAACTCCTGACCTCACGTGATCCTCCAGCCTTGGCCTCCCAAAGTGCTAGAATTACAGGCATGAGCCACAGTGCCCAGCCATAAGGTACAGGTGTTTTTGTTGTTGTTGTTGTTGTTTTGAGACAGAGTCTTGCTCTGTCGCCCAGGCTGGAGTACAGCGGTGCAATCTTGGCTCACTGCAACCTCCGCCTCCCGGATTCAAGCGATTCTCCTGCCTCAACCTCCTGAGTAGCTGGGATTACAGGCACGTGCCACCACACCAGCTAATTTTTGTATTTTTAGTAGAGACAGAGTTTCACCATGTTGGTCAGGCTGGTCTCGAACTCCTGACCTCGTGATCCACCCGCCTTGGCTTCTGAAAGTGCTGGGATTACAGGCGTAAGCCACCGCGCCTGGCCAAGGTACAGGTGTTAAAGAGGCAATACCATTATTCCATTTAATGGACCCTCTTTTAAAAGAGTAATAATAATAATAAAGGACTGTAATAAGCATTGTTTAAAAAAAAAAAAAAAAAAGGAAGCCACACATATTCAAGGCATTCCAACCCCCAAAAGGTTTACCAACTACTTGAAAGGGGCCCCTCTTAAATGTGAGGTCTCTTCCCTCATACACATGCCGTTTCTTCCTTAGTCAAGTCAGCCCCTCCTCTTCCATACGTTTCATCCACTGCCTCTACTGACACCATCCTATTGTAAACCCTCTAACAAAAAGCCAGGAGCTTCCAGTTGCCAAATCCCAGGAGACTGGTCCTTATCTCGCTGCATGTGATTATGCTGACTATATTCTCCTTAGTGTTTACTACACCACTCTCCTGGTGCTCCTCGCCAACTGGACTGTTCCTTTTTCATCTCCTTTGAAGGATCGCCTCCTTCAGAAATACACTGAATCTTGTGTTTCCCAAAGTTCCTGCCATTGTTCTTCTCTTTTCCTGCTATACGTGCTTTGCCAATTTCATCCACTCTGAAATTTCAGCCATCTGCAATGTCTATACCCGCAACCCAGACCTCTGGCTAAACTCTAGTCCTATACATCCAAATGACTACCAGACATCCCTTCAGAATGGACCATAAATACACCCATTAAACGTCGCATGTCCAAAACCAAACATCTTCCCTCCAAAACCTAAATTGGCTAGTAACACCATTTTCCAAGCCAGAAAACTGGAAGTCATCCCTGATTTCTCTCAGTCCCCCCTGTCTACTCAATGGACTCCTTAATATATTTTGAAAATGGTCTCCTATCTCCATCTCTACCCACTACTCACCTACTTGAAGCCCTTCAACATCTTCTGCTGAGTATTCTGTAACATCTTCACCGACCTCCCTCCACCCAGTCTTGGTCTCAAACCTATCTTTCGTATGGTCATGATGACATCACACCCTCGTTTATAATCCTTTGATAGTTTCTCTTCTCCTATGTCATAGGGCTTATGCTTCTGAGCGTGGCAGATAAGGCCCTCCACGTCCTAATGCCTTGCCTCTCTCACCAGCCTCTTCTTCCACCACTTTACGTCCTGAGCTTTCTGTTTCAACAGCACCAAAACACTCATGATTCCCTGCTCATGCCCTGTGTTTTGTACCTTCATCCTCCATCCATGGAGCCCTCAGGTTCTTGCAGGGGAGGGGCAGTAAACCAGATGGTTGTCACTTCAATGTTTAGCCCAGCATCTGGCTCCTAAGCGGTGCCATGTGGCCAGTCAGTGATAAATGATGGGAGACAGTATATGGTATGTCCAAAAGGAGTGACAGAAAGTGTGGAGGGAATTTGGACTCACATTGATAGTCACTGCAATGGGGCCTAAACATGCTAAGCACCTTCCACACGAGAGGTATAGAGAGCCAGCAAAAGCTCGACTCTTCCATCTAACAAGCACCACAAACCTAGAGTCATGCTCTACTTTTTTGGAGAAAACATGTTGGCTTCCCACTGAGCCTGCCATCATGAGGCACAATAGTGGGCATCTTGGTGGTTTGCTAATAATAACAGCTGATATTTATAGAAGGCTCACTGTGGATCCAGAACTTTACTGAAAATTCTACAAGAACTGTATCTCTCAGTCCTCACATCAACACTATGAGGAAGGAACTACTGTTACCCCTGCTTTACAGGTGGGGAAATGAGGCCCAGATACCAAGTAGCTGTACTAAAAGCACAGAGATTTAACCTCCTGGACCTTATTCACCAGAACGCAAGCCAAACCTCCATATACATTTTACTTACTTCCCAAAATTTTATGTGTACATCAAGAGCTGATCATAAATAGAAGGTCAAAGTGACCTATTGTGACATCAAATCTTGGAGCCACTTTAATGTGACTTCACTAAATTGCCTTCGTCCAGTGCCTCACAGACAGCATCCCAGCACATCATGGAGAGCTAAGTGACAGAACAGGCAGCTCCTCTTCTCCCTGGTGAGGCCCCTTCTGCTGTGCCCTGGCTCTCTTTTGCCCCTCATTTGTCCATATTCCTCTCTGGTTTGCTCCAAACTCCTCCTCCTACCTTCAATTAAGATGGTGCTTTAGAACAATACAAGGTAAGATCTCTTCTTCATAAAAACAGAGAACTCATCACACCTCAGGAGGTGCAGAAGCCAAAAATACTCATAGGTTTGAGAAGAGTTTAGATACAGTCACAGATGAGCGAAGATGAGGGCAGTATGGAGCTCAGAGAAGAACCATGTGCTGAGGAACAACCTGCAGGGCTAAAAATCAACTAAGTCCATGGATATGTATGGAGCACCTGCAATATCCAAAGTACTATTTCAGACCCAGCAGCACCCCTGCCTTTAAGGAGCCCCAAGCTCTGACCACTACTTGGGTTCTGTTAGGGAATGTCAGCTCAGAGCTCCCCATGGGCAATGGGATCTTTGCAGCAGGAGTATCCTTCTAACACCAAGGACTTGGAGCTCTTGGAAAGCACTCTGTGTGTCAAAAAAGGGTGCACCCACACAGGCTATCCCCACACAAAGGCAGCTGCAGTGGTCCTCTAGATGTGTGCTCAAGCCCAGAGAAGACTTTGACTGTGGCAATTTGGGAGGGAAACAAATAAAGTAGACAGTATATCTTCACAACAACCATCGCTAGTGGGCCACATGCAGGGCAAGAGAAAGAACTAACACCCCAGCAAGCCAGAAGCGTCTCCCTGTCCTTGAGGTCAGGGCAGAGTGGAGAGACCCAGGCAGGGAGTAAATGGAACAAGTAACAACTAGGTGTGAACCTTCAAGATTTCCCTTCCATCACGCTCCACTAGCATAGGTAGTCTTCCGAAGACCTAAATCCACTGGTCTCCTTCTAGGACCAACATCGAGAGGTCATCAGAGTCGTAGTCACACAGCCTCAGGAGCAATAATGTCCAGGTTTGAATCCCTGTTCCACCATTCATTAACTGTGACAAATCAACAAAACTCTCGGGGGACTCAGTAGCCTCATCTTTTAAATGGAAACAATAATTAGACGAGCCTCAGAAGGTCATTGTGAAAACTGAAAGAGATGATAACATGCAAAGCATTTAAAAGTGTCTCACACTCAGAAAATGTGAGCTGTTAGTATTATCACTTTTTTCCATCAGTGGGACCATGGAAGCCCCCTTCTAGGCCATGACAAATTGTGGACCCCACGTAGATGCTATATGCAGGAATAACTTAGAACACAAGTTGTCCCGTTTGAAGGTCAAACCAAAATTCTACAAAGAAGGTGACTCTAAATCCCCCCTACCCCCAATTCTTATGCATACCTTCTTTGCATGAGACACTTATTTTTGATCAAATTAAATCAAAACTGATTTCAGCTGCAGCACATAGTTTTAAAAGGTAAAGCAGAAGAGCAGGTAGATTTTGCCTGCTTGATAATTTCCCTTGGTTCTCTGAAAAGACAGGCTGAGTCTCAGTCTGCCAGAGAGACCAAACGTGTAGAAACGAAAGGAAGAACAGAAATTTTCAGGCTGCTGCGCAATCCATACAGCAACGAAAAGACCCCAAGTCTAACTGGTGATTAAGAATCAAAACAAAACGGCCGGGCGCGGTGGCTCATGCCTGCAGTCCCAGCACTTTGGGAGGCCGAGGCGGGCGGATCACGAGGTCAAGAAATCGAGACCAGCCTGGCCAACATGGTGAAACCCCATCTCTACTAAAAATACAAAAATTAGCCAGGCATGGTGGCGTGCACCTGTAGTCCCAGCTATTCGAGAGGCTGAGGCAGGAGAATCACTTGAACCCAGGAGGCAGAGGTTTCAGTGAGCCAAGATTGTGCCACTGCACTCCAGCCTGGGTGACCTGAGCGAAACTCCGTCTCAAAAAAAAAAAAAAGAATCAAAACAAAACAACCTAATATTTGTTACTATTCTAATGAATCCGCAATTGTGGAAAACGCACCAATAATAAATCTAGGTGTTAGCAGAGGCACAGACATAATTGAAAGATAAAAGACGGATAAGAAAGTTAACTTGGGAAAAAAACCTTCTGTTTCCAAACTTAAACCAAATAGGTACTCTTTTTGTTTTTCAATTGTGGCATGGGGCAAGCAGTTTATCCGTGCATCTCAGCAGAATCACTATGTAAACCCCAGGCCAAAAACAGACATGAACCCTTAGAATTGAAGGAACAATGTCTACGCTTACAGACTATTGTTTGCATATATCGTGAGTCCTATAGGTTGGCCCATTTTCTCACCCCCATAATTTTATCTGCCCAAATGCATATTTCTAAAAGAAGTTCAACTAAAAGTGGTACAGTATTATGTTGTATGAGATAGTCTCCTAGGAAGAAATTGAGAGTCTAAAAAATTGTTCTGAGGGTCACCTATCTGCTACAAAGGCCTGAACACTGCAGCTTATACAATGATTTTTAAAAACTGATTAAAACCTTTTGGATATTATTTGGCCTTGCTGAAAGAAGAGTTTTACTTAAAAATCATTTAGAAATTGCATTTTTAAAGTATGCCTTGGTTTCACCATTGGGTAGCAGACGGATAAGTGTAACTGAAAGACAAGAAAAGTGGCCCCAACTAACCAGAAGAAAAGCTTACAGGCCTAGCTTACAAGCCATATTACAAGATGCTAGCCCTGAAATTCAGGACTAATGCTGTAATTAATAAGGATATGATGAAATAGTCAATATTATGCAGGTTCATTCAAGAAACATTTATTGAGTTCCTCCTATGAGTCAGATCCAAACCTTGCTTTCAAGTTGCTCACCACCCAGCGCTGGCCACTCACCCATAAGCAACACAGGACAACTGCCACGTCATGTATAAGGTGCTAGGAGAGCATGAGGAAAGGGAAGACCCAGGTTCTAAATAGAGAGGACCAGCAGAATTAGGAAAAATCCCTTCACATCTTGCTGACTAGCCCTAATTCTACTCACCTTACTTCCAAGCAGGGGGCATGCACATACACATTCAATTAATAAACTATTATCTGCTGGCCAAAACCCTCCAGTCATTTCAGTGAAGGTCAAGCCCTCTTTTGTTTCTGTAGTGGTGGAGGACTCTAGGTAGCCAGGAAGAAGGATGCAGATATTCCTAGGATTTAAGGTAGTACCAATAACGCTATGCAAAGTTACTAAAAATTTGAAATCTGTTCCTTCCACTGTAACGTGCCCTTAAAAGTCAACTGAATCAAACCTTGAGTTGTGTGGTCCTAAAAGATGAAGTGACTTGCTCAAGGTCACAAAGTTCATTGTAGCAGTGGTAAGGGAGTAGAGGGAAGAGCTCTGCACAAGAGGCGGGCTTACTTCTCCTGCAGACCTCCATGCTACTTCTGCTATAGAACTTAGTACAGAGGCAGAAGGTACCTTGGAATTTGTGCAGAACCACAAAGATGCTTTAGAAGGTAACAAGCCAGGAAGGAAAAGTAGAATGGAATTTCTACAAGCTATCTCTAAGAAAAGTGGAGTAACTTTTCCTCTCACCATTTCAAAAACTAATTCTGGGTAATAGTCAACATCCAATGTCACCTACCATTCCTTGCTCTATTTCATTTTTTTCCCTCCCTCTTCCATCTAGCTCTCCCCTCCATGGCCCATCTCATCCACCTCTGCCATCTCCATGTCCAAGTTCAGGGGCAGCAGTGGTATGTGATGTTGGCAGCAGTGCCCAAACATCAGCAATCAGTCTACTGCTGTCCCAGCACCAAGCCAGGGGCTGTGAAGGGTGAAGGTGAAGGCTCTTTGGGTCATCTGACCCTTGTCTCCACTCAAAATGAGACACCAGGGTGTTCTCCACCCACATACATTCAGGATTGCTGTCTCCAGTCTCTATTTGAGACATCAGAGATGTCATCATTTCCATATGCTTCTCCTAATAAAGTAACATCCATTTAAAGGCACTGCAGTCATGAGTGTGTATGTGCGGCAATTGGATAAACAGGTCTTGTTCACCACACAGAGGTGCCAGGGTGGAGCCTACACCCATGCAATCACTGTCCTCAGGCCCGGCCCACACTCTGCAGCTTGTACGGACCTCTTACTGGTACACATGCTCCTGCAATGGCAAGTTGAAGAATACAGAAAAGGAGGAGAGGCACAGTCCACGAATGCTCGTGCTCCCTTGCCCTTCTCTCCTGTAAGAAAAGAGTGAATCCACAAGGAGCTCAGTAAAAAACTGGAAAAAGGGAAGTTCTTATTAGTGTGTTGACACTCGTTGCAAAGCTTGGCCTATCTCAACAAGTCACTTTACTTTCCAATATAACTGGTCCCTCATAGACAAAGAAAGGAAAAACAAAGATGACTCTCAGATACCTGTGCTTCTCACAGCTGTGCAGTCAAGACAAGGAAAAAAACGCCTTTTCTAACTTCCTCTGGCACTAACTGGAAACTCTGGACTTTGGGGAGGCTATTAGAAAAAGGTTAAATATGAGACTAGATAATGATATACCAAGGGACCCATGTCAGGGCTGTTTGAACACTACTCAGAAGCAATTGCTGTTGAGAGTTGGCGACCACTTTAAAAGAGCTCCGAAGAAGGCAACGTCTGCAAGCAAATGCCTTCGTGGTGCCCTGGGAAGAGCAGGCTGAAGACTTCTCACTTTGCACGAACATCCCTGAAAACATTTGTTCACTGTTCTGTAATTCAAAGATTACTAGGTACACATATCTAGTAATTATTTCCTATATGCGGCATATTTTCTTGTATTGTTCTTGCTTTAATTTTAGTTTCACAAAGACATAGCTTTACATATGCAACTGTACCCTCCCCCTTCCTTTCAATGAGAGCTGTAGAGGTTTTTGGTCTACATCGTGAAACTTCCTATTTCATTTATTCTGAACAAATTGGTCAGTCCACTCTTTGATAAGAGTTTATTACAAAATGTGAGTGCTGACTATAAGTACTATCAAAAATATGTTGAAGATTATTTTGATACCTGTATTTATTTTAAAAGGAGGGGAGAACAGAGATGGATTTCTATCAAAAGGAGCCACTATGTGCTGTTACATGCCATATACATGGTAAATATTTATTTACAGTGTTTGACTAGGTTTAAATAAAAGCCAACAAAAAGAAAAAAAAGAGAGTTTACTTTAAAAGTCCTATTTGTGTAACTTAAAAATTAGTATGTAACTCTTTCCTGAACCTAAAACTACAGTGGTCCTGCCTTATAAAATTTGTACCATTACCCAAAGCACCTTGTGGTATCAATTACAGGGTTATGAACAACCAGCCACTAAAGCTATCTGATTGGCTTAATGTCCCCTGGTGCTTTATAATGATAACTACATAGTATATAATTACACAGTCCCCAAAAGATACTTATAATTGAATCACAGGGCATTTTTTGAATGTTTGGGACAGCAATTAGAGGACCACAAAGTGATAGTATTGCAACTCTCACCAGCTAGAATGTAAACGAAGCACCCTAAAATTCAATCATAAGAGTCCTTCAGGTATTAAATAATTATAATACAAATCACATGGAGGGGCAAGTTTTTTTTTAATTGAACTGTCCCCATAACCGTGGAAGATTATATTTCCTAATAGTCTGTAAAACAACGTAGCTACATTTTCAGATTCCTATTTCTTCATCCAACTGGAAAACCTGTAGCAAAGGTAGAACAGTCAAAAACCTGTTTCTTCTTTTACTTTGCCACCTACTTATTTGGTGACCTAGTGAGTAAGCTAGGTCTCACTGTCGCTCCACTCATCCTATAAGCATGCTGCATAATCAGAATGTCTGTCTCATTCTGTAAACATAAAATGGCTGTATGTATACAGATATTTACAGATTTAAACAGAAACAAGGATACTTCATCTATTTGATTTTTTACCCATACTTAACACCTCAAAATGTATGATCATTTTTACCCTCACCATTTTCCTCTTTCTCCAACTTTCTTATTCCATACTCATCCCTTCTGCCATCTCTCCCATCTCTCCCTCCAGGGAGGTTGTGACAGTTGTATTAAAACCTCCAGGACTGGCTATCTATGACTGGCTCCACAGTGCTCAGGGCAAGAAGAGTCAACTGCAGGTCTTTTGTGGCTCATTATCTTCTTGCTTCCATTTCTTAAAGGGAGAATATGTAGATTGGTCCCCTAACTTAGGAAGTACGGGGAAAGTAAAACCAGAAATACTTCCCCTAACTTTGACTCGTATAAACACATTAAGGAAAGGAAAGGTTGAAAGGATGTTCCCACACTCAAGGAACTTGTACAACCAAGTCAAGCGAGGCAAGTCAAGAAGAAAACAGAACCCCAATCATTTCTCCAGATGCTCTGAATCACCTCCAGGGCACAGGCATAGATGTTCCCCAACCCTGAATGCTACAGCAAGTGCATATCTACTTACAGCAGATTTGTAAACAGATCTATTCTCCACTTAAAAACATTTTTTCAAGACCAGTGATTAAAAATGTAAAAACTAAAGCCTGAAAAAATATCAGTTCCCCTTGCAGAGCCCAGTGTTAAAATATAAACTCCGATGAGTGATTAGAAAAACACCACAGAAATAAATATACATATACATACATGTGTATTTTTTTCCAGTAGATTTTGGCCTTTTAATGACATTTGTTCATGAGAAAAAGAAATTCGCTTGTCCCAGCACCATAACCCCACCAACCTTCATGGGTGTTCTGCAAAAAAAGGTCCCACAGAGACCAAGAATATGGTGACATTTGGTGCTCTTCGATCAGAGTGTGAATATCACCCGTTTTCTCCTTTTAGCTCTTGCAATAAAAATATTCTCAGGCACGAATCACAATGGCACGGGCTACAGCCCCTCCTCATGGAGTGTGATTCTCTCTGAGCCTCGCCTTCTGCTGCGTTTGAAGGAACCTCTCCCAGGACCGAGTAGCCCTGCTGGATCATCCTTTGCACTTTGGAATCAAAAGAAAAGAAACCAGAATGGGTGTCCATAACTACAGAGGTGTTGAAGTCATAAAGGGCTCAGGAGGATGGTGCAACTCTGGCCACAGTGGAGCACACTCACAGGGCAGCCAAGGAGACCCCTCTGGAGGAAAGTGGAGTTAATTAGACTTTTTATGCACATACACATGCTGGCTTCACACATTTAAAAAATAGACCCATGCTCAGCAAAAGGCCTATTTTAACACTGTCTTGTAAAAACCACATAGACGAATACTCTATCTCCTTTCTAGCAGCAACCCTGGCTCTAGACACTTGCTGATTTTAGCTATTTAAGCCTTAAGAATAAAGATGTCATGTGCAAAGTGCTCTGAAAGCATTAAAAACAAAACAACTTTCACTCCTACAAGAAGTACTGAGCACCAATGAATTAACGCATTTAATAATTAATTGGCATCCTTGGAGGAAACTGTCCCTCTGTAATGTAGCCACTGGGCTGCTGTGAAAAAAGATTCCAATTTATATTTGTTGAACAAATGATTTGATTAGTGACCAAAGTAAGGAGGAGTGAATGTTTTCCAAGCATGAGCTTTTCCACATGGCCTGGGTCAGCCACCGTACAGCAAGGCTGGCATGGGGCCAAGAGCCCTCTTGCCAATGAGACTAGACGTCTCTGAAGAGCCACCATACACCCAATGCCGAGAGAGTTCCCCAAACAAAAGCCAGCCACGGAGTTCAACAACTGGCTTGCCATGGCACCATATGCTCCACAATATTGTCCTGCTGCAACAGTGGGGCCTGTCTTCAGTGTCCCCATGTGCTGCACAGCTGTCAGCCCAGGAGCTGTTTTATCATTATTTTCACTGTTTTATTACTTTTCTGGGAATTCAAATCAGTGTAACCACGCTTGATGCGCCGGTGAAAAATGCTATCTCCCTCCCCCTTCTCCTTCAACCTAATGAATTGCCTTTTTTCATAACAAAGAGTAATGAGCACCAAACCACATAATATTTATTCAAGGAACAAAAGACTTAAGAATGGGGTGGCAGGAAGAGGAGCAACTCCTGGGTGTGGACAGAAGAAAAGCTGGACGTTATAACAGAGCCCCTCACACTGATCTCTGGTGACAGTGGGTTCAATTTATAGGGAAATCCAAACCTTTTGGCTCTCCCCACTCATTCCTGGGAGGGGCTTCCTTCAAGCAATTCCCTAGTTCATGTGTAGAGACCCTGCTGCTGAGAGGTGGCAGGAGCCAAATGTAATTCATCCCATAGCCTTGACTGTGAAGTGTCTGCACATTTTATTTTTCAGTGAAATTCCCCTAAAAAGCCTCCTCTTGCCTCTCTCATAAGCAATAAGCCCAGTATATCCCAAAATGTTCTAGATACATCCCTTCCCCTCCTCCCCCACCGCATATTATCATGACCTCCATTGTGGATGAGGGCATAATTTAACCCAGGGAGAAAGGGCCACAGAAATAATGGCGATACTGGAGCCGTGTTTATCTCAGATGACATGAATCTTAACCCTCCCCACTTTGTGCCATAATCAACCGCTTATACTTTGTCAAGTTTTCTTATTAGTCCAGAAAATACAAAATAATGTACGATATTAGGAGTAATTTAACCGAACCCATGGTTAATCTCCCTCTTTATAGACATGGGCAGTGTTTAATCATTCCCTTTGCAAAGGATCCCCAAATTGGGAGAGGCTGGATGGATGACTAAGTCAAGTTGGTGCAAAATGAGTCACGTTTCTTGAAGGTCACTTCCCCAAATGTATGAGCCACCAAAGGGAAAGGAAAACTATTTCTTAAGGTAAGCTAGCTATTAAACAAAGATTCCTCAAAAAATGATAAACAATGATGCTAAGAAAGAGGTTAAAGTTAAAGGGCTATGTGAACAACCTTAGGAAATTTAGCACCAGTGGCTGGGTTGCTTTTTCTTCCTCCCATTTCATTATTCAGTATTTTGAATTTCTCCATTTAAAAATTCTATTTTGAAAATTTTAAAGGAGATTTTTTGTTTTTGTTTTTGAGACGGAGTCTCGTTCTTTCGCCCAGGCTGGACTGCAGTGGCGCTATCTCGGCTCACTGCAGGCTCCGCCTCCCGGGTTCACGCCATTCTCCTGCCTCAGCCTCCTGAGTAGCTGGGATTACAGGCGCCCGCCACCGCGCCCGGCTAATTTTTTATATTTTTAGTAGAGACGGGATTTCACCGTGTTAGCCAAGATGGTCTCGATCTCCTGACCTCGTGATCCGCCCACCTCGGCCTCCCAAAGTGCTGGGATTACAGGCGTGAGCCACCGCGCCCGGCCTAAAGAAGATTTTTTAAACTATAAACAAAGTTTAATTTTTTTCAAAAAGTCACAAAAGTAGTCACTTCTTCCTACAACCTGTGCCACCCATATGGTTGTGGGTTTTAACATTGAAAATTTTCTTTCTAGATAATTTTCCTCAAGCCCAGTAATCAAATATTTTTCTAAGCAATCCTCTTGCTTCTTCCTCTTACAGTCTCATTCCTGTAAGTCTGTCAAAGCTAATTATCTCGCTCCTCAAATTTATTGCTCTTTAGTGTATCATAAACACATATATTACAAAAAGTTGAAGAAAACAAGTGTGCATTACACTTTGAAGGAAAAGATAGACATAAATATTCAAAGTATGCACTATCTTTGTTAATAGAGTAATGAAAACGGCATTAGAAAAAGTGGATGAGAATATCAAAGCCAGCCAATCCTCCTTTCTTCTTCCATATATGGTGGTCCCCACCCCCAGAAGTCAATACCAGAAACTCCTACACCATTACTTCAGAATAAAGAGGAAAGCAAAGTTCTCTAGTCTGCAATCCTTTGACATTCCAGACCACAGATAAACACGAACCCTACCAAACCAGTAACACAAACAACCTGTGCCTCCGTGGAGGGCACGAAGGCATGATTCTCACAGGCACAATCATTAAGCTCCTTTACTTGAAACTACTGTTACATCTTTCTGAACCTTCCAATTCCAATCTCAACCACAAACTGAAAGTTAATAAAAAGCCCCTGAATGATTCATATAAATCCTTTAAATCTAAGAACAGGAGCCAACACTAAAAAAGCAATAGCCCATTTAAATTTCAATAGCTTGAATGCCAGACATCCCTGATTGTCACATTTTGTCACCCACCAAGTCACCATTTCATGTTCCTAGTTCACTGTGGGATCCAGACATATTCCACTCTAACAAATACAACTTGCCAGAAGTATTTCTGAGTGTGGTTATTTACGATTTTCACAAACAACTTTTTCAAATATTCCTTCAATAGGTTCTAAGAATTAAGTAGCATGAAATCCAAATCTAAAATCATTGTCTCCATGCTTCATTGAAGAAAATGAACGTGAAAAAATCCAATAGCAGCTGCAAACCATTTAAGAATTCCTAGTTAAACTGCAAAATACATTTTCAACCATTTAGCCATAACAACTTCTAAACGGAGAAAGTTGCTTCTTTATATAAACCACCTCTGTTTACCAAACATCAGAGAATCTCCGGGCAGAGGGCTACTGCAGGATGGGAATAGTAAGAGAATGTTACAACCCATGAGGTGCTGATCTGCACACACCACCGTGAGGAAATACCTTAAGTGATTAAAGACAAACGCCACCTGCATGCTTGGCAAAGGAGTCCACTGCTATCGCCACACACTCTCCCCAGTGAGAGAGGGGAAACGATGGACTGAAGTCCCACAGTGGATTAGAACTGGGCACAAAAGGAGCCAGGAACAGAAGATGGCAGCATAGGAAGGGAATGTTATGCTTTGCCCCAGCTGGGGACTCTGGCAGTATTATCACTTAGGCATCCTGAAGCCCAAACTCAAGAATAAAGAATTAAAATTTCATATCTTCTTTGACTTAGTATCCAGAAAATTTTGTTGAATTCTGACATATCTCAAATTTCTTTGCGTATATGTTAACAAGATACTCCTATTTATAAATTCATATGGCTATTTGGCTATTCTGTCAAAATTAGCCTTTAGGCCAGGCAGAGTGGCTCATGCCTGTAATTCCAACACTTTGAGAGGCCAAGGCAGGAGGATCGCTTAAAATCAGGAGTTTGAGACCAGCCTGGGCAACATAGTGAGAAACCATCTCTACAAAAAATTTTAAAAATTAGCCGGGCATGGTGGCAGGCACCTGTAGTCCCAGCTACTCAGGAGACTGAAGCAGGAGAATCCCTTGAGCCCAGGAGTTGGAGGCTGCAGTGAGCTAAGATGGTGCCACTGCATTCCAGCCTGGGTGACAGAGCAAGTCCCTGTTGTCTTTTTTTTTCTTTTCTTTTGAGACAGAGTCTCACTCTGTTGCCCAGGCTGGAATAGTCTTGAAACTTTGCCACATTTTTCTTTAAAGAAACGGTCTGAAACACTCACTTTTTGAGTTATATTAAAAACAAAAATCCAGCTGGGCACAGTGGCTCATGCCTATCAACCCAGCACTTTGGGAGTCTAAGGCAGGAGGATAGTTTAAAACAGGAGTTCGAGACCAGCCTGGGAAACAAAGCAAGACCCTATCTCTTAACAACAACAACAAAATCCATAGTAAGGTTAAGATTTGATTTTAGTCATTTATTACCTATTATAAATCATCTCCGGACTCTTTCAAATAAAAATAAAATGTTTTCCAAAGGAATTAGAAATTACATGTTTATTGCAACAGCTGTAATCTCGATAGTCTTTGGAAAATAGTTTTTATCTAATAGTTGTTATAATCAGATAGCTATGAAATAACTAGTATTCAAAACATTTAGATAACCATTTATCTATAATCAATATAAAGGGAAGTGTACGTCATGCAAAATGCAAGACAGTTGTCTACCTTGCATATAGGTGAAAGTCATCCTTGAAAGAAAACATTCTAGTGCTAGAAATAAAAGAAATAGAACCATGAAATATTAGAAGCAAACACACAAAAAATAAGATGGCACTCCTCAGAGGGACAGTAGAGTAGCTAAACTAAAGAATTAAGGAAAAGTTGTAGGTTGAAATTTTATTGCATGACCAGAGCAGCACCTTTAAGAATCTCTTTATTTGGGGCCGGACGCGGTGGCTCACGCCTATAATCCCAGCACTTTGGGAGGTCAAGGCGGGTGGATCACGAGGTCAGGAGTTCGAGACCAGCCTGGCCAGTATGGTGAAACCCTGTCTCTACTAAAAACACAAAAAAATTAGCCGGGCATGGTGGCACGCACCTGTAGTCCCAGCTACTCGGAAGGCTGAGGCAAGAGAATTGCCTGAACCCAGGAGGCAGAGGTTGTAGTGAGCGAAGACCGCACCACTGCACTCCAGCCTGGGTGACAGGGTGAGATTCCGTCTCAAAAAATAAAAAAAAAATTAAAATTAAAATAAAAAAGAATCTCTTAATTTATCATACTGGATGGCCTAGGTGCAAGATTAAGAGAGAAGTTTTTAATTTTATGTATACAACCAACTTTTGCTATTTAAGCCACTGAAACAGAAGGCACCTGGCTATCTATGGAATGAGGAAGCCCCCTTTCCTAAAGCTTACAGTGAGCACATAGCTGCATTAACTTAGCTAGCCAAAGGTTCAGAATAAAGAAGGAAGCAATAAGATGCTATGGGCCCAGCTAAATGGCAAAAAAAAGGCTAAACCAAATCTAGATCATAAATTGAAGCATAATACTTAGTTTATTGGAATCATTTGGTAGAGAATGACATATAAAGTTTAGGCGCCGAATCACGTACATTCCCACCCTTGGTTTATCTCTCTGGGTCAAATCATTGCCACATGTACCTTGTACAAGGTTCCAGGTCCTATTGTCACTGTCACAAAGGTGGAACATGATATGGTGGGACAGGAGATGGGGAGAGGAGAAACATTCAAGGCCAGGGGTATGTGAGGCCAGGAGACAGCAAAGTTGGGGACCTCATCATAAAACAGCAGGGCCTGGCAAGAACCAGCACTACCATGTCCCTGAATTGTGGCTCCTGTTCAGACCAATAAAGGAAAGTCAAATAGATGAGAACTGCTCTTTGCCAAAACACGGCTATTTAGAAAATGCAGTTGCTCAGACAACCTTTTCAAGAAGAAACACTGCAGTCAGGTGAAGACAGAAAAATATAGTAGCCAAGAGCACAGATTCTGGAGCCAGGTTGCTCCAGCTACTGTGAAAATATAGACGATAATTATTATTATCTTAGTGTAAGGGAGCTGCTATGCCAAAGGGAAAGCAAAATAACTAAGAACTCTGATGAAGGGCAGTCTTCAGACCACTGCAGCACCTGTGTATAATGAAAACTGATAGGACTTCTCACTGTCTAAACAAATGCTATAAGGTGCCTGTCGAAGCAAGTCCATTTTGATGCATTTTCTACAG
Source organism: Homo sapiens (assembly GCF_000001405.40). Classification (NCBI taxonomy): domain Eukaryota; kingdom Metazoa; phylum Chordata; class Mammalia; order Primates; family Hominidae; genus Homo; species Homo sapiens. Next base: position 140,141,345 of record NC_000004.12, read on the forward strand.
TTGGCCAGGTCAGCAGGTTGTTATTACCATGTTACACAGATGACTGGATTAGTCAGGGTAATTTAACCTGTAGGAAGTGGCAACTCACAGACCTGAGATTTTTATGACCACTCCAATCTGCACCCACGAACACCCTAGGTTCTGTATCACCCACTGAAATACATTTTGCAAATAAAGCCATATAATCAAGCCTGTGAAACACAAAGCTCAGGAAAGGTAAAAAGAACCACAAAATTGTTCAAGGAAGTGAATTTCCCACTTTCACAGAATGAGCAGGACCTGGTTGAGCAGGTTCCTCCTTCAGTAAAACCTCTTTAAGGGCCAGCTGAGAAAAAGGAACGTCACTCCTGTAAGATGTGTTATTTGCCAAATACACGGCCTTTAAAAACTAGTAATGTTCTGTGCAAAGACCAACACTAGTTACTAGAGTTGATACTTTTTTAAGCCATATTGTTAAGGAGACATAATTATCATTTGCCCTAAAATGGGCTGTAATAAGATTCAGGGGCTATATTAAACCATATTAGATTAAGAGATTTTCCCGCCAACTTTTTTCTCTTTATACATATTATATCTATAGAAAGAACCCTAAATCTGTGCTACAGAAATGCTCACATATGTACAAGGATATATGAATAAGGATGTTCATTACAGAAACATTTAATTAGCAAAAAATAAGAAACCACCAAAGTATCAATCAATAGAGAATCATTCAATAAATTATGAAATGGTCACAATATGGAATGCTATATAGCAGTTAAAAAGAATGAGTTGAGGATCTATATGCACCAACTTGGATGGCTCTCTAAAATATATGAAAGAGAAAAAAGTGTATTTCAGACAAGTATACATAATATGATTCCATTTATGTAGAAAAAATGAATATGTGATTATGTACAATATATAATATATATGTAAGTGAACAGAAGAGGGTCTGGAGAAAGAGATTCCAGACTGTAGCTACTTCTGAGAAAGGAAATAACATTGAGGGGAGGAATTAAGTCACTTCTTAACCTATTTTCTTTCATTTAGTAATTTATTCAACAAATATTTAGAGTTCCTCCTATGTACATGTAGGTCCTTTCAAGTCATAGAAATATAATAATGAATAGACAAAGTCCCTGTCCCTCTCCAATGTTCCAGCCAAATGAACAACTTTTGCTGGGACAGTTCTACTCAGCAAAGCAGCCTATTTCATCTTTGAACAGCTTAAATTTTCATAAGATTGGCTTTTTAAATATATCTATTAAACCACAACCTGGATCCTAATAACTGTCAACCAGAGATCCTAAATTTATCCCCTTGAGGCCATACAGAGCACATCTAATCCCTTCTTCAAGTGACAGTCCTTCAAATATTTTAAGAAAGCAATCCTGTCACCCCCTAAATCAGACTAAACACCTCCAGGTCTTCCAGCTGTTCTTCCTGTGACATCGTTTCAAGACTTTGCACCTTCCTGTATGCTTCTTTCTAAATGTTCTCCTCTTTGTCTAGTTTCCTCTAAAAGCTCAGTGTCAAGCCATGATCATGATGCTACAAGGGTCACCTCGTCCCAAAAACAAGGGGGGAAAGAAAGACAATGATCTGCCTCATTTTTAACAACTATACCATACCTTAATCTTATTCCCCACCACACCAACTAATCCTCTCCTCTGCACAGTTTTATTTGAAATGAATTTTGTTACAGAAAGCAATGCTTGCAAGAAGATACAAAGCATCTGACGCCCTTAGGATTTTCCTAAATGTTAGTTTTTTAAAGTGTTTCCATTTACATGTCTAATAAGACAACAAATACCATTTCATAAAACTAATTTGAAATGTAAAACTATGTCCTGCTGCAGCCCAGTGAGAATAAGGACGTCCTGTTCACCACTGCATCCTCAGTGGCTAGAACAGTGCCCAACGTGCAACAGTTGCTCAGTACATGTTCAGGAGACGTTGGCTTGTGCACGAGTGAAATAAGCCTCAAATCACTCAACTTTAAGTCTGCATTTGGGCAGAAGGCAACAACTAAGTGAAATGAAAGTCACTCATTAAAATATGCCTAGCATTTGTGCAGCACCATAAGGTGTTCAGGACTTTTACGTATACTAACTCATTGATCAATGACTCTGTGAGGTGAAAAGAATGACAACTGGCCAGGCGCGGTGGCTCACACCTGTAATCCTAGCACTTTGGAAGGCCAAGGCGGGCGGATCATGAGGTCAGGAGTTCAAGACCAGCCTGACCAACATGGTGAAACCCCGTCTCTACTAAAAATACAAAAATTAGCCGGGCGTGGTGGCGGGTGCCTGTAATCCCAGCTACTCGGGAGGCTGAGGCAGGAGAATCGCTTCAACCCAGGAGGTGGAGGTTGCAGTGAGCTGAGATCATACCACTGCACTCTAGCCTGGGCGACAGAGCGAGACTCTGTCTCAAAAAAAGACAACCGTTCACCTTTCTGACAGGCAAGAAGAGATAACAATCATGAAGTAAACAGCCAGAACATCATACCACGTGGCCAGCTAGGATGGCGCTGCCATGCAACACAGCAGTCCTCTAACTTCTTCCCAGGCATCCTTCACCTCATCGCGGCACCTCTGCCTCTCTCTGCTCTTCAAGTAATGATGTTTTTAAAAAGCTGAGAGTAATGCCGCATGTGTAAACCCATCTTCTTTCATATTTTCAAAACCCTAGGAGAGCTCCTTGTTTAAAGCAGGGCCCCTCACCAGCAGCAATATTTTGGATCAGGTAATTCTCTGTTACGGGTGTAATCTCTTGTAGGATATTAGTAGAATCCCTTCCTTCTACCCACTTCTACCCCTGCCTTCTAGACACCTGTAGCAGCCCTCCAGCTGTGACAACCAAAAATGTCTCCCTACATTGCCAAATGTTCCTGGGGTATGGCCAAACCTCTACCAGTTAATAATCAATGAATTAAGGCCGGGCTCAGTGGCTTATGCCTGTAATCCCAACACTTTGGAAGGCCGAGACCAGCAGATTGCCTGAGCTCAGGAGTTTGAGACCAGCCTGGGAAACACAGCAAAAACCCACCTCTACCAAAAAAACAAAAAATTAACTGGGAGTGGTGGCGAGCACCTGTAGTCCCAGCTGCTCGGGAGGCTGAGGCAGGGGAATTGCTTGAACCTGGGAGGTGGATCGTGCCACTGCACTCCAGCCTGGGTGACAGAGCGAGACCCTGTCTCCGAAAAAAAAAGCAAAACCAAAAAAAAAAAAAAAAAGAATTAAAGGAATCCTACAGTAAATCCATTCACATGGCAGTAGTAATAATTTAAGAGAGCACAGAAATATTTCAGGAACATGATTTGCTTTCCAGGTACAAACAATATAGCCATTAGCTCTTAAAAATATATATTCGAGTTTCAGCAAGTTCTCCAAGTTCAGAATAGGTTACTAAAAGCATGCTTTACTTCTGTAAACTCCCAAAGCACCAGGATATAGTCTGTTTACCCACACCTGCTCTCACATGTCTCTCTCCTCTGATATCCATTCTAGGTGATGCCTCCAAAATGCTCATCCTTTTTTGCCTCTCCTACCTTAACACTAGTTCAAGCCCTTTACTGGGTACCCAGCCTTTTAGATTCACTCTCAATCGCTGAGCTACTTTCAGCATCTAACAAACAAAGAAAAATAACCAACCAGAGTGAGAATAAAGGGCACAAGCAGAGCATGTCTTTCAGAGCTGTGCAATCCTTTTGAGTCACAGTTGCAACCCAGGTTGAATCTACACAAATAGACTTAGAGCACTTCGGCCTTTTCCTTTGAAGAGATAGAAGCCCCTGTCCAGACGTGCTCGGGAGGTGGAGAAAGATGTTGGGAAAGGGAAGGAGAGATACACAGCAGTGTAACCTAATAACCTCCTTTACCCATGGAAGTAAAACACTGTTAACAGTTGAGGGGTGGAGGGTCCATAAACATGAAATGATACACAACCAGATTCTACTCAACAGGATGGCAATAAAAGGAGTTAGGAAAATTCTGGAAGTTGGTAGTTAAAAACTAAATATTTCACTTAAGTTTTCTACAGTTGTTAAGCCATTGCAAAAGGGGGATGAATGTTAGTTATTAGCATTTTAAAAGGTTCTACTTCAGCATAAAGGTCATTTCCAATCAATGGGAGGTCCAATATAATTAAAAGGTGCCTAAATTATTATTGAGGAATCACTTTCTTTATGTCAGAGGAAGTACTGCAAGCCTTTTGAGATTTTTTTGTTTTGTTTTGTTTTGTTTTGTTTTGTTTGAGACAGGGTCTCACTCTGTCACCAGGCTGGAGTGTAGTGGCACGATCTCAGCTCACTGCAAACTCTGCCACCCTGGTTCAAGCAATTCTCCTGCCTCAGCCTCCCAAGTAGCTGGGATTATAGACATGCGCCACCACGCCCGGCTAATTTTTGTATTTTTCGTAGAGATGGGGTTTCACCATGTTGGTCAGGCTTGTCTCGAACTCCTGACCTCGTGATCTGCCCGCTCGGCCTCCCAAAGTGCTGGGATTACATGCATGAGCCACTGCGCCTGGCCTTTTTTTTCTTTTTTCTTTTTTTTTTTTGAGAAGGATTTTTACTCTTGTTGCCCAGGCTGGAGTGCAATGGCACAATCTCGGCTCACTGCAACCTCCACCTCCCAGGTTCAAGCAATTCCCCTGCCTCAGCCTCTCAAGTAGCTGGGATTACAGGCGTGTGCCACCATCCCCAGCTAATTTTTGTATTTTAGTAGAGACGGGGTTTCACCATGTTGGTCAGGCTGGTCTCAAACTCCTGATCTCAACTGATCTACCGGTCTCGGCCTCCCATAGTGCTGGGATTACAGGTATGAGCCACTGTGCCCGGCCACCTTTTGAGATTTTTTAATTAAATTTCTCCAAGAATAGTATACACAGCTTGCCATAGTAGTAACTTCCTGCTCCTATCCATGCGTGCATGCGGCCCTCAGAGAACGCCGAATGCTGTGCTTCTGTCCCAAATGGAGAAAGGAACTCAAAAACCCCTCCACTGTTTAACAGATGGAATTGCCAAGTAGACTTTAAAAAAAGTGTGCTCCTTCTCTGATCCACTGAATGGAACCCCATGATCTTTAAGTATTTATTATACAGCAGGCCCTCAACTCCATTTTCTGCATAATTTTATCTAACCCTATTTCTTTTGTTCTTTAAACTTTCTTAGATTTAAACAACAAAAAAATTAAACTAAATTAATCAGTTCTTGGTGACAGCTGATTTTTCAGAAGCTACATTTCCAAGTCACAAAACTAAATAGTGAATTTTTGGAATCTGTCTGGAAAGCAGGCTGTATTTGTAATAAAAATTTAATTTGTGGGGGGATACTGTAATTTTGGAGCAGTCATCTGCAAATTAACTTATTTGGCAGATACCAATGTCAAATTGGTATGAAACAACAGGAAAGTAAAGCATATTATAATATTTTCCTTAAAAATCATGGAAAGGTGATATAACACCCTGAAGCCTGAAACTGCTGTCGTTAGTGCCAATGACTATACTGATTTTTAAAAATCTGGCCGGGTGCGGTGGCTCACACCTGTAATCCCAGCACTTTGGGAGGCTGAGGTGGGCAGATCACAAGGTCAGGAGATCGACACCATCCTGGCCAACATGGTGAAACCTGTCTCTACTAAAATACAAAAAATTAGCCAGGCGTGGTGGTACATGCCTGTAGTCTCAGCTACTCGGGAGGCTGAGGCAGGGGAATCACTTGAACCCAGGAGGCAGAGCTTGCAGTGAGCCGAGATTGCATCACTTCACTCCAGCCTGACGGCAGAGTGAGACTCCATCTCAAAAAAAAAAAAAAAAAAAAAAAAAATTGTTACGCCCTTGAATCTGGCTAGAATAATACTGAAAATCTACAGAGAATATATATTGTCAAAGTCTTGGATGCAAGAGCGTGATTTAGTATCTTAACTTCCATGAAACACTATGGACAATGTACCAATGCTGCTGAATGAATGAATGAAATTAGAAACTCAGTCTTTATTATTTGTGCTAAGTAAGAATAAAGGCAAATCCATACTAAATCCAAAATGGTATTGTATCTGATTGTTTCATTAGTTCTGAGAGTCAGGAGCACCAAAATTAAATTTTTTCTCTTCTTATTGCTTCTTCCCACTCTTTGATAACGGTGTTAAAGATCACTGAAAAGACCAAAAGGTTGGCAGCAGGTGGGGGGAAGGAAAAACAAAGCAAGCAGCCAGGGGATCTGAAAACTCAACCATCAGCCTTTGAATAATAGAGTGAAAAATGTAAAGCTATTTGGGAGACTTAAAAGGTAGACACTATGAAAATCTTGACAGTGAGTTTTAAATATGTTCCTCTTTATAAGAGTCTGATGTCTGTTTGATTGATTTCACAGTTCTCCAAGATGGGTAATGTGGAAAAAGACAACAGAATTTAGCCTTTTTAAGCTCAAGAGTATAAGACAGGACTGTTACTTAACAAACAGGGAACAGTAATCACACAAGTACTTCAAATATATCCAAGAATTACTATTTAACATGCAAAACAGGTTCTTACACTGGATCCCTTCTATGACACTCACACCAGGGTGAGTGAGTGAATGAGTGAATGTGTGTGTGTGTGTGTGCACGTGCATGCATGAGAGAGAGAAATGCCTTATATTCCTATCTCAACCAAATGGGCAGGAAAACTTCTTTAACAACAGTTGGCCATTAGTCTCACAGCGATATTCAGAAAATAACTCCATATAACTCTATTTTACTATTAAATTCCTCATCCTTCTTCTTCCAGAGATGTCAGTAAACTATGTACAGGACTGCCCATTTTTCTCCTATCAGGTGGCAGAAATCCTAAAAAAGATTCTAAAGTTTGCCCTTATAATTCTAATGAGACAGGATAGAAAGTATCAAGCATACTAGCTTCCTGAAAACTTGGCTTTCCCTGGGAAGGAACTCAGCTTGAAGAGCATTTTGTAGATTATGATTAATGCTTAACTAACTCTGCTTCTACTTTTCTGACCACTGGCTGCCCAGTACTAAATAAAATATACCACAACCAAATAACATAATAGAATTAAACATGTATTGGAGCTTAAAAAAATGCTTCTTGAGAATTAAAAGAAAAAAATACATATGAAGGACAGAAAAAACAAAATTTCAAAAAGTTTTCCACAAACTTAAGGCATGCTGTGTTGGGCAATGGAAAGCTTTCCGAAAGACAGTCTGTCCTGTTACCCATGCTAGCGGCAGAACAGGATAAGCCAAAGAAAAGGTTATCATAGGGAAGATGTAGAAATAGCTTGGTAATACGAGCTTGCCAAAAAAATTGATACAGAGCCAGTAATTTACCTTCAACAGGGTAAGAAATGGGAAGCCAGATTAACGTATAAGGACATTCAGCAGTGGACTAATATGTTGACATTTCCTGAATCTATTCCAGGAATGGATGGAACATTTTGGATGGGTTGTAGTTGTCTCCAATACTCGGTAATAACGCATTTATTATTAAATGCATGTTATGAATTTTTTGTGATAAGCTCTTCAGAACAGGGGTCACATAGATTTATGCAGTCTGTAAGCTGTATATAAATTAAGCACACTCTGAAAGTTACGATGGTGCTAATACAGTGAAGAGGTCATGAAAATAATATGGTCTTATCTAAGTCAACTAAGACTATCACCATTTTAAAATTTTGAAAACTGTGCACTGTCATGCTTTTTGATGTGCCTGCTCAGCTTGAAAATGTACTTGTCAATTGAAATTTGCCTTAAAATTTTAACCAGGACCTCAGTTCCAAATACAGCAAATAAACAATGCCCCCTTTTGTTACCACAAATAATTAAAAGCCATCTTTTCAACTGAGGCTCTCTGATAGGTGAAGTCAATAATTTTCACCAAGTCTTTGAGGGGAAGAAAAAAACTATGTCAATAAAGTGGTGGTGGTTGGGATGGGATCATTTGACTACATGTTCAGAACGGACCTAATACCTGAGGTAGTGCAGCTTCAAACCCAGGTCTGTGCCACCTGCTCTATCAACAGGGCTGGTGAGGACTCACACAGAACCCAGCCCCCTCTGTGGCAGCCTGGAGCCAAGGAAAATTTTTTACCCCTCACCCACTCTGCTTTTTGTTTGCTATTTTTTTGTTGTTGTTTTTCATGCCCATTCTTGTAAATGTGTAAGATAGGAAAACAAATCAAAAGAGGCAAAGCCCTCATTAGACTGCCTTCTTAATCCAAGCGAGGCAGAAAGATAATTAATCGATATTTAGTACTTCGGACATATTGGTCCTTAGAAAGTAAACAATACCAATGAAACAGTAAAGAATCCTATTCATCTTTATTTTTATATCACCGTTATTATTATTTGGTTGTGGGTGATCATTGTTTTTCTTTAGGGCTTTCCAAATAGAGCGCCCAATCTGAGAACTACATTTAATTGTTCTGTGCCTCACTGGAGTACAACTATAATCCTGCAGTCAATTCAAGAAAATGAAGAGCAACGTTTTCTTTACAACCTCTATTTTTGAGATTTTACCTCAATACAGACTGTTAAAATACTCTCAGAAGCCAAGGTTAACTTTTAAACTAATTATTTTAAAAGGAAATATAACTTGTAGAGCATGTTTCTTTCTTTTTTTTTTTTTTTTTTGGTACACAGAATTTACTTGCAACTCTGCTTAAGAGTTAAGGCTTACATTACATTCATCACACTCATCACACATACCAGTGAGAGATGCATGTGAAACAGCTGAAGCTAAAATACACTCCTATTCTGTACACAGCCCTGGCATTTATTAGTGCGTAAGTCTAATCAACAGGCTAAATCATTGTCATAAAATGACAGAAAATTTTATTTTCACGCAGTCATCTTTCAAGTCTATTTGTTGCTAATTTGCTAAACTGGGATTCACTATGAAATCTACAGCTGATGTCTCTGTCTATTGAAGCAAGCATTATCTTTCTATTTTCAAAAGTAAGCTGTGGCTTGGGCTTGCTGTCTTCTTCCCAGTAAGGTCAGGAGGCTGGGCTTGCTTCCACCTGCGAGTGTATCACAAACCAGGCGCGCGCACCCGAGCCCTCCCTCCACCAGGGCGGAAACCAGAGAACACAACCCAAACACCGAAAGTTTCTGGTCGCAAACTCTACTCATCTTGCCGTGTCCAGAGACCCGGCACTGGGAACGGCACTGGCTTTTGTTCCAGGGTCCCCCAGCTGGCGAGGTAAACGCCACAGCAGTCCTTGATCCCCAAAGGTTGTGAGAGATTCTGTGGCACGGGAATTTTGGAGCCTCCCGAAAGGAGCCCATTTCTCCGCAATCCATGCGCGTGGGGTGTACAAATACACGAAAAGAGGACGCGGGGTGGGCAGGCATGAAACCTTCAGTGCCTCTTAAATTCTCAGTCTCAGGTTCACAAAGTGAATCTCCTCCTCCGTGGAAGGGCGCTAGGGGGGCGGGGGCTGGGAGAGAAATAGGTTGGAGAAAGGGACCGGAGCTACAGTCGAGATGCGGGACCGGCCCCGCCTCCGGCTACAATCAGAAAAACTACAGTGTGTCAGTGGTTTTCGGTTTCCTGTTTGTAAAGCGAGAACCTCCCCCGACTCGAACTGTCGTTCTTCCTCAAAACCAACCGAGACGGCCCCTTCTTCGCGCTCGGGGCAGGCTCAGCCGCAGGGGGAGCGGAGAGGAGGGACGCGGGGGCATGGGGGGCGCGGCGGGGCGGGGACAGCCGCGATGAAGCGGGCAGGGCCACGGGGCGCAGCACCCCTCCCAGCCCAGCGGCCCCGGGGTCTGAGCTGGGCCGCGAGGCGGACAAAGCGCCTCCCGCTCCCTCCCCCACGGCCACGTTCCAAAAGGGAGGAAGAAGGCGGGCAAGAGTGGCTGGAGGAGGAGGAAGGGAGGAGGAAGGGGAGGGGGAGGAGGAAGAGGAGGAGGGAAGGTGCTGCCGGCGGGACTGGGCAGGATCGCGCCGACCTGGGAGGGGAGGGAGGAGGGGTTGAGCGCCCCCGGAGAACTGGGAGGAGGGAAGGATTCTTGAAGCCCAAGATAAACAAATTGTTCCTCTTCACGTGCGGGGTGGGGGGACGTGGGGAGCGAGCACTGCGGCGTCGCCTCCCCTCCCCCAAGCCGACTCTTTGTCACCGAGCGCCGGCCCGAGCCCCCGGCGAAAGCCCACGGCAGCACTGGCACCACCCCGGCGCCGGGGACTCACAGACCGGGAACGTGTGCGATTTCTAAACCGCACGACGGGAGGGCCGCCCCTGCCGGGCTCTGCGCCGCCGATCGCTGGGCGGTCTGCACGGGAAACAGGCGAAGGCGCGCGGCCCCGGCACGCTCCAGGATTCCCGTCGCCTGGCCCACCCAGCACCCGGGCGGCGCGGTGCGGGGGGGGGGGGCACACACCTTTCCCAAGCTTCCGGCCTCCCCTCACCCAGAAAGGAAAGCAAAAGAACCGGAGAGGGGAGATAAGAGAAAGGATTCTAGCCTCCGGCTTGGGGGGTGGGAACTGCCCCTTCCTCCTGGAGAAGTTAAGCCATTGGCTGCTCATCCTACCTCGAACCCGCCCACCCAGCCATTTAAGCCTCTTTTACCTCCCTGCTACCTTCCATTGCTCTGGGCTTATTAAGCAGGCCCCCAAAGTTGGCGGGCAGCGGGGCAGGGGGCGCCAAGCGGAGAAAGACTCCGTGCACGCAAGTTTAAAAGGAAAAAAGGAAAGAATCCCAAGCGAAGTTGTGTGGTGGGGCCTCTTGGCGCAAACCCTGGGTATTGCTTTCCCCTCCCGCCCCCTCCAGGCCGCTCCCCTCTTAACCCTCCCAGCCGCTCCACCTGCCGGGCTAGCCCCGAGTCGCGAGCAAAGAGCGGAGCGCACCCGCGCCCCGCATCCGCGCGCGCTCCCGCGAGCACCCCCGCGCGCAGCCACCCTCGCTCGTTTCTCACCCACTTCAAAGTTCATTCACAAAACTCTCAGACTTTCTCAGCCCAAAGGGGGTGAGCTGGGGAGAGGAGGCGAGAGGCTCTCCTTCCCCGCTTCCCCCCTAGGGGTTGAGGGCCTGGTGCCCGCCCAGAACCTGCGACAGCATCAATATTTCCACGCACCCGGCGGATGTGCTGAGAGGGGTGGGCGTAGGGGGACGGGTCTGGGGAGGCGAGGCGGCGCGGCTAGAGGTGGGGTGGGGAGCGGCGAAGAGGAGGAGCAAGGTTTCAACTCAGGGGTTCACTCTTTCAAATCGGTATCTTAAGAAAGGGAAGGGGGGAAACTTTTCCAGCACCTCACTCCGACGCTCCTCTAGGCTCCCTCCGCCCCTCGCAGTCGTGACTGGCTTCTCCCCTCTCGCCCCCTCCTCCCCAAATCTGACAACCCTGACAGATTAACAGGTAGCGACGACGGCAGCTTTTTCCCTAAGAAAAGTTGACGTTAACCCTTAGGCTTCAGCCCACCTCACCCACCGTGCAAATCAGACCCTTGTACCCCCATGTAAGAAGCTCCACGCGCCCCCCACCACCACCACCACCCCCAACGCGCGCCGCAAGCCCGCTGCCCGTGCGCCCTCACCATGATCAGCGTGTGGTTCCTCTGCTCCGCCGAGGCAGCCTCCGCATCTTGCTGGGGTTTGCTCGGGTGCTGCTGTTTGCCGGTGCCGGCGCCCGATTTCTTGGCCCTCTGCTCCAGGGTCCGCTGGTAGAGGCTCACGGTGTCCCGGCGCTCCAGCTCCAGCTGCTCCACCTGAGCCTGCTGGTACCTGTTCTCGCAGTTGACGTGGTGCCGACGGCAGCCCTCGATGCGCTGGCGGAGCCGCTCCACCACGGTGCTGTGCTTGGGAACGGCCGCCGAACCGCCGCCGGGGCCCCCGGAGCCGCCGCATCCACCGGCTGCCGGGTGATTGCTACTCGGAGCAGCGGGAGTACTATTGGGAGTATTATTCACACCGATCCCGGCCCCGCCGAGGCTGCTGTTCAGGCTACTGTTGATGCAAATACTACTGCCATTCGCGGCAGCAGCGGGGGCTGCGAAATCCCCCATCCTGCTCCCCGGGCACACTATTTTGGAAGAACTTTTTTTATCCACCCCCCTATCAGCCTCCTCCTTGGGTCCAAGGATTAAAATAGTTTAAGTGGAACGCGGGGGAGACGCAAGCACATGGATGGAAACGGCGATCCCGACGGGGCGAAAAAAACGGGGGGGGAGATTTTGGGGTGGTTTTTGTTTCCTTTTTTTAAACTGTAAAAGCTCAAGGGGAAGAAAAGGGGGGAACGTTATCGGAATACCATCAGACACCTATCAACAAAAAGAATCACAACAAACTGAGCCAGCAGCAAATCGGGTTGCAACTCAAGGGGAGATCCGCTCCTTGCTTGCCTTCTTTTTATAATCCATTATTTTCTAATAAATTCCAGGAGATTTCCGGTGGTTGGCAAGCATTTTCTCCCTACATACCGAAAAACACACCCCATGTACACACACAAGCATATGCCTCCAGTGCGGACACGCGCGACACACACTCACTCCACACCGCATCGGAAAACGGCAAGCTTGCTTATTGCATTTTCCTTCCACAAAAAAGTTTTGGTGTTTATGCCGCCCCGTGTTCTCAAAGTACTTTGGCTGCTCAGTTGCATTTCACAGGAACCTAGATATCGAATCCTCGGGCTGGGGGAAGTAAACACATGGACAGTCCGAGGCGACTGCAAAAGTAGATCGGTGAAGTCCTTTGCAAAACGCCGCGCAGAGAGCAGCACCTAACGCTCGGCTGGGCTGCCGCTGCCGCCGCTGCTCCTGCCACCATCACAATGATCAACTGCTCGCCGCCGCCGCCGCCGCCGCCTCCTCCTCCTCCTCTCGCTCCTCCACCTCCTCCTCCTCCTCCATGCCAGCGGAGTGATATCAGGACGCGCGAGCTCAGTAAACACGGCAGCGGCGGCGGCTGGAGGCCGTGAGACAGGCCCGCGGACACGGCGCAAAACCCGGCCCGGACTCTCACCCGGCAGGAGCGGGCGCGGCACGCACCAGCACCCGGCTCCCGTCTCCGTCGCCTCGGCGCCCGGCGCCCCTCCTACGCCCCCAACCACACTACCGCCCCGCCGAGAAGCCCAGAGCCGTCGGCGACGGAGAGAAGAAAGATTCTGGGGGGATCTCAGAAATAAATCAACTTTTGACCTGTGTGTGTGCGTGAGAGCGTGTGTGAGTGTGTGTGTCTGTGTATGCGCGCGCGCGTGCGCGGGGACGCGCCTGGTAGGGTTTCCTTATTCCAAGGAAAGTATCAAGCGATCCCAAGTTGTTGTTATACATTTATGCATTATATTGCAGAACTGTGCATGACCAGGCAGAAACATTGAAGCTTTACAGCAGTTGTCTGTCATCCCTATCCATGTGGAAAGAAAAAGGCAAATGAGTGACTTGTTTTTAAAACCCAGGTAATAAGTCTGCGCTAGTAACAGCGCTACTTACGGACACTTGTTCCAAGTCTAGGCCAGACTGAACACACAAATACCAAATTCTAAATAAATAGAAATAGGCATCAAAAATGTGTAATATTTAACTCACTGTACATAATGATTGTTGTTACTAAGTCAATTATTGTTTTACTTACCCTTGGAAAAAAATAAAGCAAGCAGGGACTTGGAGGTGAGACTAACAGTACATTTAAACAGACTGTTTTGAACACTAGGTGCTAATGACAGCAGTAATTAAGGTCCTTCGTAAATCAAGTGGAAAGATTGCAGATTTCATAGACTAGAACTATAGAAAAAACACAGCATTTCACAGTTTGTCATGACCAAAACAAAAACAAGCAAAAATAACAGGCCTACTTTATTGCTGGATATATTTCTTTCCATTTCAATGAATTCACAATAAGTACAATTAAAATGGACTAGCAACTGCAGAAATCAATCTAAACTTTCCATTTTATTAAAGCACATTATCTTTCCCGATATTATCTAAAAACAAAAATAACAACTAAGGATCAAATATTCTTGAATATGGACTTAAACCATTGCATATACATATTTTTAAAAATTAAGATGGAGAAATTATTATTTCTCTAATAATCAGTAAACTATAAATCTTGATTGTGAGATGTTAATTATAAGTCATTTTGTATTATTTCAATAAATCTTAAGAATTAGTTTTTAGGGTAAAAATACACCCCAGTTTTCTAAAATAGCCAGGAATAAAAGAACTTTGGATCTTATGCATTAGTCATGAGATCTGATTTAAACCATCTTCATTTCTTGGCATTGCAGATTAGCACAGGATGCTATTTCTAACCTCATAATGTCAGCGATAAGAAGCTATATTTTTCTTCAATTAATCAGTTCTATATAGTGAACGATATTTTTAATATTCACTGGATATATGGCAAAATGGGCAGCAAAATATTTAATACGGTGTGAGGCTACTTCTAAGCAGTAAAACCAACTTAAGAGAGTGTATATTTCATTGAAGTTGCCACACTTTTTCTGAAGGCTATTTAGTTAATATACAAATTTCTGTATCAAACTGCCCTTCTTCAAGTCTCAGTCAGAAAATTTAACTGGACTACGTCTGTAGCAAAAGAGCCCGTTCAGATTCTGAAAATATGTAGAGAATTTTAAGAAATTAGAAAAAGAGGTAGCAAAGTGGCCTTTATCTTTTTCACATATTCACTAAATAATATCTCTATTAACTCAGGAAACACATGGCTTCGCCACAGAGGGGAAGCTATGACTCTGCATTCGCTTTGCTCTCTCTTCACCGTAGTTTAATTCTTTTTTTTTTTTTTTTTTTTGAGACAGAGTCTTGCTCTGTTGCCTAGGCTGGAGTGCAGTGGCGCCATCTTGGCTCACTGCAACCTCTGCCTCCCGGGTTCCAGTGATTCTCCTGGCTGAGCCTCCTGGGTAGCTGGGATTACAGGTGCACGCCACCACACCTGGCTAATTTTTGTATTTTTAGTAGAGACGGGGTTTCACCATGTTGGCCAGGCTGGTCTGAAACTACTGACCTCAGATGATCCACCTGCCTTGGCCTCCCAAAGTGCTGGGATTACAGGTGTGAGCCACTGCGCCTGGCCACACTGTAGTTTAATTGTTATCCCTCCTCCTTCACTTGCCTCCATCACCCACAAAAGACTGCAGTTTGATTTACAGAGGCAACAAATTTGAGGGTCTTAAGCACTGGGTCTTTAGTTTTTGAGACTTGGGTTCTCATTTTAGCTTTTTCCTGTGACTCAGAATTTAATTATTCATTGAGAGTTTCTCATTCTGGGGAAAAAATGACAACAATAGCAGCACCATGTATTCCCTTCAAGCTGTTTACCTCTCCTACCATGAAGGGAAACCAAAAAGACACAAGAATTTGCATCCTTCCCTTTGGGGAACCAGCAGGTGGGACAGCACACTTTGTGGTTTTACCACAGAGTTCCCCAATGACAAATGAAGCTCTTCTTGCACAACCACAGTATACTTTGCTGCCTGATTTTAGTGCATGAATGGGCTATACCCAAAAGAAAAACTGTTACATGTGTACACACAAACAAGCGCACACACAGGCACCCGTCTTTCATCTCTCCAAAATGGGAGTGGCAGCCACAAGCTCCATGCCCCAGATGTGGGGAAAGGAAGAACTGTGAAACTGTGTGATGGCCAGAGGGGAAGAATCTTTGAGAAACCGACCTGTGCAGGACTCTGCTGTGACGTACCAGAGGTCAGAAACCCCATTCTCATTGTGCAGGAAGATTAGAAGAAAGAAGCAAGAAGCAAGCAAGGCTTGCATCTTGAGCAACATATGCCAGTCACCCTGAATTAGAGATGTTGATCTACTCCAGTGACCTTAGAAGAAACAGAGACCTTTATGCTGGCTACTTCCAGATCCCATGATATGGTCCTGCAAGGTTTCCAGCTTTGTTGGTCACCTTCCTAAAGAACTCCTTGAAAGTCATAGAGAAATCCAAGTTCTGGAGAAGCAATTTTAGTCCCTTCTCACAGCACAACACTGACAGCATGACCATCTTTGTCTTTTCTGTGAGCCTGCTACAAGGCAAAACTTCAGGATGAAAGCGGTAGACACAGCATCAATGCTATTGTTCTTGAATGACAAAAAATAATAATAATAATAATTGAGATGCCATAGCAGTGATGAGAAAGAAATTACTATGACTGCATCCCCAACTGTGATGATATCTCTCTGGATGCCAAGGAAAGAAGGGCTTGATGAATAAGTAGCTACACCAGGTTATCCTGTTGTCCTGGCTCTGAGCCAAAGTTGGCAGTTCTGAGGAGTTCAACCAGGTTCCATTTCCTTTACACCAAGTCTGTGTCATCTTCCTATATTCACCTGAGAAGGCCTAGTGTCCCAGTGACAAGAAAGAGACCTTTGTGCGGAAATTCCAGTCTATGTGCCCCCTCTGTTTCCCTCTTACTATGGATCAATAGATCTGCTTTCATAAAAGAGTATCTTGTGGCTAAAGAAGAATAGGAACCCTCTGCTGCCCACATATGAGCAACCAAACCTTTATATCTTTCCAAAGTGGGGCCCAGGCACTCCTAAATTACTAGCAGCCGGGGGATGTGCCCTCAGCTGTCTAGCAATAGGTATCATTTCAATAATTCCATGAATATATTTATGGCCTTCTGTGTGCCACACACTGTGGTAGGCACTGGGTGAACAGCATAATAACAGTGTATAGAACACAGTCCCAACCTCAATGACGGCCAACTAGAATCAGGGCAGTATATGCCATAATAGAATTAATATGGAGTGGGTGTAGGAACAAGCAAAAGAGTGCATGCTTGGAGGAGCTAAGAATCCGTCTCCAAAAAAATCCAGTGGTAGTTCCTTCTCACACGATTGTGAGTGTGAAAGAGTGTGATGAGAAATGAGATGGAGGCTGGGGAGACAAGCAGGACCTGGATTGTTCAAGGCCATCCAGTTTAGACTATATCCTTGGGACAATGGCTGCCATTAAAAGGACTTAAGCTGATTTACACTGTTTACTTTGGCAATGCAGTGGATGTATTATTATAGCGTTTTCAGAAGTGTGTCTGAAAAACTTGGTTCCGTAAGATGCTTTACCAGAAAGGCTTCTGAGCTAAGTAAGTTTAGGACATGTTCTGTACTGCATCTCTCCAAAGAGTTATTACCACATTGAAGGTCACAAGAAATCTTGAAGCAAAGCATGTTTAACTTTGTTTAACCTAACATTGCCAAAATCCTGTTATGTCCCACAGAATAGAACACACTCTAGAAAGCTCTGTGGTATAGGAGAGAGTGAAAACTGAAGGCAGTTCTAAATCCACTTAAATTTACAACAATTGCCTGGGCACGTAGCCTAAGTCAACGACCACAAGGCCCTTGCCATCTGCTCTACCAGAATCACTAGTCCAGATCTCCCGGGCCTTCCTAACCTCAGCTGGGTGTGTGAATTCTGACCTTTAAATATTGAGGAAGTAGCAACACAAAGGCAAAATCCCAAAAGGGTGAATTTGACTAGCCTTTTTCAGCATTAGTACTTTGAGTATGTTATATTAATATCTATCCCTGTGTAATAAAACCTCCTTATTAGGAGAAAAGGTTGGCCTTATTTAACTGAAAAGATTATGTAATATCTTTAAAGCTATAGATTTTCATTACATTTGAAGCATGCACTCTGTCTAGCCTAACAAAACTGGCCTCTTGGAGCTATTTTAATGATCTCCTTTTACCTATGAAGCAATTGCATATAGGTGACATGCCTCATGAACTAGGGGTGTTTCAAAAATTTGCTTTCTTAAGTATTTAAATACCTCTCGCAAGATTCTGTGTATGTTGTTAATTCTCATTTTTTATTAAGAAGGGGTTTACTAAGTCCTAGACCATGTCATAAATTTTGAGAGGAGTATGAATTAATAGGATTTATTTTCTTATTCATGTATTTTAATATGTATATAATAGTTTCATGGTTATTAGGGGAAAGGTTATCTAAAGTCCATGGCAGAGAAATTTTTTAAAAGTCTCTCATTCTGTTTCATATATATTTCTACTCTCACGGTTAAATAATATAATAAGGCATCTGACTTGAACAATGTCTGGCTTTCATATACAAAGTTGAAGACTTCTGAAAGAAAATATTTATGAATTTTTAAATTTATTGAAGGCCCATAATCAGCTAAACTGTTAACGTTAGAAATAATTAATTGTGATGGCCAACAGTCATTGAAAATTTGCTCTATTCCAGGTTCTATTGTTATCCTCTATTTCACTGATATAGAAACTGAGGCACAGAAAACTTAAAGAACTTTCCCCAAACCACACAGCTTAAAAATGGCAGAGACCCAATTTGAACCAAGCTATGGAAGAAATATGTAACCAAGTTCCTAAGGTTCCTTCTCATTTTAAGATTCTACCTTTTTACAAAACTAAAAGTACTGTGTTTTGGCTGGGGGCGATGGCTCACTCCTGTAATCCCAGCACCTTGGAAGGCCGAGGCAGGCGGATCACCTGAGGTCTGGAGTTCAAGACCAGCCTGGCCAACATGGTGAAACCCGGTCTCTACTAAAAATATAAAAATTAGCCAGCCATGGTGACGCACGCCTGTAATCCCAGCTACTCGAGAGACTGGGGCAGGAGAATCACTTGAGCCTGGGAGGCGGAAGTTGCAGTGACCCAAGATGGCGCCACTATACTCCAGCCTGGGTGACAGAGTGAGACTACGTCTCAAAAAAATAAAATAAAATAAAATAAAATTACTGTGTTTTACCCAGATCTCATTTTAACAGAAGTTTGTTGCTGCAGAGGGGTTATAGCTGAGGAGTCATTTTTGTAGAAAGCTGTCTCTGGCCATGCTTCCCTCAGCCCCCATTCTGAGCTAGCCACCCTCTCAGTGCTCTGAGAATAGTGGGCATTTTTCTGTCTTTGTACTTATATTATTACACTCTATTATAACTGTTTATTTACCTGTCTATGTCTCACTTGTGTTTTATTGGTCTTGGGACCTAACACAGGGCTGTCCATGACAGAGCTCTGTAACTGTGTGTGGGGGACACGTAAATGAAAGAGGGAATGGTAGCACACAATTTACCAAAGTTACAAAATCAGAAAGGGACTTGTGTGTGGCCAGTGCCAGGCAGTAGCCCCCGAGGAGAGCAGCACTGCACTGCCATCCTATAGAAACTGTTTGAATGCAATATAAGAAAATCATAGTGCGATATGATTTATATTTCAAAATGCTGTGTCTCTGGGTTTGGGGTATTCTATAAATTGACTTGGAGAGGTGCAGAGGTGGAAGAGAGGCGGAGGAGAACCAGCCTCTTAGATCCCCTCACCCCAACTGCACTCTGCTGTCTGTCAGGTGGGGAAGGGGCTCATATTTGTTGTACATCACAGCCAGGTGTCGGCTACTGGCCAACGCATTTTCCATATATTAACCAATGTGATATTCCCAACAACCCTAGGATGTATGGAAACCAGAGCTGGCCCAAATGTGCTTTTAACACACATGAATTAAACTATGCCTTCTGGTTTGTTAAATAAAAAAGAAAAAGAAAAAAGTGTGTATATATATATATATATATTTTTTTTTAAGCCTTAAAACTATTTTTACTGTGTGTGTGCGTGTGTGTGTGTGTGTGTGTGTGTGTGTTTTCTCTCTTTTTTTTTCTTTTATTTTAAGTTCTGGGATACATGTGCAGAACGTGCAGGTTTGTTACACATGTGCCATGGTGGTTTGCTGCACCTATCAACCCATCATCTAGGTTTTAAGCACCGCATTCATTAGGTACTTGTCCTAATGTTCTCCTTCCCCTTGCCCCCCACCCGCCGACAGGCCGCGGTGTGTGATGTTCCCCTCCTTGTGTCCATGTGTTCTCATTGTTCAACTCCCACCTATGAGTGAGAATGTGTGGTGTTTGGTTTTCTGTTCCTGTGTTAGTTTGCTGAGAATGATGGTTTCCAGCTTCATCCATGTCCCTACAAAGGACATGAACTCATTCTTTTTATGGCTGCATAGTATTCCATGGTGTATACGTGCCACATTTTCTTTATCCAGTCTATCATTGATGGGCATTTGGGTTGGTTCCAAGTCTTTGCTATTGTAAATAGTGCTGCAATAAACATATGTTTATTTTTAATTCAATGGGTCCATCTACTTCATCCATACTCAAATAAACAATGGAGAGGCTGGAGGTGGTGGCTGTAATCCCAGCACTTTGGGAGGCCAAGGTGGGAGGATCACTTGAGCCCAAAAGTTTGAGACCAGACAGGGCAATACAGTGAGACCACATCTCTAAAAATATTTTTTAATTAGCCAGGTGTGGTGGCAGGCTTGTTGTCCCAGCTACGTGTGGGGCCAAGGTGGGAGGATTGCTTGAGCCAGGGAGGTTGAGACTGCAGTGAGCTGTGATCATGCCACTTCACTCCAGCCTGGGTGACAAGAGTGAGACCCTGTCTCAAATAAATAAATAGCTAAATAAATAAATAAATGGTGGGATGAGGGCTATAGATTTTGGAGTTGCTAAGAGTCTATAGAGGAATGTGCCAAACTCTGTATACTAGATTTACTTTACCTCATGGTTGATAGAAAGTGCTATGGACTGAGTTTGTGTCCCCCGCCAAAATTTATACACTGAAACCCTAATCCCTAGTGTGATAGTATTTGGATGTGGGACTTGGGAGAGGTGATTTGGTCATGAGGGTGGGGCCCTCATAATGAGATTAGTGCCCTTATAACAAAAGACAGGAGAGAGGTTGCTTCCCCCCCACCCCACCCCCACTTTCTGCCATGTGAGGGCACAGCAAGAAGCTGTCCACTTGCAAACCAGAAAGACAGCTTTCACCAGCAACCAAATCAGCCTCACACCTTGATCTTGGACTTCCCAGCCTTCAGAACTGTATGGGATAAATTTCTGTTATTTAAGCGTTCTAGTCTATAGTGTTTGGTTGGTTGGTTTTGATACAGGGTCTCACTTTGTTGCTGAGGCTGGAGTGCAGTGGCACAATCAGAGCTCACTGCAGACCTCCTGGGCACAAGCAGTCCTCCCACCTCAGCCTCCTGAGTAGCTTGGACCACAGGCGCGCACCACCACACCCAGCTAATAGTCTATGGTATTTTTGTTATAGCAGTTCAAGCTAAGGCATAGGGATTTTAAGGTAATTACAGCTATAGGCCTGAGAAAGATGTAACTCCACCACGTTATTACTCCCGTTTTATTGATGAGAAAACAAAGGCTTAAAGAGTTTACATAACTTGCATTCAAATCAGGTCCAAAGCCTCTTTCTTACCTACCACCACACAGTCTGAATTCCCATTTGTGGGGTGGTTGTTGTTGTAGGGGCCTCGTAGCTATTCTGTCTCTGCTAGTGCCATTTATTTAGCAAATATTTATTAACAATTGACAAGTCCTGTGTAGGTGCGAGGGATACATACATGAAAAGAAACATTTTCCTCCCTAAAGGAGCTTAACAATCTGGTGGTGAGAAGGAAATGTACATAATACAATAGGCTAGCAAGAGGGAAGTATAGTCAGTTCTTGATTGGGCAGAGTTTAAGGGAGACTAGGAAAAGGTTTGTCACAGTTAAAACGAAACTAGAAAAAACAGAATTTGAAAACAAAAAATTAACCTAAGCTTAGTGAGAATTACCCCCAATATTAACACTAAGGTTTCCCATCCTGTACATGTTATTTGAAAGTAAAAATAAGATACAATGTTGAGGAACACAAAGCATCACTTTCATTGTCTGATGAAAAATCGCCCTGAGGTATCTATCTGTTTAATGGTTTCTATTGTCTGTTCCTTAGCTGTGCCCTCCCTTTCTAACATTGGAACAAAGCCTAGGCAACATCAGTTTGTCTCTGAACAAACTGCATTCTTCACTTTTACTCCAGTAGACAGTCGAGGTCAGCAGTTTTTCAGCCGTGTTGAGCCCTAAGAATTCCCTCCGAGGGGTTTCAGGGGCTGTTGTATGGGAAGGGGGAAGTGGGCTGGGTCTTGGCTCCTCTTCAACTTAGCTGCCTTCTTTTTCAAATTGGAGCAAGATATGCTTTGAATAAAGGGTTCCACAGCTAAAAAGAGTTTGAAAATAGTTCTGTGAGTCATCTTGTTTTTGCTGGCAAACTCTCTCTCCCTCCCTGGCCCAGCCCCCATTCTCCATCACACACGTACGATTGCTTCTTCCACTTCTCTTCTCAATGTCACCAAACTGTGGTTCACAGTGGCTCCAAAGCTTACTTATCCACTTGTGCACCGTCAGGTCCCTCAAATTTCTTGTCATTCCTCTGAGCTGGAAAGGTTTAAGGATGGCCCAACTACACGTGTGAGGAGATGGAAAAAACAATTTACTATAACTGCAGAGGGTGGATCAAGGGGGGATGATACAGGAGAGGGCTCGCCCTGTTCAGAAGAAACACTAGGATCATCTGTCTGGTGCAGTGGTGGGGTAGAGTTTGAGAGGTCCTAGAACCATGCAAAGGTAGGTGGTTACTAAGAAGGGTGTGTCCTGATATAGGGTTTTTATCTTACTGAGTGGGATATGCAAGTTTAAGACTATGGAGAAAAGAGAACTACCAGTGACCTAGGCTCTTCCATTATCCTTAGTTTCTCCATTGTATTAATGCCAAAGTGGTGTCAGGTCCACCAAATGGTTAACCTACCCAGGACATCCACATATTTTGGTCCGGTCAGGCTTCTGATTACCCACTGGCTTTTGATGCCAGAAAATAATCTAGTGTGAAATATAACAATTTTAGAATTAGAGTATTATTAGTTCCCATGAGATTCAAAACAAAGATCTCAGCTTTGGGCTGAATGTTCTTCATTTCTCCTGCATCCTTTCCTATTAATTATTTTTAAAGAAAATCTTCAGGCCTAGCATGGCAGCTCACGTCTGTAGTCCCAGCTACGTGGGAGGCTGAGGAGGGAGGATAGCTTGAGCCCAGGAGTTCAAGGTTTCAGCAAGCTGTGATCTTGCCCCAGTGTACTTCAGCCTGGATAACAGAGTGAGCTTCTGTCTTTAATTAAAAAAAAAAAAAGAAAAAAAAAAGAAAGAAAGAAACTGCCAGGCACAGTGGTTCATGCCTAATCCCAGCACTTTGGGAGGCCGAGGCAGGTGGATCACGAGGTCAGGAGATCAAGGATGGAGAACATACTGGCTAACACAGTGAAACCCTGTCTCTACTAAAAATACAAAAAATTAGCCGGGTATGGTGGCACACGCTTGTAGTCCCAGCTACTCAGGAGGCTGAGGCAGAAGAATCACTTGAACCCGGGAGGCGGAGGTTGTAGTGAGCCGAAGTGCTGCTACTGCACTCCAGCCTGGGCGTCAGAGCGAGACTCCATCTCAAATAATAATAATTTAAAAAAAACTAAACAAAACTAAATAAAACAACGAATCTTCATCATAGAAGAAGTAAAAAGTCGATAATACCTCAGCTACCATTAAGGAACAGACCTGGCCCAGGGATGAAGTAATAGCTGGCCAGGGCAGTGAAAGTTCATTGAACCAACGCTGTTCGCCATCCATTGGATGAGTAACAAACAGATGTTGCAAAAAGGCAAGAAGACAAGTCTGATTGGCAAGGGGCAGGAATCTTCTCCAACTTAATGGAGAAGCAGTGTAACATATGTTGGTTAAAATGAAGTTCCAAACCATGAACACCTTCTTACAGGTAGATGTTATAGATTTGTAATCATTAAAAACTTCCCCACAGAAGCACTAGTGTTTAACTACGTTAATCCATCCTCAGTATTGATGGTTTTGGCTTCACGATAAGCATGCCTGTATCTTCTGGTAACAGAACACATTTATATTTTTTCAAAACCATCCTACCTACCTTCTCAGCCCATGAAATTTGCAGAAGGCTAGGGAAGGTGAACATTCCCTGGTCCCAGGGGCATGTTGCTCACCCAGGCCATGTCTGTCTTTACCATAGTGATTGATTCAAAGACAGTGACTCAGGCTGGTCCAATTAAAGCTCCCTCTGGGAATTTTGTTGGAATTACCAAAAAAAAAAAGGACATTTCCTCCTCTAGGAATCCAGAAGTTAAGGATCATAGAAGCTTAAAGTTGCCAGCTTTGATATAACAGGAAAAAGTCTGCTTGAAAATAAAGCCAACCCACTAGAAAACAGAACCAAGAAATGGAGATAGTCCTCTTGGCACAGTTTCTGCCCTGGATCCAGCTGAGCCTAAAGCCAGGTGCCATAGAATTTTCATTATATAAGCCAATAATTCTCCATTTTTCTACATTTTCCTTATTTCCTTCCTTCTATTCTTCTTCTTTTTTTTGTTTGTTTCGAGACAAAGTCTTGCTCTGTCACCCAGGCTGGAGTGAAGTGGCGCAATCTCAGTTCACTGCAAACTTTGCCTCCAGGGTTCAAGCTATTCTCCTGCCTCCTCAGGGCTCCCGAGTAGCTACGATTACAGGCGCTGCCACTATGTCCGGCTGATTTTTGTATTTTTAGTAGAGATGGGGTTTCACCATGTTAGCCAGGATGGTCTCAAACTCCTGACCTCATGATCCACCCACCTTGGCCTCCCAAAGTGCTGGGATTACAGGCATGAGCCACCGCGCCTGGCCCTTGCTTCTATTCTTTCTGTGTGTGTGTGTGTGTGTGTGTGTGTGTGTGTGTGCGCGCGCGCACGCGTGCATGTGCACACACACAGTGTGATTGAGATAGCCATCATTTAGGGGTTGGTTAAATAAATTGTATTATATCCAAATAATGAACTATATTAGGGATTGTTTAAATAAATTGTATTATATCCAAATAATGAAATATGTTCGGGATTGGCTAAATAAATTGTATTATATCCAAATAATATAATATATTAGAGATTGGCTAAATGAATTGTATTGTATCCAAATAATGAAATACATGCAACAATTTAAAAGACACACATAAGGCTGCACACGAATCATTGTATTACTTGTCATAGTAAAACTAGTGAAAATAACTGAGTGTCATTATTGGAAGCCTGGATAAATAAAATGTATTGTATATAAACATTTAAATAAGCAACTGTTAAGACATATTCAGTTATATTGATTGACATCAAAAGATCTCCATTGCATATTGTTAATATTAAAAAGCAAGTTATATGCTATTGGTAAGAATGTAAATTAGTACATCATTATGGAAAACAATGTGGCGGTTCTTCAAAAAAATAAAAATAGAACTACCATATGACCCAGCAATCCCACCATTAGGTATATATCCAAAGGAAATGAAATCAGTTTGTCAAAGAAATATTTGCATTTCCATGTTCACTGCAGCATTACTCACATTAGCCAAGATATGGAAGCAACTTATGTCCATGAACAGATGAATAAAGAAAATATTGTATACAGTATATACACAATGGAATATCATTCATCAACCTGGAAGACATCATGTTAAATGAAATAAGCCAGATACAGAAAGGCAAATACCACATGATCTCACTGACATGTGGAATCTCAAAAATCAAACTCACTGAGACAGAGAGAAAAATGTAATTAACAGGGTCTGGCAGGGTGGGACAAAAGAGGATATTGGTCAAAGGATAAAAAATTTCAGTTAGAAGAAATGAACTCAAGCGTTCACTTGGACAATACAGTGATTACAGTTAATAACAATGTATTCTTACTTGAAAATTGCTACAAGAGTAGATTTTAAGTGTTCTCACCACAAAAAAATAATAAGCATGTGAGGCAATGCATATGTTAATTAGCTTGATTGAATCATTCTGTAATGTATACATATATTCAAGCATCAGATTGTACACCATAAATACATTCAATTTTTGTCAATTTAAAAATAAATAAATCCTTTTTTTTTTTTTTTGAGACGGAGTCTTGCTCTGTTGCCCAGGCTGGAGTGCAGTGGCGTGATCTCGGTTCACTGCAAGCTCCGCCTCCCGGATTCACGCCATTCTCCTTCCTCAGCCTCCCGAGTAGCTGGGACTACAGGTGCCCGCCACCACGCCATGCTAATTTTTTATATTTTTAGTAGAGACGGGGTTTCACCGTGTTAGCCAGGATGGTCTCGATCTCCTGACCTCATGATCCGCCCGCCTCGGCCTCCCAAAGTGCTGGGATTACAGCGTGAGCCACCATGCCCGGCATAAATACTTTTTTTAAACAAAAAATTAAAAGCAGGTTAGAAAACAAGTTACAAAAATACTTTCATTTTATGAAATCATGTAACTTTGTGTGTATGAATCTAATAAACTTCAGAAAGCTAGTTAAACATCACCACTCTGGGATTTTTACTACCTTATTCTTTTCTGTATTGCTTTAATTGTATACGTATATGTAATAAAGAGAGAAACTGAACATTTTCTGTTCTTTATTTATTTATTTTTTTTTTAGATGGAGTCTCCCTCTGTCACCCAGGCTGGAGTGCAGTGACGCGATCTCAGCTCACTACAACCTCTGCCTCCCAGGTTCAAGCAATTCTCTGCCTCAACCTCCTGAGTAGCTGGGATTACGGGTGCCTGCCACCATGCCCAGCTAATGTTTTGTATTTTTAGTAGAGGTGGCGTTTCACCATCTTGGCCAGGCTGGTCTTGAACTCCTGACCTCATGATCCACCTGTCTCAGCCTCCCAAAGTGCTGAGATTACAGGCGTGAGCCACTGTGCCAGGCCAATTTTCTCTTTTTTAGGAAGAAAGAAAAAGAGAGAGAAAGGAAGAAAGGAAGGGAGGGAGACTTTACAGAGTTTCGAAAGAATGGCCATGTCTGTAGTCTGAAATTTGCCTAAATTATTTAGGAAAAGATTCAAGGAGGGTGTGGTGCCATCTCATGAATCTTAAATAGGTATTTTGCAGGGGGCACAGATGAGAAGAGGGCATCCAGAAAGAGGAAATAACAAAAGTGAAGATTCAGAAAAGTGAGAAGTCACAATGTCTTAAGGAATAAGTTATGTGATATAGCTAAATAAGTGTCATTAAATTAACAATTTAATCTTAAGAACTAAAGCAGAGTCAGTTAAAGTCAATGTTAACATAAGGAATTTCACATCAGGATTAGATACGGAATGTCCAAGGGAAAAGAAAAATACCGTATCTCCAGGACACTGATCTCTACACCCAATTGCTTAGCCACAAGTCTCCTTTGAGGTCTAATAAATGGAACCAAATTAACATGACCAAAGCAAAACTTTCAATTTCCTCTCCAAAATTGTTCCTTTTCTGTGATGCTTAATTTTATGCGTCGATGTGACTGGGCCACGGAGGGCCCAGATATTTGGTCAAACATTATGGGTGTTTCTGTGAGGGTGTCTTTGGATGAGATGAACATTTTAATTCACAGAATGAGTAAAGCTGGTTGCCCTCCCCAGTATGAGTGAGCCTCATCCAGTCAGTTGACAGCCTGATAAGAACAGAAAGGCTGACCCTCTTCTGAGTAAGAGGGAATTCCTCCTGCCTGACTGCCTTCAAACTGGGACACCAGTTTTTTTCCTGCCTTGGGCTTGAGCTGAAACATTGGCTCTCCCTGGGTCTTAAGGCCGCCAGCCTTAGGATTGAGACTATGCCACTGGCTGTCCTGGGTCTCCAGCTTGCCAACTCACCCTGCAGATCTTGGGATTTACAGACTCCATAATCACTCAACCAAGTCCTTATCATAAATTCTCTGTCTCTCTCTTCATTTGATTTGTTCTATTTTTCTGGAGAACCCTGACTAACACATCCTTTTTCTCCAGTGACAACACTAGACTACAAGCCTTGGTACGAAACCCTGGGGTCACCTTTACTCTTCCTTCTCTCATGTGTAAGATCCAGTCAAAAGCAAATCATGTCAGCTTTACCTTTAAAATGTTTCCAGAATCTGACCACCACTTATCTTGTCTTCTGCTACCGCCATGGCCTAAACTTACGCCATCTCTCACGTGGACCAATGCAATGTGTCCTGACTGGTCTCCCTGATACTACCCCTGCCCCTATACAGTCAATTTTCAGCACAGCAGCCTCAGTGACTCTTCTCATACATATCAGATCATGTCCGTCCTCTGCTCAAAGCTTACTAATGGTTCCCATCTCATTCAGGGTAAAATCCAAAGTCCTTACTGTGGTGTACAAGTTCCTTCAGGATCTGGCTGTCCCTTCTCCCTCCTTTGCTCCATCTCCTATAATTCCTCCTTCACTCTTCCTTAAAAGGCAAGGACCTTTAAAACTTTGTTTGTTTTGTTTTGTTTTTTGTTTTTTGAGACAGAGTTTCGCTCTTGTTGCCCAGGCTGGAGTGCAATGGCGCGATCTTGGCTCACTGCAACCTCTGCCTCCCAGGTTCAAGCGATTCTCCTGCCTCAGCCTCCCGAGTAGCTGGAATTATAGTCATGCGCCACCACTCCCAGCTAATTTTTTTTTTGTATTTTTAGTAGAGACAGGGTTTCTCCATGTTGGTCAGGCTGGTCTTGAACTCCTGACCTCAGGTGACCTGCCTGCCTCGGCCTCCCAAAGTGCTGGGATCACAGGCGTGAGCCACTGCACTTGGCCTAAAAAATTTTTAATATGCCCGGAACTCCCTTTGAAATGCTCTGTTCCCAGATGTCTGCAGGGCCCATGCCTCATTTCCTTCAGATGTGGTCCTCAGAGACCTTCTTGGCCAACATCTCCCTACATTCCCTTACCCTTCTTTGAGCCCCTTTTCACCACCAGTCATAAGTGCATCTTATTTTATTTATCTTCCAACTCTCTTTCTAGAACCTGAGCCCATGAAAGCAGACAATTGCATTGTTTCTCAATTTCCTACACATGGAGCAGAGGCTGGTGTAAGGGCTGGGGGCTGGGTAGGGGCACTTCATACCTGCTTGCTGATGAATGAATTAAGTTTTTCTTTATACACTGAAGGAAGCAAAATCCTTTTGATGTAATAATAGTTAACATTTACTGATCATGTCCTATTTATTGGGCACAATGCCCAGCTTGTACTTAACTTATCTCATTTGGTTCCCACAACAACCTAGGGGGCACACAACACTTTCTGAATGAGGAAACTGAGGCAGAGATAATTTTACTAACGTCCCACAGGTGACAAGAGTTGGAGCCTAGCTTCCAGCTCAGGCTGACTCCAGGCACCATGCATAACTGCTAGGTCTCCCAATTAGAATGCATTTCTCACATATTTATTAAGAGACACTAAATAAGTGGCAAGAATTGAAAAGACTTATGCCCTAAATTTACTTCTCAGTGATAAAAATATTTCCTACTATCAAGTATCTCTACCAGTGTTATGACTAAACAGCACAGCAGAGAGTAAACAGACAGTGGAAAGCTTGGTGGACTCTTCTGCAGTTCACATTTTGACCTTCGAAACAATTTAGTTGAGAACAACAAGGTAACAGCAAAGACTTATTTGAAATGACTTCGTGGGTTACGCATATGTTATAAATTTGGTAGGAGCTTTATAAGCCCATTTGAAGATGCAGTCCGTCCTTTTTACCTTTGTAAATTTATTCATTTAGGTATCCAACAAATACTTACTATATACTCACAGGTGTCACGCACAATTTTGGGCATTGGAGATATAGAAATTTCCTGTCTCTCTACCTGTAATGAAATGGGGCTTATATATCATAGTGATTTGGATCTAGACTCTGCAGTCAGTAACTAGGGTTCAAATCCCCAGCCCTGTTAATACAAACTGCCTGACCTCAGGTAAGTTATATAACTTCCGTAAATCTTAGTTTCTTTGTTTATAACATGGAGGCAATATTGATTATAAGATCTACCACACCGGTTTATTTGGAGGATTATGTGAGCTTGCCTGATACACGAACAAATAGTAAGAATTCAGAAATAAACTACCTGTGAGGATGAGGCCAGACTTATAAAATCTTTGTGATACTGAATGTGGTTTTGTGTATATGATGAACTTAGAGCTTTGTAGATTTCTTTTCCTCCAAATGTCAAGAGCTTGTTAAAATTTTAGTGTTTTAAAAAAATGCAAGTTTAGTTAACATTTTCAGCCAGCATGCTAAACCTTGTGATGAAGTCATAGGGTCTTATACTCACGATTTGATAACATAATAGAACTATTAAAAGAAGTCTGATTCATTAATTTGTTGATTCTTCCTTCTGGGGCTATCTGGGAAAGCTGTCCGTTTGCAGACAGCTCCTTTGGCTATCTTTCTCTGCCTTTCAAACCCT